>NC_000008.11:110714222-111964222 GCF_000001405.40 Homo sapiens | reverse complement strand
AAGAAACACCAATTCTCCCAGATGAGCAAGAATCAGCACAAGAACTCTGGCAACTGGAAAAGCTAGTGTCCTCTTACCTCCAAATGGGTTCACTGGCAATAGCTCTTAACCAGTCTGAAATCACTGAAATGACAGACACAAAATTCAGAATCTGGATGGCAAGAAAGCACACTGAGATTCAGGAGAAAGTTGAAACCCGATCCAAGGAATCCAGTAAAATGATCCCAGAGGTGAAAGATGAAACAGCCATTTTAAGAAAGAACCAAACTGAACTTCTAGAGCTGAAAAATTTAATGCAAGAATTTAATAATACAAAAGCAGTATTAACTACAAAATAGGCCAAGCTAATAAAAGGATCTCAGATCTCAAAGACCAGTTCTTCAGAACAACTCAGACAAAAATAAAGAAAAATCATTTTAAAAAATTAATGAAAACTTTGAAAACTATAAAATTATGCAAAGAGATCAAATCTACACCTCATTGGCATTCCTGAGAGAGGAGCGAGAGTAAGCAACTTGGAAAATATATAAGAATATAGTTTATGAAAATTTTCTTAACTTACTACAGAGGTTGACATTCAAATGCAATAAATACAAATAGCCCTAGCTAGTACTATACAAGATGACCATCCTTCAGGCACATAATCATCAGATTTCCAAAGTTAATGCAAAAGAAAAAAAATCTTAGAGGCAGCTAAAGAGAAGGGTCAAATCACATACAGAGGGAATCCCATCAGGCCAGCAGCAGATCTGTCAGCAGAAACCTTACAAGCCAGAAGAGATTGGAGGCCTATTTTCAGCATTCTTCAAGAAAAAAAAATCAACGAAGAGTTTCATATTGCACCAAACTAAGCTTCATAAGTGAAGGAGAGAAAATATCCTTCTCAAACAAGCAAATGCTGAGGGAATTTGTTTCAACTAGACCAGCATTACAAGAGGTCCTTAAGGGAGTGCTAAACATAAAACCAAAAGAATGACACCTGCTACCACAAAAACACACTTAAATAAACACATAATCCACAGGCACTATAATGTAAGTACACAATCAATTCTACATAACAACCAGCTAACAACACAATGACAAGAATGAAAATCACACACGTTAATACTATCTTGAATGTAATTGGGTTAAGCATCACTTAACCCAATTAACATCACTTAAAAGACACAGAGTGGCCAGCTAGATAAAAAGACAAGATCCAACATCTTTTCCCTTCAAGAGATCCATCTCACATGTAACAGCATCCACATGCTCAGATTAAAGAGACAGAGAAAATTATACCATGCAAACAGAAAAGTAAAAGAGCAGGAGTTGCTAATCGCATGTCAGGAAAAACATACTTTAAACCAACAAATATTAAGAAAGATAATAAAGGGCATTATATAATGATAAAGAGTACAATCCAACAAGAAGACTTAACTATCATATATATATATATATATATATCCAACATTGGAGCACCCAGGTTCATAAAATAAGCTCTTCTTGGCTTATAAAAAGACATAGACAATCCCACAATAATAACAGAAATCTTCAACACCCCAGTGACGTGACAGTGCAAGATAGATTGCCAAAGCAGAAAACTTACAAAGAATCGCTAGACTTTAACTTGACACTTGACCAATTGAAATTAATAGGTATCTATAGAACAGTCCACCCAACAACCATAGAATATACATTCTTCTCATCTACACACAAAACATATTCTAAGATTGACCACATGACCCATTATAAAGCAAGCTCAATACATTCAAGAAATTGAAATCATACCAAGCACACTCTTTTACCACAGTACAATAAAAATAGAAATCAGTATTGAGAAGGTCTCTCAAAAACACATAAAAACATAAAAATTGAACACCTTCTCCTGAATAACTTCTGGATGAACATCAAAATTCATGCAAATATAAAAAAAATGAAATTAAGAAAAATGGAAACAACATACCAAAATCTCCGGGATGCAGCTAAAGCAATGATAAGAGGAAAGTTTTGTAATTAATTTTATTTTTATTTTTAATTATTTTTTTTTTGAGACAGTCTTACCCTATCACCCAGGCTAGAATACAGTGGCACAATCACAGCTCACTGCAGCCTTGACCTCCCAGGCTCAAGCAATCAAGCTTCCCACCTCAGCCTTCTGAGTAGCTGTGACTACAGCCATGCCATCTGGCAAATTTTTAAACTTTTTGAAGAGACAGGGTCTCACTATGTTACCCAGATTGGTCTCGAACTCCTGGGCTCAAACAATCCTCTTGCATTGGCCTTCCAAAGTTCTGGAATTATAGGAGTGAGCCACCACACCAGCTCATAATAGTGAAGTTTTAAAAATCTCTTTTGAGACATTCTTAGCTAATTGCATATTTTTGAAGGAAATTCTGAAATTCTTGGCATGAGAGCATAAAACATTTCAATAAACAAATAATAATCCTAACATCCTAAAAATCATACTGAACTATTTCTATTTATATTAATATTTTATTATTTGACTTAGTCATGTAGCATATTTGTCTTTAATATTATATAAAATGACATGTAAGAAAGAAAAATCATAGTTTCTGCTAGAGGTTATTTACCATGATTTTAAAGAAATTTGAGAAGTGTGACCGAATTTTTTTGAAAAGTAGATTTTTTGGATTCATACTAACATATCCATTTTTTTGAGTTTGACTACCATTCAGATAAAAGGGGTAGGTTTCCTGTTATTATAATATTATTTGATAGGTATAACAATAAAACTTTTATTGTGGTAAGAAACATAACACAAGATTTACCCTCTTATCAAATTTCTTTTCTTTTTCCCTCTCATCAGATTCCTAAGTGTGTACATTACAGTATCATTAACTAATAGCACTATGTTGTACAGCAAATTACTAGAATGTAAACATCTTACATAACTGAAATTTTATACTAATTAAACAACTCCCCATTTTCCCCTCCCACCAACTCCTGACAGACAACATTCCCATCTCTGCTTCTGTGAGTTTGGCTATCCTAAATATCTTCTACAAGTAGAACCATGCTGTATTTGTTCTTCTGTGACTGGCTTATTTCACTGAGCATAATTTTCTCCAGGTTAATCCATGTTGCCACATATAGCAGGGTGTCCTTCTTTTATAAGGCTAAATAATATTCCATTGTATGTATATACTAAAAGCTGCACAGAGAAGGGAACAATCCATAAAGTGAAAAGGCAACCTATAGAATAGAAGAAAATATTGGCAAAACACATATCTGTTAGGTAGTTAATGCCCAAAATATACTTTAAAAACGCCAGGAACTCAATTGCAAAAATAAAACAAAAAATGCAATTAAAAGAATGGGCAAAGGACTTTAAAAATGGGCAATACAACAAATAATCTAATTTTTTAAATGACATGTAACTTATCTGTGTCATTAAGGGCTTGTTTGAATGCAGTTTTATATAGCATTTCCATTTAAATGGACATTTCCCCAAATAAGACATACAAATGGACAACAGGGATATAAAAGCAATGTTCAACATTACTAATCATCAAGGAAAAGCAAATCGAAACCACAATGAGATAATACCTCATACCTGATAGGATAGCTATTATTTTTAAAAAGTGTTAAGAATTTGGAGAAATTGGAACCCTTGTACACTGTTGGTGGGAATGTAAAATGGTGCAATAGCTATGAAAAACCATACAAATGTTACTCTGAAAAAGTACTTTTAAAGGCAATGTGATTTACAAAGTGCACAAAAAAAATCTGGTATTGCTTATTAGATTGAAATTCATTTCAGCAGAAAAAATTGATTTTACAGATCAAAACAGGAGTTAAGCAACAATTTGATCTTTCATATGTTTTCTTATTTTACGCCTAGTGTTCCATTATTGGAACGCTAAGCATGTGGGAGTTATTTATAGCCTACTGCTCAAGGTCATCGCCAAGGTCTGATTGCAAAAAATTCAAAACATTGCAATCTCAGGCATAAATGGGTTAAATTTACATTTGTAGTAATCTTAACAGAATTTAAACATTAGATTTTCTTACATTGGATTCTTATGTTTTTTAATGCCTTCATAAGATTGTCTTACTTAAAGTTTTTAAGTCTGTATTTATCCATTATGCATTCTATTGTTCTTATAAAGATATTTTCTCACCCTGTGTTATGATCATTTTTAAAGGGCAAGAATTTTACTTATATGAGGCTAAAAATTTCTACAGTGTAAGAATTCTGGGAAGGTACTTGAATTAGGTCTCCAGGTATGCTAACAGTACCCAAGAAGAGCCAAGTGCTATATACGCACTTTTTTTTTTCTGGGAAACACTAAACCTAGACTGATGCACCCTCAATACAGAATGAGCACAAGAAAAAGAAAATCAACATAAGGTTACATAGGTGAAAGAAAATAAGTCACAATTCTTTTCATCACCTTGTAGACTAAGAGCAATCAAACACCACTAAAAATTGTATACTCACAACTAAATAGAAATATATTTGTAATTCCCTCTAGCAAGTAAGAAGACACGGTTTTATAAAACAAGATTAGAAAAAGTTGGAAGGTATATAAAGACTACAGGCCAAATACCATTTAAAATATGTTAGCAAATGAACAAAATTCAAAGGAAATTCAAATGTACAAGTAAAAATGCAATAAGAGTTGAGACTAATGGAAGACAATAAAGAATAGAAGTGACAAAGTGCAAACTTATATAATAATATAAAAAGTTCTCCCAAAGTGCAACTAAAAAGAACAAAGTAAGAAAGAAATATAAGCAAAGATCCCAAGATTTTGAAAGGGCAAATGGGGAGCATTACTTGAACCCAGAAGTTTAAGACCAGCCTGGGAAACATAGTGAGAACCTATCTCTACAAAAAAAAAAATTAAAATTAATTAGATGGGTAGCACACACCTGTAGTCCCAGCTACAGGAGGCTGAAGTGAGAGGATCACTTGAGCTCAGGAGGTTGAGGCTGCAGTAAGCCATGATCACACCACTTCACTACAGCCTGGGCAACAAAGCTGGGCCCTGTCTCAAAAAAGAAAAGATCATAGATATGGAAAACAATTAATCTACCTAAAAAACAAGTGTTCCAAATGAAGAAAGAACTATTTGAAAAGAGGCAATAGCCAAAAACTAAATTGAAAATGGTATTTCCAAGAAAGAAGGAAAAAAATAAACAAAACACCTCAATGTTCAAATGAAAGAGTTTCACCACGTTTTACACAAGAATTCCTGGGAGGAGATAACCGACATCTTCACAATGGGTCTTGTCTCCTAAGTATTAAAGTTCTCTGTTGAGGTTGCTCCTTCGTGAGCGTCATGTGAGACACAGATACTTCACATATTGTGTCCATTCACAGAGGTTTAGCCACATACCTCTTCCCCTGACCTCCTTGTTATCTATTTTTTTTTTTTTTTTGAGATGGAGTTTAGCTCTTGTTGCCCAGGCTGGAGTACAATGGTGCGATCTTGGCTCACCACAACCTCCGCCTCCTGGGTTCAAGTGGTTCTCCTGCCTCAGCCTCCTGAGTGGCTGGGATTACAGGCATGCGTCACCATGCCTGGCAATTTTTTTTTTTTTTTTTTTTTTTGTAGAGATAGGGTTTCTCCAAGTTGGTCAGGCTGGTCTCGAACTCCCGACCTAAGGTGATCCACCCACCTCGGCCTCCCAAAGTGCTGGGATTACAGGTGTGAGCCACTGTGCCGAGCCTCCATTTTTGAATTGTATTTGTCCTAAGTCCTGGGTCATCATGTCAAGTTATTGACCATTTGTCCTGAACCAGTGTAGATCATATCTCTGGCCATAATGTCGTTCAGACAAAGCAAACAGCAGGTGTACTACTCAAAGTTCTCTCCAATGGGGAGATACCTCCCCCATTTTTCTTTTGTCGTTCATAGTCACTCTGCAGTGGGACTACAGTAGTACTGACGTCACCCGATATCGGGTTTCACCAGAATATTATGCATATCCATCTATAACACCATACTCATCTTTTTCCTCCTCAGCCACCTGGTGATAATGGACTCTTAATAAGGTCGTTAAGTGGTCAAGAGAGAAAAAGCAATTTGTCAGGAGTAGGCATTGAGAACACTTACTTATGCAACTATTTTGTGCCATCAGGGCTGGTTTGAGTCCAATCCTGAATATGCCACTTCCATTTGATGTAGGAGTACTGCTGAGCATGCCTAGCATTATTTTTGGTAGGTCAGCAAACATCCAGTTTATGATGGCTAGATTTCAGTCTCTATTAGTGCAGTAGCAAGCTAGGAGCTGCATCTCAAAAGGAGAATAGCTGTCTGTAGATGATGGCACAGCACAGTTTCAAATTCTCAGAGGTCTGTGGTAAGATTCACCTTTAGGAACCTGCCAATAGTTTCATATAGCATTGCTAACTGCTGCAGACACTTCAAGCACCATCACAGCTGCTGATCATATGGCCCAGTGATGGAGCAGCTTATATAGAAACTTGTACTTGTTTGGGGATCTTTTCTTACCTGGATGTCACTCGAAATGGGCAACCTTATAGGTTACTTGGTGATTGGTTCTGAGTAGCACACACCAACAAGGAATATGCTGCTTCCAAAAGTGAAAGAGGTCCATTAGCATTGTGACCTCTTTCTTAGTGGTGGGAGAGGCAGGTGAAACAAATTGTCTTTCACCTTGTAAAGAATAAATGACACCGCCAAGATAACTAGATACCTAGAAATTTCATTGAGATATAGACTCCTGAATTTTTGTGAGATTTATTTCTGGCATGCTTGTTTTTTCAACGAAATGTCTAAAGTAGTTGTAACATCCTTCTCTCCTGGTCCAATGAACATTTTGTCATTAGTATAATGCACTAGTATGATGCCTTGTGGCATATAAGGTGATCAAGATCTCTGTATGCTACACCGTAACTTAAAGTTGGTATATTATTACAGTCATAAGGCAATATCATGATTTTGTATTGCTGACTTTTCTGAAAGGAAACTGTTCTCCGTGGTCTTTTTAAAAGAAGTATAAAGAAAAGTGTTCACGTGATCAATAACTGCATACCATATGCCAAAAAATGTGTTAATTTGCTCCAGCAACAAAACCACATCTGGGACAGTGGCTGCAGCTGGAATCAACACCTAAATAAGTTTATAATAATCCACTGTCATTCTCCAAGGGCCATGTGCTTTCACCACAGTCAAATAGGTGAAGTAAAGGAGGGGGAGGATATGATGGGTGTCACCATCCTTCTGCCATTTTGCTCTTGATGGGAAGAATAACCTCAGTAGTGCTTCTGGGAATGCAGTATTGAATTTGCTTTATTAGTTTGATGGATAAATGCAGTGTTAGCAGCTTCCCTTGGCTATTCTTGCTACTATAACCCACCTCATGGGTCAAGGAACCATTGTAGGGATTTTGCATGTTTTTGAATATATTTATTTGAACTATACTGAATATATTTATTTGAACTATATAAGTGGAACTGAGAAAACAACCACAGAGTGGTTCAGGAAGTTCCTGGACACATTGTGCAATGGTCCTGAACCAAACATTTATAAATATCTGTGCTTCACATTGCTTATATGAAAAAAGGGATATAATAATAATAGCTTCTTTATAATGTTGATTTAAGGTATAAATGAGAGAACTGTAAGTTATGTGCTTTTCTAGCACAGAGTAAGCCTCAAAAAGTATTATATATTATTCTTTAATTTTAGTTTCATAAAAAGATAGTTTTACTATGCTGACAATTCTGTATCAGCTGCATGCATTTGACTAAGACAAAAACTATATTATATTAAGAAATCAACTAAGTACATAGTAATTATTTTTATTATAAAATTTTAAACTTTAAAATTAGTTTTTATTATACTCTGATCAATTCTAAAATTTGAATTAACATACTTAATTTTATAATAAATTTTTGAAAAATAATGAGACTGTATAATATTATAATTTTTGTAAACCATGTGTAGCAAAATGTTTGGACAAAATGCAATATAAATTCTTCTTTCTTAAGTGCCTTCAGTGACAACCCATCAGTAGTAACTGGATTAAAATGAAATTCCATATCCTGTTTAACAAAAATCTTCACAATCTGGTTCCACCAAACCTAACTTGAACAAGTGGTAACAAAAGAGATAGTTTCTGTGACTTCTACACAGACCAGGTCACTTTTAATCTTGCTCATGACATTTCCTTCACTTTGATGGGATTCTTTTTCCTACCCATTCAGACAACCAACACTAGAAATTCTATCTGGAGAGAAAAACGAGTTAACATCTGAGGAGATCAGGGAATGTGACCCCGTGGCAGTATACCTGCTGCCCTCTACTCTCAATTTCAATTCAATCAGCAACCAGGTCCCCTAAGATTTGTGATTGTGGATTGGCAGGAACATGGCACAGAAGGATTGCAGAGGCAACATGATCTGCCAGATGATGAATAGAAAGAGAGAACTGATGAAAAACATTTTCCCCTATGAAGTGAGAGCCAGACATGGAAAACCCTCAGATGAGAGTGGGGGTGAGAGAAATCCTAGAAGTAGAGATTGACCTGGGAATGTCCACATATGGTTTTGCTGGTATCCCAGGCTCCTAGATAGTTGTGGGGAAGAGCTGGTGGTCTGAGTTCTCTCTACCATTCAGGCAAAAATAGCACCACCTTTGCAGAGGATAAGTCCAGAAAATAGAAAGGTTTAATCAATGAGCACAAAAGAAATAGAGTGAACTTGATGACTGGCATTCCACCACTTCACAGGACAGAGTTTTGCCCTTTTCTCATCTCATCAGACTTTCACCTGTTAAGGATCTCTGGATCTGGATCTGAACTCCAAGTGCAGCATATGAGTAGACAAAGGAAAAGAACCTAACCAGAGCTATGAAACAAAAAGAAAAAAAAAAGGAAAAACAACAGAATACTCACAGCATAGCAAGATAGGGCTGCTGTAAGAGAGAGAGAATAACTTGAAGCAAAATAAATAAGAGCACATAGGACAATTCAATTATAGCACAAAATGTTTTCTATAATAGGTACGTAGATAGTGAGATAATTATTTAAGTTTGTGTGTAATATTTTATTTGAATTAAAAATCATGAATCAAAATGATCACCAAATTAGGTTACTGAGTGAGATTCAAATTAGGAATTCATTCAAATGAAATAAATTTTCCAAAGCACACACCAAACAAAATAATGAAAAGAGAAAAATAAATAACAGGTAGAGAGGTGAGAATTAAATGAGTAGGAAAAAAACATTCTTGAGCTGGAACAAGAACTGATTCTGGGGATTAAAAGCCTTTGCAAGGTAAATGAATAGAGGAAAACACTCAGGTTTATTTTAATAAAATTATTTAACTCCAAGAGTAAAAAGAAAATTTTTATACTTTCAGAAGAAATAACTACCTGGCTACAAAGTAAAAACAAACACAGTGAGATGAGAGGTCTCAATTCTGACACTCGCTAGAGAACAATGGAACAATATGAATAATCAAGTCACAGCCATTCTACACACACACACCCACACACACACACACAGCATAACACTATATTTGTAAATATGAAAGAATTGAAGAAACAGAGACCTTAAAATGAAAGAACATGAAGAAGAGAGGAAGAAAATTTCTTCTATCTCCTTCCAACTAGACAGTGAGTATTTATTTCAGTGAAAACCCAAAAACATTTTCTTGCATTTCTGTGGTTCTAGTAGCATCACTTTCCCATCTTTGAATTATACACAAAGACATGGAATATAATGATTTGCTTAACCCAATCAGGACATGTTCTTGCATCTGAGATTTATACCATGTCCACTCCAAATGCATAGAGCCAATATAGGTAGTATGCTTTCCCAAAAGAAATTTGTACCATTAGAAAGATGAAATGAAAACTCGTTCTATTGCTTGTCAAGACACCGTTAGTGGAATGAAAGGCCTATTAGAAGATTTGAAGATTCTTTTGATCATAGAATACAATGCAGTGATATTTGAATAAATAAATAGCAAAACTGCTTGTTACAGCTCCAAATGAGGGAAGGCTGCATGCAGGGCCACAAAGAGGGTTGCACCAGGGACAGAGTAACAAGGAACTGGGACTTTCGGGAGCAGGTTATGCATGGCAAGTGGGATAGGATTAGCTAGGTCATACAGGCTCCCGATGAATTGAGTAATTTAAATAATTTCACTGGCTCTGGGCATAGAGGCTGCCCCTAATTGCCTGTTATCTGGCTTTGGGGCAATTGCTGCAGGTGCATAGTAACTCCAGAAAACGAGAGTCCAATAAAGCAAGTGATTGTCATGTGGACTTAATCAGCTGCTCTAGAAGTGGAACAGATCTGCTTCTAGCCACAACCTCAAAACTGGATCAGATAGCATTTAAAAAAATAACAAACTACAATACAAAAGACAAGCATCAGACTATCAGATATAACTCTTATGAATATATTCTTCAAAAGGACTCCTGTCCAGAATATATGAGACATTGAACTCAACAAGGAGAATATAAACAACTCAATTTAAAAGAAAAATCTGCAAAAACTTAGAAAAGAATGTAAGATTAAGAAATAAGCAGATTTCAAAAAGGATGCTTACTATTCATTAGAGAAATGCAAAGTAAAACCACAATGAGATACCACTAAATATAAATCAAAATAGCTAACACCCACAAATATTGAAGATAAAATTCAAGAAGTCTCACATGTGGCTGGTATGAAAGCAAAATGATATAGACACTTTGCAAAACACTTTAGCAGTTCCTTATAAGACACAGAAATCCTTCCTTAAGGATTTACTCAAGGTCAATGAAAAGATGTGTTCACATGAAGGCTCATATCTGGATATTCATAACAGCTTTATTTATAACATCCAAATACTGAAAAATAAGCCTTTATCAACTTGAGAGTTGACAAATTGTGGTATATCCTTGCAACAGAATTTTGCACAGCTTTAAAAGCAATTAACCGCTGATTAACTACTAATACACTCAACAACAAAGATAGAACTCAAAATGCTAAGAGGCCAGATACAAGACTAAAAATTCTATGATTTATTTATGTGACATTCTGGAAAAGGTAACTATATTATCAGAAAGCAGAGCAATGGTTACCAGGAGCAGTGGAGGGGAGGGGTTGACTGCAATAGGTCATGAAGAAACATTTTGCAGTGGTAGAAATATTTCATATCATGCTTTCAAACTCATACAATTGTACATTTAAAATTGTTGAATTTGTTATATGCAACTTACACATTGAAAATTCTGATTGATAGTTAATAACAATGTATTTTATACCTGAACATTACTGAGAGTAGATTTTGCATTCTTACTACAAAGAAGTATGAGAAGTAACAATGTGTGTTAATTAGCTTGATTTAGCTGTTTAATGATGTATACATATATCAAAACATCATGTTGTAATCATAAATATGTACAATTTTTGTTAGTCAATTTAAAAAGTAAATAAGTAAAAAACAGACAATACTAGAATGCAGACATTTTTTATTATTAATGTTTCAGTTTATTTGCTTCCTTTATTCCCCCATGCAAATTTCTTTTTAATATACTCTTGTACAAATTAGTGTCCACAAAAAGAAAAAGAAAATTCTGATTAAGAACACTAAGTACACTACAATTCAGTTATTTGAAATAGCAGCACCTATTTTGTTTATAGAATAACAGATTTTATTTTTTAACTCCTACTCCTACTAGCATAACTGAAGATTTTTCATCTTCAGTTAAGCCATTGAATAACTGCCCAGCCAAAATCACTGATAACCCTCCTGTACTCCTATAGTTTTCTTGTATCCTTAAGAAAGTGGGTTTTTCATGCATATTCCTATACTACAAGATTTTAATACTTTCAAATAAAATAACACATAAATAATGTTTTACAAACTGCAAAACAGTGTAGAAATTACAGCAACTATTATTATTCTTTGAGTAGGAATTGTTCCTAATTCATCTTTGTGCATAAAACATAATTTTTGCTCAGAAAATGTATTGAATATAGTTGAATAGATTATTGGAATTCTTATTTTTATATTTGAATTATTCCAACTTGTGACATTTAATTTAGACACAACATGATAGCATTATCCTTGGGACAAAAGCTGAATAGTGACTAACAGTGACTATCTTGTTTTTCTATTGGTTTTATTCGTCATCAAATTTCCTCCAAGTGAACTACTTATTGAGTTTCAGTAGCACTGAGTGCCAAAGGACAATTAAATTGATCCTCAACAAATTACTAAGAAAGACTTCCTTGATTTTAGTGTTTCCCCTTAATTGTGAAGCCATGGCAGCTCCACAAATAAATGGGTTGCTTAACAGACTCCACGGCTAATAATGTGAAAAGCTTGAATTACCTCATGTTGATTACAACATCTCTATTCCCCTTCTGAATGTAGCCAAAAATAGAGTGATAAAGACGAGAATAGTTGCTATATTTTTCACCACAAAGTACATTCAGTCCTTCATGGGCACATACACAAATGTGGACCCATGCACATATATATACATATATATGTATTTGTGTATATATATATATATATGTCCACACACACGTGCACAAGTAGGCACATATATACATAAATAAAATACTAAACCCTTGTTGTTTTTTTTTTTTTTTTGAGACAGAGTCTCGCTCTATGCAGTGGCACGATCTCGGCTCACTGCAACCTCCACCTTCCGGGTTCAAGTAATTCTCCTGCCTCAGCCTCCCAGGTAGCTGGGACTATAGGCGCACGCTGCCATGCCTGGCTAATTTTTTGTATTTTAGTAGAAACAGGGTTTCACTGTGTTGCCCAGGCTGGTCTCAAACTCCTGAGATCAGACAATGTGCACGCCTCAGCCTCCTAAAGTGCTAGAATTACAAGCATGAGCCACGACACCCGGACTAAACCCGTTTTTAAAACATTTCATGTCAATTGCTTTGGCATTGAAAGTTTGGTCCTTGTTAAGTTCCATTTATAAATGAATAAACTAGGACTCAAAGAATAAAAAACAAAACAAAACTTATTTTTGGAGGGGGTGTCTGCAATTCTGCTTTTATTTCACCAGGAGACTGCCTAATTACCTAGAACTAATTGACTTTATTTTCAGAAAACTAAGTGTAAGTGGCATGGGAATAATTCCATGTATAATTTTTCCAGCATTTAATCAGCAGTGCCTACCACATTGCTTGATTCATAGTACCTGCAATAAATAATCAAATAATAACTACCTATTCTGAAAGCCCATGTTCCAGTGATCATTTTAAGTGATTTATATATTTCCATCTCACTGATTCTCAAAACAGATTTATGCAATGGGCACAACTATCCTTATGTTACTTTGCATTCTATACCCCCCTCCATTCCATGATAAATCTCTCTATGTATCAGTTTTTCATAGCTGACATAACAAACCACCATAAATAGTGCTTAAAACAACAACAATTTATCATCTCATAGTTTTGGAGGTCAGGAGTCCTAAAATCAAGGTGTGATGGAGAGGCTGCATTCCTTTCTGGAAGTTCGAGGGGAGACTTTGCTTCCTCGATTTTTTCAGCTTTTAGAGGTTGTCCACATGGTCAATTACCTCCATCCTCAAAGACAGCAAAGTCAAATTTCTCTAAACCGTTTCTCTGCAGTCATAATATTTGCTGCTTTTGAACTCAAGTGATTAGATTGGGCCAACCTGGATAATCCAGGGTAATCTTGTCTCTAGGTCTTTAATCTTAATCATATCTTCAAAGTCCCTTTTGCCATGTAAGGAAACATTCACAGATTCAGGGCCATTATTCTGCCAGCTACATCTATATCATCCATTTTTCAGTGACCAACTTCTTATGCTTCTGGCTTAAAGTGAAACCTAGATTCTTGCTGAAGGCATTTATTTCCACTGTTTTTACAAGTAAAAGTAATCATTCTTTTGCTTCCTTTGTTCCAAAATAACCAGAAATTGGATCTGTTTTATCTTGGTTTTACACATTTAACTCCCAACCATTATTACTCATTTCAAAGTACCTATTCTTATGAATTTCTTACCATAAGAAACAAAATTTCTATTTCACGTCATGATTTTTGTCTTTTTGTTCTTAGACTTAGTCATCTACAATAATTTTCCTCCCTCCTTCCACTGATTCCCACGGCCTCATCTTCAGTTTTGCATGTCAACCTCAATTGGGCTGCAAATATATTGGCCACTTATTTTTCGCTTCTTTTCTGTTTGCTTTTGATCAAGTTCCACGGAGCCAAACAGAATTAGGAGAACATATTTCCAATTATTATTCTATCTTCTTTAGATTCCTCAAGACTGCAGCCAGGAAAGGATCTGGTTTAATCACTAATTGTTACACTGTAAAAGGCTATTGCAGCAAAGGAAATAAAATGATAAACTCTTGACAAAATCATGTTCCCTTAGAGCTCAAGGGAAACACCTTTGATCTTTATTCCCAAGGTGAGTGCCACCATTCTCTCTCTCTCAGGGCTTTACTTGGTTCTTCACTCTTAGGTTGTGCTCCTATATCCAAAGTGAATCTTTCATTAAATCTCACTGTATAAATTCTTATCCCCGCTACCCTTTTTTTTTTTTTTTTGAGACCTAGTCTCACTCTGTCGCCCAGGCTGGAGTGCAGTGGGTCCAACTCAGTTCACTGCAACTTGCGTCTCCAGGGTTCAAGCGATTCTCCTGCCTTACTCACTTCTGAAGAACACCCAACCACATAACATAGGAGCAAATTGTATTGCCTGAATCTATTTTCTTTACTCATTTCCCACAATTAGAGTCTAGAATATTTTTGCCTTGACTTCGCAAATGGTGATGCCCATTGTTACCAAAGTCTTGTAGATTTATGAGTGTCAGGTGGAGTGAGGGACCTCGGGTGGTATGGAGCAGAAGGTTGAGGTGGTGATGGTAGAATAAATTCTGAAACTCCACCATTAAAGATGGCCATGAACCGATCTTCATGGTTATTTTCACATGTAAGAGCTGAGAATATGTTCATTTCTCTAATTAGTGAAATCATTAGCTCATGCACAGATATGTCATCTGAAGCCAGAAACTAAGGTGCAGATATGGGCGAATCTAAATCCATATGGAAGAAGGAAACGTTTCCTCATTTAGCAAGTTGTCTATCATTTCCTATAAAAATAGTAATTCTCATTTCTGTGTAAAATATTACTTGTTTGTTTTTATACCTATCAATTGCCTTGATGAATAAGCAAGTGTAATAAATGTCCTGTTAGTAGCCTACTTCTTGCTTATTACAGAAAAGGGCCCTGGTTTGTTCATTCTAATAAAGACAAGAAGAAATTATGTTATACTTAGTTTTTCTTTGGGTGTGGATGAAGGAAATGAGAAAGGATAATTACATTTTATAGATATAGTTTAAATGTTTTTCTACTTAATATTTGCCTCCCATAACATCCAAAATGACCCCATTTTTAGTGCTTCTTTCAACTGTAATTTTAATATCTTCACTAAAAAATTTTTCCCTTGGATTATGAGTTTGCAACATCTTTAATATAAAAAATAATTTAAAAAGTAAATTAAAGTAATTATGGACAACCTTCCCTTATTCACTTCCTCCAACAGTCAAATTTCTAGTTCTTACCTACATTTATAGCTATCATTGTTGACTTCGTTTCCTAAGCTTTCCACTCTAATTTATTCACCAATCACTCACTCCTTATCACACTAAAATTGGGTTTCTTTTCCCATCTTGCCACCAAAATATTCCTCTGTAGCTCACCCTTAGCCTCCCTGTTTATAAAATCAGTAGACATCCCAGCAGCTTTTAACCTTCTTTTAAAAAGACTCTTTTCTTAGAGTGTCTCACCCTTTCTCTTTATTTTTTTTCCCTAAGTGATTCTTTTCCAGTACTTTTTTGTCTAACTTTCCCCACCAGTTCTTTAAATGTTTGTGTGTTTCAACTTACGGTAATTTATCTTCTCAGACTACAACCCCTGACCCTGTCCAGGAATGTGGCTTCAGTTGCCACCAACATTTTGGTGATTCCTAATTCAGAATCTTCCATTTAGACTTCTCTGAACTTCAAGTTATAGCTAACTTCTTCTGGCTAACATATATATATGTAAAGCTGTATCTTATACAAAGTGTGACTGTAAGTGAAGGTAAATATTAAGATATTTTGAACACATTTCAAACTTTAAAAGCTGATGATAGTTTTCTTTCTTACAAAAATGTATCCTCACTGTCACTGTTATGGAAAACCACAACAATATATACATTTATAATGCAAATATAATTCAAGAAAACTTAAAATTCTTGGAGAAGACTGAACAGAAGGAAAAATTCTGAATGCAGATATTTTCATTACGACATTGGGAGTTACTTAGTTGTATAAATTAGGTGTATGCATTACTAAGACTATTACTTTGAAGGTTTGTGAATTAGTACACATTATGTATTTTATTGTGACCATCTGTATATGCAGAGGAGTTCGGTGAAAGTGTTATGGCCTTTGAAAACAGCCCTGAGCACAAATAGTATTTCTGCTACCTGCTAGCCTGTAATCACTAGAAATTTACTTACCCTCCTTCAGCTAGTTTCTCCATCCACAAAGCAAGGGCACGGATATTTAATCTACAAGCTTGGTGTAAGGATCATGTCACCCTACTGTTCCTGGCATGTATCTGGCACTCAAAAAAATATCGAAACTGTAAAATATTATTTTCAACAATGTTAAGAAATTTTATTTGGTTTCTTAGGTGTATGTTCCCATAAGGAAAAAAAAAATGAATCAATAGAAAATATCAATAAATACCTAATTCCTAAATTTTGTTTATGTAGTTTTAATTCTAGGCAGATAAATTTACAATTATTTGTTCTTGAGATTAATACTTTTTGAGTTTACATAGTGGCAGTAAATATTCCTAGCCTACTAAACATGGAGTACACTGAAAAATCAAGTCTAGAAACCTATAGAAGTGAACCACAGACAAAATCAGTATGGGATCCTTGAGTGACTATTTTAAGTTATATCCTAACTGAACTTGACTAAGCATCATGAACTTTTCCTCTGAGCTCTTTTTTTTTTTTGAGACAGAGTTTTGCTCTGTCACCCAGGTTGGAGTGCTGTGGCAGATCTCTGCTCACTGCAAGCTCCGCCTCCTGGGTTCACGCCATTCAGGGAGCTCAATTCTTACTACTAAATATAGACTTTCATTGAGAGATATTGTTAATTAGATTTTGTGTCAATATTTTTTATTTTGATGTTCATAGTGTCTTTTATATTTACATAATTGTTACCTCAAATTGTAATATGAGCCATCCATGATAAATTATAGTACCTAAGCAATAATTAGAACATGTATTTATCTTATTAACATTGTCTACCACCTCAACCAAACATCCAGAACAAATCCAAAATAAGATTGTTCTTTTGATCATACATGTAGTCATGTTCTTTTGATCATACATATAGTCAAACAAATCATTTTGGTCTAGTGGAATCTTTCGATACCTACATAGTACTATCTGCACTGGGGATTAAGGCAGAAAAAGTCTGCTAAAAGTTTTAACCACAAAGGCTGACCCACCATTGCTTCTGGTTGCATAGCTTGTGCCTGATCTTTCTACTCCAGTTTGAAATTTGAGTTATGACACAGAAAAAGGTCATGTCCTCAGATTCTTTGAATCCTGAGGACTATTTGTCCACCCTAAAAGAAGCATGCATGTAAAAACTGTTTACACATCTTGGAAGCTTTTCTCTTTTGAGAACGGGACTCAGAGAGTTTGATAATCCTTTGCAATGGTAATCTTTATGTCCAGGTAATTCATCATTCCTTTACATGCACTGCTTTATTCAAACTCTGTTAAGGTAAAATAACCTGATTTTCTTTTCGGTGTCAAAAGTGTTCTTTTATATTTCTATGCTATCACTATTTGGTAATACATTTTATTCTGGCCCAAGTCTCATCCTGTGAAAGTTCCCCTTCTCCAGTTGCTGTTTCTGATTTGCATAAAGACACCCCATCCTGTCTATCATAATTTCTATTTATCACTCCGAGGAGTAAGCAGATGCTGAGAACTAGAATTGATTTAATAGCCGTCTCACTATATTCTCAATGCTCTTGAGTGATGATCATACAGTGTCTGATTAGACTTCATATAATTGGGATCCAGCTATTTTCTATGAAGGGCAGTCTGTTTCATCACTGGCCAGTTCTGTGATGTGACACACCTTTCTTATACACACAGCCACATCCTCCTTTCTTGTAGTATCAATGATTCACTCACCTGTTTATTTGTTCAGTGTATAGTGAGCATCTTATGTACTAGACTCTGTAAATAAAATAAAACAAGATACAATTTCTGTATTCAAGGAAATTTGTTGTCTAATGGGAACAGGCTACAATGGAAGAAGGACCTTGATCTAATGAAGTAGCCATGTAACCATACCTTTCTTTGTAGAGGGTTCTTTCCAAACAATCCTTCCAATCTCTGGTTAAACATTACTGCCTGAATCTTGAACTTAGAAGAGGTTCTTTGTTATATATGGGCAACAAGAAAATCCATACTCTAACATTAGAGCCCATATATCAGCTTTTTATAATTGTGACTATATAATTTACATTTGTTTTGTGTTACATTCCATGTCTCTTTAAAGTAGGGACTGCAGTGTATAATTTTTTGCTCATCATTGTTTCTAGTAAAATGACTGGTACATAATAGATAATTAGTAAATACAAAATGAGTTAATGAATGAATTAATGAATGAATTGGCAATATTAGTATTGGTTCTGCTTTTTCACCACACTGTGACTGTATTAATTTCTGTCACTGCAAAAAAAAGTTACCACAAAATTAGAAGCTTATAATACCAGATGCTTATAATCTCAGTTTCTATGGGGCAGAAGTCCAGGGATGGCTAAGCTGGATTGCAGCTAAAACTACTGTCACCTTGAAACTTGGCAGCAATAAAGTCTGACAGTTCCCCTTTTCCAGGATTCTGGTCTCAGAGCCAGGACTGTGATCTTATCTGAGGTTTGGTGTCCTCTTCCAGGGTCAATGATTTTTGGCAAGATCTAGTTCCTTGTATTTTGTAGCTTTCAGAGGCTGCCTACCATTCTTTATCATAGGACCCTCTTACAGCATGGCAGTTTGTTTCTTCAAGGCCAATAGAAAACTGTCTCTTTCAATAGGAACACTGTTACACTGTTGGTGGGAGTGAAAATTAGTTCAACCATTGTGGAAGACAGTGTGGTGATTCCTCAAGGATCTAGAGCGAGAAATACCATTTGACCCAGCAATCCCATTACTGGGTATATACCCAGAGGATTATAAATCATTCTACTATAAAGACACATGCACACGTATGTTTATTGCAGCACTGCTAACAATAGTAAAGACTTGCAATCAACCCAAATGCCCATCAGTGATAGACTGGATAAAGAAAATGTGGCACATATACACCATGGAATACTATGCAGCCATAAAAAAGAATGAGTTCATGTCCTTTGCAGGGACACAGATGAAGCTGGAAAGCATCATTCTCAGCCAAGTAACATAGGAGCAGAAAAACAAACACTGCATGTTCTCACTCGTAAGTGGGAGTTGAACAATGAGAACACATGGACACAGGGAGGGGAGCATCACACACCAGGGCCTGTTACGGGGTGGGAGGCTAGGAGAGGGATAGCAATAGAAGAAATACCTAACGTAGATGACGGGTCGATGGGTGCAGCAAACAACCATGGCACGTGTATACCTATGTAACAAACCTGAACATTCTGCACATGTATCCCAGAACTTAAGGTATAATTTTAAAAAGTAAAAAAAAAAAAAAGTGACTCTTTCTTCTTTTGTCTCTGACCTCTAGACCCTCAAAGGATGTACAAAACATTGTCAGATTAAAAAGATTCGATATAATTAATAAGAGACTTTTGGAGAGTCCAAGTGAGAATTATAAAAATATAACTAAATCATTTTTTAATACACAATAATTTCTCATTTTTTTTAGACTGTAGCACTCAGAATTGAAACATGTTTATCTAATGAGTAACAGTTTCAATCTCCTTGGTCAATCTCTTACCACAATATGGAGATTGTATTTCTATATATACTTTCAACTTTTATATATTTTAAGAGATTATGCCGTAACATAGGGGAAGGGTAAACAAAATCCTTAAATTTATTTTCCAGAAACTCCCTCAAACTATATTTTTTTACATTCATATTCAAGTAGCTGCCTTAGAAATTAAGTACAAAAAATTGAATTATTTGCTAATAAATCCTATTTGTGTGTGTGACTTTTGGGCCTGTATGCTAAATCCTTTAAAAATACTTTATCTGTAAAAACAATCTTTAATGTTTTACCAAGTTTATGCTTCTTTGTGTGTATATTTTGTCAGTTGTGAATTGTATAAGCTTAAGTTCAATTTATTCTTTAGAAGAAATGTTAACAGTTTTCACAAAAAAAGAAATGATTAAGAAAAGTACTAAATAAAGCTCTTAGAAACCTCCTCCATGTGGGCAAGGGAATCATAACATTTCATGCTACTCTTATAATCATACAATGAATGGAAAATAAGATTTACCACCTTATTCTCAAGTGAAACATGAGAAACGTTGCCAAATGCTCTTTTGGATGAATATGTATTTTTTTAATTGACAACTAAAATTTTTATAAATTCATGGTGTACAACACAGTGTTTTAACATCTGTGTACATTGCCGAACGCCTAAGTCAAGCTATGTAACATATGCATGACCTCACATACTTGTGGTTATTTTGTGGTGGGAACACTTACAATGTATTATATTAGCAATTTTCAAGTATACAATATACTGTTATAATTTACAGTCACCATGATATACAATAGATCTTCCAAACCTACTCTTCCTAACTAAAATTTGTACCCTTTGAATGACATCGCTCCAATCTTTCCTACCACCAATCTCTGGTAATTATCATTCTATTTTCTGCTTCTATGATTCTCAAAATTTTTAGATTCCACAAATAAGTGAAATCATGGAATATTTGTACTTCTATGCCTGGCTGATTTAACTTAACATAATGTTCTCCAAGTTTATCCATGTTGTCACGTATCATAAAATTTTCTTCTTTTTAAAGGCTCAGTAGTATTGCATTGTTTATATATTCCACTTTTACTTTATTCATCAAATCTTTAATGAGCACTTAGGTTGACTCTCTATATTGGCTACTGCAAGTAAGGCTGTAATAAATGTGGGAGCACAGGTATCTCTTCAAAATACGAATTTAATTTTCTTTTGATATATATCCAGTAGTGGGATCATATGATAGTTCTATTTTTAATTTTGTGAGCAAACTCCATACAGTTTTCCATAATGGCTGTAGTAATTTATAATCCCACAAACACTATGCAAGGGTACCCTTTTCTCCACACCCTCACCAACGCTTGTTATTTTCATTTTTTGATAATAGCCTGGATGAATGGCATTTCTAAGGAACTCCCTAGATCTATAAACTTTAATCAAAACATTGATAAAATTTGTTTGGCATGAGTTTTCCTAAGCAGCATGGCACAATTTTTCTTTCACAGAAACAAATAGACTGACTACACAGAAAGATCACTGGACATATTTCTAGGAGATATCCGTCCAAGACATCTATTTTTTTAATCGTCATTGATAATCCAATCATGCTAAGATTAAATTCTTCTGATTCCGTAAAGTGTCCAGAGGATTGAGGAAATGAGGGTAGTAGGAAAAAAAATGTATGGGTGGAGGAAAACAAATTGCAAAGGTGAAGATGATTTACATACTATGTTTTGCATACAATTTAGTTTTAAATAGTTTTTGAAAGTCTTCAAATATTGCTCACTGCCAACTAAAACAAGATAACACTTGAAAAAAATAGCTTCTATTTCTTCATACCCATTGTTTGCACGTTTTTGTTTGTAGTTCATTCTGCATTTGAGCAAGTGATATAACATCCATGTAAAATAGTCTATATAATGAACGCTTATTTCACATAATAAGGAGTCTAACAGAGAAGAGACCCAAAACTGGTTTAGCAACATCACAATCAAGAATTCAGAGTTTATTTGTCATTTTACTCTACTCTCCTTAGGACTGCTCCTCAAACAGTGTAAGATGGAGTGCCCAGCCTCTTTTGTGTCACATAAACCACACTAGATATAAATAACTCTTGTAAACATTTTGGTCTAAAGAGAAGAAGCCAGACACCAATGCCACCTGCTCTATAATTTCATTTTTAAAACATTCTAAAAAATAAAAATAATAGGCAAAATCAGAATAATGACTGCCAAGTAGAGGTTGAGGAAGAGATTGCACAAAAAGGAGTACTAAGGAACTTTTTGGGTGTGATGGAAATATTTTTAATCTTGGCGGTATTGGTGTGCATGAATGTATGTTTTTTTTCAAACTCATAACTGTATACAAAATATACATAGATTTACTAGATATAAATTATAACTCAGTAAAACTGACCTCAAAAAAGATGTAAAAAACGGGTTTGACTAAAATTTAAAAAGTATCTTTGAAATTATTATCAATTAAATTTAAATAATCTTATCAATTATTCACAAAAAGTGTTCCCTGCTTCCTACCATTGTCGTCCTTTATACCACAGGGTATAAAAAGGACAACTCATTCTCTTCAAATATGGTTTCAAAAAAAAAAACAAAATGATGACAGGGCTCTCTTTTTATGCACTCAATTTATTCAAAGATAACCAATGTAATTATACTACTCTGAGTCATTGTAGAGTGAAAAGATAATCTAAAATTAGAATATGTACACCTGGAAATTTTGATAAAATTTTTGAAAAAGTGTGTCTTTTTTTTTAAAGAAAATTAAGATACAAGGAAAGATTAAACGTTACTTAAACTTATGTCAAGAATTACATAATTTAAGAAGATACAGTCTTAAGAAAATGGAGTGAAAGTTTTTAATAGTTTCAAATTTTCCTGTGTTTCAATTATAATAAATTATAATTTATTGATTAAAAAATAAATTTATAAAATATTATAAATTATACACAATTGTATTAAAACCTCAATTTGAAATGAAAAAAGAATCACTACAAGAGTAATAAACCATAAAATCCTGCAAAAAGCTGTGATATTCCTAAAATAACATAAAGATATTCATTGCATCAATGTAATTTTGTCTGTGGGTTACAGCCAAGCCTATACTGACAGTTAAATTCTTATTGCAGGTTAAAAATCTTAGAGAAATTTACTTTCCTTATCATGTTCTACTATAGTAATAATTTTAAGAATTTATTGAAAATAAAAAGATACATTTATATTATATTTTACTGTCTCTTGAATTCTTACGGATAGCTTAAATATTATTTTCATGTAAGAAAAAATGTTTCATGTAATATTGATAGAATAGGCGTCAATGATACTTTTCTTGGGAACATAACTTATGAGAAGCAGGGTTACTAAAATAAGCATAGTAAAATAGGACGATTTTTGTTGCAAGTAACTGAAATTTTACTTAAGAATGCTTAAATAATAAAATCGCACCGTAAGATGTCTGGAGATTGACTTTAGAGTGGCTAACACTTATTAAGGGCTCAGTCCCATTAGTCTACAATAGACCTCCTTAACTATGGTTTTGCTTTCTGTGATTTCAGTTACCTGTGGTCAACCTCGATCTGGGCATATTAACTGGAAAATTACAGAAATAAACAACTTGTAAGTTTTAAATTTCACACTGTTCTACATAGTGTGATGAAATCTCGCGCCATGCTGTCCATCCTTCCTATAACGTTAAACTCCTTTAGTGCCGCACATCCACACTGTTACCTGCCTGCTAGTCTCTTAGCCCTCTTGGTTATCAGATCACCTGTCACATGTAGCAGTGCTTGTGTTCAAATAACCCTTATTTTCATTTAATAATGGTCCCAAAGCACAAAAGTAGTGAAGCTGATACAATAAGCCAAAGAGAAGCCTTAAAGTACCTCCTTTAAGTAAAAAGGTAAAAGTTCTGAAATTCATAAGGAAAAAACCTGCATGCCGAGATTGCTAAGATCTATGGCAAGAATGCATATTCTCTCTGTGAAATTATGAAGAAGAAAAAAGAAATGTTTGCCAGTTTTGCTGTCACACCTCAAACTGCAAAAGTTACAGCCACGGTGCACGAAAAGTGCTTAGTTAATATGTAGAAGGCGCTGAAGGTGTGGGTGGAAAATATGAACAGAAACATGTTCCAAGACAGCAATTTAGTTCATACTGCTACAGTTTCAGGCATCCACTGGGGTCTTGGAAAGTAACCCCTATGCATAAGAGGGAACTACTGAACTACTGTACTTCAAACTTCGTCATTCTCAACATGATGTTGGGTCCCTAAGGCCTGGTTTGAGCAGTTATAGGCATTGCTTCCTCACAGAAAAATATTTAGAGGTGGAAAAGACAATTTCTCTTTGTTTTTCTATTTTTATCAAGTAGGAAAACAGTAATCAAATGTAAAGGAAGCAGACTTCCTTCCACCTGGTTAATGAAGATTGAAATACAAGCCAGTCATCAGCACCAATATGAGAATTACCTTGATTATCTTGACTAGTCAATATCAACTACCTGTGCCTGGGGAGTGGCAGGCTGCTATACCTGAATAAAATTGGGTGTTCTTAGCCAAGAAAGCGAGGAGAGTAGCCGTTGCCTAGACGTGAGACTTCAGAGGCCTGCTCTCAGCTGAATTCTGTTCCAAACCATTGAATGAGATTGCAATATTCAAAATGTAAGTCTGCATACTCATCATGGAAAAGGACATAGTTATGTTACTATGATGAAGAATTAAAAGATAAACAGCAGAGGAAGAGGAAAAGAAAAAGAAAATGAAGAGGAAGTGAGAAAAAAGAATAATATCACAATTGAGTAAACGGTTAAATTTCTTTTTTTATTTATTTTTTATTTTAAGTTCTGGGGTACATGTGCACAACGTGCAGGTTTGTTACATAAGTATACATGTGCCATGTTGGTGTGCTGCACCCATTAACTCCTCATTTACATTAGGTATATCTCCTAATGCTATCCCTCCCCGCTCTCCCCACCCCACGACAGGCCCCAGTGTGTGATGTTCCCCTTCCTGTGTCCAGGTGTTCTCATTGTTCAATTCCCACCTATGAGTGAGAACATGCGGTGTTTGTTTTTTTGTCCTTGTGATAGTTTGCTGAGAATGATGGTTTCCAGCTTCATCCATGTCCCTACAAAGGACATGAACTCATCATTTTTTATGGCTGCATAGTAGCCCATGTTGTATATGTGCCACATTTTCTTAATCCAGTCTATCATTGTTGGACATTTGGTTTGGTTCCAAGTCTTTGTTATTGTGAATAGTGCCACAATAAACATATGTGTGCATGTGTCTTTATAGCAGCATGATTTATAATCCTTTGGGTATACACCCAGTAATGGGATGGCTGGGTCAAATGGTATTTCTAGTTCTAGATCCCTGAGGAATCACCACACTGCCTTCCACAATGGTTGAAGTAGTTTACAGTCCCACCAACAGTGTAAAAGTGTTCCTATTTCTCCACATCCTCTCCAGCACCTGTTGTTTCCTGACTTTTTAATGATCGCCATTGTAACTGGTATGAGATGGTATCTCATTGTGGTTTTGATTTGCATTTCTCTGATGGCCAGTGATGATGAGCATTTTTTCATGTGTCTGTTGGCTGCATAAATATCTTCTTTTGAGTAGTGTCTGTTCATATCCTTTGCCTACTTGTCGATGGGGTTGTTTTTTTCTTGTAAATTTCTTTGAGTTCTTTGTAGATTCTGGATATTAGCCCTTTGTCAGATGAATACATTGCAAAAATTTTCTCCCATTCTGTAGGTTTCCTGTTCACTCTGATGGTAGTTTCTTTTGCTGTGCAGAAGCTCTTGAGTTTAAGTAGATCCTATTTGTCAATTTTGGCTTTTGTTGCCATTGCTTTTGGTGTTTTAGACATGAAGTCCTTGCCCATGCCTATGTCCTGAATGGTATTGCCTAGGTTTTCTTCTAGGGTTTTTATGGTTCTAGGTCTAACGTTTAAGACTTTAATCCATCTTGAATTAATTTTTATATAAGGTGTAAGGAAGGGATACAGTTTCAGCTTTCTACATATGCCTAGCCAGTTTTCCCAGCACCATTTGTTAAATAGGGAATCCTTTCCCCATTTCTTGTTTTTGTCAGGTTTGTCAAAGATCAGATAGTTGTAGATGTGTGGTATTATTTCTGAGGGCTCTGTTCTGTTCCATTGGTCTATATCTCTGTTTTGGTACCAGTACCATGCTCTTTTGGTTACTGTAGCCTTGTAGTACAGTTTGAAGTCGGGTAGCGCGATGCCTCCAGCTTTGTTCTTTTGGCTTAGGATTGACTTGGCAATGCGGGCTCTTTTTTTTAGTTCCACATGAACTTTAAAGTAAAAGGTTAAATTTCAAATAAATAGTCTTAATGAGAAGTTTTCAACTTGTCCTCAGGCCATGGAGGGCCACAGAGTCACTACAGAAAATCCTTCAATTGGTGAGTTCTACGTATTATCTTCTAAATTAATAAAAAATTTATCTTACATATTTATATGCTAATAGATATATGGAGATTAACAAAATTCAAATTACTTGAAATGTATTACTGAAACAATTATAGCTTTTGTTTTAAAACAGCTGATCATTACCATGTTGAGGTCTGTGAATGGTTTTGTTTTTGTAACTTAAAGAATAAATGGGGACCACTGATATAGACAATGTTTAATAAAGAGTTAGCAGGAATTTCAAAATGAAAACCAAAGCACTATAACCATTGCATCTTCACTTGCATCACCTAGTCTAGAGGTCTCTCAAGATAAGTTCTCCTGTGGTATCCAGACTCTTCATTAGGTGAGTCGCTGGACCCATAAGAACCCATATTCTCCTTCTTGATTTCTGCAATGAGAGTTAAATTTATGCAGAAATGTGGGTCATCCCTAAATCTCCAAAAGGCAGTGCATGTAATGTAGGAGATCTCACCTGATGGGTGGAAAATATCCCAAAGCAAAAGATTATTTCCAGGAAATAAATGTGTATTGGAAAATAGAGAGTTTTGGAGTTTAGTCACATGTGGGCTTAAAATTTTTTGACTGAGCTCTCAGGATCTCCTGTCAGGTTCAGAAAAGGAAGAAATTATTTTGTACCAGAGAGATATGAACAAAATGTTACAAAGTATGAAGGATTTAAGTGGAATGTAGAATGATGAATATGATATTGGTGTGCTATAAAATAAGGTAAGGCATTCAGGTGGATGAAGCAATAATTTTAAAGTGGGCAAGTTCAAGAGCTTGCAGTGGCAGAAAGAAAAGCAACGAAAAAATGGAATTACTGGAAAATAGATGAGAAAAGTATCTTGCAACCAAACTTTAATGAGTTTGGTGAGCCACCTCTCCTCTTACTAAAGGCCTGGTTATGAATCTAAAATTCTCCACCGCATGACCATTGGCCCATTGTTTAACTTACTCTGTGTCTCAGTTTCCTCACCTATCAAAGCAGGAGAATAATTTTGTATACCTTACTGGTTTATGAGGGTTAAATGGGCTACTAAATATAGAGTGCTTAGGGGATTGCCCAGAAGTTAATATATGCTCAATAAATGTAAGATAATATTATTTCTAGCTCCCTTAAGTTTAATTATGAGTGGGGAGAAAGAAACACACGATGAAAGTATTTGAAGTCATTTACCTTTGAAATATACAGCTCAATATTTGGACAAATACATTATCATTTTAGCCTATCTTATCACTGTTTATTTAATTCAGATTATTTTTCAATATGTCAGTATGGGACAACTCTTTTATTCAAAAGCCATACCAACACATTTGATATATCAATGTACATCTTTTCAAAGTGATTAATTTCCAAAGAAAAGACAATTGTTAAAAAAAATTGGGCTCATTGTATTTTATACTCATCACATATTTGTCTTCAGATAGAATAATACCAGCAAGCAGGATTATGTAAATGCAGGACTATGAAAGCAGCTCAGTTCAACGGTCTCACTGAGGGTCATGCATTAACAATTTTATGAGCAACCCTATGACAAGAAAGGGATTTAAAATACTAGATGACAGGATTCAATTGAATACTTTTCTTCAGGAGGAATTTCTGAAGTTCTTATTTGAGAGCACTTTGTAAGAAAAGGCATGGTTTTTTTTTTTCTTGACAACTTACATTTGCGGTAGACAAGGTAGATACACCTTTTGGCAATGTGATCTGTTCGTAAACATAGCAAAAACAAATAGGCAAGAACAAGACTCTTAAGTAATTATCAATAGATAAAGTGACATTGCTACTCATGTAAGCATGTGATTAGCAGGAACTGCATAATATAATAAATAGCAAGGAATAATACAGTCACAGAAGCATAACAAAAATGCATATCGCTATAATTACCATTTATTTCTTGAATATCTTGTCAAAGAATATTCACACTATTTAGACATAAGTGGGGAAGAAAATTTAATGAACACCATTTATAGTTACTGTCTTGTGCCAAGCATTATTACTCCTCTTTATGCATTAGCTGCTTTAATTCCCACAAATACTTGTGTTGGTATTGTGGTTCCCATTTTGTTGATTAAGACTGAGCCTTTGATTTCAGGTCTTTTTAAATTTAGGGTCTATGTTTTTAATTACTAACCTCATGAAATTACAGAATATGGTTTTTTGCATTGGAAATATGAGAGGTGCTTCATAAAATACAGATAGTTAGGACTCAATGCAGAATTTCAAAGTCAGTTTCATCACCTGTAAAATCAGGAGGTAGGGCCTGGAACTGTCTTTTCAACGTGCTCCTAGGTGATTCAGATATTCAATAAAATCTGGGAAATGTTGCTTTATTGACTAGCAAAGCCAGTTGATCCTGACTCAATTCCTAAATCACATATCATTAAGAAAATGTTACAGATTAATAAATTAGGTTTTGGAGGGGTCATTAATTCAAAATTATAATAAACTACATACACTGCATTAAATAATGGTCAAATTAATTTCTAGATATTTATAAATAATGTACTACTGTAGCTAGCAAATAATCAGCTGATCTTTAAGAATGAATCTCTGTGGATTTATTTTCCTATTCTATGATGAGGACAGTGATCGTTGTTTATAGGAACTAGAAAAAAAGTTTAGGACATAATCTCTGCCTTTGAGTTTTTTACGAATTGAATTTCTCTTTGTTGGTTTTATAATGGAGGTCTTCTGCCTGTTGACAAAAACGGAGGAGACTTATGTTTCATTTAGTTAGCCTAATTTTTCTGCTTTAAGAACCTCAGCATTAGACTGAACCTTTATTTATTTTGTATATTCTTTATTTTACATATAATCTTTATCTGAAAGTGGGAAGCCTTATTTGCCACATGTGTAATAAACACTCTAATGTATACAGATATCAAAAATCATAAAATATATTAAGAGTTCAGCACAAAATTATTTTTGGTGGCTTTAGGACAAATATCATACTGAAACATCCTAAAATATTGTATTATGGTTTTAGAACTATTACTATGATTAAACTTCATAATGCATTATATGCAGATCATGGTTGGTAAACTAATAAAATTGGTGTTTGCATGTATTATAGTGAAAGTAAAGCTGAGTTACATCAAACTAAAGTTAGCAAATCCAGAGCTACCTGAGATCATATAGAATGCAATATAAAGAAAAGCAATCTATATACATGCTAAACGTGAGATAGTTTCCTATATTTTTTTTTCTCTCAGGATATTATAGTAGCTCTATCTAGTGGTCACATACAAATATTACACTTAGCTAATAAATAGAAATTAAGAAACATGCTCTAATGTGCTATTACTGTCAATTCACTTTTTGCAAACTGAATGCCAAATGATTTAAAGATACATACATTTCACCTCATCTTATTCATTGGTATTACCTTATTTTAAAATTCTTTTTTTTAACTTAAATTGTGGTAGAAACACTTAGCATGAGACCTACCTTCCTAACAAATGTTAAAGTATACAATACAGAATGCTTACCTGTAGTCACAATGTTACACAGCAGATCTCTAGAACTTACTCATCTTTTATAACTGAAACTTTGCCTCCCTTGAATGGCAACTCTCCATTTTCCCATTCCCTCTGCCCCTGATAAAAACCATTGTACTCTCTGCTTTTATGTGTTAGAGTATGACAGAGTCATTTTTAAGCCAGGCTTATTCATTAAAATTGAGGATTTGGGTTTGTATTTTCCTGCCATTGATTTTGATGCAAAACATAATTTAAATAATGAAAAATTTTAACAAATTTAAGAAGCTATATTTTGAACTTACAAGTTAGAGGAGAATATAAAATGTGATCTTAAAACTTTGATGATATATAACCATAGCGGGGTCTATCACTTATGAAAAATTGTTGAAAAATATTTTTACCAGGCCAAAATTATGCCTTCTGATAAAATGATATTTTGCTGTGGGATAAAATTTTACTTATTATCCAAAAGCTTTGATATATTATATAAGTAACACATAATCTAATTTTAATGCCTTCATGTAAACAATGGCTTTTTAGCTATTGTCATAAAAAATTAATCAAATCCTAATGACTTCAAATAACAATATTTTATTGATTTCATGAGTCTGTGTGTCATCAAGATGGTTCTGCTAATCTGGGCCAGATGTCATCCTCAGCTGAGCCCATTCATGCATCTATGGTCAGTTGCCAGATCACCTGCCAGGTCAGCTGGGGACTGGATGGTCCAGTAAAGTCTCAGGTGGTATGATTCATCTCTCACCTTCCTTTAGGCCAGCTAGGATTCTTCACACAATGTCTGGGTAGGGTTTCAAGAGAAAGGACAGAAATTTACAAAGCCCCTTTGAGGCCTAGAGTTGGAATTGGCACCACATTACTTGTGCTGCGTTTTGTGACCAAAAGAAGTCACAAGACAGGTAAAGGGAAAGAAAAGAGACTCCTCTCTTGATGTGAGCAGCTGCAAAGTCACACTGCAAAGGGTATGGATGTAGAAGTGAATTATGGTCATATTTCCAATCTACTATGAGTTTTAAGGAATTATTAAAATATAACTTTTTTTTATTTAGAGTAAGAGTTTCACAGATATTTGTATAACTTAACGTGATGCCTTTTTTAAGTTCATGAACAAAATTTTATATCTTTCTTGCTAAATTTTAAGAGTCATAAATATCTCTCTTTGGTAGGGACAGGTCAATAAATAGCTTTGTTTATAAATAAAATAAGATTAATTGCAACTTAATTTATTTTAGCTGTATGCCCAAAAAGAATACTCCTCAGTGAAAATAAAAGCTTTGGGCTAACACATGTTCTCACTTATAAGTGGGAGCTGAATGATGAGAATACATGGACACATGGTGGGGAATAACACACACTGGGCCCCGTCAGAGCTGAGGGGTTAGGGGGAGGGGGAGCATCAGGAAAAATAGCTAAGGGATGCTGGATTAAATACTTAGGTGATGAGATGGTCTGCACAGCAAACCACCATAGCACATATTAACCTATGTAAGAAACCTGCACATCCTGCACATCATATACCCCTGAACTTAAAATAAAAGTTGAAAGGAAAAAAAAAAAAGGTTTGGGCTAAGAATCCCTGAGTCCTATTGATACATTTATCAGTAGCATTGTTTCAGGAAAATCATTTCCCCTCACTAGTTCCTTGCTAACCCATTTGTACAATGAAATAATGGAGTTGGGTATACTCCAAGATTTCTTCTAAATCTTCCAACTTTTTTTTTTAGTGTTTCTTCTAGTATTCTCTGTGACAAACACATACACACGCACAAACACAAACACACACACTATTTACTCTGCTAAATGCAATCAAGAATATTCTAACTAGTAATTAATTTCCATTCAATTAAAAACATCTAAATATTGCCTAGACTAGGATGTATCAGTCAAAGACAAAGTAATTATTTTAAAAATACCTTTGTAACAATTATAACCCTGATTCATATTCTTTTAACATGTATTTTCAAGTCAACATTCTCTAAAAACAAACAAGCAAAACCCCCAAACGCCCCATTATTCCCTATATCAATTGAAATGGCTTTGTAAAAGATATACTAGTATATTGTGTTTTCAATTATTCACAATAACAAAAATGCTACAATGAGCATCTATCTATCTCTCCAGCTACCTTTATCATCTATGCATTTGATTTATCTAGAATGGCTACCAGAGGAGGAATTATTGGGTCAGAAATATATGTTGTTTTGTGTCAGATATTCACTCGCAGACAAGCAAGTTCGCACCAAGTGTTTCACATCAAAGGGTAAAAGACGCATAGCACCAAACACAGAGTCTAGCAATCCTAAGGTGAATGAGCTCTGTACGCCTTTAACAACTTAAACTCTAGTGGAGTGTGTTCATGAATAACCTGCTGTGGATTATTTGGATCAGGCCTTACAGAAATAGGAAAAGCAGAAGGTCCTAAGGGGTCTCCAGCTATGGCAGCAGAGCATAAAATCCTTTGTATTTGGGTTTCTATTTCTGCTACCGAAGCAGAGGAGGCGGTATAGGCCAATTTTTATCCTCCCTCTCCTGTTACTCTGATTCAGAAAACTTCCTGTTCCCAGTACTTCTTTAAAGCACTGCTCCCAGCACATCTTTAGGGACCTTATATCCACTGCCGGCAGACTTGTCCCAGGGTCCCTGTCTGCCTTGCCAATTTCAGTTCCTCTGCTTCAGTAGACCTTCTTCGTTCACATCCTTGAAGTCCCGTGTTCAGGCACCACTTATTGAGCACCCGATTCCATCCCTGTTCGGGCGCCACTATGTAACCCGCACAGACCTAGGGGGATTAAACAAAGGGGGCAAACACGGAAATAAAAGACAAGAGACAAAAGAGTATATTTGGAAGAAGGGGTCAGGGGGCACGTTGCCTCTAGTGGACAAGGGCCCTGAGCTTTACACAGCTCTCCATATTTATTAGGCAAAAGAGATTGTGAGAAGGGTGGTGGAAGAAGGGGTCAGCTGCTCAATCCAGAGTAGGCTTGCAAGACTGCATTCCTCAAACAACAGGCTCTAGATGTCGCAGTAGATAACCTCAGCACCAGGGAGTGATTGCCTCCAGCAAACCTTCTATTGCCAGGAGCAGTTGTGAGTTTGCTCACATCCTGCATTCATGACAAACAGCAAACTGTTTGATCATATAGCCTCCATTGGAATGCTGAGTTGGTCAGGTCTCATGGGCCTTCAGCTCCCTACAGTTTTGCTCTAAAAAGCTGAGCTTATGGTACTAATGTTGTTTTTGAAGTTTGATAAAATGTAACACTGTGATGTAAGAGGATAAAATTAGGTGAATCCTAATTGAGTGAGGAGTATTCAGGAATTCTGCAGTAACTTTGCAACTTTACTGCAAATTTAATGTTATTCCCAAATAAAAAAGTTTATCTAAATACTGCAAAAAGATAAATCATGTTATCAATTGGAACTTTTATTTTTAAGTAAGTAAAATATAAATACATTGTGGTATATTCATACTGTGTAATAGTTAACAATGAATTAGCCAGATTTATATGCATCAGTATAGATGAATCTCATGACATACAGTTTCAGAAAGCAAATTGCAGAATACAGTCTTTAATTAAACTCCAGGAAATGCTAAAATAATATATTTTTTAATATTTATATGTACATATGTGTACTTAGGAAATTTAAAAAATATGAACAGAATGTGCACTGAATTTATAATAATAGTGATATGGTATGTCTAGGGAGGGTAATGTGCAGGAATTCAACCTGATTTGTTGTTTTGGTCCCTATAAGAAAAATTACAGCAAATTTATAAACAAAAGAAAATTTTGAAAATTATGCTTTAAAATGCCTACTGTAAAACCACCAAAGTGAGTTTCCATTAGTTAATTTTGATTCTCACCTCTTAGCTCTCTGTATTGTATTTACATTTTTGTATTGTAGTAATGCAGAACACTTCATCATCAACTGTTTTGTTTTGGTCAGTGTCCTCTAACTCTCAAATCCACCTTCTCTTCTCCATCCTTATTACTGTCACTGCAATTTGAATCAAATTCTTACAAGCCTGCTGCCTGTTGCTGTTGACCTAATTGCTCTTCTTGTGTCTGGCTGCGTCTATGGCTGATCAATGTTCCTCAAGTGCCACACTGATTAAATTCTTCTCCTGCTTAACCACCTTAAATGACATCCACGTGTCAACTCCTTAAATACAGATCCGTCTGCCTGATTTTCAAATAATTCCACAAAATGACTCAACCTAAACTTTCCTATTACCCACTTCAGCTGCATACTTTTATAATATTGCAGTTGTTCAGTACAACTAATAACTCCCAAACAAGTTTCATGCTTTGTCACTTTTATTTTTTTTGTACCTGTTAATTCTTCAGGTTGAAATCACTTCTACAAACACTGCCTCCTGGAATCCAGTGCAGCTTTCAAGGGAAAAACACCTATGTTGTGTCCTTTTGTAATTATTTTCTGATCCTAATTTACCTTCTTCCTTACCACCCCCACCCAATTGTGACATATATTTCTCTTATGTGCTCATAATACTTATCTAGTACATTTTAGTATCACATAGGTATAGACGTATTTATACTTGCCTTAAAACTAAAGGTTAGGATTTATGCCAATTACATGAGTTGGTTTAGTTTAGGAAATAAATTAATCTTAATGTGGACATATTTGGGTATCTATTTTGTGGAACTGAAAAAAGGGCTGAAAAAATTTCTTAAGGTGGAAAGGTAATATTGTGGAGATTAAAATGTGGAATATATTGAAAAGTAACCTGCTACTTGAATAATCACCTCTGTAATCATCCTTTGAAGGAAATTTAAAAAAATAAAACTTCACAAAGAAAATATACACCACTTTTGTATTAACGAATGTGGTTCAACAAAGCTTTTGGGCTGAATAAAAAGTAATTGTTCAGGAAAGCATTGTTTTAAGGAATACATATTAACAACAATAATTTAATGAATAATAATTTTACATGTGATGTCATGCTTTTTACCATGTCTTTTTGACAATAACAGAAAAGATCTAATCTTTGCTCTGAACTAAATCTACTTATTTTAATGCAGTGACTATTATGCCTTTAATCTCTTTATGACCATATTAAAATAAATAAATAGAAACTTTTAGAAATTTCAAGTGGTCAAAATTAAAAATAAATGTGTTATAGAAGTAGAAATGCTAATTTAATTCTAAAACTTAATTGTGATGAATTATGGTTAAAAGATAACAGAAACTTCTTCCCCATCCCTTTTTATTTTTTGATTCAATGAAGGAATGAAATGTATTTCAGTAAAGTAAATAGGAGAGACTAGTCCAGCTTTTTCAATACTGTGTTCCTCAGAGTAACTTTAAACGTTAATAGATGTTAAAAGAAAAAGAGGTTCTCAAGCAAATTTGGCAAATACTACATATAGTAGCCATCTCTTGGAAAGCTACAGTGAGAATTAGCATATATATAGCTCTCAGAATTCTTATTATAAATTTACTGTGTAAGTGTATTTATCCTGGCATTTCCCAAATTTACAATATAGAATCGTTTTTTATTCCTGCAGAAGGTGTATTAGCATATTTCTTAAAACACTTTGAAAATGCTATACAAGATTCCCATCATTGGTCATTTGTACATCAAATATTTACCGAATATCTTCTACAATCCAGGCGCTTGTTAGACTGAATTTATTTAAAAAAAGAGGCATACTCCTTGCAGTCAAGAGTCATCTGAGGATAGGGAGGAAGACGTCATAAGTCTTTATTGTGTGATATGTTAGGATATAGGTAAGTAGAGAGGACCGTGTTGTGGACACCCAGCCACGTTGGCTCACCACAGATTGCTAACTGCCTACTAATCACTGATAGAAAGGGATAGGGCAAAGGAAGTGTTACAGCATTTATTCTAAATATTGAAGCTGAGTTTTAAAGATTGAGAAGTTATACAAACAGGCACTATTGTAGCCTGTGAGAATGAGTAGAGGCTTAAAATAGTGTGACTTATTTGAAAAACAGTAGGTGATTTGACATAGAATTTACAGTGTGGGAGGAGAGAATGGTTAGAAAAGACACTGAAGAGGTAGGCATAAGGCAGATCCTTTCTGGAAAAGTAAGACTTGTGATCTAATGGATATCTGGGTCCATTGGAAGAATTTAACAACAGTGACATCATCAGATATATATTTTAGAGTTCTGTAAATGGATTAGAATGAGGAGAGCCTGGAGGCCACTGAATATGTAGACAGATACCTCAGAATTAAAATTTGTTTAGAGTGCATTTCTTATTTTAAAAATTCTCATTCCTACCCCAAAGCTTCATTCTGTTTGCTGAACAACATGTTATACATGGTTATCTCTGTTCTTTATGGGTAACAGCTGCTAATATCCTCTCCCATCCCCACACACATGCTTCCAGAACTGGGATATGGTGGGAATGAAATTGTTTTCTGGCAATTACTTTGTCAAATAAACACATAACAAATTTGGTTTTAAATATGTGTAAGTATCTTAAGGAGCAAACAATAATTCTCATCCAGGAGAACTGACCAAAGTGATCACAAACTTTAGAATTAATAACTTATTAAAATAAATAATATATAAATTAAAAGTTGTGTATATATGCGGGAGTGAGAGGTGGTTGTTATTTAGCCACAAACCACATAACTGAGTTATAGATTCCAATTTTGGCAGTAGTGATCCAAGCAATGTTCTAGGGGAAGCTATCTTAGCTACTAGATTTCTATATAGTGGTCCTATTTAGTGTAAGAGTAGAAATGAATGGAAGGAGTGATGGTTAATAGATCTAACAAATTTGATGAATGTTTATACATACAACCTCATGCTTTTTTTGGTAGCTAGGTTTCTAGGCTGAAAGTGGGCTTATACTGTGTTTTATTTTGGCCCAACCACTATGCCTGAGCTACTCGGCCATCTTTTATTTTAGGAGACACCATGTGGATCCTCACTCTACTACTGGTACTCTACTAGTACTCTACTACTACCTGCCACTCGATCCTGTTGCAAGGGATTTTGTCATAAAAGCTTCTTGGACTCTCCCTGTCTATTTGAAGTGACTCTCATTTCTTTAACCATAATCCTTCTGTGGTCTCTCTCATAGTTGCTGTTTCCAACTTCCACCTAGCCACTTATACAGAATCCTGAGGGTCATTCTTGATTCCTTCCTTTAACTTAACCTCTACCTATGTAATCAAATGTAAAGTCCTGCCAATTTTACCTTCTAGACATTACTTTAATCATCTCTTCTTTCATACATAATATTTGAACAGCTTTATAATTGATTTTCTGGTTAACTTTTGTCACCATCAAATCTAGTATTCATTTCCTGATGAAGATGATCAAAATAAAATTTAATTGTTTTATCCACTTTCTTAAATCTGCATGTGACATCTCCATTACCTATAAAAAGGATTGTCTAAGACCTTTCCTATATCTATCACCTTCTCCCTGTTACAACTTTCTATAAAACAATAACATAGAAAGCGCCTTGGTGTTGATTTCACATGCATAAACCACAGAGCAAGACTATCTGGTTCAAAAACTGTGTGTACCTCTTACATGGCTCTTTTACCACATATATATATGTTATATGTTATATATGTTATATAATATATAATATATATATTTATATATATTTTATATATATATCTGTGTGTGTATTTTATATGTGTGTGTGTGTATATATATATATATATATATATCACTTATGCTGTAAAGCAGGATAAAAATAATAGTATTTAGTTCATTGGGTTGTTGCAAGAATTAAATGAGGTACCACATGAAAATTCTCAGAAGCAATCAATAAATGTCAGCTATTATGGTATTTATTTATCAACTTGTACACTCCAATAATTGACACTGAGGACATTGTTATGCCAGGTGGGTCTAGCCACGTGTCATTTTCAAAGAGTCTATACTAATTCTAGGATGTCTCACTGTGTATAGATTAAAGAATAGACCTTTTAAAGAGAAAAATATAAATGCACATAGATCGAGTTTCATTAAGATAAGAAAAAAAAATGTCCCCTTGATATAGGTTGGATTTGTGTCCCTGCTCAAATCTCAATTCATGTCAAATTGTAATCTCCAGTGTTGGAGGAGGTGATTGGATTCTGGGGGCAAACTTCCCCCTTGCTATTCTTGTGATACAGTGAGTGAGTGGTCCTGAGATCTGGTTATTTAAAAGTGGGTACACCTCCTCATTCCTCCTCTTCCTCCTGCTCCCACCATGTAAGACGTGCCAGCTTCCCCTGGGTCTTCCACCATAATTGTAAGTTTCCTGAGGTCCCCCAAGAAGCAGGAGCCTGTACAGCTAGCAGAACCATGAGCCAATTAAACCTCTTTTTTTTTTTTTTAAGGCAGAGTCTTACTCTGTCACCCAGGCTGGAGTGCAGTGATGTGATCTTGGCTCATGGCAACCTCCACGTCCTGGGTTCAAGCCAGTTTCCTGCCTCCGCCTCCTAAGTAGCTGGGACTGCAGGTGTGTGCCACCATGCCCAGCTAATTTTTGTATTTTTAGTAGAAATGGGGTTTTACCATGTTGGCCAGGCTGGTTTGAACTCCTGACCTTAAATGATCCAGCTGCCTCAGCCTCCCAAAGTGCTGGGATTACAGATGTGAGCCACCGGACCTGGCCTGAACCTCTTTTCTTTATAAATTACCCACTTTCAGGTATTTCATTATAGTGATGTGAGAACGAACTAATACACTCCTTACCCTCCCATTATCTCACCAAACGGTATTCCAGTACCAGAGTTCTTTTGAGCCCTTAGTGGGAAAATACCTTCCCTCTACAGGGAGGCATTTTTACACTAAGAGATAATGATGATGGCTGGGACCATGGTAGTGGTAGTGGAGGTGGTGACAGGTGATTATATTATAAATATGTTTTGAGTATAGAAATGACTGATTTTTTTTGACAGTTGTATTATGAGCTGAGAGAGAATGAAGAAAGTATAGGATGATTCCTGGGTCTTCGTTCTGATGAACTTGAAGAATGACGTTTCCCTGAATTGACACAGACTTTTTCTAGGAATAGGTGGGGAATAGATCTGGTTGATCATGAATACTGTTTTGATAGAGCTCTTTACTGTATTTATTTATGAAATCATATGACCTCTACAGTAGTCCTGGGAAGAAGGTTGTGATGAATCATAGTATGGGGGGAATTTGGTGTGAAATTATTATTGTTGCCTCTGTGTTAGTTATCCTTGGTTATTATTAACTGTAAACAGAATTGTATGTTTGGGAAAGTATTTCAAGATAATGATTGTGGTAATTCAGCTTATTATTCCTAAGTCACAGCATTTTAGAATATCCTTTGACTAATTAAGCATTGTAAGATTGAAGGTGTAGTAGTTAAGAGTGCTGGTGCTAGAGTCAGGATACCAACAATTGACTCCTGGTTCACCAACTGTGCGACATTGGGCAGGTTATTGAACATGCCTAGGTCTCACATTACTTACTGGGATAAAGAGAAAAATTAAACTGTAGTTTCAAGTATTAGGATACAATGATATAATATCCATAACACCCTTAACACAGTGCCTGGCATTAAATGCCCAATAAAGGTTAACTTTTAAATTACGATATTTTGGATTTTTACATTGTCACTTGTGTAAGTTCTTTCCTTATTTTACACAGTGAATTACTATTTCTGATTTAAGATACCTAGTCAGTTTATATTTTATTATGGTTTTCCTATTGAACACAATTTTGTATTAGTTCTACACTTTCAATAATTTAACTTCTATTATTTTTTCTTACCTAGTTTAAACGTGAAATGTTCAGTAATTCAACACTCATAAAGTCTATGTAAAAATGAATAAAAAATGAATATTTTTGAGGAAATAATAAAGTAGTGTCTGTATATACACAGAAATAGTGTTTAAGAGACTGGTTTGTTTTATAATTAGAATATGTTTATGTATAAAATAAAACTGAAGCCCCTTTCATAGGAAACAGAGGTTAAAAATAGCATAATAATAGTCTGTAAAATAATAGGAAAAAAACAAATCAAGAACTACTAAGCTAAGAAAGAAAGAAAGAAAAAGTATTCAATGGGAATTAAAATAAATTAATACCTTGAGAATCAACTACCTAATCACCAAGTAATCAGTATAAATTTGATTTTTATTGGATAGCAACAAAAGCCACAAATTTTACTTGCTACTTGTTTCTTGTAATATTGTTTGGGCTTTTGCTTTTATTCCAAACTTCAGGTAAAATTAGTATTAAAGAACTTTTTAAATTGAATCTCAAAAAGTATGCATAGGGAAAAAAGTAGACTGAAGTTATGATTGTAAATTTTCTACAAAAATACGTTTTAAAATGTACATTCAATTAAAATGCAGCTATATTCTTCAAGTAAGTGAAAAAAAGCCATCCCAAAGATGTAAAATGATTCAGTATTTTCTTAAAAGTGTTTTGTTTAACAAAATCACTTGGAATCATATTTTATATAAGCTAAAAATTAGTTGTATAATAGTCTGAAATATGAAATTGCCAATATTTTGTTGTATTGACCTATAAAAGTGGTAATTTCCTAATTATACCTAATAGACTAAATATGGGGTCTGTATTTTAACAAATATCTTTGTGGTATCCATATTTGAGAAAATTTGATCATCTGGCAGCATAATTCACAAGTTGTCACTAACCATAATTGTAGGAATAGCCTAAGTCAAAGTGAAACACACTTTGAAAGCTGTATTATTCCTCATTTTTCATAGCTGATGTCCTGAAAAATAGAAGATTCACCCCAAAAGATGATTCAGATTCTTCATTTTACAGTTGTATGATTTGGGACAAACTACCTAATCTCTCTCTCTTCCATTCTCACTCCCCACCTCCCACCACTCATTTGTAAAATGAAAGAAATAATCCCAGATCTACTGAATTCAGCTGATTTTACATGACTGAAATATTACATTATATGTGAAATTATTTGGTAAACTCATTTAACACCATTTTCTGGTACCACATATAATGAGTTACTGGTAAAGAAAACATTTGTAAGTATATTTACTTATGGATTATATTGATCATCTACTTAGTTTTTAACATATTTAGTACATGATGTTTCTAGACTAAATGGATACATCTGCCTCAAATCACTCATAAGATCAATTATAAATGGAAAATTTTCTCGAAATACAACAGGATAAAGTTTCAGAGATAAGAGGGCCGTAGCCAACAAGAGCTAATTAGCATGAGTCTTATCTTTAATACACTTTAATATTTAAATTTAGCATTAAATGATCCCTAACAAAAAGAAAATATATTTTAGATCACAAATCTAAATATAACTAACCAACAATATTTTCTTCAATGTGCCTTTTAAGTTCTTCCTTAAGTAACCGAGCAGCTTAACTTCAAAATGCATTTTAACTTTTTCCCCTTTCTATTTTCTCCCTAGTTTTGAGACGTAACCTTGAAGCAAACTGCAGAAGCCTTTTCCCATAATCTTGAAATAGACTCCCCACCTACCCTTTCCCGTAGGATACTCTCATATTTATCAAATTATATGCTAGTATCTAATTATGTGCTTAGCTAGAAGTTCCAAGGGCTAATCTTGAGACAGACAGGCCAAACCTGGAGACCCAGCTGCAAAATTCCAGAGATTACCTCAAGGCAGCTCGGCAGCCACCTTGCCATTGTTGAGATGATGCCAACCTGCGATCCAGATGGTCTGTGACTCAAGATAGCCACCAAACAAGATACACAGACCTTCCACTCAGCACAACTCCTACATGCCTCCTCTATCAAGTTTCCCTTTTTAAACCTTTGCCTTCTCCCCAGAAATTCAAAGTGGTTACTTTGGATGTGAATCCTGCCATTTCTATTGCTAGTTTTGGTGAATAAAGTCACTTTCTTTCCACCATACCTTGCTCTTGTTATTGGGCTCTGCAAGCACTGAGCAGCCAGACCTGAGTTGAGTTACACTTATGCAGTTATCCCCGTTGGCTAATGTAGAAATAAATGTGGTGCTTTCTCTGGGTTTTCATTTTGCCTAATTTATCTCAGACTTGTTGCTGAAGATACCAGGAAACTAGCAACACCAAGGGACAATTTCAGAACCAAAAAGTCCCCAACAAAAGCCTGTTCTCTCTAGACAAAAGACTAGAAAAGAAAAACTTTTAGAAAATAGCCACTTTAGCCAAACACGACAGAAAAACTCTTCTCCACTCCTAACTATGCTATCCAAGGTTGAGTGGGGAATTAAGAATTCCACACTTGCTGGACTATAAAAGGCACCCTAGGGCCCTGCCAAAGTAGGGATAAAGAAGTCCAAGTTCAGAAAGCCAGAACTTTAATCCCTGCTAGGTTATAACAAGCCTCATTCCCCTTCCCAGTGAAGTCATGAAGACCATATAGGAAGCCTGGACTTCCACCCCACCAGACAGTAATGAAGCACCTGTGCTTCTCCCTACTGGGCTATTGCCAGAGAAGGTCTAGTGCAGAGACAGGGCTTCTGCCATCACCCTGCAGTAATGAGTCCCCCACCCCACAGTGTCAGAGGAGGCCACCTCAGGGCTGACAGTGGTTTTCCCTAGATACTATAATTACAGAGTTTTGATTGTTTGGTTGTTTGTTTTTAATCTTACTTATTACCATTTTTGTTTTCTGGTAGAATTTTTCCCAAGGAATATGTACTATTTTTACCATCAGACAAAATAGTAGTTGGGGAGTAGATCTGGTTGATCATTAATGTTGTTTTGATAGAGTTCTTTACTATATTTATTCATGAAATCATAGGATTTGTACAGTAGTCCTGAGAAGAAGGCTGTGATGAATCACAGTATGGAAGGAATTTGAGGGAAGTTATTGTTGTTGCATCTGTGTTAGTTACCTTTGATTATTATCGACTGTAAGCAGAATTTATAAATATAAGAAAATTGAATCTGCCCTTGAAAAAACATCTAGTTTATGTAATATAAATTTTTTTGGAATAATGGTAATGAACTGTTAGATCACTTCCATTTTGTATTAAATAAGGACAGTAAGTTATCAGAATTTTGTCTAGTTCTTATATAATTTGTGATAATTTCCTACATAATAATAACCAATAACCAATAAAACAACTAAACTTCACAAGTAAGTATGTATTGACAAGGACCCACTGACAGAGAAAGAGCTTGCCTAAAAGTATGTGAAAAACTAAAGATATATAGTACCTAATGAAGCAACAGGAAATGTGTTTGAAATGTGGGGAAGAGAGAAGTAAAAGAAAATAAGCACTGAGGCTAAACAAGAAAATACATACTAAAGATATAATTAAGTTGAAGGCAGCTATGTCAGGGCAAAGGGGTCTAACTTTGCATTTCCTGCAGTCAGTTATTCTTAATTTTCCTTTTTAATTCATATGTCTAGAACAGACTCAACATAGTGCTCTTGCTGATATTCCAATGTCATGTTGAATAAGATTGGTGTCTATATATTCTTTAACATACATATCTGTGGTCTCTTTTTTCCTTTCAGTCAGTGAATTTGATTTTTTTAATTTATTTTGTCTTTTTCTTTTGTCTATAATTATGGTGTTCTCCTCCAAACCCCTCAATTCAAATCTGTTTGTGGGCAAAACAAACAGTGCTTAATATAGTAGTTAATTCAATTCCACTATGATCCAGGAAACAGCTTATACTGCTCAGTGCCTACACTGCATTCAAGTGTGAGTAATGTAATACCTCCCCTACACGTAAGCTGTATTTTGAATATATATTGTACTGCTATTTATAAATAATAGTGATAATAATCTGACAAAGAGCCAATATTTTATTTTAGGAAAATCACCATGCAAATATATACTCTTAACATTTTTTTGAAGAGGAACTTTTTCTCAGTCTATACCCTATTAATTATAATGACCCAGAAATTTTTTCATATGAGCTTTTATCCACACAACTGGTTTTAAATACTAAACTACAGCATATTTCCCACTGTTGTTACTCTCTACCCCTCCACTGTTTACTTTTAATTTATCTCAAAAAGAGGGATATATTTTATTTTACAGTTTTAAGGGTGCGTATATAGTGGGGAGTCATAGTGGCTAACTTTGACTCTTGGGATCACACATTAACTGACCAAGAAGTTTAAGGAAGTATTTTTTTTCTTGAGTTCAACAGATTGGTGAATCTTTTCTAAATTAATAAAATGAAGCAATACAAAAGAAGGATTGGATAGAAAAATCACCCACCTTTACTACCCAGAATAAGGCAATTGCATTCCGCTAGTTTTTAAGGCACTTCTCATATAAATTTTATTCCCATATCTTCAAAACGCCTACTCCTGCTTTTCATCTACATTGTTCTGTAGTTATTAATACTAGTTATGAATGGTGGTTAAGAATTACAATTCAAAATCTTACTGAATAATATGTTGGAATAAATTACATGTTCTTTCAGGAATAAAAGCTACTTGTTTTTATAGCACACTGACTAAAGAAGAGAATTTTAGTCTTGTCAGTTCAAGACTACAGAGATATAAGGTTTACCAGAATTAAGAAAGTGTTAAATCTGCTTTGATGAGATTCTGTGAAGGTGGATAGAGAAACCTACATTACTTCCAGATGCTAAGTGAGGATTATATATGAGACTAGTTTCCTATGGGTCCTGGGAATTTATGAAATTAAGATTCATTTAGACCGTGATTAAGTTAACTACTGTGTTTATCGGGTGTTCTGGAAAGCAGACACTGAGATGGGGTTACGAGTGCAAGAATTTTATCAGGATTGGGCAGGGAAAGTCTTCAGACTATGCAGCAGAGCTGACCGCTGGGAAAGGGAAAGAAAAAGGGGGAGAAGCAGGATTAAGTATGTGGAGCCTTAGATTATAATGCAGATATGACAAATTCTCAGCTACACAATGGGAAGCTCCAAAGCAAAGACTGATAATTACAGGAGTCCTGGATTAGGCAGAAATGTCCAGGCCTTAGTAGTTCTAATGAGCTCAGTATTTGGCTAATCTGTGCAGCTCACTGGTGATTTCTTTCATTAGTGAAGATCTTGGCAGCAAACCTCCATGTGTGGCAAAGTCCACCTCTTGTACCACACAGACCCACTTTTCCATATATTTTGACAGCAGTCCCTCCAAGGTACCAATAGAGGACTTTCTAAGGAAAAACTTAAAAGAGGATGGATAGCGAGATAAATTACAACACTCACCACTACAGTGAGTCTTAGGATGTAACTGGTATTCATTACCTCCTTTCTCCATTAAAAATTCTTAATTCCTTATGTTCTTAGCTATCACCTCCACTGGTCTCAGTGGCTTACCTGGTAGTGTCATTTAAAATTTCATTTCTAAGGGAACTGAGCTCCTGGAAATCATTCTCTGATTGAGTCAGAACTGATGAACCTACCCCTTGATATTCACACAGTTTGAATATGTGCCCCAAAAGTTAATGTGTTAGAAATTTAATTGCCAATGTAATAGTGTTAACAGGGCATTTATGAAGTGATTAGGTCATGGGGAACCACCCTCATGAATGGATTCATGCTGTTATCACAGGAGTGGGTTAATTATCATCAGAGTGGCTTTCTTTTTAAAGTGAGTTTTTTTTTTCCACACGCACACTCCCTTGTGTTCCTATCAACCATGTGATGACACAGTAGGAAGGCGCTCACCAGATGTCAGCACCATATTCTAGATTTACCAGCCTCTAGAACCATGAGAAATACATTTTCTACATAAATTATCCAGTCTGTGGTATTCTGTTCAGCAGAAGAAAATAGGCTTAATCAGGAAATTGGTCTTCAGAAGTAGAACTGTTGTTATAACAAATACCTGAAAATGTGAAAACAGTTTTAGAATTGGGTAATGGGTAGAGGCTAAAATACTTTGGAGGAATACGCCAGAAATAGCCTGTATTGCAGTGAACAGAACATTTAGAGAGATTCTGGTGAATGCTCAGAAGAAGAGAGCCATAGGGTCTGAATCTTCTTAGACATTACTTAAGTGGTTGTGATGAGAATGACTGATTTCTATCAACATAGAAATATGGGCAGTACTGACCATTCTGTTGGGATCTAAGACAGAAATGAGTAACAAGTTTTGAAAACTGTGGTAAGTAACATTCTTATTATACAGCAGTGAAGAGCTTTGATGAATTGTTTCCATGCCTGAGGGCTTTATAGAAGGCAGAATTAAAGAATGACACAGTAAAATATCTGGTAGAAGAAATGTTTTTAAGTAGCAATGTGTTCAGGTTGCTCTGTGGTTACTTGTAAGGACATACAGTGAGATGAAAGAGCAAAGGAATGACTTAAAGTCATACTATGCGATTAAAAGAGAAATGGGGGAAAAATTAGAAAATTCACAGCCTGATTATCATAAAGAGTAGAAAACCACACTTGGGAGAGAATAATAAGGAACAGAATACTAAGGGTGTGTCTGAGAAATTATTTGCTAAAAAGATTACTGTAGAATTAAGGGAGCTAGATGCTATTCATCAACACAGTGTGTCCTGTTGAAAGTTCCTGAAGGCATTTCCAAGATCTTCAGGGCTGCCCCTTCCATCACAGGCCAAGAGCTCTAAAAAAGCAGAATGGTTTTGGGAGATGAGTCTAGGGTACCCTCTATGGGCTCACTGCCAAGAGTTGCCTCAGAACTCTGGTGCAGCATCCTGTGACTGCCCCAGCTATGGCTTAAGCACCCTCAGCTGTGACTCAGTCTTCCACTCTAGGAGATACAAGCCATAGATTTTGGCAGCATTCACATGGTACTAATTCTGAAGGCACACAGAATGCAAGAAATGAGGGGGTATGGCTTTCTCAATACAGATTTCAAATAATTTGCAGACTGAATGAAAGCCTAGGCAGAAAACAGCCACAGAAATGGAGCCACCACAGAGAGCCCCTACTAGGGTAATGTTGAGCAGAAATGTAGAACTGGAGCTGCCACAGAGAGTGCCCAATAGAGCAATGCCTAGAGGGGCCATGAAAGTAGAGCCACCCCAAAGTCCCCAGAATTGTAGAACTATCGCCGTGCAACTGCAGCCTTGGAAGGCTGCATGCATGAGACATCCTGTGGGGGTCTGTCCTGCAGACTCCAGCTTGCCCAATAGATGAATAATGTACCCAGACACCAATATTTAGTGAAAGAGCAGCTAGGGGTCTGAGCCACTCACAGACACCAAGGAAGGTGCTATAGTCAGCAGCCATGACTTCAACTTGCTGGCCCTGCTGGCATTTATTCAGCACACATCAAATAACAAAGGTCTCAAGTAAACATCACTAGAAGGTAATTACCATTGCTGACTCCCCGCTTAGAGAGTAATCATGGACCCACGGATAGTCAAAGGTTAGTCTTAGGACCACATGAGTAAACAAGCTATTTAGATAGACTCCTCTACATTCCTATGTTAAATTACCCTTGCTATAGCTCAAAGAGGATTAGGCTGCCTTCAGCCATAACTCTCTCCTGAGGCTTTAGCAGAAACCTTCTGGCCTTCCAAGAAGATTTGTGTTTATTTTACAATTTCTCCCACCATCCTGATTGAACCCCTAAAACATCCAGCCCATCGGAGCTGCTGTGTGGGCCGAGCCCAGCAAAGCCTAAGGATGGGGCTGCCTGAAGCCTTGGCGACTCAACTCTCACCCCAGTGTGTCTAGGATGCAAGATACGGAGTCAAAGGAGATCATTCTACAGCTTTAAAACTTAGAGCCAGTTACCCTTCTTTTCTTGCCTATTTCTCCCTTTTGGAATGGAATGTCTATCCTATGCTTGTTCCACCATTGTATTTGGAAGTAGATAACTTGTTTTAATTTCACAGGCTCACAGCTGAAGGAATTTGCCTCAGGGTGAATCATGCCTTGAATCCCACCTCTAATTTAGATGAAACTGGGACTTTTAAGTTGATACTGGAGTAATTTAAGACTTTTGAGACTATTGGGATGGAATTACTACATTTTGCATGTGAGAAGGACACAAATTTTGGAAGTTGGGTTGGAACACTGTGGTTTACATGTGTCCCACAAGAGTGCATGTGTTAGAAATGTAATTGCCAATATAAAAGGATTAAGAAGTGGTGCCTTTAACAAGTGTGTAGTCATGGGAACTCCACACTTATGAATAGATTAATGCCATTATAATGGGAGTGGGTTAGTTACTGGAGGAGTGATTTACTTATAAAAGTGAGCTCTCTCTCACAAGTGCTTTTTTGCCCTTCTGCGTATTTGCATGGTATGACATTGCAGGAAGACTCTCACCAGCTGCCAGTGCCATTCTCTTAGACTTCTCAGCATCCAGAACTATGAGAAAGAAAGGTATTTTCTTTAAAAATTACTCAGTCTGAGGTATTATGTTTTGGGAACAGAAAATGAACTAAGACAGGAAGGGAATGGAATAATGCCATTATTATAGGAGCGGGTTAGTTCCCAAGGGGATGATCTGAGTTTCACATAAAGCCTTTCTTCTCCCAGTTGTTTAATGACAGTCCCACCTCCTCCTGCTAATCAGGTTAAATTATTCTGTATTAGATTTTGACCCTCCCTCTTGCCTGTAGAATCCTGAACATAAGAAGGCAAAAGTACTTAGATGGCAGTCATAGCCTATAACTCAATAGATCTCTTGTATGTCACTTGAAAGGCTCCATTTTGGGACTTGAGGCTAATCCTGCAGATCTCGGAGTTGTAAGGATAGGAAGCATAAGTCCCTCAGTTGTCATGGAGAATAATTGGTAAGTCAAGCACTTGTTCTTCTATTCCTTGGTCCCAGACCCATGCATTCTTCCTACCAGGTACACAGGATCATACAGAGTTCTCTGATTCCATGTGTATATGTTATCTTGGAGGATATGGCCTTTAAGAAGGCACTTCAGCTGCACCTGCAGCAGGCCATTCCAATTCTCTCTTAGGACAGTTTCTTCTGGATGGTAAAATATATGACAAAACCAGTGAATTCTATGGTTGTACGCCTGCTCCCATGCTTCCACTGGTTTGAAACAGGTCCCTATGTTGATGCTATTTTATGGAATCCTATATGCCTTTGGATGAGGTCTCTGTAAGCCCCAAGATAGTGGTACTGTTGAAGCTCTTCAGGTCATTTCCCTTTGGCTGCCACTTTAACTTGAAGAGCACTAAAAGCCTTTCTGGTAATTGTGTGTTACAACCTGACCCCTATGGCTTTGGGGTCATAATTCACATTTCTATCAATAATCCAAGTTCATTGACAGTCTCTTCTACCATCAGTCCTGGCTTGCAGAGGAGAGCAACCTTAGAACTCTTTAGTGTACCTCTCATCAACACATGTCTAATAGTCTTGGTGAACAGTGTTACTTCTTATCATCCTATGCAACATCATCTTTGGGTGAGTCTTCTAGCCTCAAAAAATGTATCCATTCCAGCATGCCCACCTCCCTGAGCCCTTTAATTCCTTCCTTTGCCATTCGTGGTTGCATTACTGGCATTTCAACCTTATTCAGCATAGGTCACACTTTCTCCAGGTTTCTAGAAGCCACTCTCATGAAGAATTTGCATAGTGCCCTAGGATACTTATCGGATATTAAATTCTGTGTCTCAAGTGTGTGAGCTCAAGTAAGTATTCTCCTTCTTATCTAATCCTGTATTCCAGCTCTCTTGATCAAACATCTTCAACATTTAGTACCACAGGTACTCCTTTGACTTCCATTAATGTGAGATAATTCTTGTAGCTCTTCCAGGGTGCAGTATTTTCCTACTTTATCAGGCGTGGATATTCCTGGTTGAGTTTTTGCTGGCACTTAATCTTAGTTATACTTCTGGCAGCCAAGAGACAAGGTGAGGTTGATGGGGTTTCCTATGGACTTGATGGGAGAAGGCTCTCGGGTGTCTCCTAGATAATGATGTTGGCTTAGGCCCTGGAGAGTCCTATCTTTTAATAGGGAGGCCACCTTTCTTCAGTTTTTGAGAATCAGAAGAGTCTGGAAGTCAAAATCCCTAGGGCATGTATCTTTATGTCTCCATCCTCTGTTGGAACTAGATCATAGGAGAGCTAGGGGTAGATAAATAAAGCTAAAACCATACCATTAGTTTAAAGTTGGAATGTGTATTAGTGCATTTTCATTCTGCTGATAAAGACATAGTTGAGACTGGGAAGAAAAAGAGGTTTAATTGGACTTACAGTTCCACATGTCTGGGGAGGCCTCAGAATCATGGCAGGAGGTGAAAGGTATTTCTAACATGGCAGCGGCAAGAGAAAATAAGGAAGATGCAAAAGCAGAAACCCCTGATAAAACCATCAGATCTCATGAGACTTATTCACTACCATGAGAACAGTATAGGGGAAACCGCCCCCATGATTCAAATTATCTCCCACTGGGCCCCTCCCACAACACGTGGCAATTATGGGAGTACAATTCAAGATGAGATTTGTGTGGTGACACAGCCAAACCATATCAGAATGCAATATAAAAACAGAAAAAGAGGTTGTGTTTATACCACAAAACAAAGAACTAAGAGCACTAGGAAGAACTAAATCCCATGAGCAAATATAAGCATTACTAATAAAATATTTAATGCTTTTCTGTATCTAGTTAGAGTCTACACCACTTATAGGTTTTAAAATATTATTTCTGTAAAACTTGTTAAAATTCATTATGTATTGGAATTAATTAGGAGTAATGTGAGGGTTTGGGCCATTTAAAAATGGAAGGAGGATAGTGCAAAAGCCAGAGAAGGATGTACTCAGAAGTTTGTTAGTGGTAAGATAAAACTTTTGATTTTAGAATTTTGAAATTTTTTGCCACTATTTCAAATAAAATATTTACTTCTTTATAAATAGAGTTATTACTATTTTGTTAATTTACTCCTAATTGAAATAAACTTATCAAGTTTCATCTACTACTCAAATAAGGCACCACTGATTATATGCTTGCATCTTCCAGAAATAAAAGCAGATAATCTTAAAGGATATATTTTTAAAAAAAAACCTCATTAAAATTGTTTTGAAATTGTAACTATTTTAGAGTAAGTAGAAAGTCTCAACTGGTTATTCAATCTTAGGTTAACACAGAAAATAAGTTAAAACAAATACAGCGGTGCTATGACAGCAACAGTTTACTGCAGGCATTTTCAGTTTCCACTCTTTAATGTTTAATGTGGTGTGTCACTGTAGGTATCTCAAAATAAAAACCCATTTTTTTTAATGCTTCAAATAAAAAGTCATGTATATTAAAACTTGGCTAAGATAGTCACACAATTAGAAAATAGTAAGGGAACAGATGACTTTGGCAATTACTGCATCTTGAGATGAAAAATACAATTTTCCTTATTATTAATAGAGGAGATTTGTGAAGGATTAAGATCACAGTGACAGGAGGTTTGAAGCAATGAGACATCACTATCAATACCTGTAGGACACTAGTGCTCATAAATAAATCCCATGGTGTCCTCAATTTCAATTGAATGCTCCTGTCCAATCTTTGAAAACATTAGTTATCAAAAATATACTTTTCGGAATGTAATAACCAATGAGAAGAAAAAAACTTCCAAGAAACATGAACAATTTTTATCACTCTTTAATATCTGAAAATGTTCTTCTGATTGTTTTTCTATGCTAAAATTCCTAACACTAAAATTCTTAATGATCTCCCATAGTGGCTGCTGTCAGAACACCTAACTAAATACTTTTCATAGTTATATTGAGGTATGAGTGGGAAGAAAAACTCAGGAAATAATCATTTATTAAGTATCTACTCTAATAATATTAACACTAGTTAATGTTTATTGAATGCTTGCAATGTGCTGGGCACTTCAAATAGAAAACTTTATTTAATATTCATAATAAACTTATTATTTTGTAATTTGAATACTGAGATTAAGTAACCTCTCAAAGGTTACAAAATTCGAGATTAATCAAGCTCAGCTGAAATTCAAACATGGAGAATCACACTCACATGTCCAGGTTTTTGAACATAGACAATATAGCTTTACTATGTGCCATAAGCTAGGTAGTCATCTTCATGTACATTATGGATTTAATCCTTTAGATAAACCTATACAATAAATACTTTTAAAAAATTACCTTTACAGAAGAGCTACTGGAAATTCAGGGCGGATTTGCACTCAGGAAATTGAGATTCACAGTTGTATTATGTTATGCTTTGTACTAAGATTTACTTTTTTATTCAAAATGTTACAAAATCACATTGGTTTATATGAGATTATGTAATTGTCTCCCTTTCCTAATTATGTCTGTGCCACTAAGGCACTGTATTAAGATTATCCAGAGACAAAACCAATAGGAAATATATATCTTATATATACACAAATATATATATATATATATATATAGAGAGAGAGAGAGAGAGAGAGAGAGAGAAAGGGACATGAGAGGGGATTTATTCGAGGATTTATTAGAGGAATTCACTCGTGATTATGGCTGCTAAGAAGTCTCACAATGGGTCTTTGGCAAGCTAGAGATCCAGAGAAGCCAGTAGTGTGACTCAGTCCAAGTCAGAAGGCTTAAGAACCTTCACTGGGGGAGACCCAATGGTATAACTCTCAGTCCAAGGCCAAAGGCCTGAGAACCTGGGTGGAAGTGAAAATTTGGAGATGGGGGAGATCTTGGTGCAAGTCCCAGAGCCCAAAGACTGAAAAACCTAGATTTCTGATGTCCAAGGGCAGGAGAAGTAGTGTGTCCCTGTCCCAGAAAAGAGAATGTAACTTACCTTTCCTCTGCCATTTTGTTCTACCCAGTCTTCAGCTAATTGGGTGGTCCCTGCCCACACTGAAGGTGGATCTTTCTTACTCAGTGCACTAATTCAAATCCTAATATATTTCAGAAACTCCCTCACAGATACAACCCAGAAATAATGCTTTACCAGCTATATTTATATATTTTAACACAGTCATGTTGAAACCCAAATTAACCATCACACATACCTTAAATAGAAAAGAAATTAATTGACTTACTCTTAATCACCTCCTACAATGCAGGCATTATGCAGGTTAATAGTACAAATACATCTTCCTTTAATAGTACTCGAGAGTTTAATAGAGGATTTTAAGTCGGTTCTTCCTGGAAAGATAGCAAAAAATATAATTGGAATATAGGAGAGAATATAGGAGGAATATAATTGGAATAAAGGAGAGACACACAAAATTCAGAATAAGACTGTCAAGAAAAGATTTCTAAAGAGGTGACCTGGAGTTGAGTTTTGAAGGATAGAGAGAAGCATGTCAGATAAAGAAATAAAAGGAGGGCATTTCAGGCAGACAGAATAATTTGGACATAAGAAGACATCTGGCAGGCAATAAGGCTGAGAAGTAAGTAATGCCAAAATAGCCCAGGGCTTTATATACCATTCTAAGAGCCTTAGACTACATACTGTATGTAACAAGTAGATAACCCTCAAAGGTTTTTCAGCAGATAGTTACATAATCACATGTGTTTTTACATTATCACTTTCATGGCAATGTAGAGCATAGATGGGGGAAAAAAATAAAAAGTATGGCTCAACAATTCCAGGAAGAAATAGTTCCCAGGCACATATAATGACAGTCAGGCTGGAGTACATGGGTTAGATTTGGGAACAACTTTGTGATGGAGATTTGACATGTTTGAAGTTGAAAGAAAGAGACCAAAATTATATCCCATTTTTTCACCTGGGCAACTAGCGTGGTTGTGACATAATTAATGACTTATGGAAAAAGAAGTCATCTTTAACAAATACATACCATGTCATGAATGTGATTCTTCATGAAATCACAAAAATATGTAAAAAGAAAAGCATGATTCATTCCATTTCTTTTTTGAGAATCACTCTACAACATTTCCTCAAATAAATTAATTGATCAAAAATTATGTGTGTAGGGGATTACCAATAGCTGTGAAACATGACCCTGCCATCAAAGTCCTTACAATTTTGTCTTTTGTCTGAGTCTAGTATTATAATCTTCATAATATGAAATTGTCTTAATTTGTCTTGGCTACATTTATTCAAACAGCATAGGTATATTTAAAAGAGGGCATTCAAAGAGTTTGTGCACCTAGAAACCAATGAAATTGAAATTATAGAAATTAGAGTCCACTGTGTGGTACGGGGTTTTCAGGTTTGGATTGAGGCTAACAGGTAGCTGGAGGTCCCTGTCAAAATTTAATTATACCACCATCTGCAGCTCCAGTAAGCAGAATAAAAATCAGATTTAAATAATGCACAATACCCATATGGAAATCTTCTGTACTACTGCCATCTGGAGATATTTTTTTGATGCGAAGAAAGAAATTTGTAGTTGAGTTTAGAATCCTACATAGTTGTGTTGTATAATGCTTGGTTATGTCACTGAACATTTAATTTTCACAATAAAACACATTTTCCCCATGAATTTCTATATTACTCTACTCAGCAAAAGAGGGATGTTTTTGTTTGTTTGTTTGTTTTGTTTTTGTTTTTTTGAGACAAAGTCTCTGTCAACCAGGCTGGAGTGCAGTGGCACGATCTCAGCTCACTGCAACCTCTGCCTCCCAGGTTCAAGTGATTCTTCTGCCGCACGCCACCATGTCTGGGTAATTTTTTGTATTTTAGTAGAGATGGGGTTTCCTGTTGTTGCCCAGGCTGGTCTCGAACTCCTGAGCTCAGGTAATCCGCCCACCTTGGCCTCCCAAAGTGCTAAGATTACAGGTGCGAGTAACTGCACCTGGACTGGTTTTTTAAAATTACATATTCTCTGTATGTGCCTATTATAAATTTTCTATTTTGTTGGCAGATTTAAAAATATTATTTACCATTCCTCCTAATTTTTCAGGTATAGTAATTGTAGAATTTTTGTGGGTTCTGCTTTTGGATTTTTTGTTGTTTGTTATGATTAAATTTTTTAGTTTATTTCCTTGGCACAACATTTTTAAAAGTAAATCATTTCTCTTAAAGAGTAGAAAAAAATTGAGTAAGGAAATTGGGACTCCAAAATGATTTGTTTATGGATTTGTTGATTTCTTTTTTTTTTTTCCTTTTGGCAGGGAGATGGCTAAGAAAGACATGTATGCAGTATACTTCTATATTTCTAATAATAAATTTAGAAAAAATAACTCATCATGAGTATTAGGCTACCTTTACATTAAAGTTTGCTTGAAGATTCACTGAAAGTATCCTTGCTCATGTATATACTAATTTAAATATTTATGTTATGTTTTAATTTAGAACAAAGGTCTATGCTTAAATGTAGAAGAGGCAGAACAGCTAACATAAATGGGTAATCAAGAAGGTACAGGGCCAGAGGCAATGGTGGGAATTGGGAACTTGCCATTACGGCATAAAATTCTGTGTGTGTGTTTGTATGTGATCACTGTCCAGCACTAAGTAAAATTGTCTATTGGCAGAATTAGCTGAGAAGTATTTTAAAAGATCTTTTATATAAAGCTTTAGAATCCCAAGATCAAATAATTCCAGAATTTTAGAAGTGATATTTATTCTTTTAAAAAACATTTACTGATTTCTTGAAGCTTTTACAAAAACTAAATTGTGTTACTTATAACATTTGCATCAAAGAAAAAATAAAAGCATGAAAGCTGGAATGAATTATTCACAGAATTCTTTCAGAACAGTATTTGTTTTTTACATTTACTATGATGGCTTTATAATAAGAGTAAAAAACCATAAGAAATATACAACTAGAAAAATAGGAATATAAGATAATTCAGAGTAGAAAAATCATAGAATCATCATGTAGTAAAATCATACTCCTCATGCCCTTTGACTATAACAAACCTGTGTTTTCCCTTTCTGCCTGAGCAACTCTTTTGAATTCCCAGATAAAAATGTAAGCACTGTGATAGTAATTTATAACCTACATGAAATCATTTGATTATACTGATAAAAGAAATAAGCTTTAGATATTTTACAACATAGAGATCCAGTTTTCAGGGGTACCATGAATATGTCCTCCAGTATGACTGCTTACATAATCGTGAATATATATCAGCAGAGATGTTAAGGTTAAAAGTCTTAGGAAGAAAAATGCATTTGTTATCAATTGAAAGGTTAATTAATCTTGAAAAAAAGCAGTCACATAGGGTCACTGGTAGATACAAGAAGGATTGATTGATTGTCCAAACTTCATCACATCTAAAGCAATGTTGAAGTGGATCCCTAATTATTTAGAATTGTAGGGTTTAAAGTGCTTTTAGAACACAGAAGTAAAAATTGTTTTTAAGAACGCTAAAAAGATGATTACCAAAATGTAACTACTTATTCAAACAGAAAAAAATTTATGATAAAGCAGGCTATGTGTTATTACTAGTAGAAAGCCCAAAAATAATATATTGAAAGTATGAGTCCCGAGTATTGGCTTTGTGATCCTCTAATGATTTCTAATCTTAGCTGGGTAAATAAAAGGTCCAAGGCAGAATTGAGACGGGAGTTAACTGGTCAAATAACAACAAGAACAGCAACAATCTGGCCAACCACCCCTCTTCCTTCAAACCAAGGTCTAATATATTGGTAATCTAAAGAGATTTAAAATAGTTTTCTGTCTGAGAAGTGTGTATTATGATTTGTTCTTAATTAATTATTGATTGAACACAAACCACAGCCAAGCACTATGCTAGGCACTGATGAGATGGTGCAAACAAGACAAACATGGTTTGACCATAATTTCAAAAGTACAAATGCATATACAATAAATGAATGACAAAGAAAGATAACTAAAAAGGCTTGCTTAATTATGCAAGATTTCTTTAATCAATTTTCTCTTAGTTTAACCCTGGGTTATTTGAAAACCAGTAATAAAAAATAAATTATTTAGCTCATCTTTCTGGAATCTATTATAGTATAGGTCTTCAAGATTTATAACTCTTTTATAATAAAAGCTTAGGAAGCAGATAATTTTTAAATATTCTGATGTTTTATATATGAACCAAAACAAATGTATGTGGCTTTTGACTTTTGCATTTATGCACTAGACAAATATTAAAAAGTTCTTTTCAGTGTTTTTTAACTGAGTTCATCAAAGTCAAAATAGAGCTTTCTCTGATCAGTAATTCGAGAAGTTATTTGAAAAGTTGATAACCATAAGAGTCATCTCCAAATTTTTATCAACTTTTCAAAAAATATTACAAATCTACAGCTTTAAAAGTCAAGTATATTAACCACATGGGTCATAAATATTGTCCCACAATTCTTAGCAGCCAATGTAAAAGAAAACATGGTCACATGCATAAATTAATATACCAGTAAGGTACAAGAGAAGCCAGTTGCACAAATAAGCATAATCATTCTTGGTAGTGCAAACTCTGACATATTTCTCCTAAATATCCTCCTAAAGAAGATATTCTATGAAAGTAACCTTTATAAAACTTTGACATTACAAATTGAATTATTTCTGAAATTCTTAGAGAAATCTTATTTGCTAGCTAAAAAGGGAACCAGCAAACCAAACATAAAGACAATAAACAGAAGGCCAAATTAATAATAATTTATAACTGACAATAGAAAAATTGTATATTTAATATAGTAGTCTTCATACAAAGATAATTTAGGTGAAATAGTAAAAAATAAAAAAGCTACAATTGTGAAAAGATCACTGTGGGTGGAAATTTTGTTATAAACACAATAAATAAACCCGTGAAGAAAATTAATACACATTTAGTCCTGATTCAATAGAAATTTTAATAAGGAGGTGGATATACCCAAAATTATACAAAAAAATGCATTTGACTAGAAAATAGGAGAATTATTTAAGAGTAGAGGAAAAAGAGGATTCACTAAAGATTGCTATGTAATCATTAAGTCAAATCTAAAATACGATTTGCATTATTTAAAAATAACATATAATAGCCAATGTAAAAGAATTTAAATTTATGAATCAAAACTCTATTCTAAAAAAAATTAGTGTTGACCAAGGGGTTAAAAACCAGTCGTTCTCTTATCTATTCATTAGACTCGCATCTTCAATAAATGCAAGTTGAGTATCCCTTATCCAAAATGCTTAGGATTTAAGCATTAAGGATTAAACTCCAGAAGGATTTAAGATTTCATATTTTTCAGATTTTTAAATATTTGCATAATACCTACTGCTTGTGTACCCCAAATCCAAAAATCCAAAATCCAAAATGTTCTAATGAGCATTTTGTTTACGTGTCATGTCAGTGCTCAAAAAGTTTTGAATTTTAGATCATTGGAAACTTTGGATTTTCAGACTTGGGATGCTCAAAATATATTAAAAACAGCTCAAGAGAGATTTGGAAGATAAAAACATGATTACAAACAATAATGCTCACACATAAAGATCCAAATATTATAGATAGGTCAGTCTGTGCACTATATTTTAAATTAAATAAAACATGCTTCAGTGGTTGCCTTAGCCTCTGCAATGGGCTGTTGGCAAACTTGTTACTTATTAAGTAACTAAAAATATTTCATTTTTGAAATTCTCTCTATCCTCCATTTCTCAAGAATTGTTACTCTGGCATCTTTCTGTATCTTCTCTTTTCTCATTAATCCATAGCCCTTTTCAGTAACACTGCCTAGGGCTATACTCTTAAAAACCTTTCCCACACTAGTCCAGGCCGGGCGCAGTGGCTCACTCCTGTAATCCCAGCACTTTGGGAGGCCGAGGCGGGTGGATCACGAGGTCAGGAGTTTGAGACCAGCCTGGCCAACATGGTGAAACCCCATCTCTACTAAAAATACAAGAATTAGCCAGGCATGGCGGGTGCCTGTAATCCCAGCTACCTGGGAGGCTGAGGCAGGAGAATTGCTTGAACCTAGGAGGCAAAGGTTTCAGCGAGCCAAGATCATGCCACTGCATCCTAGACTAGGCAACAGAGCAAGACTCCATCTAAAAAAAAAAAAAAATACTGTGAGTGGAAAAAAAGTGATCTGGAGCTCAATTCTTGCAGAATTTTAAGAGATATTAGTATTAAATAATGGTATCTTAGGAACGGTATCCTTTATATATTATATATATATACACAAATATATATATACACATATATATATACATATATATATATATATATAGAGAAATTAGGTTTAGAAATGTGATTTATAAAGAGTGACATCAGCCTGATGGCAAAATAAAAATTTCCAGCACTCATTCCTGTGTAAAATCATCAATTTGAACAACAATCTATTTATGAAAAGATTTTCACAAATGCTAAGGAACCTATTTGACAGATTAGAGCATCTGGGTATAGCACAGAAATAACACAAGATACATTGAAGAGTCTAGGAAGGACACTTTGACAAAACCATGTCACCAGTCCCTCAAGCCTGAGCACTGCACCAGCATGGGAGACGATGAGCTAAGTGAGCACCTGACTTCACTGAAGACCCCAGAACCAGGCCTGTGCCCACCAGCCAGCCCCCAAGAACACAGGCTCCAGAATAGCCCCTGCAAACCCAGACCCCAGACCTTCCCTCATGCCAAGTTGACAACCTCAGACCCAGGCTTCAGGCTTTCCCCAGTAGATCCAGGCAATATGCCCACCCAAGTAGAACCCAGTGCCAGACTGGACCCTGTAAAGCCGGGCTGCAGGACCACCCCAGAGCCAGGACAGCCCACAAAGCCCCAGGCTCTAGGCTGGCCCCTGTGGCCCTAGACTCTAATGGACCTAGGGTTCAGGCCTGTTCCAATAGACCCCAGTGCTGGGCTGGCCCCTAAGAACCCAGGCTCCAAGTACCACCCACCACTGATGCAGAAACCAGGCCTACCTTAGGGGACTCTGCAGCCAAACAGCCTGATGCTACCTGGCCCAGGTGTAGGCCCATCCCTTCATACCCAAGCACCAGGTGCATTCCAGTAACAGGCTGGTCCCAACTGACTCAGGCTCAAGGCCTGTCCTGGAGATGAGTTAGCACCCAAGAACCCAGACTTCAGGCTACCCACTGTGGAACCAGACTCTAGGCCTGCCTAGATTCAGGTTCCATAAACCCAGTTCCAGGCATGCCTGCACAGACCAAGTCACTAGGCCTGCCCCAGTGGATCCCAACACCTGGGCCAGTCCCCTTGGACTTAAGCTCCAGGTCTGCACTCACAGAACTTAGTGCCAGGCCAACCTGTTTGCTAATCCAGGCACAAGGCCAGTCCACTTTAGAACTCCAGCAGCAAACCCAACCATGGACCCTACTAGCTGTCACACCCAGAATCTCTGGATGGGCTCTTTGACTCTTCCTGCCAAAGCCAGTATGTAAAGACTGGAAGGGATGCCCACTGCTTCAAACACAGACACCAATGTAAGCCTAAAAAGACCACGACTAATCAGGGTAACATGACAACCAAAGGAGTAAAATAAATCACTACTAACTGACTCTATAAAAATGGAGCTCTACAGACTGCCTTATGAAGAATTAAAAATAAATAGTTTAAAGATGTTCAATGAGCTATAACACAAATAAAAACTAAACAAAATCAAGAAAATAATACATGAACAAAATTAGAAGTTCAAGAAAGGGATAGACACCACAAAAAAGAACCAAACAGAAATTCTGTAGAGGAAGAATAAAGAACTGAACTGAAGAATTCCATAGAGAGCTTCAAGAGCAGACTTGATCAACCAGAAATAGAAATCAGTGATCTCAAAGACAGGTCATTTAAAAGTATATATTCTTGACAACCACTGATACAAGGTAAGTGTACACAGAAGCTTTTATAGATGGAAGTCCAGTAGCAGCTCAGAAAATGTTTGGGGACAGATTGGGAGATTTAAAAAAGCTTCAGTAGGTGGGGCAAGCTTGGAGGAGAGAAGCAGTTGCTAAGAGGGAAAAAAAGTACAAAGTCCCACTCAGTGACAACATGGATGAACCTGGAGGACATTATCTTAAGTGAAATAAACCAGGCACAGAAAAACAAATATTGCATGATCTCACTTATATGTGGGATACTAAAAAGTGAAACTCATAGAAGCAGAGGGTAGAATGTTGGTTACCAGGGCCAGGGTATTGGGGGAGAGAACACAGGAAAAGAGAATATGTTGATCAAATAGTAAAAGTTCCAGTTAGAGAGAAGGAATAAGTTTTAGTGATCTATTGCACAGCATCATGACCACAGTTAATAGTAATGTATTGTACAGTTCAAAATTGTTAAGAGTAGATTTTGAATGTTCAAAACACACACTCCCTCATGCACACATGCACATGACAAGTAAGTGAAGTGATGGATATATTAATGTACTTGCTTTAATCATTCCACAAGGTAGACAGATATAAAAATTTTACATTATATTTTATAAATACATACAATTATTTGTCAATGAATTTTTTAAAATAAAATAAAGTATAACAAACTAAAAAAGAGTCCCACTCACACCTTTCTTCCCTAGTGAATAAAATCATTAAACTACTGGAGAAAGTCAGTCACCACATTAAACAGTCACCACAAGGAGGACACAGGTGAAGGCCAACTGCTGCTGAGAGATGGAGGAAAAAAACAAAACAAACAAACAAAAAAACCTCCTCCTAGGGAAGGGATAGGAAATGGTCCTGGGCCCAGGATTCAATTCCAATATTATTAGAAGTCTTTTAATACTAGACAAGATGAAGTATCATGAAGAAAGCCCACTTCCTAAGACACAGCGAAGCAGGGCCAAGAGAACAGAGAAAGAGAGAGAAACTTCTATCTCCCCATAGGAAAAGGATAGCAGGCACTGAGTAACATGCAAAGAATGGTTTCCAAGTGAAGAATGAGAAAGATAGAGACTATAGGGAATTGGCAAACAGGTTGGGCTTAAAGCTGAAGATGTAGCAGAAACATTGTGAAAGTCCTTCATCAAGTTCCCCCATCCAAAGGACAAGGTTCTTGGCATTGGGGAGGTCTTGGGATCCGGGTTTGCAGAGGCTGTTCTGAAGCCTGAGTTCTTGGGGTCTGGCCTGGTTCAGAATTCTTCAGTGAAGTGAAGTGCTCATTTCACTATCCTCACACACAGAGAGTGTCTCTCTCTGCAGTTCAGTGTTCAGACTTGGGGAAATGGTGACATGGGTAATGTCAAAGTGTCCTTCCCAGACTCCAAGGTCACTCTAGAGGAACTTCAAGCTGTGGTGTGAAGAAGGGAACCATATCAACAAGAAAACCAAACCTACCTCAACTCCTGAGTCAGTTGTCTCAAACTACCCACTCCAATCCGTTAATAGCTTAGCAGAGTAAGAGAAGAGAGAGAAGAAAGGCAAGAAGCATGAGACATTTGGTGGCTCATGGCATTTGTGGGTCTTTGGGAATCTTGGGTGGACACCACCTCATTCTGGAAATTTGTTCTTTGAGTTTCTTGAAAAAAAAAAAGTATCTCCTTTATAACTTTGTCTACTTCCGGAGAATCCTGTTTTAGATATCCAAGTATAAATGTGTTCAGATTATGGTAATATGATGTATTGGGGGTTTGGAAATGTGGATCTGGGAATCTATGCCTTATTACGTAAATGCTTTGTTAGTATTTAATCATAATTAAAATTTAAATCCTTTCCAGCGAGGTTTCAAAACCAGTCTTATATTGGTATTGTTTCCAGTAAAAAAGGACTCCAGACTGAAGCTCATGGAGAGGTTCTTGTAGTTTATTTATGAGAAAAGCCATCTGTAGCTATTAGTCATAAATTTGGTTTACAGCATTAAATCTTTACAGTATCTGGTCATATCAACCAGTAATAGAACAGAATCAAGGACAGGGGTGTGATCCGGACAAGGGACATTGGGTGCTGAACTCATGGGGATAGAATATGAATTCCTTTTGGACTTCAATTAATGGTCACGAGAAATAACAGCAAAGCTTTGGCCACAGCAACTGATATTTCTTAGACAGTTTTGTGAGTTCGTTTTTCATATGCCATTCGTTCTATTTCTCTGAAAATTGAAATGGAAGAAAACAGAAACTTCTGTGTGACAGAGCTCTTCAAAATTCCTTAATGACTTCTGAATTAAATAGATGCGGGATTTTTTCGCGCGCGTGTGTGTGTGTGCGTGCTTCAGCTTAAACAGCTGCATTTTGACGATAAAGCTTCTATCCATCCAGAAAATACAAAACAGTAAAAACGTATCCATAACCAGTATGATGCATTGTACAAAAATGTTGCAACTGGATCCTGAGACATTGGTTCTTGAGTTCTTAGCATTGTAACACTTTTGTCAGGGTTATGAGGTAGATAGATGGACCATGTGCCAGAAACATCCTTAGCCATTTTGAGAAAAAGAGTAGCATGAGCAAAGACATACAGTGGGAAATAAAAATTGAATATTAAAAGTAAAGCGGGCCGGGAGCAGTGGCTCATGCCTGTAATCCCAGCACTTTGGCAGGCTGAGGCAGGTGGATCACCTGAGGTCAGGAGTTCCAGACCAGCCTGGCCAACATGGTGAAATCCGGTCTCTACTGAAAATACAAAAAATTAGCTGGGTGTGGTGGCACGCACCTGTAATCCCAGCTACTCAGGAGGCTGAGCTAGGAAAATTGCTTGAACCTGGGAGGCAGAGGTTGCAGTGAGCCCAGATTGTGCCATTGCACTCCAGCCTGGGAAACAAGAGTGAAACTCAGTCTCAAAAAAAAAAAAAAAAAAAAAAGAGTAAAGCCTTGCCCTAATGATTTTCTGTTTAGTGCATGAGATAAAGAAATCTGAACTGAAGATGTAATTAGTAAGAGTGTTACTGTATTTGTATTTTAGCAGAAATCCTCAACTAAGGTGGGAAGAGAAGGTGTGATGCTCCCCAAGAGAATTTTGTAAGTAAGTGAAACTATGTTTTGGTTTTTACAATGAGGGAAATAGATCAACTGGTATTTAGTGATTTGAAGCCAGGGATGCTGACTATTTAGCAGTGCACAGCACAGAGTTGCACAATAAAAGATTAGCCCAAATGCCCATACTGCCTTCACTGATAAAGACTAACAGACTGAATCCTAGGCACCTTAGAAGGCACAATAGAGAAAATATGGTTGGAGAGAGGAATTTTGCTCTAGATGTACAAATCACAACTTGTAGCACAATTTATATTTTCCATATGTAAAACATCTCTCCTGACTGCTTCAGAAGCAAAACTAATTTAACTTTGTCAACAAATAATCTCTGGTTTCACTGCTAGACCAACAGCCAAATAGGCTTAAGAATAATGGTTTTAACTGATGCAATGGCTTTTAGGAAAATCAAAGCATATGTGTGCAGAGGGTGTGTTGAGTGCTTGGGGGGAAGATTTATCTTTGTAATTATATTTTCCTTTGCCTAACCTTAAAACTATTTTGAATATACTAGCACACACGGATTAATAAAAAAAACACACTGCAGAAATATTTAGGAATTGATGGAAGTGAGCATAGTATTAAAAACTCTCCATAAATAAAGTCCTAGAAAAGTCATGAATACTTGATATTATGCATATAGTATATTAATTTACTTAGTAACATAGTCTTTTATTATGTTTAACAGCAGGTCACAACATCTCTTTCCTTGTAAATGAAAAATGTTGGTATTTCATTAAGGCTTTTTATAAAAATTTTAGTCTTTTACAAAATGTGTTTAAAATTTACCCTTTAATGACGCAAGTTCATAGAATCTTTGACTTTCTGGGCAGTAGTTATTATATCAATATATCTAAAATATAAAAGTACATAAGAAGCATTTATATGAAGCTCCAAAAAGACAAATCTATAGAGACAAAAAATAGGCTAGTGTTTGTATGGGGGCTGGGTTTATGGTGGATAGAAGATTGAGAGCAAGTGCTCATGGGTATCATTTTTGGGGGCAAAAATATTCTAATATTGATTATGATAATGGTTGTGAACATACTGAAAATCACTGAACTGTATGGTTTAAATGAGTAATTTTATATTTTGTAAATTATAATTCAATAAAGCTGTTTTTAAAAGTTGATAAGAAAAATTGAACTAAGCATCGATATAAAACTTTGGTGTCGAGATGGGCAACAGTACTGTGGTCCAAGTGCAGCCACAGCCTGGAAGGTCCATTCTGGAACTGCTGCTCAGCAGAGATCTTATTTGCCTTCCAGATTATTTTTGCTGATGATATTCTGGTTTCATTAAAACACTTCTAGAAGAAACCATGAATATCTACACCCTATGCAGCCTTCATGGACTAGAGCTGGCAACTCTTTGAGAATGTGGATAAGTGCATGTTCTTGCTGCCACGGAACTCTGGGCAGTTTGCTTTTAACACCTTTGCTGGCAGCTTCCAGAATTCCCAGTTTATCTCGTGTGCAGCAGCAGGATGGCAGAATCCAGAGCCATGATAGGAGAATAGTCCAGGCACCTGCTGGGCGGGGAGCATGAGGCGAATCAAAATTGCCCAGTGCTGGGATCAATCCTCCAGATGCTGATCAACACATCGTATCTCTCATCACCATTCCCAACCTTGCCTGGGACCCATGGAATCCATCCCTCAGAATCCAAAATACCGCAGGGGTGGGAGTACAGAATGGAGGATTGAGGGACTGAAGGGTGTGGTGGAATGAGGGCAATGAGGTTAACCCCTTTACAGGCAGCTCTGTAATCAGTTTTAAACCAGCTGCAGGTTTAGTGAGAATCTAGGCCCTTCCCACCATCTAAGTACCAGACATCCTGCTGGGTCCAACACTTGAAGGGAATGGTGACAGCAGTTACACTGTTCCTGCCTCTCCCCGATGGCTCCACTGTACCTGGCTGGAGCCAATCATGGCTCCCCAGCTACCAAAATGTCCTCAGTGGAAGTTCCTCCTCTAGGTGGCCAAGGTACTCTCTAGTTATGCAAGAGCACCCCAACCTCTTTCCATGGCCTGATGGGATCCTGACCTGCCCTAGATCCCAGTGAGGTCCCACCCCATGCCTGGCCTGAAGGATGCTGGGAAAATGCTTATCTTTTCCCTGGATGCCCTGGTCCTATAATCAACATGGCTGCCATCTGAACTGAGTGGGCCCTGGCCTCCTAGCCATGTGTTGAGATCTTCACAGGTGGCAGTACCCTTGAAATGAAAGCCAAGGAGACCCAACCACCTCTAAAGTCCTTTGTCATACTGCCCTTGCTCATTTCTGGCCTTGGCATGCTTAACTCCTTTGGGAGAGCTCCCGTTGCTTAAGTTTGGTTCCAGCCTCAGAGGTAGAGATAGGGAGGGACTAGCAATGGTCTCTTTGCTTGGCCCACCATACTTATTCTCTGGCCTGTACGACTGTAACCTCTTCTAAATTGTCAACAGTGGAAGAGTTTTTATACTTTTGGATTTTCGTAGCTTTAAGACAAAAGGATATTTTAGCTCAATTTTAGGTTTATGATTTGTGTAACATAGATACAGAATAAGACACAAATTTCTCCTATTTTCTTATTAGTATTTTGCAATACAATTAATATAGTTTGGCTGTGTCCCCACCCAAATCTCACCTTCAATTATAGTTCCTATAATCCCCACTTGTGGTGGGAGGGAATCGGTAGGAGGTAATCAAATCATGGGGCAGTTTTCCCATTCTATTCTCCTGATAGTAAGTTCTCTTGAGATCTGATGGTTTTATAAGGGACTTCCCCCTTTGCTCAGCTCTCATTCTGCTGCCATGTGAAGAACAATGTGTTTGCTTCCCCTTTCCCCATGATTGTAAGCTTCCTGAGGTCTCCTCAGCTATGGTGAACTGTGAGTCAATTAAACCTCTTCTCTTTATAAATTACCCAGTCTCAGGTATATCTTATTGATTAGCAGTGTGAGAACAGACTAATACAGAAATCACATGTACTTAAACTAAATTTACAGAATAGTCATTTTAAGCATAATTATGTGAGACCTACTAAGTGTTTATTTTTAAAATAAAAAAGGAAAGTTTTATTTGCTTGTTTATTTGTTTTCAAACTAGACAAATTAATCCTAAATATTGTTTGTAAGAATTGGTATGCAAAACACCAAGATATTTTTGGGAAACAAACAAAGGGTACTTAACAATGGATATCAAAAACTATAAGTATGGATTTTAAGAGTCTATAATAAATATAGTAAGAAAAAATACTATAAAATAATGGCACACAGTACAGCACAGAAAGTATACACGTGTACATACACATACACACAAAAATTATAACTGAACTAAAAATGATGACATTATATAAACTTGAATAAAGAACAAGACAAATTATTAAGTACCTAATATAATTATGAAATGCATAGAATTACAATGTCTTACCTAAGAAAAAAAACTAAGTCAAAATAGTCAAGTTTACATATATTAAACAATTATGAATTTCTGAATAATGTCATAGAGAAATTTGAAAAATAGAATAAATTGGAAAAAATATTATTAGTATATTATAAAAATCATGGGGTGGGAGATGGATAGCTGTTAGAAATTTGTTTTTAATTTCTTTTTTTTAAATGATATGCTCATTAATGTTTATTTTCTGTTGATGCATGCAGATAGAGTGATTCTTATAAACTTGTACTTGTTTTGTTTTATTTTAATGCCTTAACTGTAAAAGGTTTGGCTGTAGGGCAGAGAAAAAATTATTCTAAGAATATATGTTGTATTAGGCTGTTCTCGCATTGCTATAAAGAAATACCTGAGACTGGGTAATTTATAAGAAAAGAGGTTTAATGGGCTCATAGTGGTACAGGGTGTAAAGGAAGCATAGTGCTGGCATCTGCTTCTGGTGAGGCCTCAGGAAACTTACAGTCATGGTGAAAGGTGAAGGAAGAGCAGGCCTCTCACATGGCAGGAGTGGGAGCCACAGAGAGAGGAAGGGTGGGTGCTAGACTTTTAAACAGCTAGGTCTTGGGAGAACTCATTATCACAAGGAGGGCACAAAGGGGATAGTGCTAAACCATTCATGAGTAATCTGTCCCTATTTTCTAATCACCTCCTACCAGGCCTATCTCCAACATTGGAGATTATGTTTCAACATGAGATTTGGCAGGGACAGAGATCCAAACCATATCATATGTAAACTGGGATGTGAGTCTAGGTCATTGTGAATTTAGGGCCCATTGTCTTTCATTATCTGCTTTTTAAAGTTTTTTAAGTTTTCTTTAAATTAACTCTGTGTTCTTAACTTAGTAGTAAATATATCTTTTATGTGGTAGTTCCATTTTGTGATAATGCTTTCATTTTAGTTATCTAATAAATGTGTTAGGACATCTTTATTGAATTATCACTTTGTGATTGACACTGTCCTATATCTTAAGAATTCAGAACAAAGTACTATTTTAATGCTGGCTCTCAAGACACTGACTGTGACAGCTTAATAACAATATATCAGTCCTAACTTGACAGATAAACATGTTACATGTGTCACTATTGACATTACTGTAATTCCAATTGATGTAATTCCAAGTTGCAAAATTCTATAATAAAAAGCATTATAAATGAAAGGTTGAATTGGTAAAAAGGAGAAAAATGGCATAAATGACCCCCAAGGTAAGGAACATTGCTTGGAACATTTAAAAAATACACATTCTTTTCTCCATTGTTGGAATGTTTTCCCAATGCTGGACATTTTCGAAAAACTAGCCATGACATTAGAGCTTTATTTAAACATAAGTATCCATGTTCACTTTAGAAATCTTAGTGATTTTTACATAAGTATCTCTTAAAGAGCTGATCCAGGGGGTGATTAAATATACATGTTGACAGATAATACTGAAATATCAACACTGGGTGACAACAATGTCTGATTTATTTTAAATAGTTTATACCTAATATTTTTGTGTGGCTTCTTACTTATAGGAAAATAAAATGTGTCAATGAATTCAATAGTTCAGGTAATTTTTAAAAATGAATGACAAAACTTAGAAGGGGGCTTAACTGTAAAAATAAAATTCTGTATGTTTTTGACTTATTTTTACTTATTTGTGTGTGGATATGTGTAAAGATAGATAATAAATAAATAGATGAGACTGATTCTTAGAAAAATATGCTATTGTGTTTAAACTGTGCTATGTGCAAAGTGGCTTATTAGTTGTTAGTTTCTGGAGGAGACAAAAAAAAACACTCTTTACCTTCAGAGGAACTTATACTAGAAGAGAATTATGTACCCTCAAATAATACAAAAATGGCTAGAGGAGGAAATGGCAAACAAAAAAAGTGGTTACTGTATATTAACCAGAAATTGTTTTGCTATTTGTGATTTTCTTTTTTTTTTTTCATTCCACAACCAGCCATTACTGAGAATGTAAGTATTGGCTCATTACATTTGAAACTGTTAAGAAAGTTACTAACATTCTATGACATAACATGGTAAAGTATATTTTAAGCTCTTTAAAATTATGCAGCTTTGAGCCAACTTTGGGAGTTTACACTTATACCCATTTAAAATCTAAAGAAGGCTTCTATGCTTCCATAAGGATCATATTACAAAGTTCAGGAAATAATTTCTGCTCCTAGTCACAGCAGTAGAATTAGTTGAGAATACATAGGAATGCAGTTCTGAGACCTCTCAGCCTCATCAGTAATCCAATCAATGAACAGTATGCAAATGACCTAACAGGAATACAATCAGGGCTCCATGAGCAAGTAATTTCCATTTCCATTACTGCTCAATGAGATTTTGCTGTAATTTTAAGGCAGTGGAAACCTCCATGAAGGGCTTTTTCTTCTCTTTTTGCTTTATTACAATTACTTCCTCCAATTAAAATAGACAAGAAATTATTACTTTATCTGATTCAAGGATTAAAAAATGTTTCTGAAATAAGTTTTTCCCTTATAAGTTTGTTTTGAAGCCTTCAAATGTAAGAATTAAAAAGCAACTGTAACAATAATGATCTTAATTTTTCTCTACACTTACCTGTGGTTATTTAATAATCTAGATTCTATAAGACCTTCTTGCTGTACATCCTATCACCCGGCCCATTAACTGTTACAAGATTAAAACAACTACCAGAGAACGCTACTTCTTAGGTATTAAAATTCACTGTGTAGAAAAGCTGTTTCTAGGTTATTGTAGCTAGGGCTAGTACAGGGCACAATTATGAAAATCACTGAATATTTGAAATGAAAAGACACTTAGAGATCATTATCCACCCACTATATTTTCCTCTCATACTACAAATGAGATGCAGAGAGGTTAAAATTATCGACCCAATGGTTCACAGAGAGCTGTTGATGAAACTACATCTCATGCTTTCTGATTAGGAGTTAATTAAGTTTATATTTTTGTTGTCCTCCAAAACTTCACATTCTTTTCTTTCTTATTTAGTGACCCTATAATATTAATAGTTATTATTTATTTATTAAGTATTTATGTGAATATCATCTATATGAATTGTGCTTAGTGCTTTTTCTGTCTTTAATTCTTAAAACAGCCTTGATATAGGGACAATTATTAGTTCTCTTGTACAGATGAAGGTAACGTGGTCTGGAAAGTTTAAATGACCACCTAAAGTCACACAATAAGTGGTGGTGTCAGGAAAATAAACACAAGTCCTGTATGACTGCAGGCCTTTGCTTTTAAGAAACTGACTACAGTAACATTCAGTACTTAGGCTGCTCTGTCACCTAGATCCAGGTATTACATTTCTTTATAAAACTCATCCAAAGCTAACTTTTCAAAGTATTCTAATTAACTAATTTACCCTAAGATACTGAGAAATGATGGCAAAATAATGTGTTATTTTTCTGGAGATAATTGATTTTTATCAAAGGAACAATGCTGTTAGCCAAAAAAATAAAATTTCTGTATTCGAAATTTCATCCTTTCATGACTGCTATTAAGAAAGAGATTTAGGGAGAGGAGAACCTTTGTTGTCTTTTTAATTCTTGCTCCTTGTGGAGTGTGATGAAAAGAGACCAGGCTTTAGAGATATAGTGGATTGCATTACTTCAAACTCATTTGATGTAAGATTTGGGGATGCTTAGTTTATACTTTTGAGTCTCACTTTTTTGCCTATATTTTGGAAATAATAATGCACCCAATGTATGCAACTATTAAATTATATTTAAACATTTATATTCATAAGTGAGGAGATTTGGGATATTATTATTACCAATAGTTTTCTAAACTTAAAAGGCTTGTGTTTTACTAAATTATAGACTTTTATAGTTGGAAAGAACTAGACAATTCCATTAGTCTAGTGAGGTTCCTATTTTTCTGAGAAATGAATAGACTTCTAATTAAAGTGATTTGATAATGTAATAAGAATAAAAGATTGGTAGTGAGTCAGAAATGGTTTTCTCATCTTCATCCGCACCTCAGTCAGATAATCTGTGCTTTTATGTAATGCATATACTTCATTCTTACATAAAAATATCACTTTCGGAAAGAATGGTTAAAATTAAGTTGAAGTTTATTGACTTTGTTCAAATTCTTCACTTTAGAGGTAAGCAAAATACCTTAAGAACTTTCTACAAATCAGTATATGCAACATTGTAGAGAATCCATTCTCAGCAAAAGTGTGAAATTTGTCTGTGTTATTAGTATATTAACTATGCTTTTATACAACATATTTTTAGGAATATTCCTCCTTTGATATTATTTAAAATGTATTAAATTCAGTTCATAGTTTGATAAATTCCCAAGTGTGAACATATGCCTTTTTTTTTTTGCCTGGCACTAATATATTTTTCCCTCCAACTTAAAAATAAGCTCCCAAATTAAAAAAAGGGTAATATCTATTCAAAATTTGTATATACACAGTCATTTTATTTTTTCTATCCAAAATGGCCTTGGGCATCTTAATCTTTATTAATTTATGTGAAATAGCAACTCTTTATTCTTCTTAAGTATTCTATATTTCTCAAAATAAATACTACATTCAAACTCATGATTTAGATTTTTTTGTCCCAAATATGTTAATAGCATAATTTATATTAAATCTGCAAAATCTAAGTATTGTTTTGAACAGTTTCAGTTTTAACTGAGCCAGTATTTTACTATGTTAATTCAGCTGATAGTAATGTACTAAGAATATCACAATTATAGATTATTCTTATACTACATAAAATAATAATTACAAACATGTTATTAAAATATTTAGGTGGAACAAAGAAGAACCATTTTATATGCTATGAAATTTGTGATTAGATAATTTTGTTTTATTGTTCCTATTCTTTTGGTTTTGCTTTCATGACATATGTAACATCCTTCAGTAGTATATTAAGTATGTTAGTTTATTTATATACTTACGTTTTAGCACATGTAGTTTTCTGTGCCGTGTCTTTTATGTTTAACAGTTATTTTGATATTCTTCCTTGCTGTTAAAGGCAATGGTAGGAATGCATTTTTACCATAGTATATTTGTGTGTACACTTGCCAGTATATACTGGGGCTATCTTCAGTGTGTTTGCTGTAAAAAATAAAATAAGAATTAAAACGCTGCTTTGTATAGTCTCCACACATGTCCTGGTGCACATGTGCAATGAAATTAATGGCTCAGAGGATATATATAAATCCCAAACAAACAAAAAACAGCAATTGTCTTCTAAAGTGCTTTCATGAATTTAATCACTTTTCATTAAAAAAAGTGATGCCTAAAAGCTTATTAAATATATTTTTGTGTTGTCAGATGTCTTAAGGTGTCTTAATTTTTATCAATCTGATAGGTTTTAAAATAAATTCCACTGAACTTTTCTATTTAACTTATTACTATGACGTAGAACATTCTTTCTAATGTTTATGGGCTATAGTTGTTTCTTTTATTAAATGCATCATTATATCATTTGGCCACTTTTTATTAAATTTTAGCATTTTAATTTATATAAATTAATTATGTACTCAGTAATATATAAATAAACACATATTGTATGAATATATTAATAAATTATAAGTGTTATATTCCTTTTTCAATTGTGTGTCATGAATTCATAAAATATATGTAGATATTAGTCTATTGTGTCATTCACTACCATAAAATATATGCAAATTAATTATAAAAAGTTAAAACTTATCAAAACTTACCTACACAACCACAGATCGTACGTGGCATCATTCGCAGTTGAGAGAAGTTTTAGCAAATGTAAAGATGCGATATTAAATCATAACTGCATAAAGTTATCTGCAGTATATATTGTATTGCTGTAATAATTTTGTAGCTACCTCCCATTGCTGTTGCTTTGAGCTCAAGTGTTGTGAGTATCCCTTTAAGGAAGGAGGATCTCTTGAGGCCAAGAATTCAAGAGTAGCCTTGGCAACATAAGGAGACCTTCATCTCTATTAAAAAAAAAAAGGCCGAGCACGGTGGCTCATGCCTGTAATCCCAGCACTTTGGGAGGCCAAGGCGGGCAGATCACGAGGGCAGGAGATAGAGATCATCCTGGCTAAAATGGTGAAACCCCGTCTCTACTAAAAATACAAAAAATTAGCCAGGTGTGGTGGCGGGCGCCTGTAGTCCCAGCTACTGGGGAGGCTGAGGCAGGAGAATGGCGTGAACTCGGGAGGGAGGCAGAGGTTGCAGTGAGCTGAGATCGCGCCACTGCAATCCGTCCTGGGCGACAGTGTGAGACTCCATCTCAAAAAATAATAATAATAATTAATTAATTAATTAATTAATTAACTGAGTATGGTGGCTCACACCTGTAGTCCCAGATACTTATGAGGCTGATGCAAGAGGATCGCTTGTGCCCAGGAGTTCAAGGCTACAGTGAGCTATGATGGTACCACTGTACTCCAGCCTGGGCATCAGAGTGGAACCCTATCTCTAAAATAATAATAATAATACATTTAAAGTAATGAAAAAACACCATGTGATGCTAATCTTCTACATGTGAACAGTTCATTTCTCTAGAAATTGTGTATTTTAGCAAAAAGTGATCTCTCATAGTTCTCAAGTATTTTTCATCATGTTTAGTGTGATACTGTAAACCTTAAGTAACATCATGGGACCCATATGAAGTGTAGCTAGTGATGCTGGAAGTGCTTCCAAGAAGCAGAGAAAGGTCATGACATTACAAAAAGAAAGTTGAATTGTTTGACATGTACCATAGACTGAAGTCTTCAGCTGTGTTTGCCCACCATTTTAAAATAAATATATTTAGCATAAAAACCTTTCTAAAAAAGAAAAGAAAACCTGTGATGCCATTCCTGCAGCTATGTCAGCAGGCACAAAAACCCTGTACGTTTTGCAAGATAACTTTTCATTTCATATTGAAAATAAACCTTTACTTGAGTGAAAGATTGCTGTAAGAAAGGCCTACAAGGTCAGAAGTTCAAGACCAGCCTGACAAAGATGATGAAACCTCTTCTCTACTAAAACTACAAAAATTAGCCGGGTATAGTGGCAGGTGCCTGTAATCCCAGCTACTTGGGAGGCTGAATCAGGAGAATCACTTGAACCCCAGCAGCAGAGGTTGCAGTGAGCCAGGATCTCACCACTGCAATCTGGCGTGAGCGACAGAGTGAGACTCTGTCTCTCAAAAAAAAAAAAAAAAAAAAAAAAAAAGAAAGGCCTATGCCTACTTATAGTGTAGACTCTTAAGATGATTCCAGAAAAAGAGAAGTCATTATATGATAACCTAAAGCCAAAGGAAAGTGAAAGATCTAAAACTGGAGAACTTAATGCCACCAAAAAATGATTTGACAATTTTAGAGAGAGCCTTGAAGCAGCTTCTGTTGACCAAGAGGCAACAGATAACTTTCCTGACACCATTAATATAATTATTGAGGAGAAAGGATGTCTGCCTGAACAGATTTCTAATGCAGATAGAGTGCCTTATTTTGGGAACAAAAGTGCCACAAAGTACATTTATTAGTAACAAAAAGATGCAAGCACCAGGATTTAAGGCAGGAAGTAATAGGCTAACTCTACTGTTATGTGCAAATGCAGTCAGGTTTATGATCAGGACTGCCCTTATCTAGAAAGCTGCTAACCGCAAGCCTTGAAGAGAAAATATAAACACCAGCTGCCAGTCTTTTCACTGTACAACAAGAAGTCCTGCACAACAAGAACCCTTTTTTTTTCTGAATTGGTTCCATCGATGCTTTGTCCCTGACATCAGGAAGTACGTTGCCAGGAAGGTACTGCCTTTTAAAGTTATTTTAATATTGGCAGTGCCCCTGGCTAGTCACAACCCTATGCGTTCAACACCGAGGCATTGCAGTAGTCTACTTGCTCCTAAACACAACATCTGTAATTTAGCCTCTAAATTGTAATCAGAGGTTACAAGAATCTTTAAGGCTCATTACACATGCTATTCTATGGAAAGGATTGTGAACCCTATGGAAGAGAAACCCAGTGGAGAGAAGATTATGAAAATCTGGAAGGATTACACCATTGAAAATTCCATCATTGTTATAGAAAAAGTCATGAAAGCCATTAATCCCAAAACAATACATTCTTGCTGGGGAAAAACAAAAAACAAAAAACAAAACTGTGCTCAGATGTCATGCATGACTTCACAGCATTTACAGCAAAGCCAATCAAGGAAATCATAAAAGAGATTATGGATATTGTGAAAAGGATAGGAGATGAAGAATTTCAAGAACTAATAGTCACCATTAAGAGGAATTAACAGAAGAAAACTTGGTAGAGATGAGTGCTTCCTAACCAGCTCCAGATAATGAGAAAGGAAATGCAGAAAAGGCAGAGCCAAGATACATACTGACATGAGACAACCTGACAGAAAAGCTCTGATTATTCAACACTGCCTTTGACCTCCTTTACAACTTGCACCCTTCTGTGATACAGGCACTGATACTAAAACAAATGGGGAATAAGGATTGGTACTAAATGCAAACCTTTTTAGAGAAATTAGAAAGCAAAAATGTTGGACAGAAATTACCGTGTATTTTCATAAAATTACACTACATATGTCTGCCTCTCCCGCCTACCTTTCCACCTCCTCCACCTCTTCCACGTCTGCCACCCTTGAAACAAGACCTAATTATCCTTCTTCTTCTTCCTCCTCAGCCTACTCAAAATGAAGATGATAAGGATAAAGAACTTTATGATGATCCATTTCCACTTAATAAATAATAAACATATTGTATCTCAATTATGATTTCCTTAATTGCATTTTTTCCTCTAGCTTACTTTATTTATAAATACAGCATATAATACATGTAGCATACAAAATATGTGTTGACTGGTTTATGTTGTCAGCAAGGCTTTGTGTCCACAGTGGACTATTAACATTTAAATATTGGGGGAGTTAAAAGTTACATGTGGATTTTTGACTGCACAGGGGGTCAGCACCCCCAATCTTCATGTTGTTTAAGTGTCAACTGTACCATTTTAGATGTGTCTTAAATCGTTTGTAATTCACTAATTGGCATGAATAATGTTTTAATCTGTGTAGCGTTATAAGGGTTTCCCATCAATCCACATCCTGCAGGAAGTTATCTGTGCCCCAAATCACAGATAACAAAACAACCCAGAAACCTTTAGTTTATCCATTTTCCTGCTATCCCCTTAACCAAAATATCAACTATAATTCATATCCTTCTTACATTTTTAGCATAATTATAACAGCTTCTTTAAAATTCTTATCTGCTAATTGCAACATCTAGTTATCTCAAGGTTGGTATCACATTCCTTCTATTCACAATATCAACTACAATACATAATATGCAAACATATTCCTTCTGTTTTTCTATTTGCCTGAGAGACTAGACATTAAGCCTGTGACAAGGCCACCTTTGGAACACCTTAATGCTTCTCATTTCTCCTTCAAATTGCTACCGAGCCTTTTTAAGCCTAAGTTTAAAATATGTATATTTCAGCGTATTTAAATAAATTTGCATTGTTTATAATCAATTCCTTCTTAAGTTTCTCTTTGTTGACACAAGTGTATTTTTTATGAATTATACATATATATCACAGGAATATTAATGTGGAAAGTATCAGAGCACATGGACGTGGTAATAAAGCTTATATGAAATTTATTATTTTAGTCATATTACATAACTAATAATCTATATTTTAAAATTTGGATATTTTCATGTTTTTGATAGTTCTAATATATTGCCTTCATAAAAAACTTTCTGCCCTTTTCTGGGAGGGCAAAGAGATAAAATAAATTTTGCTCACCATTTCCCTGTTTGATCAGGTACTTTAACTTATTTAACTAAATAAGAATCATTAACATCAGAAATCAAATTTCTAAAGAGTAGGAACATATAAAATTTTTAATAAGTTTTTTCAAAAAGCTCTTACTGTGTTCCTCATAATTTTTAAAGATGATAGGGTAAAATTATGAAGAATATGTCTTGCTAGAAACTAGTCTTTATTACAAACGCACGCACACACACACACACACAAACAAAAAAAAATCCAAGATTGATGAGTAAACTCAATGGAAATATAGCTATCCAGATAACTGCAATCAAAATAAGCAAATAACTATTTTCAGAGTTTCATGAATATTATCATTCATCTAGGATTTGACACTTTCAGATGCTAGTTCTCTCGCAAGCTTTAACTATCACTTTCTAGTGATTCAGAAAATTAGATTTTCTTTCATAATTCAGTTATTGAGAAAAACAAAAAATGCTGCATATTAGAGTTAAATTATATGCATGCAAATATTTGAAAAAGTACCAAGGCTTTTTCTAGTGTTCTACACACACGTTTTATTACATTCGCATCTTGAAACATTTAAAAATGATCTTTTGAAAACAGTTAATATTCTCTGTACATAAACGTCTTAAAATGTCTTCTGCTCTGACTGAGATAATGAGATAAGCATAGCTGGAATCCTAATATGATTGTGCTTTTGTGCTCTCATTTTTGTCCACAGTTCATAAATTGCTATATTTTCTCTCAGTGCTCTGAGTCCACTTGTGAAAGAAATAATAAGATGCTTTTATAGTGAAAAAGAAGATATGCATCTTTGGTTCTTTACACATATAATATTTGATATGCTTAATAGCATTATAATATAACAATGTTGTCTTCACTCTGTAAAAATGGCAATACTGAAATATGCTCAGTAGAGTGGTGACTATGAATTGCTTTCCTGGAGCAATATGATGTCTGACATTATTCACCTATACTCTTTGCTCAGCCCTCTTGTAACAAACACCATAGACTTGCTATATTTTTTGCTTTATTTTAGGTGTTCCATTTATGATTTATCTAGACCTATAAAGATAATATCTTAGAGCATCAGTGGGTTACAAAATGTATTTTGGCTGTGGAATTCTGCTTTCAAATAAAATCTTTCTTGGAGGCACAACATGTAAAGCTTATAAATTTGAGCTACAATTCCAGATGAGATGCAATTCTTCTTCTTCTTTCCTCTCCTTCATAGGAATCCCCAGAGAGTGCTGTGTCCAGAAGACTGTGAATCACTATTTAAAACCCTGCATAGATTAATGCCTCATTGAAAAAGATTCAGGGATCGAGGGACTAGAATGTGCATCCTTAAGATTAAGAATTGCATTATTGTCATCATGGCAAATATTTTGAGTGGTTATTGTTTGTGAAACATTATGCTGAGTGTTGTAGCTGCATTATCCCAGTTATTCCTTATTACTAGTGTCTGAAGATAACTATTGTTCTTGGCTATGATTTGTAATCCTTTTTACAAAAAGAAAACTGAAGCACAATGTGCTTAAGTAAATTTTCCTGTATTTAGCAGCTGGTAAATGGTTAAGGCCAGAATTTAGCCTCAAGTAATCTGACTCAAAAGATTACTTTTGGGTAATAGTGGACAGGTATTATTTTTTGGTCTAACCCTTTTTCATCAGTCAAGAACTATCCTCTTTTATACCTAAATCTACGTAATTCTAATGAGAATGAATCTCACCCTTCCCAAATCCAGGCATTTTACCTAGGGTGGCCATTCAAAATAATTCTCCCTTTGTGCAGTGTGAGAATCCAAGGTAGACTATATAAGTGGGGTAAATCTCTTTGTAGAATTACTTTGTACCCTGGGAGAGATGTTCATTTTGAGTCGCAAATCTTAAGTATCTGAACTGGATCTGCTGGGGTTTAGAGAAATGGTAGAGGTGGCAGATATTTCTCTCATAATATGGATATTATTTGGTACCATAAACCAAAGTCGAGAGGAGAATTATGCTAAATATTTACCTGAATTTCTCAGTTGTGAGGAGAAAAGTATATTCTTTTATTTTTTTCATATAAACTAATTTGAGTTGACATTTTATCTCTTCCATTTATTTAGTCCCAATTGCTACATAATGGGTCTCTTTATCTCTTAGTTTTCATTTATCTATTAGATTAAATGAACTTCAAACATATATAATGAAGAAAAATATCTTTCTCAAGCAAGCTATTACTAGAGATACAGAAATGCTTAAGACCTAATGTTATTCAAAGAAAGGTTTGAAACAGACATGTAAATTAATTGCAGTACAGAGGGATGCAACATAACTGAGTTCTGTTTAAATTATCAACTTTGTCACTAGAGAAGGAGATTTACGGATTGAAACTTAAGGATAGGTAGTCATGAAGAGGGTTGGGGATCTTTTTTTGGGCCAAAGAAATATGATGTACAATTGTCATAATAAAGTTGCAAAGGAGCATATAGTCCTGAAGAACTGAGTCATTCTTTGAAAAAAAATCCATATTTCTTTGGAATACTAAACAGTGAATACTAGTTAAAATTTGGATTATGATATTTTATACAATTTAAGTGCCTGGTGTGATGATAGGTATTATTTTACATCTATTATTTATTTTAAGAGCTAACCCTGAGTTCAGGGGGAAAAGGTAATACATAGCTGCTATAATTGATCAAAACCTTCTTTCGTAAAATGTAGTCATTTGTGGAAAATAAATATTCTTTGTAACTAAAATAATATTTATAGTTATATTTTGTTTAATTGAGTCTTAGATCTGTAAGCTCTTTTAATATGTATATTCTATACAGATATTCTAATTCTTTCCTTGTATTCAAGATTTAATAGTATAATTTCTCTAACCATGTACTAGTGTTGATAGCTACTAATCTTCTCCAATCTGTTGAAAGAGAAAGGCAGGAGAAAAAAAGAATTGTAATATTTTTATGACACATTTTTGAACCTGAGTAAATATTAAGCATAGGTTGGCAGTAAGACAGTGAGAAGTTGTTTTATGCCAGTTGATTAATCACTAGTAATAGAGTCCTATAATTAAAAAAAAATAATTTTCCAACCCTCTGATTGAAAATCTTTTTTGATTCCACATTAAAATGCATTAATAAAGTGCAATCCTGTTAGCATTATATGCTAGAATCCCGACAACGTAATCATTTATGTTACTAATCTCATTTCTGTCCATTTTACAGGCCCACTCACTTTTCTAGTTATGCCAAATCTCTTCCTGTTTTGTACAGCACCACATGCATATCCTTGCCTTCATGGCATTGAACTTACTCATTTAATCTTTTCATCCCAAGGAAAACTCTTCAATCTTAACGAGGTAATTTAAAATTGATTTCTTTAAATACTGAAATTTTTAGATTTATATATGAACATCTTACTGCCACTATCACGACTATTTAGCAAAGGTCCTAGCATGTGATGCTTAGTCACTCAACAAACAAAAAATAAGAAAGAGAAAAAAAGACAATAAAGTATTCACTGTAATGAAAATATTTATGAATGGCTTACATTTTCATACAATTATCTTGTTGTAATAACATATTTTGCACTTTCACTACTTACTTTTGTAACCAGTTCTTTCATTCATTTATTCACTCATTCATCCAACAGTTAGTTGTCAGGCATTGTAGCATAATGAAAAATACAGTATTCTTTCCTTTAAACAGCATATGTTTTTAAGAAAAATCTTTTATATAATTAAATGTTTCAACATTATATGATAATTTACAAAGGGGTATGGAAGTGTTACAGGACCCCAACACTTACCCAAAGGTAGCCATTGTGTGTGTCAGGGTTTCTGCACTGTAGTCCCTTCTGTGGTCACCAGAAATATGTTACAGCACAAAGAAATATGTTACAGGAAAGTGCTCCCAATCCAAGCCCAAAGAGAGGGTTCCTGGATTTCGTGCAAGGAAGAATTCAGAAAGAATTCAGGGTGAGTCCACAGTGCAAAGTGAAAGCAAGTTTATTAAGAAAGTAAAGGAATAAAATAATGGCTACTCCATAGACAGAGCAGCCCAGAGGGCTGCTGATTGCCCATTTTTATGGTTATTTCTTGATGATATGCTAAACAAGGGGTGGATTATTTATGCCTCCAGTTTTTAGACCATATAGGGTAACTTCCTGACGTTTCCATGTCATTTGTAAACTGTCACGTGTTGATGGGCATGTAGTAGTGAGGACGACCAGAGGTCACTCTCGTGGCCATCTTGGTTTTGCTACGATTTACCCGGCTTCTTTACTGCAACCTGTTTCATCAGCAAGGTCTTTATGACCTGTTTCTTGTGCCGACCTCCTATTTCATCCTGTGACTTAGAATGCCTTAACTGTCTGGGACTGCAGCCCGGTAGGTTTCAGTCTCATTTTACCTAGCTCCTATTCAAGATGGAGTTGTTCTGGTTCACATGCCTCTGACAGAAGTAGAAAGGAGAAAGCATTCAGTTTTGAAAAAGATTTAACAGATGATTTTCATGAATTTTCACAAGTAATTTCAGTTAATTTTATTAATATTCCTTGTTATAAAAATTAGAAGTAAAATCAGAATATCTTATTTATAATGCAGTTTCTCATATTTTAACTCAAGTCACTAGGATTCCTTAAACACACTATATAAAGTTTTTAAGTATTATACAATTTTATAAATAATGCTTCTTTATGTACTCATTTATGAATACACTAAGCAAAATAACAAATCATTTAAATCAATTATATGCTGAAGCAGACACATACTCTACAAGCTCTTCACCTTCACCTTCTGACACACACAAATGGTTTCCCAGTTACTTACACAAGATACATAGTCCATCAATGTCAGGGCTGTATTTTAATGATCATAAATATTTTACTATTAATCATTTTTCACGGTAATTTATTTTCTTATTAAAAGTCATGCTCATCAATCATAATTGTAATCTTTTGTTTTCTTAAACATAATCTTTATCTATCTTCATGTAAAATCTACTTTTCTTATCTTATTACCCATAATTATTCTAACAAAAATCTGTGAGACAAACTTGAAACAATTGGTTTCTTTAAATTTTGTTTCAATATTAACAACGTCTTTGGGTCTATCCATCATGAAAATGAATTTTGTCATAACATGATTAAGCGAAGAAGTAATTTGTACTGCTGTGAAAATGGCTTTGGCTATGGAGATACCATGCTTCCATCTGGTTCCTTTAGCAAGGGTTATGCTATTATACAGCACACTAATTTTCACAATGCTAAAATGTATAGAGGGCCAATTTGTCACAAAGTGCTTTTAAAATATTAAATGCTTACTATCCATTTTATATTGGTTATTTTAGACAAGTTTCACAAATCAGAAAATATTTATATATATTTCTCCTTGAGAAAATGTGTTTCTGTTATTTGTCTTCTTGTAGAAAAAATGTTAAGCTGATGTATAAATATATATTCCAATTATAGTTTTGCATTGTGGATTTATGTGTATGTATGGGAATAAACAGAGACTTAAATAATCATTAATTCTTTCATTCATACATAGAGTGCCCACCAAATGCTAGGAATTGTGTTAGTGGTGAACAAAGGGTCCTTGAATAGATTTTAGAACATAATGGTTAAAGCTGTTTTAAGATATTACAAACAAAATATTAACAGATGAGTCCAAGTGCAATAAAATGACCTAGGGGGAGGAACTGCATATACAAAGGGGGAGGGAACTACTTTAGATTACCTCTTCAGCAATGAATTCTATAAGGAACTATTTATACAGAGGCTTGAAGAAGGAGGCCAGAAGAGTGAGGCAATATAAGTAGAGGAAAGAGGATCTAAGAGTGAAGAAATAGCACTTGTAAAGGCCTGGTTTAGAAAAAATCCATATGCTCAAAAAACTTGAGCTAGGAAAAGTAATGTGCTGGATTATTTATCCTACATTTGAAAAATAAATGAAGCTGGATAGTTGGTATTATTATGTATATTATGCAAAAAGTAGTCTGTAATATGGAAACTGACTCACCTAACAATTTGTGCAAATGGTGCAAAAGCAACATAAAGCAATGATCCACTAAAACCTAGATTAGGGGGCATGTCAACACTGTTATCATGGTTTCAAAATCAAGATTTCTTTTTCTTTTTTTTGGAGGGGGGATGGGGTATGGAGTCTCACTCTGTCACCCGGGCTGGAGTGCAGTGGCGTGATCTCAGCTTACCACAACCTCTGCTCCGGGGTTCAAGCGATTCTCCTGCCTCAGTCTCCCAAGTAGCTGGAATTACAGGCACCCGCCACCACATCTGGCTAATTTTTGCATTTTTAGTAGAGAGGAGGTTTCACCATGTGGGCCAGGCAGGTCTCAAACTTCTGACCTCAGGTGATCCACCCGCCTCGGCCTCCCAAAGTGCTGGGATTACAGGCTTGAGCCACCGCGCCCAGGCTATTTTTTAAAGCTTGTCATCAATAAAAGTCCTCTTCCTATGAGCTTCATTTAATCACGAAGCATTGAGTTAATACGATTTTGTTTCAATTGTGGAAATGTGTTTTACAAATTCTTACATCTCTGTGAAAAGTTTACTTTCTTTTCACATCCCAAAAAACTAAGTCAGGCTTTGAAAATGACTTAAACACAGAAGACATTTATGAGGAGAGGGAAACATTGCTTAGAAATGCTGAGAAGTTCATCAATAGCATATGTCATTCTTAAGCTGTCTGCATATATTATCTTGTCTGACAAATTGTTTATTAAGTCATTAAAATATTTCTAATAGTGATGTGAAGAAATAATTCTTACTTGCTTTTTCTCAATAGAATTTAGCTACGTTTCACTTTATGTTGCTTAATAATGTTAAAAACTTTTCAGTTTAACTACAAAGTTGTAAAATGTGTTATAAATCAGTGAGCAAATTTATATCATAGAGTTTGTAGTAATAATGGTTATGTTTCTTTCAGCAGCCAAGAGTGACCATCTGGCTGTCATGTTTTTGCTCACTGGGAAAGTTTCCCAATGTTCTTACAATGAAGTACAAGGTCCTTCAGGATCCATCCTTCTCCCTTACCTTTCAGACCTTATTTTCTACTCTGTCTCATGCTCAGTGCACTCTATGTAGACTGGCTACCTGCCTGTATTTGAGCTCTAGGTGTACTCCCACCTCCAGGCATTTACTGTTTCTTCACTCCGCAGTGCTCGTTCTCCAGTTATCCATATGGCTCACCTCACAACTTCCATGTTTCTTCTCTAATGATACTTTATCTATCACAGAAGCCTTCCCTGAGTAGCATAGATAAACTAGCAGCTGGCATTCCCCTTGTCACATACTATTTGTCTTAGTTTGCCTTACTTTCCTCATAATACTTTTTACATGACATGTGTATATATTAATTTGTTTGCTTATTGTCTCTACTATTCTTCAGAATAGGAATTGTCTGTATTTTCCTGCTTCATATCCCCAATGTCTAAAAAGATTTCGAGAATCTATAAGATAATCAGTGGTGTATTTGTTGAATCAATAAATTAGTATGGCACTTTATTTACTTGCTGTTTCATTAGTTCATTTTTAGTAACTTATAATTAATGCATAAAAACAAATGTGAGTTTATAATATCCAAAAAATCACAAATTAAATGAAATTATTCAGGTTTAAAAAATTAATATAGGCCAAGCGCAGTGGCTCATGCCTGTAATCCCAGCACCTTGGGAGGCCGAGGCGGGTGGATCACGAGGTCAGGAGATCAAGACCATCCTGGCTAACACGGTGAAACCCTCCCTGTCTCTACTAAAAATACAAAAAAATTAGCCAGTTGTGGTGGCGGGTGCCTGTAGTCCCAGCTACTCAGGAGGCTGAGGCAGGAGAATGGTGTGAACCAGGGAGCAAGAGCTTGCAGTGAGCTGAGATCGTGCCACTGCACTCCATCCTGGACAACAGAACAAGACTCCGTCTCAAAAAAAAAAAAATTAATATATACATCACCTCACATTGTTACCATTTTTTGTAGTAAGAACACTTGAGATATACTTTCTTAGCAAATTTCAAGTATATAAAACTTTGCTATTAACTATCCTCATCATGCTATACATTAGGTATTTAGAACTTCTCATTTCTTTCACCTCCCAGACCCTGGTCACCACCATCCTACGCTCTGTTACTATGAGTTCAACTTTTTTTGTTTTGTTTTAAGTTGTACATCTAAATAAAATCATGCAATATTTGTCTTTCTATGCCTAGCTTATTTTTCTTAGCATAATGTCTTCCAGCTTCACGTGTATTGTTGTAAATGGCAGAATTTCCTTATTTTTAATGGCTAAATAGTATTCCATTGTGTATATATACCACATTTTCTTTATCTATTCATCTACTGATGGACACCTAGGTTGAGTCTTTATCCTAGCTATGGTCAATAGTGCTGCAATAAACATCTGAACATGGGTGTACAAATATCTCTTCAAGACAGTGATATAATTCCTTTGGGTATATGTCCAGAAGTGGGATTGCTGGATCATGTGGTAATTCTATATTTAATTTTTTAAAGAACCTCCATAGATTTTTCTATAATGGCTGTACTCATTTATGTTTCTACCAACAGTCTACAAAGAATCTCTTTTCTGTATATTTTTAACACTTTTTATATTCTAACTTTTTGATTATAGCCATCCCAACAGGTGTGAAGTTGTGAGGTGAAATTTTATTGTGGTTTTGATTTGTATTTCCCTGATGATTAGTGATGTTGATCATCTTTTCACATACATCTTTGTCTTTGTATGCCTTCTTTGGTCCAGTTTGTTGTTGTTGTTTTTGTTGTTGTTGTTGTTGTTTTTGAAGCAACAGTATTGTTGGAGATTAATTTTGAACTATAGATACAAATGTATTTAACTCATATGATTTGGTATTTTCTTAATTTCCCTAGTTGAATGTGTTTTATAAAATTATATAAAATAAAAATAAAATTACAGGACTCTTTATTAATGAAGATTTGTTGAAACACAATAATTAACTTAATAGACTGGTTTTTCAGCAATGTAGTAAGAGAAGAGCCAACACTTTCCCCTACTCTTTTCCAAGTTTGTTGATTATCTGACCCTTAGGCTGGAGCCTTCTCCTCTGGTAAAAGGAAAACTTGAGGATGATTTGTAACTCAGGTCAAGAGTAAAGAATTTTTTGAACCAAGACTTGAGTCCTATGTGAAATTGGCAACAGACACTCCTCTTTTTCTTCTCTTTTTGTTTTTCACGTTGCCTATGTTAATTGATAAAATTCTAGTACAATCTTTTCTAAATCTCATGCTTAATGTACAGTCTATCTTGTCAGTCTAATGAGCAAACTATAAAGTTGTTTAATATTTTTTTTTTTTTTTTGCCGTGTAGATCAACAACTGGAACTGGGTAGTCTAAAACAAAGTAAAGGTGTAGATAATAGTGAGAGATAAGTCTCCTACCTGAGCAGACTAGAATTCTAGACAACTTTCTATTTAAAAAAAAAAAAACTTTAGAAGTAAAAAGTAAAGTAGAAGTCAAGCTGCTAAAGCCATTGAACAATGAATAGAATAAAATTCTAGAATAATAACTGTGGACTTACAAGCCAGAGATCAAGTTATCAGATTCATGCTTTCTGTCTCCTACTAATATGCCAGATATCAGCCATGCTATCATGGTTTTGGTTAGTAAAATGAAAAAAATGATAAGCAACTGGTAGGTTGCAGTAAAGATTAGATAAGGTTAAATAGCCTGACAGGTGATATGTGCACACTGCCATTGTCTTATCCTTTCTTTGTATCCAAACACATAGTAGGATCTCATTTAATAATTGAGAACTAAGTGCCAGCCTTTCAAGTATATTTACTGAGCCTCAGTGTGACATCTCTCTCTTTCTTTTTAAAAATAATCTACACACAATATAACAAAATATGCAGAGCATATTGTGCAATAAATTTTATTTTATGGAGGAGAAATTCTGTAAATACGATTGCTACCACTGTACCAACCACTATTAGGATTGGGTTCCTGGGTGTTCATTCTTATCACCTTGTTAATAAGAAATACAGTGGAAGAGCAAAATGTAGGTTAAAACAGTATTTTTTTTTCTAATGAGGAGAAGCTGGAGGAGGCCGATTTAAATAAAATTGAGTCATACATATTCCCATTTTTAAAAAATGATCTTTTGCCATATGATTTACATAAAACAAAATTACTCATGTTGGACTAAATGTGTCTACAGCCATGAACAGAGAATATTTGTCTGTATTCAATGCAACAGTTTGAAAAGTGAAGGGAGTTAATTACAATATTTAAAAATGTTTATTGTGTAGAATGGTCAGGTCCTTTAGGATATGTGGTTAAACATTGAGACCAATAAAAATTGAATGGACTTTTGAATTGAAATATACAGAAGAATAGAATATTATATGTTTTGGTAATTGTTTAGTTGATTTTCCATTATAATAATCAATTAAAACATGATTTAGACATAACTGTTTTTACTGTGTGACCATAGTTCTTTTCCTTCAGTATGGATATAAGCAATTATACAGTAGTTGTCTTTTATAAAACTAACCTCAATGTACATCTGGGATATACATGATGATATTTAAAAACTACTAAACATTATTTGTATAAATTAATTCTAATTTTCCATCTGTGAATTAATAAAGAAAATGATGTTCCTAGGGAAAGATACTTCTTGATGCTTATGTAAAAATATTAATTTTTCTTGCCTGGAGTGGTTATGTGTACCTGTAATCCCAGCTTCTTGGGAGGCTGAGGCAGGAGAATTGCTTGAACCCAGGAATGGGAGGTTGCAGTGAGCCAAGATCGAGCCATTGTACTCCAGCCTGGGTGACAGAGCAAGACTCCGCTCAAAATATATATATATATTAATTTTTCAAACACATCACATTTGTAGGTGTTTTTCATGTGTTGATAGCCTGAGATACTGGCCTAGTTTGGGTTAATACTCCCCCAAAATTCATCAAAAGGAAAAAAATATAATTTTGGTTTTTAAAATTTAGTCTATATTTCTATCAACAGTGAAATGTAATGGAACATTGAATTTTCAGTGATTTAAAATGTGTGGTTTTAATTTCTGAAAAATTCGTTACAGCATACATATATGGTGAATTTCAGAAACTTCACCATTGCATTCAGATTTTGTAAAATTGGATTTCCTGATTTCGTTTCTTTTGGTGAAGTGGAAAATGCTGTGAGAACCAATGGTGACACATACTATACTCAGCTACTCCATGCTTCTCATTTCCTTCTCTTCCTGAGAACTGGAGATGAGTGAATCTCACAAAATTATTCTAGTATTAATTTAAATTTTTTATGTTTACTGTCTTAATCTTTGTAAAAGAAAATCAACAATTACCAGAATTACTAAAAGAAGTTTGAACAAAATATCTTGCATTAATATCTGCAGATAATTGACAAATATGATTCTACAATGTTATTAGATTATTTTATATTTTTTCCATTGAATAGTGCTTAGTATGACTGGATTATCAGATATTTTATAAACATACACACACACATATAACACTTACAATATTTCTTCATAAAATTCCATTTTTTACCCTTCCTTATCTCACTAAATGGCATCACCCTCTGATGCCTAAACAAACAAATATAAACAAAAAAGTAAACATTATCTTTAATCTTCAAATTATCTCATCTCCCACAATCAGTTCCATCAGTTTATCATTTTTAACCTCAATGTATGTTTCAAATCTTTTCATTTTTTATTATCATCTCAATTTTCAGCCTTTCGGTCCAAGCCATCGTCATTGCTTCTCTGCACTAAATGCAGTATCTCCACACTATACCTCTATTTCCACTTTTCTCTCTTTGTAGAAAACAGTGTGATCTGTGATAAAGTCACAGCACTACTCTACTTAAATTTCGTCAATAGCTTCCTTGAACTTAAAATAACACCTAGACTCTTTAGTTAATTTCCATAGCTCTATGTTATTCAGTCCCCATTTATCCATTCCTCAATAATTATTGTTCTCTGGCAACATTGTCCCTGTTTCCAGATTTAGGGTCTTTATACCTGCGATGACCTTAGATCAAACTGCTTTTCCACATGTTATTTGAATGGATGATCCCTTCTTATCCTTAGGAATCAGGTCAAGATTATTTCTTGAAAAAGGCTTTCATGGTTCCGCTAAAATAACTCACGCAATCTCTAATGACTCTGTATTCTATAATCCTCTTGAATTTCTTAATAACATTTAATTTTAGTAATCCATGCTATTTTATTGTGTATCTTTGCCCTCACATATGCTCCTTGATGGGATAGATGAAGGCAGAAACAAGAAAGCAACAATAAAAAAATCTCATTTGCCACTGTAACTCTGTCCATTACAATAGTGATTTTCCACATTGTTGAAATGTAGTAGATGCTGTAAAATAAATAATTGAATAGGTATTTTTATCACTTTATATTATTTTCTATTGTCATTTCAAACCTCAAATATATTAACTCAAAAAACTGTGTTCTCATCTTGAATGAAATAGTTTTTCACTGACACAATTAGCCATTCTCTATTTCATTTATATCATTTATTGTAAATATAATATATTTGTAGTTTTTGTTGTTGGCTTTCCTGGAACTCTAATCCATGACCAATCAAACACAAAGTTTAGTGTACTCTTTCTAGCTAATGTGTACTACACATTTATTTTCTTAGGGCCCCTGTGTCACGCCCTTACCCATTGTTAAGCCAATTTTAAAGTCTCTTTTTATTTTATTTTATTTTATTATTATTATACTTTAAGTTTTAGGGTACATGTGCACAATGTGCAGGTTTGTTACATATGTATACATGTGCCATGTTGGTGTGCTGCACCCATTAACTCGTCATTTAGCATTAGGTATGTCTCCTAATGCTTTCCCTCCCCCCTCCCCCCATGCCACAACAGTCCACGGAGTGTGATGTTCCCCTTCCTGTGTTCATGTGTTCTCATTGTTCAATTCCCACCTATGAGTGAGAACATATGGTGTTTGGTTTTTTTTGTCCTTGCGATAGTTTGCTGAGAATGATGGTTTCCAGTTTCATCCATGTCCCTACAAAGGACATGACCTCTTCATTTTTTATGGATGCATAGTATTCCGTGGTGTATATGTGCCACATTTTCTTAATTCAGTCTATCGTTGTTGGACATTTGGGTTGGTTCCAAGTCTTTGCTGTTGTGAATAGTGCCGCAGTAAACATACATGTGCAAGTGTCTTTATAGCAGCATGATTTATAATCCTTTGGGTATATACCCAGTAATGGGATGGCTGGGTCAAATGGTATTTCTAGTTCTAGATCCCTGAAGAATCACCACACTGACTTCCACAATGGTTGAACTAGTTTACAGTCCCACCAACAGTGTAAAAGTAATTGATCAGACTACCTCCAGTGTTTCTTTGTCATTTTGTCCTCCTACATTTTCAAATAGATCTTCCCAAACACCACTTTCTTATTGCTATTCTTCTATTCCAAAAGTTTTTTTTTTCTTTTTCTTTTTTTTTCTTTTAGCTTTCTGCAACCTATTGGTTAAACTACACCCTCCTTTCTTTGGCATTCAAACCCTATAGAATGCTGGCTCAGAATACATTTTCAACTCATTTTCTCCTTCTCACTATATATATACTTCTTGCTTCATGTAAAAAATTTTTTCACAGTCCTGAGCCTACATGTTTGTTCAATATTTATCCTTTCTATTTAAGTTTTATCTGTCCTTCAGAGAACACTTCAAATCCTTCTGTAGCCAGCTCAGCTCACAGTCTGGATTCCTCAGTAAGTCATCTGTAAATGGCCACAGCATCTCTCTGTAATGATATTTGCATTCATTCACTTTCCAGAATGCTTTGTTCTGATTGGCTTAAGAAGGATTATAATGCAATTGTGAAAAGAGCAGGTACTTTGGGATCACACAGTGTTGATTGAAATCTAAGCCCTATTACATTCAGTCTTGGAAAAGAGGACAAATAATTTAATATCTTTGAGCTTTGGAGCTGTTCATCTGTAAAACTAAATTAATAGTGCCTGTATCATAGGATGGTTTCAGGGATAAAAATAAAAGAATGTATGTATGCATCTGCTTTGATACGATGTGGGTAGTCATTCCCTCCCACATTTTTCACTACAAATGAACAATTCTCAAGTCTCAACTCAATTCCCATCTCTTCCCAGACTTCCTTGATAATACCAGCATGAAATGCTTGCGTTCTTCTCCAAATTGCAAGAATGATTATTTGGTCATTTAGTATGACTTTTTTAGCATACTCTGTTAATATTAGTTGTTGTATATTCTACTACCATTTAAATAATGGCCTCGTATCTACTGAGAATTTGCTATATTTCAGTGCTGAGGTATGTACTTTATCCACAAAGGAAAGGTAGATAAAATGGTTATGTGGATGAGAAAACTAAAGATCAATAAAATAATAAATCATCCAGGGTCACACAGCTTCAAGGCTAAGGATTCAAACTCAAGTCTGTATAGTTCATGTTCATAGTTGTTAAAATACGATCACAATTTATTTTTGTTTCATGCTCTATTTTGCAAAACTGATTTTAAATTTTTGCAAGCAGGAATATTATGTAAGATGCTGTAGAACTTTGTATGTTCTTTAAATAATATTGGTTGAGAGTTTTGTAGCCTAAAAATGTTTTTATCCTACATTAACTGAATACATACACACACATCCTAACAATATTTCATATGTGTATACAGTATGTGTAATTTGTATATTAAAAGATGAAATTGTGTGTTTATATATGCATATGTGTGTGTGAATGTGTGGTCATATATATATATACATGTATTTTATTAAAATGTGTTTGAAAAAATATGTATATCCACATCTATATATGTCTCCACATATACATTTACATATATTCACATTTGCATGTGTGTATAATTCATATATTCTAAATTTAAAATGCCACAGTAATTCTTCTCAATATTTATTCTAATTTTGCAAAACTCCATTGCTACTATCCATATTAGCAATCACATCAGCCTTTCCTTCTAATATGCACATAATTCAGAAAGTTGAGTTTAGAATGTCTTGACCTGAATTCACACTCTAATTTGGAGGAGATTACTGGGTCTCAGACAGTCTTCTCTCCTCCTTCTCTTCATTTGCTCTTTTCTTTCCTATTTATCTGGGGAAAAAAACCTCTCCCAATTACAGCTGAAGACTGTTTAGTGCACAGCTAAAATTTGGGGCCATGGAGGTTCCTAATAGTGGACTCCAAACAGAGACAGTCTTAACCTTACAGACCCAGGAAGCTAATTTATTTTTCTGTGGCCATGGGAATAATTTAAAATTTTTAAATAGTTTGTGTACTCAGGTTACAGAATATAAAATAACAAATGTGTCTCCCTTACTGTTTAAATTGTCAATGTCATCTGAGTAAGAAATTAGGTAACTAAGGAATAAACTCTTGTTTTTATAAGATATCCTTATTTGCAGTAGAAGGACTCCCAAATATGTAAGTTAATGCTTTAGGGAAAACACCACTAGTAGTTGAAATTTGCAATTACTTGGACTTACTAAATACTGAACATTATGAGGAACATGAACAAGTAATGATGTTTTTGTTAACAACAACCTTAAGCTTCAAACAATTAGCTATTAAAAATTTGTATGCCCAGTTACCTAGCATGCATTTTAATTATCTTCCACCTTGTAGATCTCCTTCTTGCTGTCTTCATAACAAAAGTACGCATGTTTAAATCTTGCTGAGTCTAACCGGAGCAAGGAACCTCTACACATTAGGAAATATTATCAATAACCTTCTTAAGATTCCCCTAGAGCCTTCCGCGAGCTCTGCTGATGATGAGGACACTGAAATGTTTTATAACTAGGATTCATCTGCATCACACAGAAATGAGAATTATATTTGTAATTTTGAGGAATTGCCTTGAGGAATCTTTGTGGTCAACCCACTGGCTAAAAAAGCCTGCAGCAGAAAGCCTATTGAAAATAAGATTAAAAGAAGCTTTCATCTGTAAGAGGTATAGTAAGAGGTTAACTACTTTTCTTGATTTTCAAAAGGTCAGTCACACGGTAGGTAAACAGTGAAAGTGAAAATAATTGGTCATTACCGGTACCAAAGTGCCAAAGTGTAATAGAGCAGGATAGTTCTCTGTGTAAGAAGAACATTCTAAAGCTTCAAATGATGTTCAGAAGGTTTTCTGAAGGCCAGAAGCCTGTTTGTATAGTAACTTTGGCATGCTTCAGGATCTATAAATATATGCTAATAAACAGAATAGAATCATTAGTTTGGATCAAGCAGAATTCTCAATGTATTCAGATTCAAGAATTTAAAAATCCATTTCCACTTTTTATATTATTCTAAAATTGTACAAGATTTAAAAATTAATTCTATGTAGCAAACATTTTGAGTGCTTATTCATTTTTTGTTTCCTCTGCCCCACTCCTCTAATTCTGACAGGACCTATATGTTGTTCATATACTTATACCCCATCTGCCAGAAATCTGACCCAGTCCCTGCATCATCCAGAGATAGACCACTGTTTTGTGTGGGGTTTTTTTGAGACAGAATCTCGGTCTGTCGCCCAGGCTGGAGTGCAGTGGTGCGATCTTGGCTCACCGCAACCTCCGCCTCCCGGGTTCATGCCATTCTCCTGCCTCAGCCTCCCAAGTAGCTGGGACTACAGGCGCCCGCCACCACGCCCGTTTTTTTCTATTTTTTAGTAGAGACAGGGTTTCACCGTGTTAGCCAGGATGGTCTTGATTTCCTGACCTTGTGATCCTCCCACCTCGGCCTCCCAAAGTGCTGGGATTACAGGCGTGAGCCACCGCGCCCGGCCAGACCATTGTTTTTCAAACCTGACTGCAAGTGGTAATGACCTAAATGATTTTAAAAATTAATAATTTCTAGGCCCTCACTTGAGAGATTCTGATTTACTTATTTTAAGCTGGGTCACAATAATTTGTAACTGAAAAAATCCTCATGTGATTCCTAAATGCAGATATGATTAATAACAAGTGGCCTAGAGAGAGTTAGCATGGTAATGCTATTTCTTTGCTAATGATTGGCTTAGGTAGAGGCATATAATCAATTAGTAGTTAATGAGATATGAGAGGAAATCTATTTATGGGACTCCAAGGAAAGGCCATCTTATTTTTGAAAAAAAAAAAAACTGCGGGAATAAAGAGTTCATTTAAAGCCCTTAGATACTGTTTCGAGGCAACAAACTGCTTGATCGGTAAGGATAAATAATAAAGAGGAAAACACAAGTGGACAAAGGAATAGAAAATGGTAAATGGTTGCAGTCTAGGGTAGAGTGCTCTCTCAAAAACAGCCTCACTTAAGAGGGTGGTTTTTGAAAAAAAGACCTAGAGGAAAAGGAGTTAATCATGTGAATATGAAGCAAGAAAAGAGCAACTCTGAAAATTTGAATCAGCAAGGAGGCCAGTAGGGTTGGAGGTAAATGAGTGGAGACAAGAAAAGCAGATTGCCAAATAGGTAAGCAGGGGACCAGATTACACAGAGCTCAGTAAACCATACTGAGGTCTTTGTCCTTTGAGGAAACTAACAAGCCAGTGAATGCTGATCATTGGAAGAATAATAAGATCTTATTTGTCTTTTTAACAGGGTCACTATAGATGCAATTTTAAGAATGGATGAGGGTAAGGGATCGAAAGAAGAAATAAGTGGATTAGTTAAGAGTTATTGTATTAATCTGAGACAGAGACATGTCTTGATAAGTTGATTGCAATAAAGGTGGTAAAAAGTGATCAAATTTTGAGTATAACTCGAGAGTATAGCCAACAATGTTGGCATTCCATTAAAGTTTATGCGTAGTTTTTAGATAACAAATCTCTTAGCCAGGGTCACTAATAATGAATTCACCTATTTTTTTCCTTTGAATTATATTAGTCTACACTATAGGAGCTATCATAAGGCTTTCATGATGTGTGTGAATTTATCCCTTGTTCAACTAACAGACATATTTCTGTGAAAAATGGAAACAATAATCAAAGAGTAAAGGCCTTCTTAATAATTTGGGCTTATAGTGTCTTAATCTTTCTGGCAAGAATCCCACAGAATTCAGTTACCCAGTATCTTTATGTCCAAATAACCAAGACGTCTTTTGTTTTTTAACCCGTCTCATCCTAAGGACTTCTTTTGGTTTCAATTAGGCTTCCAGTGCAAGAAGAGTCTCATAATACCTACAGTTCATGTTAGTCACATTTTCCAAAAGCCTTCTAAATGTAAAACTTTTAAGGTATCATTCAATATTGTCCTATTCTTATTTTAATTTAGAAAAAAAATTATTATAATTTTAAGGAAGAGTAAAACTCCAACCATGCAATTTCTTAGCTAGAATAAATCTTTTTAATTGTTATTTTATTGTTAATTGGCAATTTATAATTGCATATACTTATGGAGTATAGAGTAATGTTATGACTTATTAATGCAATGTGGAATATTTAAATTAAGCTAACATATCTATGACTTCAAATATTTATTATTTTTGTAGTATACACATTTGAAATATACTCTTAGTAATTTTGAAACATACCATACAATATTATTAAGTATATTCACCATGCTGTGCAATAGATCTCACAATAAAAACATATTCCTCCTATCTAACAGAGCTTTTGGAACCTGTGATCATTATTTCCCCATTCTTGCCAACTCCTAGCTTCTGTAACCACCATTCTATTCTCTATATCTGTGAGTTTGATTACTTTAGATTCCACATATAAGTAAGAACATGCTATATTTGTCTTTCCGTGCCTGGCTTATTTCACTTAGCATAACATTCTCCATTTCCATCCACATTGTCACAAATGACAGAATTTCCTTCTTTTTTAAGGCTGAATAGTATATGCTCCACATTTTCTTTATCCATTCATCTGTTGATGGACATTTAGATTGTTTCCATAACTTGGCTAATTTGAATAGTGCTGCAATGAATATGGAAGTGCAGACGTCTGTTCAACAAACTGATTTCAGATCTTTTGGGTCTACACTCAGAAATAAAATTGCTGGATCATATAAATCTATTTTTAGCTCTTTTACCACGCTCCATAAAGTTTTCCATAATGGCTGTACTAATTTACATTTTCACCAATGATGTACAAGAGTTCCCTTTCCTCCACATGGAATAAATTTTTATCTTGGACTTTATAACAGTGTTTTTTTTTAAGTGCAAAAAATATCTCCATTAAAATATGTGAGATGTTTATTTAAAATGCAGATTCACCAGAGCTTGAATATCAGACATTTTAATAGATGAATAAAAACATGTATCAGACACTTTAATCAATAGGTATTAAAATTTAACTGGTTTCAGGAAATAATTACACAAAGAGCTATGTCTTTAAAGGGTTAAATATATTTTTGCCTGCATACATTTTCTAAAACTGGGTGCTTCCTATACTCTTGAAAGAAAAAAGTAACCTCCTAAGGCACAGGTCATAGCATGCAAATGGACTTTTAACCTTTAATTAGTGGTTTACCCTGGATAGTAATGGTTTCTAACCTCTTTAGTAAATAAACAGCTTATAGAAAGCCAGGAACTTTGGGAATGTAATACAAATGGATTTATTATTAACATTTGAGTGACTCATAGTTGATTTATTCATTACCTAAAAATTTGAGTATGTAATCTACTCTAGGTTAAGTTGTACTTATAATTTTGGAGGAATGATAGATGAATAATTTTTCTGCAGTTATATTGAATTGATATACTGCTACATTTAGACCTGGACCTGGGCAGAAATACATCTCAGGATAATGAAAACAATAAACCATGGTTGAAATTTGGCCCATTGCCTATTTATGCAAATAAAATGTTGTATTGACACAAGCTATGCTCATTCATTTACTTGCTGTCTATGGTTCCTCTCGTGCTGCAATGGCAGAATTGACCAGTTGCAACAGAGACCATATGTCCCACAAAGTCTAAAATAGTTCTATCTGAACTTTCATGAAAAAAAAAAAAAGTTTGCTGATTCCTAGTCTAATCCATTGTTCAGTTTGGTTCAATATCAAAATATAATGTTTGGTGTAAGATCAACAGATATGCAGCTTCGAGGTTGCGCCCAGAATTTTATACGTCACTTTGTGACATTGCACTTTTGAGCTCCCTCCTCTGCAACGTCCCTAAAATTACTCAGCTCCCTGGAGCCTCCTTCATATAGTCGTCTGTCTAGAAAGCTGGGACTTTTTTTCATCCTTTACTGAACACTTCCTATAATTTTGTCTGCTTCTAGAGCTAAGTAGTGGAAAGACACAAGACAAGCAATAGAGATTTGCCCAGGTTCTTAGTAGCCGAGCTCTTCTGGTCAGAGAAAAGGGTGCTCCTTTTTCAGCATGTTAGGTTGTCACTACTGCATTGTCACCATTGCCACACATGCCACTATATGATTGCCTGAGATCTGAGGGAGGAAAAAAAGAAAGAAAGAAAAAAGATGATTTCTGCTAATCTCTGACCTTTAAAAGTCTAACTTCCTGATTTTTGAATCCAGTAAGTGGGAATTTTACTTAAAGCTCTTCAGTTCCTACCTGCCAGGTTTTGGACTGCCATTGGATTTAGGCATGGAGATATCAGAAGGGTAGGTGAGGAACAAGAGAGGATCTCTGTAAGCTTTGTAGTGCTTCAAATTCTTTACTTCCCTAAGCCTCCTGCAAATAACTTCTGAGAGTCTGCATATAGCTGTTCATGAATTCTGTCAAGTTTGTAATTGGACTCATGGGAAGAGACAGGGTAGAGATTGTAGGCTATCATACCTAAGAACCAGAAGCATCTTGATAAGGTTATTTTTAAGTCAAATAATATATCTATAGAGTGCTACACACCAACTCACTAACCTGACTGGCAGATTTCAATGTTTTCCTATCACAGAGAATCTCCCAGGCTTCTATTTCGCATCCCTCAAATTCCAGCGTATGCAACTAGGAGAAAGAAAATCATAGCTCCCTTTCTGAAACAGCTATTCAGTCTCAAATAGACAGAATACTATTTGATCTTCCTGAAGGATTTGTAAAATATATTGCTAGGCCTTAACTTCTCCTTGAAAATATTATCCAGTTTTATGCTATCTTTTTTCTTTTTTTTTTTTGAGACAGAGTCTCACTCTGTCGCCCAGGCTGGAGTGTAGTGGCGCCATCTCAGCTCACTCCAACCTCTGCCCGCTCCCCGCCACCTGGTTCAAGCGATTTTCCTGCCTCAGCCTCCTGAGTAGCTGGGATTACAGGCATGTGCTATCACACCTGGCTAATTTTTGTATTTTTAGTAGAGATGGGGTTTCACCATCTTGGCCAAGCTGGTGTTGAACTCCTGACTTCGTGATCCACCTGCCTCAGCCTCCCATAGTGCTAGGATTACAGGCGTGAGTCACCATGCCCAGCTTCAGAGTCTATTCTTATCTTAAACTTGTTTATCCTAATAGTCCAAATATACAGTTATGTAACATGAGATACACTAAGTTGATTTTCTTCTCTTCAGATAAATGTTTGCTCATATTTGGGAAGACTTTCTAGTAAGATTTGTTCCAAATGGAACAAATCCTTAGCTCCCGTTATACTCCCTAATCTTACTATTATAGGACTTAGAGTCTTTGAATCTTTTTTTTTTCAAAATGGAGTCTCGCCCTGTCACCCCGTGGAGTGCAGTGGCGTGATCTTGGCTCACTGAAACCTCCACCTCCTGGATTCGAGCAATTCTCCTGCCTTAGCCTCCCGAGTAGCTGGGATTACAGGCACATGCCACCACACCCGGCTAATTTTTTGTATCTTTAGTAGAGATGGGGTTTCACCATGCTGGCCAGGCTGGTCTTGAACCCCTGACCTCATGATCTTCCTGCCTCGGCCTCCCAAAGTGCTGATATTACAGGCGTGAGCCACTGAATCTTCTTTTCTTATATGATTGACAAGCAAGAACAAAAAAACACAAAAATCCCTGCACAGATAATCATAAAAAAGCGATAGTTTAAAACAAAAATATGACCTAATCAACATTATGTAAAATAACCAGAATTGAAGACATAAGCATATCTTGAGTAATTGTTTATCTTGATAGGAAGTAGAATTTCAGTTCATGTACAATATTAACTCTATTACTATTCCTAAACAATTTCATAATTTTTTTCCACCTATGAGGAAGGAAATTTAAAAGAACAAAGCGTTTTGTCCTAGAACACAAAGAAAATGACTGCTAAATCTGTATATCAAATCTCTATATTTTGATTTCAGTATGTTGTTCCTCAGTACATTTCTCTAGAATGATCTTCAGTTGTCTATTGCTTTCTAAGTTATAAAACTAAAATTATTTCTAGTATAGGATTAGAAAGCTAATGAAAGCAGAATATAATTGTAAGAGTTAAGGAAAGAGGAAAGAAACATGAAAAGCGGCTCAACAGTCAAAGACAGGTTTATTTTGGAGAATTAGCATGAGAGGGGCTTCTGGAGAATTTCAGTCAGGAGCACTCTCTCTTACAGACTAAGAGAATTTAAGGGTTTAGGGCGAGAGGTCTTATCACAGGCTTGGAAAGTTTCTGTGTGGAGGAGAAGTTTATTGCAGGGTTGGAATGTCTCTGGTCAGAAGGAAGGTTATCTTGGGGCTGACATCTCTCTGGTTGGAGAGGAGGTTATCTTGGGAATGGCATGTCCTTGGTTGGGGAGGGGTTTATCTTAGGATTGGAATGTTTCTGGTCAGAGGTGTCATTTTTGGTTTATGGTCATGCTGACATTACCCATTAGCCTGATGCCCTTTGGGTTGGATTTAGGCAGTTTTTGATCAAGGGGAACTTTAAAATGGTCGTGCTTGTCCAAGATGGTGAAGCTCCTGCTCCATCAATAATTCCGCTTTGTTATTATTTAATTACAATGAATTATTCAATTATTTTAAAAATTGGAAAAAAAAATCCTGCCAGACAGAAAAAGAGTAATCAACAATCAAATAGTGACTGTGTTAGCAACTTTATCAAGAGGCTAGCTAATAATATGAGTTGTAAGATTACTAAAAAGTTGCAAGTGCTTTGATTCTTAGTGACTTAAAACTAAACATAAGTGTTGTTTAGTTATATTGATAAGCTCTCTGTCTAATTGATCTTAGTGTTCCAAACTACGGACTACATATTAAACCAAATCAGCAGCATAATTGGTAGAAGACATAATTGAAAAATAGACTGAAATTGTGATTGAAGTCTACATATATAAAATTAACTGAAAATGGATTATATGCCTATACATTGTATGTAATACTTAGACTTTATGACTATAACTATAAAACTTCTAGAAGAAAACAGGAGAACATGTTTGTGACTGGAGTTATATTTTTTTAGACATGAAACCAAAAGCATGACTCAGAAAAATGGCTAAATGAGACTTATTACTTAAAACTTATTTTCGAAAGACACTGTTGAAAGGATAAAAGACAAGCCACAGGCTGGGGAGAAATATTTGCAAATCACATATCTGATAAAAGAGTTGGATCTGGAATGTATACATTATTTTTAAAGCTCAATCACAAAAAATAATTTACAAATAAATGGGCAAGAGGTTTCAACAGACACTTCATCAAAGAAGATAAGTAGGCAAATAGGTACATGAAAAGATAAATTGGCAAATAGTCTCATGAAAAGATGCCATCATTAGTCAATAAGAATATGTAAACTAATCAGAATTAAACTTAGTATACACCTATTGCGATAGTAAAACTAGCCTAAGTGTAGGAAAAGATAGGGAGTGACCATAACTTTCAAACACTACTGATGGAAACGTAAAATGGAACAACTTTAGAAAAAGTATGATCGTTTCTTAAAAATTTAAATGTAACTTACAACGTATGATCTAATCATTCCTCTTGTAGTATTTACCCAAAAGAGAATTGAAAGCAAATGTTCATACAAAGATTGTCGACAGATGTTCAAAATAGCATTATTTGTAATAAACAAAAACTGGGAGCAGTAAAGGAATTGTGGTATGTCCATACACTGATATACTACTAAACAGTAAAAACAATGATTGATGTACATACTGAGTGAAAAAAGCCAAACGAAACAGTGTTGGCAATTTGTGATTCTGTTTATACAAAATTTTAGAAAATGTAACTTAATGTTTTGTGGTAAACAGATCAGCAGTTAAATGGGGATGAGTTGGAGGGCAATCTGAGAGGAATTCCAGTGGTCCAATGGATGTATGGCAGCTTTTGGAAGATAAATACATATTCATTATTTTGATGGCTTCACAACTGTATATGAATGTTAAAACTTAACAAATTGTACACTTTAAGTATGTTCAGTTTATTCTATCTCAATTATGCTTTAATATAGCTGGATTTTAAAAAATCTGTGTTGATGACAGCTATGGTATTATGCCCTGAATATGGATATAAAGATAGTTAAACAAATTTTGTTTGTTTGTTTTTAAGTATACCAACAGCCTGTAGTGAGGCAAAAAATATAAACATCAGTGCCTTCTTGCTTGACATCAATGAATTTGTATCTCGTTCTGAAGAATAAAAGGCTTTTGTATAAACTGGAAGGACTATAAGACAATGAAAGAGTAGAAAGATGCCAAGGCAGGAAATTTGTATGAAAGGTCTATGAAACTGTACTTAACTAAACTAAATGGGAAAACATTTAAGCACAGTTAGGAAAAATTAGACCTAAAACATAGTATATACATTTAACTTTAAAGATATCAACACGTATTATTGTGTTTGCTTTAGAAATAAAATATTTATATTTTCTCACTTGTTATTGTTGTCTGGGGTTGTTGCTGTTTTGGAACCTCCTTTGGCCAAATGAATAAATTTATTGTTGCTGTGATTTGAATGTGTACCCTTCAAGATTCATGTATTGAAACTTAATCCCCACTGTGGTGATATTAGGAGGTGTGGCCTTCGTGGACATATTATAATTAAGTCATGAGGGCTCTGCCCTCATAAGTGGATTAGTGCCTTATAAAATGGTTAGAGATAACTAACTTAGCCCCTCTTTGCTCATTTACTCTTCTACCATGTGAGGAAACAGAGTTCATTCCCTCCAGAGGTTGCAGCAACAGATGCCATTTTGGAAATGCAGACCAGGCTGTCACCAGACACCAAACCAACTGATGCCTTGATATTGCACTTCATAGAGTTAAGGACTGTGAGAAATTTTTGTTGCTTATAAATTATCCAGTCTGTGGTATTTTCTGATAGCAGCAGTAACAGACTAAGAAAAAGAGCACTTACAAAATTACCAAATTGATTAAATGACAAAATAAGAAAGAAAATTTAAAAATAAAACGATTAAAAGTGTAAGTCCACAAAAGTAGGTTTAATATTTTGTAAGTAATGGAATTATATATCTGAGGTGGGATCATTAAGAGATCCAAGTTCAAACTGCATAACATTTCCATTCAGTTGTTTTTAAGAGAACTATTAATGCCATCTGTTACACGCATCACTGCTATATGATGAGATTCATCAGGACAAGGATTTTTTTTACTGTTTGGTGACTTCCCAACATTTAGAATTGTGCCTGGCACATAGTAAATGATACATGTGGAGTAAATTTTTATTTTCAATTCTAAGATATGGTAGAAAAAATATTTAGAGTTGTCTGTAAACTAAGACTGTGAAAACAAATGTAACATATTTTATAAAAATGCTATGGTATTTTCCTAGTGTTGTTATTTTCCTAATCTTGTTTTTCAAATTCTATATTTTGTCATCTACTTTTTATATGAGAGATGAAACATAAAGGAACTAGAATATTATTACCATTCTAAAATTTTTAGTATTCATTTTAGAAGATTTGCCTATTTTCAGTCTTTAATCTCTGTAGTAAATTCAGATCCCTGGGACCCAAATCAGAGGAAACTCTGTGACATACTCCAGGAGTATATGCCAGGAAAATTCATTTTGAATAGACACTACCTTTGATTGCTTACACAGAGGATAACACTTGCTTTTCTTTATGTTTTGGCAGGAAGGATACGTTTATTTTATCTGAAATTACCACTTACAGGCACGGTCTTCTTTTTTAGTTTAACTTGAAAGCTTTATCTGATGTTCAAAAGCTTTATGTGCCTATTTGAAATGTTTTACTTCTATTAAAATGCAGTTTTGGATGGCAGGCCAAGATGGCACTGTATTTCAGGCAGCCCATTAATTTTATAAACCTAAATATAAAATATTGGGTGAATGTTAATTGTTCTCTCTGAGGAGAGAACATATGGCCATCATTAAATTCTCAAATGAATTTGTGATGCAGTGAGAAAAATGCTTATAAACCACTAATCTACAATGCTATTTTTTAACCAATAATTTCCTTTTATTTAAATTAACCAATCAGGATTGGAAGTTTATGAAAAGGATGACTGACTAGAAGTGACTGACTCTTGCCCTTTCCTTCCAAAAAGACCAAAACAATAAATAAGCAATTATTTTTTGACTAGAGTGACTGAAGAAATAAGCTGGAATACAACCAAGTACAACAAAGGAATGGAAAAATTCTTCTGGGACGCAGAAACCCAGGATGAAAGCAAGCATACAGGGGAAGTGAAACTTCCCATCTCCAGGATCTAATCTTCCCTGCTGGGATCAGCTTGTAGCCAGAAGGGATTCTCATTGTGGAGAAAACATAAGCTGGAGGCTCCCAGCATCCTCATTATTGATGCACACACTTGCAGTTCTTATTACACGACAAACCCACGGTCCTCATGAGCCCTGGATCCAGTTTGGAGAGCTTCCTGGAATTCATGCCACTACTTTGCTCATGTTGTATACCCCCAACCCTCTTGGCCCAAACTCTCATGGCACAGTGCTATCTTGAAACTGGACCAAATCACAGTGTGTCCTGATCTGCTGCCAGTAGCCGTCATATCTCTCCATTCCTGAGACTCCAGTCATTCCACCATACTCACATTGGTGGTTTAAGCACAACAAACCTGGCTGCTCAAAACCTAGACCCAGCAGAATGGCCGTGATCCCACTGTCTAAGCCTGCATGACACTTTACCTCTCAAGGAAAATGCCATCTTGCACAGTGGTGTAACTGACCCTAGATTGGCTTCTGGCAAGTCTGCCCCAGAAGCAAGCAACCTGCTGCACGAATGTATGCCTGCACAGACAGCTGGCCCCATGACTATGTCAGAAAAATGCGTACAAACCATTAATTTGTATTTTTTAACCAATAATTATCTTTTATTTACACTATCCAATCAAGATTGGAAGTTTATGAACATGATGAATGACTGAGTTTTTGCCTTTTCCCTACAAAAAAAATACTAAAGCAACAAATAAACAAATACATTTTGACTAGAGTGACTAAAGAAATAAGCTGAGCCAGGCGTGGTGGCTCACGCCTGTAATCCCAGCACTTTGGGAGGACGAGGGGGGCAGATCACCTGAGGTCAGGAGTTCGAGACCAGCCTGGCCAACATGGCAAAACCCCGTCTCTACTAAAAAAACAAATATTAGCCAGGCATGCTGGCATGTGCCTGTCATCCCAGCTACCCAGGAGGCTGAGACAAGATAATTGCTGAAATCCAGGGGGCAGAGGCTGCAGTGAGCCAAGATTGTGCCACTGCACTCCAGGCCAGGTGACAGAGCAAGGCTCTATAAGAAAGAAAGAGAGAGAAAGAAAGAGAGAAAGAAAGAAAGAAAGAGGCTGGGATATAGGAGACCAGTGAAGTAAAGTCACAGAATACAAGGCTCCACCGATCATCCTCCCATGCAAGGAGACCAAGTTAACAACTATCTACACAGACAAAACACCTTCATAACCAAAAATCAGGTGAGCACTCACAGTACCTGGTTTGAACTTCTTATCACTGAAAGAGGCACTGAAGAGATAGAAAGAGATAGAAAAAAAACAATCAGAAATCACTGATGTGGCCCCACCCCCAACCCTCCGGGCAGCAGCACTAGCTTGCTGCAGAAAGCTTCTCTGGGACCTGCGGGAAGGAGAACACAGCAATTGTGAGGTATTGAACTCAGTGCTGTCCTCTAAGAGGAGAAAGAAAAACTGGACCAAATTCAACTGACATTCACCCTCAGAGGAAGCATTTAAACCAGCCATAGGCAGAGGGAAGTCACAGATCCCAGTGGTTGGATTTTGAGTGCCTACAAACCTTGCCACAGAAGGGTATAGCACTCTGTGTCTTAAAGTAAATGTGAAAGGTAGTCTAGGCCATAAGGACTGCAACTCTTAGGCAATTCCTAGTACTGAACTAGGCCCAGAGACAGTGGACTGGGGGACAAACATACTGTGACAAGCCAAGGACGTGCTGGCATCACCCCTCTCCTAACCACAGGCTGCATAGCTCATGGGTCCAAAAGATACCCCTTCCTTCAACTTGAGGAGATGAGAGAGAAGAGTGGGGAGGACTTTGTCTTGCATCTTGGATACCAACTCAGCCACAGCAGGATACGCCACTGGACAGTCATGAGGCTGTCATCTTGCCTGGCTCCCAGATGACATTTCTAGACACACTCTGGGTCAGAAGGGAACCCACTGCCTTGAAGAAAAGGACCCAGTTCTGGCAGCATTCATCACCTGCTACCTGAAGAGCTGAAGAGCCCTTGGGCACTGAATAACCAGCAGTGATACTCAGGTACTACATCAAGGGCCTTGGTTGAGCCTCTGAGACTTGCTGGCTTCAGGTGACACTCAGCATATTACCAGTTGTGATGGCTATGGGGTAAAGTCCTTCTGCTTGAGAAAAGCAGAGGGAAAAATAATGGAGACTTTGTTTTGCACTTTAGTTATCAGGATGGCCACAGAGTACCAAGTGGGCTCTTGGGGCCCTATTTCCAAGATTTGACTATTGGGTGGCATTTCTGGACATGTCCTGGGCCAGAGGGAATCCCACTGCCCTGAAAGTTGAGCCCCAGAACAGGCAGCATATGCCACAAGTTGACTTAAGAGGCATTGGACCATAAGGGAACATTGGCTGGTAGTCTGGCTGTACTCCTCATGGTCTGAGGTGGCACTGGCTATGAAGTGAGGCTCCTCTGCCTTTGAAAAGGTGAGGGAAGAGTGGGAAGGACCGCATCTTGTGGTTTCAGTGCCAGCTCGGCTACAATATAATAAACACCAGATAGACTTCTAAGGTTTTGACTCTAGTCTCTGACTCCTGGACAGCACCTCTGGACCCACCTGGAGCCTGGAGGACCTTGCAGTCCTAATGGGAAGGACACAGGCCTGGCTGGTTATGCCACCTGCTGATTGTGGCATTACAGGGCCTTGAGCAAACATAGGCAGTAGGCAGGGAGTGCTTACAGCAGGTCTTGGGCAAAACCCAGCACTGTGCTGGCTTCAGGTCTGACCCAGTGCAGTCATAGTGGTGGTGGCCACAGGGATGCTTGTGTCACTTCACCCCCAGCTTTAGGTAGCTCAGAACAGACAGAGAATCTGTTTGTTTAGGAGAAAGGAAGGGAAGAGAACAAGAGTCTCTGCCTGGTAATCCAGATAATTCTTCCAGATCTTGTCCAAGATCATCAAAGTAGTACCTCCATAAGTCTGCAAGAACCACAGCATTACTAGGCTTGGGGTGCCCCCTAAAATAGATACAAATTAGATCACAACACCCAAGTTATTTCAAATATCTAGAAAGCCTTCCCAAGAAGGATGGCTACAAATAAACCCAGACAGTGAAGACTACAATAAATACCTGACTTTTCAATGTCCGGACACCAAAGAACGTCTACTAGCATCAACACCATCCAGGAAAACATATTAAATAAGGCATGAATGACTAATCCTGGAGAAACAGAGATATGTGGCTGTATTAGTTCATTCTCACACTGCTGTAAAGAACTACCTGAGACTGGATAATTTATGAAGAAAAGAGGCTTGACTCACATATCCACAGGCTATACAGGAGGCTTGGCGGGGGAGGCTCAGGAAACTGACAGTCATGGCAGAAGGCAAAGGGGAAGCCAGCATGTCTTCACATGGTGGCAGGAGAGAGAGAGTGAAGTGGGAGGTGTTACACACTTTTAAACAACCAGATCTCATGAGAACTCACTATCATGAGAGCAGAAAGAATGAAGTTTGCTCCCATGATCCAATTACCTCCCACTCTAACCGTTCAACAGGTTCCCCTTGTTCACTGCTTAGATAGGCAGTATGATACTAGCTGTCGGTCTGTCATATATGGCATTTATTATACTGAGGTTTGTTCCTTCTATCCCCAGTTTTTTGAGGGTTATCATCACGAAAGAATGTTGAATGTTATCAAATGCTTTTTCAGCACCAACTGAAATGATCATATGACTTTATCCTTCATTCTGTTGATATTATGCATCACGTTGATTGATTTGCATACGTTAAGATACTCTTGCATCCGAGGGTTAAATCTCACTTGGTCATGATGAAAGATTTTTCTATTGGGTTGTTGAATTCAGTTTGCTAGTATTTTGTTGAAGACTTTTGCATCAATATTTATCAGAAATATTGGCCTGTAGTTTGATTTTCTTTGTGTTTCTGATGTGTTGTTGGTTTTGGTATCATGGTAATACTGGCCTAGTAGAATGAGTTTGAAAGTATTCTCTCCTCCTCTATTTTTCAGAATAGTTTGAGTCAGATTTGTACTAGCTCTACTTTAAATGTTTGATAAAAGTCATCAATGAGGCCATCAAGTCACAGGCTTTTCTTTATTGGAAGACTTTATTACTGTTTCAATCTCATTACTTGTTATTGGTCTGTTCAGGTTTTGGATTTCTTTATTATTCAATCTTGGCAGGTTGTATGTATGTAGGAATGTGTTCATTTATTATAGAGTTTTCAATATGCTGGCTTACTGTTGCTCATAATAGCCTAGTATGATCCTTTTGAATTTTTGTAATGTCTCCTTTTTTATTTCTAATTTTATTTATTTGGATCTTCTCTTTTTTTTTTTCTTAGTTATCTGGCTAAAGTTTTGCCAATTTTGTTTAAATTTTCAAAAAAACCTTTTTGTTTTATTGATCTTTTGTACCTTTTTATTTTCATTTTATTTATTTGTATGCAGATATTTATTATGTCTTTTTGTCTACTAATTGTTGGTTTGGTTTACTCTTGCCTTTGTAGTTCTTTAAGATGCATCACTAGATTGTTCATTTGAAGTTGTTTCTCTTTTTTGGTGTGGGCACTTATAGCTGTAAACTTCCCTCTGAATACTGCTTTTGCTTTATCCCATAGGTTTTCATATGTTGTGTTTCCATTATCATTTATTTCAAGAAATTTTTCAATGCCCTTATCAATTTCTTCTGACCCACTGGACATTCAGAAGCGTGTTTAATTTCCATTTACTTGTGTAGTCTCCAAAATTCCTCTTGTTATTGATTTTCAGTTTTATTTCATTTTGATCAGAGAAAATGCTTGGTATTATTTCAGTTTTTTTCAAATGTTTTCAGTCTTGTTTTGTGACCTAAAGTATGGCCTATCCTTGAGAATGATCCATGTGCTGAAGAAAAGAATATATATTCTGCAGCTTTTAGATGAAATGTTTTATAAATATCTGCTAGATCCACTTGGGCTATAGTGCAGATTAAATCTGATATTTCTTTGTTGGTTTTCTGCCTGGAAGATCTGTCCAATGTTGTAATTAAGGGGTTGATGCCTCCAGCTGTTATTAAATTGGAGCTTATCTCTCTCTTTAGCTCTAATAATATTTCCTTTATATATCTGGGTTCTGTGCTGCTGGGTGCATATATATTTAAAATTGTTATATCCTCTTGCTTAATTTACCACTTTATCATTATATAATGACCTTCCTTGTCTCTTTTTATAGTTTTAGTCTTAAAATCTACTTTGTCCAATATAAATGTAGCAGGTGTTGCTCATTTTTGGTTTCCATTAGCATAAAATATCTTTTTCCATTCCTTTATTTTCACTCTATGTGTGTCTTTATAGGGTAAGTGTGTTTCTTGTAAGCAACAGATCAGCAGATGTTTTTCTTTTATTCATTCAGCCAGTCTATATCTTTTAATTGGAGAGTGTAGTGGATTTACATTAAACGTTATTATTGTTAAGTAGGGACTTACTCCTGCCATTTCGTTTGTTTTCTGTTTGTTTTGTGGCCTTCTTTCTTTTTTCTTTTCTTCCTGTCTTCCTCTAATGAAGATAATTTTCTCTAGTGATATGATTTAGTTTCTTGCTTTTTTGTGTGTGTCCATTGTATATTTTTTGGTTTGAGGTTACTATAGGCTTGAAAATACTATATTATAATCCACTATTTTAACCTGCTGAGAACTTAAACCTATTTGCATAAACAAGCAAGCACAAAGAAAAACAATAAAAATTATATGCCTTAACTTTTCCCCCCCACTTTTTAACTTTTTGTTGTTTCCATGTGTATCTTACTGTACATACTGTCTTGAAAAGTTGTAGTTATTATTTTTGACTGGTTTATCATTTATTCTTTCTACTTAGGATAAAGTAATTTACACATCACAGTTATAGTGTTATAATATTCTGTGATTTTCTGTGAACTTACTATTACTAGTAAGTTCTGTACTTTCAGTTGATTATTTTATTGGTCATTAAAGTCCTTCTCTTTCTGTTTGAAATACTCCCTTTAGCATTTCATGTAGGACAGGTCTGGTGTTAATTGGTATTAATAAAATCCCTCAGTTTTTGTTTGTCTGGGAAAGTCTTTATTTCTCCTTCATGTTTCAAGGATATTTTTGCCAGATATACTATTCTAGAATAAAAGTTTGTTGTTGTTGTTGTTGTTGTTGTTTCTTCAGCACTTTAATATGTCATACCACTGTCTTCTGGCCTGTAAAGCTTCCACTGAAAAGTCTGCTGCCAAACACATTGGACCTCCACTGTATGTCATTTGTTTCTTTTCTCTTGCTGCTTTTAGGATTCTTTCTTTATCTTTGACCTTTGGAAGTTTTATTATTAATGCCTTGAGGTAGTCTTCTTTGGGTTAAATCTGCCTGGTGTTCTGTAAGCTTCTTGTACTTAGATATTGATTTATTTCTCTAGGTTTGGGAAACTCTGTTATTATCCTTTTTAATAAACTTTCTAACCTATCTCTTTGTCTACCTCCTCTTTAAGTCCAGTAACTCTTAGATTTGCCCTTTGTAGGCTATTTCCTAGATTCTGTAAGTGAGTTTTATTGTTTTTTATTCTTTTCTCTGTGGTTTCCTCTTACTGTGTATTTTCAAATAGCCAGTCTTCAAGCTCACTAATTCCTTTTTTGCTTGATCAATTCTGCCATTAAAGGACTCTGAAGTGTTCTTCAGTATGCCAATTGAATTTTTCAGAACCATACTTACTACTTGATTTTTTAAATTATTTTAATCTCTTCACTAAATTTATTTGATAGAATTCTCAATTTCTTATCTGTGTTATCTTGAATTTCTTTGAGTTTCCTCAATACAGTTAATTTGAATTCTTTGTCTGAAAGGCCACTGATATGGTTTAGTTCTGGATCCCCACATGAATGTCATGTTGAATTGTAATCCCCAATGTTGGAGGAGGGACCCAAAAGAAAGTAAATTAGTATATCAAAGAGATATCTGAACTCCTATGTTTGTTGCAGCACTGTTTATACTAGCTAAGATTTGGAAGCAACCTAAGTATCCATCAACAGACGAATGAATAAAGAATATGTGGTACGTATACACAATCGAGTACTATTCAGCCTTAAAGAAGAATGAGACCCAGTCATTTGCAACAACATGGATGGAACTGGGTGCCATTATGTTAAATGAAATAAGCCGTGAATGGAAAGACAAGTATCACATATTCTCACTTATTTGTGGAATCTAAAAACCAAAGCAATTGAACTAATGGACACAGAGAGTAGACGGATTGTTATCAGGGGATAGGAAAGGTAGTGGGAGGATTGAGAGGAGGTTGGGATGGTTAACGTATACAAAAAAAAGAAAGAATAAGAACTACTTTTGATAGCACAGCAGGGTGACTATAGTCAATAAATACTTAATTGTATATTTCAAAATAACTCACAGAGTGTAATTGAATTGTTTGCAACTCATAGGATAAATGCTTGAGGGAATGGATAACTCATTCTCCGTGATGTGTTTATTTCACATGGCATGCCTGTATCAAAATATCTCATATACTGCATAAATAATTACACCTACTATGTATCCACAAAAATTAAAAATAAGAAAGTAGCTGGAGTACAACAAAGGTGTACCAGAATTGCTATAGGGTGTACAATGTATCTGCCCTAGAGTTAGTGGAAACACTTCTTCCAAGGGCACCCAGGTTAATAACCAGCCCAGTAGGCCTGCCTCCAGCAAAATCACAATAACACCACCACAAACTCCTACAGCTTAGATTACTGACACACTAACAGGCATTGCTGACATGAATTATAGCTGAAGAAACTGCACTAAGTGTACACTACTGCATCTACCCAGAATCAAAGTCAGTGCACCACACCCAACTGATACCCTAAGTACAGAAAAATCTTCATATGAAAGCTACTACATAAAATTAGAAAAGGCTACTGTTTCACCAGATGCATAGATATCAACATAGAGACACAAGAAACATGAGATGAGAAAACATAATATCTCTAAAGAAACACAGTAATTTCTGTAATAACTGACCTTAGAGAAAGGAAATTTTTAAAAATACCTGAAAAGAAATTCAAAATAATGATCTAAAGAAAACTCAGTGAGATACAAAATAATACAGAAAAGCAATTCAATAAAATTAGGAAAACAATTTATAATCTGAGTGAGCCATTAAAAAATAGATATTATTTTAAAAACAACAAACAAATCTTAGTCTGAAGAATTCAATGAATGAAATATAAAATACAATTGAGAGCTTAAACAACAAAATAGATAGGCAGAAGAAATAACTTCTGATCTTGAATACAGACATTTTGAAATAACCCAGTCAGAAAAAAAAGAAGAATGAAAAAAATATAAAGTAAGCCTACAAGACCTATGAGACACCATTAAGTGAATAAATATTCACATTTTAGGGTGCCAGAGGGCGAATAAATGAAGAAAGGAAAAAAGAAAAAGAAAAAGAAAAAATTAACTACAGCAACAAACAAACAAAAACACCCATTTAACAAAATAGACCAGGTTCAGTGGCTCATGCCTCTAATCCTAGAACTTTATGAGGCTGAGGCATAAGGATCACTTGACCCCAGGTGCTTACCCACCTAACCTGGGCAAGGTGGTGAGACCCAGCCTCTACAATTTTTTTTTGATTACATGGTTATAATGGTGTACATTTTTAGTCCCAGCTACTTGGGAGGATGAGGTGGGAAGATCCCTTGGACCCAGGAGTTTGAGGCAGCAGTGAATTATGTACTCCAGCCTGGATGAAAAAGAAAGACTCTTTCTTCAAAAAACAAAAACAAAAAAATAACAAAAAGAACACAAAAAATAGTGTTGGAAACTTCTTAAGTCTTTATAGATACATGAACATTCAAACTCAGGAAGCTTGAAAGTCCCAATACATCCAACACGCAATATAATCAAACTGTCGACAAACAATTCTAAAATCAGAAAAAGAAAACGCATCAAGTCACATATAAGGAAACCCCCATTAGGCTATCAGTAGATTTATCAGCTGAAACCTTGCAGGCCAGGAGAGAATAAAATGGTATATTCAAAGTACTAAAAGCAAACAAACAATCAGCCAAGAAAAGCAAGAATGTCTAGCAAATCTATCCTTCAGAAATGAAGGAGAAATACATTTATTTCCAGATTTGTAGAAGCTGAGGAAATGTATTACTGCTAGAAATTCCAGCAATACTTAAAGGAGTCCTATAATTGGAAATAAAAGGATGACAGTTACTATCATGAAAATATATCCAAGTAGAAAACACTCGTAGAGTTAAATTTATAATCAAACTCAAAATATTCCAGTAATGTAATGATGCAATAAAAATTTTTCAAACTTCTAGAATGAAGGTGAAAAGTCAAAATGATAAAAAAAGCAGCTAAAATTACTGGTAAGGGAACACACAATATATAAAGATGTGAATTAAGGCAACAAAAATATAAAATGTTGCAGAATGGAAAAAGCCTAGAGTATTTTTATGTAACCAAAGGATACATACAGACTGACAGTGAAGGGAAGGAAAAAATATTCTGTGCAAATGGAAATGAAAAGCAAGCAGAAGTAGCTATAGTTATGCAAGATAAAACAGACTTTGTATCAAAAACTGTAAAAAGAGACAAAGAAGAACATTGCATAATGATAAAAGCATGAATTCAGCAAGAAGATATAATAATCTTAAACATATATGCACCCATCATGAGAGAACACCAATATATAAAGCAAATATTAAATTTAAAGAAGAGATACTCTGCAATACCATAATACCAGATTTCAACATCCCACTTGTAACAGTAGACCAATTATCTAGACAGAAATGTCAACAACAACAAAAATATTAGACTTAAACTTTACCCTGGGTCAAATAAACATTACAGTTATTTATAGAACATTGCATTCAACAGCTGAAACATACAAATTTTTTTCAACTGCATATAGGACATTCTACCAGATAGATTATATGTTAAGCTAGAAAAAAAGTCTTCATTAATTCAAGAAGATTGAAATTATATCAAATATATTTTCTGACCACAACAGTATAAAGCTAGAAGTCAATAACACGAGAATCTTCATAAATTTAAAAATACATGGAAATAAACAACATGTTCCTGAACAACCAATGGGTCAACGAATAAATTACAAAGAAAATGTAAAAATTACTTTAGAAAAATGAAAATTAAAACACAACATACAAAATCTTTTATGGGATAAAGGAAAAATAGTTCAAGAGGAAAGTTAATAGCAATGTACACCTACATCAAAAAAGTAAGGTTTCTAATAAACAACACAATGATGCACTTCAATAAACTAGAGCAAACTACACCCAAAATTAACATAAAGAAGAAAACAATAAAGAACAGATAAAAAATAATGAAATAAAAACTAGAAAAACAATACAAAAGATCAACAATGTAAAGAGTTGTTTTTATCAAAATAGAATTTAAAAACTGATAGTTGGACTACTAAGGAAAAAAAGACAAGTAAAATCAGAAGTAAAAAAAGGAAGCATAACAACTTATACCACAGAAATACAAGAATTATAAGAGACCATTATATACATTTAGACATAAACAAATTTGATAATCCTGAAAAAAAAACATATAAATGTATGGACACATACCATCTACTAAGATTTACTTATAAGGAAATGGAAAATCTCCCATTAAAAAAAAAAGCCCAGGACTTGATGGCTGTCTGCTAAAATCCATCAAACATTTATACTCTCAAACTCATTCTATGAGGCCAGCATCACCCTGATACAAAAACCAGAAAAAAGCAAAACCTGAAAAAGAAAACTGCAGACCAATATGCTTCATGAACAGAGATATAAAAATCCTCAACAAATATCAGCACTCTGAATTCAAGCACTTTAAAAAGATCATTCACTGTGATCAAGTGGGATTAATCTCTGTGCTGCAAGAATGGCTTACCATGTGCAAATCCATAAATGTGATACATTATAATAGCAGAAATATGGACAAAAAACTTTAAAATCATTTAAATAGATGCAAAAAAGCATCTGACAAAATGTAACATCGCTCAAAAAATTAAATACAGAAGGTATGACACTCAACACAATAAAGGCCATATGTGACAAATCATCAGCTAACATCAAACTGAGCACAGAATAAATGAAAGATTTTACTCTGAGATGTGGAAGAAGACAAGGATGCCCACGTTCACTGCCTCTATTTAACATAGTACTAAAAGCTCTAATCAGAGCAATTAGGCAAGAAAAAGAAATAAAACCATCCAAAATGGAAAGAAGGAAGTCACGTTATTCCTCTTTGCAAACCAACATAATCTTATATATAGAAAACACTAAAGACTCCACCAAAAAAATGGTAGCACTCATAAACAAATACAGTAAACTTGCAAGATACAAAATCAATATACAAAAATCAGTAGTATTTCTATATGCTGATAGTGAACTAATAAAAGAATAAAAAAAACTACACCTTTACTTTGTCTACAAAAATTAAGGTAACTAATAATAAACTAACCAAGGTAGCAAAAGATTTGTGAGGAAAACTGTAAAACACCAATGAAAGAAGTTAAAGAAGGCCGGGCGCGGTAGCTCACGCCTGTAATCCCGGCACTTTGGGAGGCTGAGGCGGGCGGATCACGAGGTCAGGAGATCGAGACCATCCTGGCTAACGTGGTGAAACCCTGTCTTTACTAACAAATAAAAAAAAACTAGCCAGGCGTGGTGGTGGGCGCCTGTAGTCCCAGCTACTGGTGAGGCTGAGGCAGGAGAATGGGGTGAATCCAGGAGGTGGAGCGTGCAGTGAGCCAAGATCATGCCACTGCACTCAGCCTAGGTGAAAGAGCGAGACTCCGTCTCAAAAAAAAAAAAGAAAAAGAAAAAAAAAGACACAGATTAATGGAAAGATATTCCATGTTCTTGGATTGGAGGGTTTAATGTTCTTAAAATGTCCATATTATCCAAAGTAATAATACATACCCAACGTAATTTCTATTTAAATATAAATGACAATCTTCACAGGAATAAAAGAAAATCCTCAAATTTGTATGACAAATAAAAGAACCTGAACAGCCACAGCAATCTTGAAAGAAAAAAAAGCTAGAAGTCCCACACTATCTGACTTCAAAACATACTACAAAACTATGTCTCCCAGCCTACATCTTTCTCCTGTACTGGATACTTCCTGCCCTTGAACATCGGACTTTTAAGTTCTTCAGTTTTGAGACTCGGACTGGCCCTCCTTGTTCCTCAAGCTTGCAGACAGCCTATTATGGGACCTGGTGATCATGTAAGTTAATACTTAATAAACTCCCATATGTATGCTATAGTTCTGTCTCTCTAGGGAACCCTGACTAATACACTAAGGTAACCAAAGCAGCATGATATTAACATAAAAACAGAAACAGAAACTAATAGAACCGAATAGACAGCCAAGAAATAAATCCACACATTTACAGCCAATTGATTTTTGACAGATGTTCCAAGGATATAAATTGAAAAAAAAAAAAAAAGGACAGTTTCTTTAATAAAATTGTGCTGGGGAAATTGGATTTCCACATGCAGAAGAATGAAACTGAGCCCCTATTTTTACCACATTCAAAAATCAAATCAAAGTAGATTAAATGCATAAATGTAAGACCCCAAACCCTGAAACTGCTAGAAGAAAACACAGGGAAAATGTTTCACAACATTGGACTGGGCAAGGAATTTTTGGCTAAGCCCTCAAAGCACAAACAACAGGAGCAAAAATTAGGAAATTATGTTACACCAAACTAAAAACCTTCTGCATAGCAAAGGCAACAATCAAGAGAGTGAAGAGACAACCTACAGAATGGGAGCAAATGTTTGCAAACTATGTGTGTGTATATGTATATATATCTCTATAACAGATAAGAAACTTAAACAACTCAACAGATAAAAAGATAACCTCATTAAAAAAATGAGCAAAGAGCCTGAATAGACATTTCTCAAAAGAAGGCATACACATGGCCAACAGGTATATTAAAAATGCTCAATACCACTAATCATCAGGGAAATGTAAATTAAAACTCCAATGAGATATCACTTTACTATTGTTAGAATGGCTGTTATAAAAATGCTAGATAATAAGTGTTGGGGAGGATGTGGAGAATGGGGAAAACTTACACACTGTTGGTGGGAATGTAAATTAGTACAGTGATTATGAATAAAAGTATGGAGGTGACGGAGTTTGGATACTTGTCCCTTCCCAAATCTCATATGGAATTGTAATCCCCAATGCTGGTGATGGGGCCTGATGAGGTGTTTGAATCATGGGGGCAGATTCCTCATGGCTTGGTGTTGTCTTTATGATAGTGAGTTCTTGTGTGATCTGGTCATTTAAAAGCATGTGGCACCTCCCTCCATTGCTCCTGCTCGTGCCTTGTGGGGTGCCTGCTCCCCATTTCGTTTCCACCATGATTATAAGTTTTCTGAGGCCTCCCCTGGAGCAGATGCTGCCATGCTTCCTGTGAAGTCTGCAGAACTGTGAGCCAACTAAACCTCTTTTCTTTATAACTTACCCAGTCTCAGGTATTTCTTTATAGCTGTGCAAAAATGGTCTAATCCAGAAAATTGGTACTGGGAATGGGGCATTATTATATAGATACCAAAATATGTGGAATCAACTTTGGAACTGGGTAACTTTGGAACTGGAAGACTTTGGAGGGCTCAGTAGACAACAGAAAGATGAGAGAAAGTTTGGAATCTCTTAGAAACTGGTTAAATGGTTGTGACCAAAATGCTGGTAGTGATACGGATAGTGAAGTCTTAGATGGCAATGAGGAACTTATTGGGAACTAGAGCAAAGGTCACCTGTGTTATGCTTTAGCAAAGAATTTGGCTGGATTATGTCCCTTCCCTGGGGATTTGTGGAAGTTTGAGCTGCAGAGTGATGAATTAGGGTATCTGGTGGAAGACATTTCTAATCAGCAAAGTGTTCAAGAAGTAACCTGGCTGCTTTTAACAGCCTAATTAAGATGCAGAAGCAAAGAAATGACTTAAAGTTGGAATATATACTTAAAAGGGAAGCAGAGCATAAAAGTTCAGAAAATGTGTGGCCTGACCGTATGGCAGAGGAAGAAAAAGCTTTTTTCAGGAGAGGAATTCAAGCAAGCTGTGGAGCAACCACTTGCTAGAGAGATTTGTATTACTAAGAAAGAGCCTAGAGCTACTAGCCAAGGCAATGAGAAAAAAGACCTTGAAGACATTTCAGAGACCTTGATGGCAGCCCCTACTATCACAGACCCTGAGGCCCTGGACGACTGAATGCTTTTGTGGGCCAGGCCCAGAGCCCCACTGCCCTGGGCAGCCTTGGGACACTGCTTCCCACATCCCAGCCACTCCATCTTTAGTTGTGGCTCAAAGGGGCCAAGTGCAGCTCAGGCTGCCATTTTGGAGAATGCAAGCCATAAGCCTTGGCAACTTCCAAGTGGTGTTAAGCCTCTAGGTGCACAGAATGCAAGACTGAAGAATACTTCGCAGCCTCTTCCAAGATTCCAGAGGTTGTTTGAGAAAGCCTGGGTGGCCAAGCAGAAGCCTGCTTAAGAGGTGAAGCCCTCACAGAGAACCCCTACTAGAACAGTGCCAAGGAAAAATGTAGAGTTGGAGCCCCTATATAGAGTCTCCTAGTGGACTAGGCAGAAGCATTGCCTAGTGGAGCTGTGAGAAAGGAGCTACTGCCCTTCAGACTTGAGAATTGTAGATCTACTCAGCTCGTACCCTTCACCTGGAAAAGCCACAGGTACTCAAAACTCTGTGACAGAAGTCTCAGAAACTGAACCCTGAAAAACCATAGAGGTAGAGCTGCTCAAGGCTTTGGGATACCACCCATCACACCAGTGAGCCCTGGATGTGGGACATGGAATCAAAATTATTTTGGAGCTTTAAGATTTAATGACTGCCCTTCTGGGTTTTGAACTTACATGGGGCCTGTGGCCCCTTTCTTTTGGCTGATTTCTTCATTTTGGAATGGAAATGTTTCCCCAATGCCTATAGCCCATTGTGTCTTGGGAGTAACTAACTTCTTTTTGATTTTACAGGCTTATAGGTGGAAGAGATTTGCCTTGTCTCAGATGAGACTTTGGACTTTTGAGATAATGCTAGAATGAATTAAGACCTTGGGAGACTGTTAGGAAGGCGTGATTATATTTTGCAATGTGAGATGGACATGAGATTTGGGAGAGGCCAAGGATGAAATGATATAGTTCAGATATTTGTCCCTGCCCAAATCTCATGTTGAGTTGTAATCCCCAATGCTGGAAGTGGGGCCTGGTGTTTGGCTCATGGGGGAGGATTCCTCATGGCTTGGTGCTGTCTTCATGATAGGGAGTTCTTGTGAGATCTGGTTATTTAAAAGTATGTAGCACCTCCCCACACTTGATCCTGCTCCTGACATGTGAGATGCCTTCTCCCCCTGTGCATTCCACCATGATTAGAAGCTTCCAATAGATGCTGTCATGCTTCCTGTAAGGCTTGCAGAACTGTGAGCCAATTCAACCTCTTGTCTTTATAAAATACCCAATCTTCTTTATAGCAGTGCAAGAATGGCCTAATATAATAAGAGGTTCCTCAAAAAGTAAATAAAATAAAATAAAAATATTACTATGATGTAATTCAGCAATCCTACTACTGGGTATATATTCAAAGAAAATTAAATCAATATGTAGAAGAGATACCTGCACTCATGCTTATTGCTGTACTATTCACAATAGCCAAGATATGAAATCAACTTAAGTGTCAAACCACGGATGTATAGTTAAGAAAATGTGGCACATATGCACAATGGAATACTATTCAGCCATAGAAAGGAAATCCTGTCATGTGTGACAACATAAATGAGCCTGAAGGACATTAGGTTAAGTGAAATAAGCCAGGTACATAAACACAAATGAGTCACATTCTCAGTCATATGTAGAATCTTAAAAAGTTGATCACATAGAAGTAGTGAATAGAACAGTGGTTACAGGTGACTGGGAAAGGTAAGAGAGAGGAGGATGGGGATTGGTTGATCAGTGAGTACAAAGTTACAAGTAGAAAGTAAAGAGTAAATTCTGGCATCCTATTGCACAGTAGAATGACCAGAGCCATTTGTCTGTCTCAAAATAGTTGAAAGAGAGGATTTGGAATGTTCTCATCACAAAGAAGGGCAAATGTTTGAGCTGATATATGTGCTAATTACCTTTACTTCATCATTACACAGTGTATACATGTATTGAAACATCACAATATACTCAACAATTATGTATAATTATTATGTGTCAATTAAAGCTAAAAATAACTTTTAAAGAGAATTGGAAGTTTACAATACAGTAAATGACATAAACTGGCACTTCTAGTTGATTCTGTCTTTGTAACTTTAAGTCAAATTTAGATGTCTTCTACATTGCTTTAAATACATCCAAACAAGATGTTATTGTGACATTCAACCTTTTTAAAATTCCACTAATTATCATTCCTCCTCTCAGATTGTAATATTTATACAATGCTTCATAAATATATATGTACATTAACATAGAGAGCTGGAGGAAACTAAGGAAAGTTAAAAGATGATTATACATTGTTGGATATTATGAAAAGATTAAAGAGGAAAAAGAAAAGAGTTTTAAAAAATAGTCTATGTTCTTTAGGTAAAGAGAGAGGAGATGGTATAAATTTGGATACTTCTCTGCACTGTGGCTCCTGCTTTTGTACCGCCTACTGTCACTTGCTGAGTGTCTGCCTTGAAATAGGAAGTTCTTAATGGATGAAGTTGATAGCGCTGAACACACAAGTGGCTTTTTAACCTACGGTGAGTGTTCAAATAAAAAACAGATGGCAACTTCTTAGAAACTAAGTACATTCCTCAGGAGATAAAGTGGAGTGTTAAAACATTTTAACATTGCACTGGAGCACATAATTAAGGTAATTACAACTCTTCAAAGACACAAGGAAGAAGATCTAAGCCAACTTTTTTCTTTACTTCAAATTATAAAGATTATGACATTCTAACCAGAACTAGGGCAAAGTAATCATTTTATAAAATGCAATGATAAACAATGGTTGTATTTGCGATGGAATAGATTGTCTACTTCGATGTAATGTTTAAACATCAATTATATAATTAAGGAAGTAAAATCAGGTTGCCCTACTTCACAAAGGTGATAAAGTTAGAAAAAGAAAATGCTGCCAAGCTAGTTTAGAGACACAAAAATATGAGTAGACAAATACATACACATACAGAAAATAAACAGAAATACTAAGTGATTAAACTTAATTTGATCTTGAAATATTTTAGCCATGCCACTGTGTCTTGGCTTTATAAATAGCGTCAGAAATGTGATCATCTTCTTAGTGATTTTTATTTCTCCTATTTTAATTATTTCCCTAAATAAATAATTTATTATTGGGGGATATAATATTATAGAGAGATAATACTGGCTTAAATGACAGCAATATGTATTGCCTGCATAAAACACTTTTGAAACAAGGTAGAGTTACAAATAGACACGTGTGTGTGAGTGTGTGTGTATGTGTGTTTTTATATATACACATACACCATATACATACATATTTTTAAATATTACATCCTTTACTTTCTAACTTGTATATATTTTTCATAACCATCAACTCTTCTCATTTCATTATTATGCATTACACCCTTAGTCCAGGCCTTCTCTATCATTTCTTAGGACTTCTTTCAAAGTGTCAATATTGGCTCTGGGCATCCATTCTCTGCCTTTCCAAGGCCACCTCCATGTGCATCTATGGAATCTTTCAAGCCTTCCTAGATTTCTCTTTTCATCCTCTACCCTGTCTCTGCACACACAATCACATAGTGAGTAGAATTTCCTTTCTATATAGATAAATTCAATTACGTGACATTTCTACTTAAATAATTTAATGACTTTCCATGTATTTTAACTCATGATGATTTAATAAGCTGTCACCTACCTACCACTCAGACCTCCTTTTTTCCATTCTCAACCTCAATTGCTACCTTGTAGCTACATTTGAAAAAATAGCTCTATCTGATTGTGCTACTCAGTTTGCATTACTATAAAGGAATACCTGAAACTAGGTAAGTTATAAAGAAAAGAGGTTTAATTGGCTCGTGGTTCTGCAGGGTGTATGGGAAGCATAGTGCCAGTATCTGCTTCTGGTAAGGGCCTCAGGAAGGCAGAAGGTGAATGGGGAGCAGATGCATTATACAGTGAGAGTGGGAGCAAGAAATAGAAGGGGCGGGGGTGTCCCAGACTCTTTTAAACAACTAGATCTTGTGTGAACTAACTGAGCAAGAACTCACTCAGACCAAGGGGATAGTGCTAAGCCATTCATAAGGGATTCACCCCAGTGATCCATCACCTCCCACCACGCCCCATATCTAACATTGGGAATCATATTTCAACATGAGATTTGGAGGGGACAAACCTCCAAATACACACCATATCGCTGATTTTCAGGACTGTCAAAATGTTCCAGTCTTGGGTTTTTTTGAACCTGTTCTTACCTTTTCCTAGCAAGATCTTTGCTTGGTTGGCTCCTCCGTATTATGGTCTTCAATAAATGTTTGTCTTTCAGAACATGAATATTCAGCCTCCCTTGCTACAGGAATATCTAGCCATTCTTTATCTTAAAACTATCTTAATTTTATTCTTTTTCTTATTTTTGACTAGAATTTTTCTGTGTTTTAGGTTAACATGTATTTTTTGTTCTTCTATACTTTTGAAAACCACATCTATCCTCTCACTAGAATGAAAGATCCCTGAGAACAGAAAGTTTGTGAGTTGTATTTTTTCTATATCCCGAGGAACCTAGAACAGTCCCTGGCAGAGAGGAGATGTCTATAGGTGTTCTTGAAATGAACGTATAAACAAGCAAATCAATAAACAAATGCATGTTTTCCAGCATCCATAGATTTATAATTTTTCTTAACCTAGATTTGGATTTGGTATCAACTACCTACTAAATATCTTGAACACATTACCATTGCCTACATTATTAGATCCAACTTCACTGTAATGCCACGTAAGTGCATTTAGAGGCTGGTCTCAATGCACAGTCACAGGCTTTCTCAAATCACTTCTGAGTAGATTTAGCACTAACCACATTAACACTAATATGGAAAATACCATGGGCTTTCAAGTCTGATTTTTAATATAATTTGCTCATTGTCTGCAATGCTTTCTTTTGTTTTAAATAATTAACAATTTCTTAATTATGTTCTGAAATCCTACTGAATGTTTATACCTTTTCTACAATTACAAGTTATCTCAGAAAGAATTAGGCCCTCATTCTTCATGTTTTCAAAGTAATTTGTGTACACCTCTGTATTCCAACAAAATTATTTATCCTCCTTTTAATTTTCTAATTGCTAATATAATTGTATATATGCACTGTGTACAATATGATATTTTGAAATATACATACATTGTGAGATGGCTTAATCAAGCTAATTAACATGTATTACATTACATGGTTATCATTATATGGTAAGAACACTTAAAATCTACTCTGTTAGCATTTTTTAAAAGTATAATATATTGTCATTAACTATAGTCAATATTTTGTGAAATGGTTATCCCAAACTTATACCTCCTAACTAAATTTGCATATCCTTTGATAAACATCTCTCTCACATTTAATAAGCCATTCCAGGCCCTGGTAACCACCATGCATTCTGTACTTGTATGAATTCAAATTTTTAAATTCCATGTCTAAGTGAGATCATGCTATATTAGTTTTTCTGTGACTAGCTTATTTCACAACACAATGTTTTTCGGGTTCATCCATGTTTTTGCACATGACAGGGTTTCTTCTTTTTATTGTTGAATAGTATTCCATTGTATATATATACTATGTTTTCCTTACCCATTCATCCACTGAAGGACACATAAGCTGATTTCATATCTTGGCTATTGTAAATGATGCTACAATAAACATGGGAGTGCAGATAGCTCTTCTGCACACTGATTTAATTTCATTTGAATATATACCCAGTAGGGGATTTCTAGATCATAAGGTAGTTTTATTTTTAATTTTTTGAGGAACCTTTATATTGATTTCAATAATTACTGTACTAATTTACATTCCCCCCAACAACGTGCCAGTATTCTCTTTTCTCTGCATTGTCACTCATACTTATTATCATTCATCTATTAGATAACAGCCATTCTAAAAGATGTGAAGTAATATCTAATTGTGGTATTTAATTTGCATTTTCCTGATGTTTAGTGATGTTAATCATTTTTTTCATGTATCTATTGGCCGTTTGTATGTTTTCTTTAAAAAATGTTTATTCAGGTCCTTTGCACATTTTTCAATTGGGTTATTTGTTTTCTTGTATTGAGTTGCTTGGGTTTTTTTTTTTATGTGTTTGGAAAATTAACTCCTTAGGACATGACTGGTTGAAAAATATTTTTCATTTTTCTGCTTTAGATCATTTTTGTGCTTTTATGCTCATATCCAAAAATTATTGTACAGACAAATGTCCTAAAGATTTTCCACATTTTCTTCAAGTAATTTTACAGATTCATGACTTAAATTTAAGTTTTTAATCCATTTTGAATGGACTTTAGGTTATGATATGAGGTAAAGATCCAATTTTATTCTTCCTTCTGTGTATATCTAGTTTTTCAAACACCGTTTAGTGAAGAGACCATCCTTTTCTTAATATGTGTTCTAGGCACCTTTGTTGAAAATCAGTTGGTTGTAAATGCATGTTTTTTTCTGGAATCTCTATTTTGTTCCATTGGTATATATCTCTGCATTTATGACAGTACCATACTCTTTAGATGGCTTTTTAGTATATTTTGTAGTCAGGTAGTGTTATTCCTCTGGCTTTGTTTTTTATACTCGAGATTGCTTTGGCTATTCAGAGTCTTTTGTTATTTCATACAAATTTTAGCATTTTTTCAATTTCTGTGAAGAATGTTATTGGTATTTTGATACGGATTGCATTGAGCAAGGATAGCTTTTGATAGGGATTGCATTGAGCAAGAATAGCTTTATAAACTATAAAATGGCTACATAAATATGTTTTATTTTTTGCTTCTGTCTAACAATTTGGTTTGGAAGACAAAGTTTACCCAAATTTCTTTACTGAACATGCATATTTTTAGAAATTGCTTCAGTCAAGACCATATAGAGGAAGGAAAGATCAACAAGAACAACAATAACATGACCCTAGCAAAATTAATTTTAATAGCAAAGCAAACATGTAAACACTAGTTAAAAATGCAATATCACAAGTGGTCTAAGACTTCTATGTGTAGCATGCTCTAGAAGCACAGAAAGTCGAGGTAGAGATCTTTCACCTCCTTGGTTAAATTTATTTCTAAGCATTTTTAATAGTTATTTTAAATGGGATTGATTTGCATATGTTGAACTATCCTTATTTCTGGGATAAATCTCACTCGACTATGGTGAACGAATGATCTTTTCTTCTATTTTTTCTCCCCACCCCACCTCGCACCTGGGTCTGCCCTGCCCCCGCACCCTCAGTCACTCCCACATCCTGCTCCACCTCTTGCCCATGCCCTCTGCCCTCAGTCTCATCCATTCCCCACACCACCCCTCTGAATTCAGTCAGTCTTGCTCATGCTCTGCTCAGCCTTTCACCAGTGGTCTGTCTTGTCCTGCTCCTGCTCACCTGCCTACCCCCTCCCCACACCCCATAGGAATGTAGAGCTTTCCAGCAGGTCAGCATGAATGACCTTTTTAATATGCTGTTAAATTTAGTTTCCTACTATTCAAGCATGTACTTGGGTCTTGTTGTTGTTGTTTTTAATCCATTCAGCCACCCTATGTCTTTTTATTGGAGAATTTAATCTATTTACATTTAAGGTAATGATTGATAGGTAAGGATTTACTACTGCTATTTTCTTAAATGTTGTTTAGTTGTTGTGTAGATTTTTTTTTTCCTTTATTCTCTCTTGCTGTTTTCATTTGTGCTTAAGTGATTTTCTCTAGTGGTGTGCTTTGATTTTTTACTTTTTACTTTTTATGTTTCTATCATGCAATTTTTCTTTATGGTTACCATGAAGCTTACAAAAAACATCTTATAGTTATATAATAGGTTACTTTAAGTTCATAGCAATTTTACTTTTTTTAAGCCCCTCTGACAAACTTTGATACTTTTGTTACACTCTTGCCCCCACTTTGATTTTTTGATATCATAATTTACATTTTTATATTGCATATGTTTTAATTATTGTATCTCCTTAAGATAGTTTTGTCTTTTAACATTCATACTAAAGATATAAGTGCACATCACCATTATGCATTGGAGCATTCTGAGTCTGACTGAGTACTAACTTTTACCAATGAGATTTATATTTTCAAATATTTTCGTGTTATTCATTAATATTCTTTTCTTTGAGTTTTAAGAGTTCCCGCTAGCATTTCTTGTAAGGCAGTTCTTTTGTTGATGAAGTCCCTCAGCTTTTATTTGTCTGGAAATGTCTTTATCTCTCCTTCATTTCTGAAAAATTGTTTTTTTTGCCCTCTTTCAATATTTTGAATATATTATCTCACTCCCTCCTGGCCTGCAAGATTTCTGCTGAGAAATCTGCTACTAACAGCCATAAAAAATAATGAGTTCATGTCCTTTGTAGGGACATGGATGAAACTGGAAACCATCATTCTCAGCAAACTATCGCAAGGACAAAAAACCAAACACCGCATGTTCTCACTCATAGGTGGGAATTGAACAGTGAGAACACATGGACACAGGAAGGGGAACATCACACACAGGGGACTGTTGTGGGGTGGGGGGAGGGGGGAGGGATAGCATTAGGAGATATACCTAATGCTAAATGACAAGTTAATGGGTGCAGCACACCAACATGGCACATGTATACATATGTAACTAACCTGCACGTTGTGCACATGTACCCTAGAACTTAAAGTATAATAATAATAAAATTTAAAAAAAAAGAAATCTGCTGCTAACTATATTGGAACTCATTTATATATTATTTGCTTCTTTTTCTCTTACTGCTTTCAAGGTCCTCTATTTAATTTTGGTTTTGAAATCTTGATTATAATATGTCTTGGGGTAGTCTTGTTGAGTTCAGTCTGATTAGGAACTTTTGACCTTGTTGTACCTAAATATTTATATATTTTCTAGGTTTGAAAAGTTTTCCGCTATTATTCCTTTAAAGAAACTTTCTATCCTTTCGTATTTCTTTTCTCCCTCTTGTACTCCTCTACTCAAAAATTTGAGTCACTAGTACCCACCCTGTTTTGTCCATTAGTAATATCATGTTTCTCTGATTTTTCTTGATCCTTGTGGTCATGTGTCAATGTTTATACATTTGATGATGTAGGTACTTCTTCAGTCTTTGCAGACTGGCTGTGTTGGGAAAAGCCTTTCATCTGCCAGCCTATCCAGAGATTCTGGGTGGGCCATTTGGCATGGTTATGGACAGGCTTGCTTTTGGAGTTTTCAGGTTGGCTTGGGTGTGCCCGGGTCAGCAAGTGTGTGGGCCTGGGGCCTAGTTGCACTGTGATGTACCTGTTGATTAGGTCTGCTGGGGTGGGCCTCCATCCTCTATCCACACGGGCTAGCCTGAAGCCTGGATCCACAGGGACTAGCTTGGCATTAGAAAAGGCCTTGTACCCGAGTCTTTAGGAGCCAGCCAGGCAACAGGATGGACCTGGAACCTATGTCCTCTAAAATGGGCCTGAGGTCTAAGTCCATGGGACTGAACCTGGGTCCTGGGTCCACCAATGCTGTCCTGAAGCCTAGATCTGGAGGAGTGTTTCTAGATCCTCCTTCTGCAGAGGCTGGCCTGGCACTGGGGTCTACTTGGATGAGCCTGAACCCTGGTTTTGCTAGAGCAGGTCTGGACCCTGAGTCCACTGGAGCCTGGTATAATTGGAACCAGCTTGGAGCCTGGAGTGGGCCCGTTTCTGGGGCAGGCATGGAGTCTGGGTCTGCAGGGGCTAGTCTAAAGCCTGGAATCACAGGGACTGTCTTGGTGCCTATGACCACTTGGGCTGGCCTAAAGACTGGGGCTATGGGAGTGAGCCTGTATAAAAAGAACTCTGAAGCCCGGGTCACTGGGGCTGCTCTGGCCCTGGTATTTATCTTTCTATTGTTGGCCCTGGTGTTTATCTTTCTAATGTATCTTTTTCTAATCTCATAAAGCATAACTTTTACCTTTTAGTAATAGTTCTATATCTTTTGTCCTAAAATATTTTCCAAATATATATGGTAATGGTATCAACTAAGACAATAGTGCTAGTAGATGTCCTACATCCAAACATTTGATTCAATTAAGTTATTAATTGCCTGCCTTATACTAGGTCCTAGATTTGTAGCTGAAGGTAAACAGATAGGAAATTGAATAGATTTATGATTTTAGAGAACTTTTAGTATCCTTAATACAACTGAAAATTTTTAAAACTATAATTTGATGACAGGTATTATGAAAGAAAAAGCAAGGTACAATGAGAACGGAAAATAAAGGGGTTTCTAATATAACTGAGTAAAAATAAGCAACAGAAAAGAGCTGGGTCTTAAAAATGAATAGCCACATGAAGAAAAGAACAAGGAGAATATTAAACAAGAGCAACAGGAAAACAAATTTGGGAACACTTTCAGGTGATTTGACAAGAATGGGCCTTTCTATTATCTATTGCCGTATAGTAAGCCATTCTCCAACTTAGTGGCTCAGTTTTATATGATTTTACTTCTTCTCACAATTGTATGGGTTAATTCACTAAACTGCGCAGTTCCTACTTGACAATTTACATCTTATTTTGTCATATAGTGGCTAGTGCTAGTTCTATCTGAAGGGCCAGTTGTGCTGGACATCCGAGAAGGGTTTCTTTGTTTGTTTTTGTTTTTCTTTCCACTCACATGCATGGCATTTCAGCTGAAATGGCTGGAACATTTGAGGGCTGGCTGAGTATTTTGATCTCCTATCTCTCATCTTCAGGTGTGTCGTTTGGGCTTCTTCACAATATATTAGTCTCAGGGTGTTCAGACTTCTTGTGTGGGGACTCGGATCTTGAAAGTCCACAGAAGCAAGCAACTATAGCATCTTAAAACTTTAAGCCTGAAACTCACACAGAATTACTTCTGCTACAAATCGTTAATTGAAAGATTGTAACAGTACCAGCCCAGATTCAGGGTAGAATGGAACTAAGCAAGGTGACTAGAAGTAGGCATGATTTAATTGAGGAACTTTTCTTTGGAAACTAGTCATAACACTGGGCTGCTCTGCGTAGAATAAAAAGTAAAAACAAAATTAATATCAAAGTTGATACGATTGTCAAATCACTTATTTATTAAATCGCTATATTTTACATTGATATTAGCCATTAATGTTTTAAGGTAATAGGGTTCAATAAAGGACAAAGATAGTATTTATGACAAATAACCAGAAGACATTATCCAATTTGATTTGAAAATGTGTATGTTGTTTTTGACAGGCAATACCTGTTGCTTGTTGATTCTAGAGAAATGTCTTGAGCATTTTCTGGATCTACTTTAGGTCTTGTTGCTTGCTCTTTGGTTTATCATAGGAGCAAAATCTTGAGACTGTAGTAGGACTGATTACCAGTTTAAATGCTTTTCATATATATCCTTGCACTGTAGTGTAACTATGTCTTTGTGACAATACTTAGATTGTCATACAAACACTGACCTTCCGACTAGATATATTGAATTTATATTCTGTTTTGTCTTTTTGGAACTTTTTGACAATCTCGTAGAGAACATACATAACAGCATTTTCATCCTTATTACCGTTAGCCACAACTCAACGCACTATCTATTCATTTCTATTACTGCCGTAATTACCTCACACTTAGTGGCTTAAAACTAGATGTATTTATGCTCCTACAGTTCTGAAGGTCAGAAGCCTGAAATCAGTATTAAAAGGTTAAAATTAAGTTGTCCACAGTGCTGGTTATTTCTGTGTGCTCCAGGGAGGAAGTCATTCCTTGCTCTTCCGGCTTCTAGAGACTGCTGGAATTCCTTAGCTTGCAGCCACATTACTGCAATTTCTTCCACTGTCACACTGCATTCTCTTTACCCTGACCTTTTGCCTTTCTCTATGATTATATGAGGCTCAACCAAATAATATGAGCTAATCACCCCATCTCAAAATGCTTAATCACATCTGCAGAGTCCTTATTACCACATAAGGCAATATGTTTATATATTCAAATATTCTAACTTGGACATCTCTGAGGTGTCACTATTCAGGCTATCATATACTATCTCAAAAACAACTATTATTATTATCACAGAATATATAACCCATGGTGGTTCCATAAGATAAACCACCAGTGACTAAGTCAATATCATTAAAAATATTAGCATCTCCAAAGAAAAAAGATGCTGAGTTATACTGCTTGGGTCTCTAACCATTATCAATTGTCAAAAAAAAAAAATTAAGAAAACGTGAACATAGAATTAATTATGTACATCCCTAGGTAAATTTTTGGTACTCCTTGATTTACCTCAGATCATTTTTTGCATGCATGTTAATACCTGAAATTTATTTTGTAAATGAAATAAAATATTTTATTATTGAAATAGAGTTAAATAATGTGTATGTGTGTCTGTATGTGTGTGTTTTTATTGGGTGAATATGAGTGTGTGTGTGTGTTTATGAGCATATATATCATATATATATATATATATCATATATATATATATATATATATAAAATGAAAGAACGGGTAAATAAGAGATTCCTACTCATTTTGTTTAAAGTAGAAAAGGAAAGAGCAGAATGATATTAAAGAAAAGAAATACAGAGATGGCTCAATATTTGTTATTACAAGTAAGAAACTGGGGAACATAAGACAGCCTACAAGTTCCCAATCTTTTCCTTCAATGTTTCTCATGGGTAAGTCTATTGATGTTCAGCTGAGTGAGGCTAAATGAAGTTCTGGACAAATAGAGAATTCTTTATCCTGCAGCAGCAAACAAGGATGACTATACTTCACAAGATTTATAAAACATTCTGAATTTTTGTTATTTTTTACTGTATTTAACTGTTCTGACTTCCTTTAAAGAAGGTAGTCCCCTGGGAATGTATATATAGCTATACAAAGGAGACATGCGTAGGCAGAGAGCCTCCCCCAGCATGCTCATGAGGGAGGCAGAAGGAGAGCTCAGATGAATTACCCTCCATTTGTAAATTCCCATATGTAAAGAGATTCAGAACCTTGAAATTTACAAGTTGTGAAGTACTTTGTTGGTCATCAAATTAGATAACTCTAAATAATGTTTGAACCCCCACTGCAATAAAATTATAAAACTCTGTCCCCATGTTAAATGCAAACAAATAATAAAAACATAGGATTTAGTGCTCATCATAATTGAATCCAAGCTATTACTACATATCAGAAGCATTTGAAAAAATCAATGGTTAACTTTTCAGTGTAAGTTATTCCCCTTTGTATGTGAATGTGACTAGAAAACCATATTTTTATAGATTTTAAAAATCAATTATTAAAGATTGATATACTAATCAATAGTCTTTCTTTTATACCAAAGCTTAAATGGCTGACTTTGCCTCAAGTTTTCTGTGACTAGCAGTTTCACAGTATCATAGCTAAGAATTGCAACTATACTAAAGGCCAGTTGCTTTAAAAATCCTTGTCAATACATCTTATCAAAATATGATCAGAAGTAACAAAGTCAGAAAGTACGACTGGACAGAAGAGATAAACCTACAAACATAGGGCTATTGCTTACATACCAAGGAGGACACACTCTGATCTTAGGAAAGAAGAATTAACCAAATATCTCTAACTCTATCTCCCTATCTATCTATCTATCTATCTATCTATCTATCTATATCTACCACTATCTATCTATCTATCTATCTATCTATCTATCTATCTATCTATCTATCTAATCTATCATCTATCTATCTATAGGAAAGCTTTATAAACTATAAAATGGCTACATAAATATATTTTATTTTTTGTTTCTATCTAACAATTTGGTTTGGAAGACAAAGTTTACCCAGATTTCTTTACTGAACATGCATATTTTTAGAAATTGCTTCAGTCAAGACCATATAGAAGAAGGAAACATCAACAAGAACAACAATAACATGACCCTAGCAAAATTAATTTTAATAGCAAAGCAGACATGTAAACACTAGTTAAAAATGCAATATCACAAGTGGTCTAAGACTTCTATGTGTAGCATGCTCTAGAAGCACAGAAAATTGAGTGAATTTTTTGTTTGGGGATTTCTTGGCAGAGGATATGCTTGAAGTGAATTTTTGCAATATGTGGTACAGTCTGTCAACAGTACCATCTAATTTGAGAAGGAGAGGAGATCAGTGTGAAAATATCTTTGTAAAGCTGAACTTCTTCAACAATACCAAAGTTCTGTTAACTTTTAACAAACCTTCTTCATGTTATATAAACAACACAAATGTGTAATCTTATAATTTAGCAGGTCAGAAATACAACATGAACTCTCACCAGGCTAAAATTAAGGTGTTGGCAATGCAACACTGCTTTCTAGAAGCTTTAAGGGAGGAATAGTTTTCTTGCTCATTCAGTATGTTGGTAGAGGATCCAGTGATTTACTGCCATGGGAACAAAATCTGTATTTTCTTTCTGGCTGTTAACTGAAGGCCTTTCCCAACTTTTAGAGGCAACCTTCATTCTTTGACTTCCTTCTTCCAACCACAAAGGCTGAGCAATTGTGCATGGGTCAAGCCCACTCTTGCTTAATATCCTCCTCCTCTTTCTCCTCCTTCTCCTATCTTATCTTTCAGATTTACAGTTCTAGTTTTCTCTTTCACTTTTAGGACTCATGTGATTAGATTGGGTCCATTAAGATAATCTGGAATAATCTTCCCATCTCAGCATCTTTACTCTTTATCAAAACTGCAAAGTTACTTTGTCATATAACCTAACATATTCAGAGGCTACCGGGCTTAGGGCATCATTAGGGGGTGGGAGGAGACATTATTCTGCCTACCACAGTTACCTTTGACTTCTAGCCTTTGACATGTAATCTCCACAGGGAACATAATCATTTTTATATAGCCTGTAATTCTTGTTATACTTTATGAGTTTTGATGGATGAAAATATAAGGCATCCTCTTTGAGAATGAGAGTATTGACACAGAATATAAAGAATAATCAAGTGTCCCTAGGCATGTCTACTATTACATAAACAGAGCTCATGACTACATATTGTATTTTTACTTAAAATCTTCATGAAAATATCAAATGAAATAGACATTTTTTAAATATTTGACTTACAGTTTAAAATAACATACTATTTTATCTCATCTGATCTCATCACAACTGTGTCATCGACCATAGATATTATTCTTTCACTTGTATAGATTAAATAAATCAGGTTTGAAGAAAGTGGTGGTTTTCTCAAAGTTGGCAGAAGTATTATGTTGGTGCAAAAGTAATTGCTGTTTTTGCCATTAAAAATAATGGCGGCTGGGCGCGGTGGCTCACGCTTGTAATCCCAGCACTTTGGGAGGCCGAGGCAGGCGGATAATGAGATCAGGAGATAGAGACCATCCTGGCTAACAAAGTGAAACCCTATCTCTACCAAAAATACAGAAAAAAAAAAAATTAGCTGGGCGTGCTGGCAGGTGCCTGTAGTCCCAGCTACTCAGGAGGCTGAGGCAGGAGAATGGCGTGAACCCGGGAGGCGGAGGTTGCAGTGAGCCTGGGCGACAGAGCAAGACTCCATCTCAAAAAAGAAAAAAAAAAAGTAATGGCAAGAACCACAATTACATTTGTGCCAACCTAATACAAAATAAAAATATATTAGCTCAGCACTCTTGCCATACAAATGGGTGAAAACAAATACAATTTTAGATTTCTACAGCTTCTGGATAAACTCCAGAAGGGTTTCTTTTTTTTTTTTTTTTTTTTTTTTTTTTAGGGGGTGCTGTGGAGGGGAGGTAACAATTGGTTAGGGTGGAATTCCTTTTATATTTATATTACATGGAGAACAGAATAGCATTCAAACATTTGTTTAATAATGAATAATATTGTAATGAGAAGCTAATATCCAAATATTACAATGAAGGACAAAGTACATTACTCTTGATTTTGAGGGAAATGTCCATGATAAAAATGAAATCATTTTGATACATAAAAATTTAAGTTTAGACCTAGTGAATGAAATGAAAAAATTTCAAATAAAGTCTTGAATTGCTTTACATTATTATCAAATTGGACAAGTGTATGAGGTCGTGAAGCAGAGAACTTCATTTAGATGAATACACAAACAATTTAATTAAAAAAGCACTCAGCATGATAATGGGGAAAAATATAGATTAAAAATTGTAATTAGACTGAAAATAGAGGTCATTTTAAGTAACGCTGGCAACTTGATTAATGTTAAAATATATCAAAAGGCCCATGTCTTAACAAACAGAATTTGGTTTTGTCTCTCATCCCGTCTGGTAACTAGAAAAGTGTACATGTGTATGTGATTTTGTTGTTGTTTGTTGCATCGTTGTTGTTGTGGACACACGCAAATTATCCTTTTTCACAGACTGATTTTATGAACTAATTAAATGTGTTTTTTTTTTTTTTCTTTTTTACTTTGAAGTAAAGGTCTTGCCTTTTTTTTTTTTTTTTTTTTTTTTTTTGAGATTGAGTCTCGCTCTGTCGCCCAGGCTGGAGTGCAGTGGCGCAATCTCGGCTGACTGCAAGCTCTGCCTCCCAGGTTCACGCCATTCTCCTGCCTCAGCCTCCCGAGTAGCTGGGACCACAGGTGCCCACCACCACGTCCGGCTAATTTCTTTTTTTGTGTGTATGTTTTTAGTAGAGACGGGGTTTCACCATGTTCGTCAGGATGGTCTCGATCTACTGACCTCGTGATCCGCCTGCCTCGGCCTCCCAAAGTGCTGGGATTACAGGTGTGAGCCACTGCGCCCGGCCGCCATTTTTTTTTTGTCATCATCCAAAGAAATAAAAATTTCTGTGAAGTCATGTAGTCCTTCCTTTGAGTCACTACCATAGGGAATCACTGGTACAGATGAAAGAATATTGTGACTTTTGCAAGTATTGGAGTGGGAGAGTTTTATAAGTATTTCTCCAAATCGATAGACAATCTAGTCTCATCATTCATATATTATGTTTTGCTAATTTGCCTACTCACTACAACATATTTTTAACCCCCAAATCGCAATGTTTTCCTGTTCCTTGGAGGACATGCTAGAATGACAAAGGGTTTGATTCCCCATACACTATTTTCCCATCTCAAGTCTGATAAGAGAAAGCTCCGCTTTCTTGTTTCAACTCTCATAAAAGATGACCAGAGGATGGAGATGGTAGAGGCTATGCCAATAGTACAAAAAGTCTGGGTCAGCTGGATCAGATTTGAATCACAACTCTAAGATATTCAGTTTATCATAACACTTTAGTAAGTAAGTTTTGATGTTTTCTCACTACTTAACTTGCTCTTGGTGTATACACGTGTGCATGCACATGTGTATGTATGAATATGAGTGTTTATAGTCCTGGTTAAAAAAATTTTTTTTAAATAATAGAGATTAATTCAGAGAGCAAAAATGCTTATGTTGGTACCAAAGGGTAAAATAATACTTAAATTTACTGGAGAAACTAAGAAAAAATAAATATCTATTTAAGTTTAGGTGTTTATTAAGCCATGTAATCAATTAATTCGTTATTTTATTTAATTTATTCAACCTAATCTATTTTGTTTAATAATGTCAAATGCTAAGACATTCAATATAAGCCTCTAGTTCTTTCTTCTGTTATATATAGGTCTTATTTTAATGATAAGTCAAGTCTTTTTTATTGTGTGGAGATTGTTCTTCTTATAGAGAACTGTTCAGAAAACTCTGCATCATACATAAAGGATGTACCTAAAGTATATTTATCAAAGTATAAATTATTCTCAAGCTTGGCCACCTGAGCTCATGTTTTTCAGTGATGCCAAAATTGGAGATCACCTCTGAGGAAATCAAATGGGTATTTGGAAAACCTTCCCATGATATGCAGATGTGTGTTTTTCTTTGCTGTCATAATAATTCGGTCTGAATTTCAAATGCTTTTATTTAACTAGATGACTTATGCAAATTATGAAGTTGTAAAGCAGAAGACTAATAAAGATAAAATAAAAACTAAAGTTTGTGTTTATACACTTTGTGTTTATATTATGGCACCAGCATTTATTTTGTGTCTCTGGGCAAAATATTTTACTTTTTTGCCTCACTTTTCTTAGATATAATATTGGAGTAATTTGATTCCCTACCTGATAAAAGTATGTGATAGTTAAATGTGTTTAATCATGTAAAATGCTTATATAGTACTACCATGTAGTCAAAGATAATTTACTAATGCATCCAAGTTCTAGAAAGTGGGAAGGAACAAGTTGTATGTATAATTTCCTCTCTTATCCAATTGGTCACCTAACTATATTAGCTGTAAGGGAGGAAAAAATTTGTAGCATTTATCCCTGTGCATTATATGCCTAGCCAGGACATACTAGTGTTAGCTCTACAGAGAGAAAGAAGATTTTGGAACAAGCAGAAGTTTCTGGAACCTTAAGTGTTCAGTATATTTTAGCTAGTATAAGGAACAGACTCTAAGTGGTAACCTAAGCTTCGCTTCTTCTGGTATTCATGTCTATCTGTAATCCTCTCTTCTTAAATGTACACAAAATTTAAGACTTGTTTCTAACCAATAAGATACAGTGGAGATAGAATGTCACCTCCATAATTATATTATACAATATAGCAACTTTTGTCTTCTAGCAAACTTTCTCCCTTTGTGCTTTTGTTGAAGCAAGTAGCCATGTTGTCAACTGGTCTATGGAGAGGCCCACATAGTAAGAAACTGAGCCTTCCTGGCCAAAGGCCAGGAAGAATTTGAGGCTTTTGGTCCAGAAGTCTGAAAGAAAACTTATCCTTCCAAAATCACATGAATATGCTTAGAATCAGATCCTTCCCCAGTCAAATCTTCAGATGATACAGGAGCTGTAGCCAACAACTTGATTACAGCCTTAGGAGACACCCTAAGCAGAGAACCTATTTAGGTCTTGCTAAAGCTACTGACCCATAGATAGACATAATGAAGTGATAAACATATATTATTTTTAGCAACTAAAGTTGGGGTAATATGTTATGGATTAGTAGAAAACTAACTGAGATACACATTATCAATATCATTAAGAAAATCATTATATCTAAGTCTTCTCACTTAGTGAAGGAAATAAGGAAGAAAATTTAAAAAGGGAGGAAAGGAGAGAGAAGGGGAAATAAAGCTTTCATATGTATTAGGCTAATTGTAATGATATTTAAAACTCTTTCCAAAGTGTCTTAATCTATTTTAAAGCTTACTCTTATTTTGACAAAATTTCAAATTTAGTTTTTGGCTTGGGACTTGTGTTTTATAGAAAGGCATGAGGACGTTAGCTTGAATTTCCTTTAAAGTGTCTTTCCGCTGTGAGATACTAGAAACATATTTTTTCTTAACCTATTGACAAGGATGCCCGTATATAATTTTGCTTCTTCTACTGAAAATTAATTTCCCATTTTTCTGTTTTATTCCTAAAACATAGTTTTAGATTTTTAAAAATTCTGAATATAGTAGGCACAAAAAGTTGAACTATGGCTCAAAGGGTTTCTCTTTTTTGTTTCGTTTGTTATGAATTGGAAATCTCTCTGATAATGAAAATTTGTGTTTATTTTTTCGGAATAGAACTTTAAGTGGTTTGCAAATAGCACTGAATCCTGAACATGGCAAATGCAAATGAAAACCTTTCTAAAAGGAAAGCAGACTACTTAGATTTGTTCAAGTATAATCAGAGTGAAGATGTTTCTCCTGTCTGGTGCCAGAAAAGTTTTTAAAAATTCTATTATTTGGTGAATAAAGGATATAGCTTTTGATACAACACAATCATAGTAAAATTGTTTCAGAGATGGTGTTGGAGAAGTAATAGATTTTGAAACAATGTAATCACAGCAAAGGGAATTTCAGGTCCCTGGACATAAAGCAATTGTATAAATAGCCTTACCTACTTTGATAAAATTATAAGCTTTAAGCAAAAAAAGAATGTTATATAAGTAGAAAGCCTGATGTAAGATACCCTTCACAAATTACTATAAACTAATTATCATGATCAGAATTGAATTTCATACCTTTACTATTCAAACCATGGACATATGCCTTTTACTTTTAATTATATGAAAACAGAGTATGTAAATTCCATTCTGGTATTTGTAATGAATTTTATACATTGGGCATAAGTTTGGGGAAATAAAATTAATACCTAATTGACTTTTGAAGAGAGTTGTCACTTCTATTTTAAGAAACAGATTTTAATAAGGATAAGTATTGATAAGAAATGCCTGTTTTCATATAATATAAATCTTAATGGGACAAACATAACTTTACCCTCAGTTTTTTTTCCAGATAGTGCTTTAAGGAAAGGATCACATTCAATGCTTTAAAACATTATTTAACTTTTAAATTTTGTATCTTGGAAGCATCTGACTTTCTGTAGCTAAACTTTTGCCATTTTTCATTGTTTTCTAGCTGTTAGTGGAGATATTACTGTGATTTAATTTGTGTATATTGTTTGGCTAGAAACTAGAAACACTGTCCACGTCAGGTTTAGTTTGCCAAACTGGGGATAGCCCATACACTTTGTTGATACAGTTTTCTTATGTAATGCTAAATTCTTTCACTATTTATTAACTGTTAAAATACAATACTTAGGGCTAACTTCTATCCCTGTACTACAATTGTTGCACTACCATCTTGTCAACTTCAAGCATTTTGTGTCAGCTTATTCAATAATGAATAAAATTGTAAAGCTTCTATTGGGTTAAAGTAATGTTCTACTAATACTTTATAATCCTGTGTTTTAGTGCAAATCAGTACCAATTTTCATTCAATCTAGGATCAGTACCATATTAGACATCTCAGTGTGGAGGAAAAGTTGAATAGTACTAATTAGCAACTGTCACAAAATTTACTGTAATATATTAGGTTTTCTTAACTTCAGCACTATAAACATTTTGGACTGAGTAATTCTTTGTTGTGGGGAGCTGTCCCATACATTGTAGGAAGTTTAGCAGCCTCCCTGACCTCTACCCACTATATGCCAGGAGCACTATCCCTCTCTAGCTGAGACAACCAGAAAAGGCATTGCCAAATGTCTCCTGAAGGACAGTGGTGTGGGGAGCCCTAGATGAGAACCACTGCTATACAGAAATAATTTTCATGCTGTTATTTAAGAAAATTTTACTTTTGATTGTAACCATAATAGATTTATTGCCCTATGCACCCAGCATGTCACCAGGTTGCAGCAGAGGAGTTTTAATCACAGGGTTACTGATGGACGAGACGGGAAGATACTGCCAATCCACCTTGCTGAAGAGTTTGGGGCTAGTGTTTTTAGAGATTTGGGAGTAAGCCAAAGTGTAGAGATCGTTGATTGGATGGAGATTGTGGAGCGAAGTCTTGGATGGGATATGAAGAAGCTATGTTATTGTGTTGATCCCTTTCCTCTGTGGAGGACTCCAAACTGGTTGCTGGAATTAGGAGCCTGAAAAACATCTTAAGCTATCCTTAAACAAAAGCCTTATGATTCTGTAGTCAGAGGTCTTGTTTATAGGAACAATGAAGATACATATCAATTCTGAAACAGTCTTTTGGTCCTAATGTCCAAAATCCTATCTATAGGAACAATGGGGACGCAAATTGTCAGCATCTGGTGCTGTATTACTTTTAGCAACAGAAAAATGGGCCGAAGTGCAGCCGGACTAATGCTTGATTATAATTACATTTCTTTCCAGAACCCAGCATGCAAGTCTTGTCAACCCTGTGGGGATGGTTGTGTGATGATTTAGGAATTTACTTAGGATTTTATACTTAAGATTGAATAAACATTTAATAAGTTTGGAGTTATAATGCTACTTATTTTTATACTATGTTTTAGAAAATCTTTCGGCTGGGCGATGTGGCTCACGCCTGTAATCCCATCACTTTGGGAGGCCAAGGTGGGCGGATCACGAGGTCAGGAGATGGAGACCATCCTGGCTAACACGGTGAAACTCTGTCCCTACTAAAATACAAAAACTCAGTCAGGCGTGGTGGCGGGCTCCTATAGTCGCAGCTACTTGGGAGGCTGAGGCAGGAGAATGGCGTGAATCGACGAGGCGGAGCTTGCAGTGAGCCGAAATTTGCGCCACTGCACTCCAGCCTGGAGACAGAGCAAAACTCCATCTCAAATAAATAAATAAAAATAGAAGATCTTTTAACATAGCATTTGTTTCTATTCTCATTGGGTTGGTGATAAGTTGGGTTGGCTAGACACAATGAAAGTGGTTTATATTGATACTTGATTAGCCATAGTAACATGTAAGTAGTCAAATATCTATAAGAAGTTATAAATATATTTGTCTCTGGGGTTTTCTTTTGTCTTTAGTAAACACTTGACTTTATGTGAGACTAAAATTTTGTTTCACATGAAACCCTGAAACATTTATTACTATTTATGGAATATAGCTGTGAAAAAATAACTTTAAGCAGCTGTGCGCAGTGGCTCACGCCTGTAATCCCAGCACTTTGGGAGGCTGAGGTGGGCGGATCACGAAGTCAAGAAATCGAGGCCATCCTGACCAACGTGGTGAAACCCCTTCTCTACTAAAAATACAAAAATTACCTGGGTGTAGTGGCGCATGCCTGTAGTTCCAGTTACTCGGGAGGCTGAGGCAGAAGAATTGCTTGAACCCAGGAGGCAAAGGTTGCAGTAAGCTGAGATTGTGCCACTGCACTCCAGCCTGGTGACAGAGTGAGACTCCGTCTCAAAAAAAAAAAAAAAAAAAAAAAAAAAAAGAAAAAGTAACTTTAAGCTTAATTGTTTTATAACACATTGGCCTGAGTTACATATTCTCTACTTTGCTTCAGTGTTTTGTTTATATTTAAATATATACATATTTACAAATTTATATTGCAAATATATATATTTGTAATTTTTTAAAAGTAAGTTGTAATAGTTAAAATAAGTGAAATAGTAAAACTGATGAGAGTTGGTAGTTTTAGACGATAAGATATTAGTACACATTTGCTGAATATGTATGAATTAATAAATGAAAGATGTAAAAACAAATAACAACTAAAAATAACAGAACTAATTCTCCTTGTTGAAAGTAAAGGAAAAGACGTCCTCTCTAGAATATTGACTTTAGAAAATGTATCATTGTGAGAGGTGACAGCGTGCTGGCAGTCCTCAGAGCCCTCGCTTGCTCTCGGCACCTCCTCTGCCTGGGCTCCCACTTTGGCGGCACTTGAGGAGCCCTTCAGCCCACCAACTGCACTGTGGGAGCCCCTTTCTGGGCTGGCCAAGGCTGGAGCCCACTCCCTCAGCTTGCAGGGAGATGTGGAGGGAGAGGCGCGAGTGGGAACCGGGGCTGCTGTGGCGCTTGCGGGCCAGCTGGAGTTCCGGGTGGGCGTGGGCTTGGCGGGCCCCGCACTCGGAGCAGCCCTGCTGGCCCCGGGCAATGAGGGACTTAGTACCCGGGCCAGTGGCTGCGGAGGGTGTACTGGGTCCCCCAGCAGTGCCAGCCCACCGGTGCTGCATTGGATTTCTCACCGAGCCTTAGCTGCCTTCCCGCGGGCAGGGCTCGGGACCTACAGCCCGCCATGCCTGAACCTCCCACCCACTCCATGGGCTCCTGTGCGGCCCGAGCTCCCCTACGAGCACCACCCCCTGCTCCACGGCGCCCAGTCCCATTGACCACCCAAGGGCTGAGGAGTGCGAGCGCACAGCTCGCGGGACTGGCAGGCAGCTCCACCTGCAGCTCCAGTGCGGGATCCACTAGGTGAAGCCAGCTGGGCTCCTGATTCTGGTGGGGACGTGGAGAGTCTTTATGTCTAGCTCAGGGATTGTAAATACACCAACCGGCACTCTCTATCTAGCTCAAGGTTTGTAAACACTCCAATCAGCACCCTGTGTCTAGCTCAGGGTTTGTGAATGCACCAATCCACACTTTCTATCTGGCTACTCTGGTGGGGCCTTGGAGAACCTTTATGTCTAGCTCAGGGATTGTAAATACACCAATCGGCACTCTGTATCAAGCTCAAGGTTTGTAAACACACCAATCAGCACCCTGTGTTTAGCTCAAGGTTTGTGAATGCACTAATCGACACTCTGTATCTAGCTGCCCTGGTGGGGCCTTGGAGAATCTTTGTGTGGATACTCTGTATCTAACTAATCTGATGGGGACGTGGAGAACCTTTGTATCTAGCTCAGGGATTGTAAATGCACCAATCAGCACCCTGTCAAAACAGGCAACTCCGCTCTACCAATCAGCAGGATGTGGGTGGGGCCAGATAAGAGAATAAAAACAGGCTGCCCGAGCCTGCATTGGCAACCCGCTCGGGTTCCTTTCCTCATGGTGGAAGGTTTGTTTTTTGCTCTTTGCAATAAATCTTGCTACTGCTAACTCTTTGGGTCCACACTGCTTTTATGAGCTGTAACACTCACCGGGAAGATCTGCAGCTTCGCTCCTGAGTCAGCGAGACCACGAACCCACCAGAAGGAAGAAACTCTGAACACATCCGAACATCAGAAGGAACAAACTCCAGACGCACCACCTTAAGAGCTGTAACACTCACCGCGAGGGTCCACAGCTTTATTCTTGAAGTCAGTGAGACCAAGAATCCACCAATTCCGGACACAATTGTAAGAACTTTCTCCTTTCTTTGAACTGTATATAAAGACTTTTTAAAACTAGATAGATAGGTCTTTGCCAACTTTAAGACCCAGCATTGTCTTTTCTCAAGAACTTAGGAGCCATCTCTTTGAAATATAAACAACAAAGGAGGTAACAAAATGTATCTTCCCCCTTCTGTAGCAGAGTAAGAGCCTAACTTGCTCCAAATTGCAAAACTACCTCTTGTCATAAAAGATATAAGAAGTTTGTTTTTTACCGTGGATAAGCCAATTAGTCAATTATGGTGACATGGATGGTAATCACAATTACCAGGTGAGTCTGGAACAGACTGCGTGATGAATGGTACTGTCAAGTCCTCTTACTTGAGGATGACTTTTTATTGTTTATCTTGAGAAAATGTATGCAGTGAGTTGTATCTGGTTGGCTATATAAAAAGAGTGAGGTTTTTTTTTTTGTCTTTACAATCTCTTAGCAGGGTTTCCCGTTTAGCACATCACATTCTGGTTTAATGCTTATTCAATAATGAAAGTTCTTTTTTTCATGATTCCTTTGTGGAGAGAGTTTCTAGTTTGGGAGAATATTTTTTAATTAAATTTTCAAAACAAAAGGGGTTAATAAACATGGGTTGAATTGATGTTATGCTACATGCATTTTAGTTTTAGTTTCACTGTGCTTTAATTCCTTTTGCCTGAAAACGAGGAAGAAAGAAGTTAGGTTTCTTATACCTAGGCCTAAGTGATGATACTCTGGTGTGGGGGTGAACACTGTGGCAGAGAAGCATTGCTGAAAGAATATTCACTTTGCTGGATAGAGCTCTGATTTTTACTGCTGCTATAGGTTAAAATAAGATGTACTGGGAAAGAAAATACTGACAGATACGCCGTGGAGAATAACTCTCCTACTGAATCCTCTGCCACCTCTGCTGTTCTGCTAAATAAATCCAGAAATAAGGCTATAAAAATAGTGCAATTGCATCCGGAAACAGTAAGTTAAAAAGTAGAGCTTTGTAGATGTCAAATTCCTTTAGGCAAAACACCTTAAGAAGTTTACTTTCTCTCCCTTCATCCCTCTTCCATCCCACCCTCCTTCCTTTCTTTCCTGTGTCTTGTCTTTGTGGTTATTAAAAAGCCAAGGATAAGTTAAAGATGCATTAACTTCAATGAAGCATGTGGCAATTTAACATCTAGGCAGTTTCCTTGAGGTTATTTTCCGTGGATAGGTAACAAAGAATCACTAAATTTATTTCACTCAAAGTAGAGAACCCTGACTCATGCAATTCTGATAAAAAGCCTACCCAGTATTAGGAAGCTCAGCCTGCTGGAATCTTACTCCTTTTTACTTTACTATTTCTCCCTGTTTTCATTATCTGCTGATAAACTGGTTTAACTAAACATTTTCAGCCATTTTTCAAAATATTTTTAAACTCTTCAAACTTTAACGAAAATGTTACACAGTGGATTTTTAAAACCCACAATAATTATGATATAAAAATTATCTCCATAATACTGTACCTATGTTTCTGTTTATCTATGGAAGCCTCCAGGCCTTCCTTCCTTCCAGTATGATAAAAGCAGTCATTACACATTTTGGTGGCATTTAAATAATCAGAAATAGTGTCTCTCTTGTTGTGACTTGCCACTGTTGGCATGTGTGCTGTATTCCAGACACTACACTAATATGCCTTACAAGGAGGGAGGAATTTATGCAGTCGGCAGCAGATGCATGTTAGTTTTCTAGATTTGAAGTTAGATTGTTTTTTCAATAAGTTTGCTAATTTCCTTCTGAAATAAAAGCAGAAGGAGAAAAGGCAAATTCCAATTTAGCAATTTGAAGTAATTAAAAAGTATATTTTATGATAATGGACTCCTCATTCTATAGTAAGTGTTCATATTGATTTTTTAAACACAGTCTAAATGTTCTATGCATAGACACCACAAAACAGACAAGCCAACACAATTATTCATAAATTGGGCTTTCTGTGTTGATCCTAAAAACTTACAATGTAGAGTCTGACCTATTATTTGTTGCTATTTTTGTTTTCAAATTATTTATTCATGGGCCTCTTCAAATAATTTTTTTTCCAAATAATTGTGAATACTTCTTGGTCTCAAACATTATAATTTAACTGAATGTAGTTAATTTTTTCTTCATTTCTTTACTGTGTATATTGTTTTTGATGTAATAATAAATTTAAATGTAAGAATAATAAAAATTAGAGCAATTTGCATAAAATATTTGTTTTTTGATTGAACAAATTTTTATTATAAAATTTGAATTTAGTCAAATTACTAGTTAAGACCTATCAGTGATTGAACAAGTACTCATTCTTTATTCAGAGTTTATAAAATCACCATACTGACATTTTTTTCAGTTCTTATGCAGCATTTTGGTATCATCTTGAACCTAGCTCTATGTCACTGAGTGACAAAAAGTAGTTATGTTGAATATGTGGGTGGTTATACAACTATACATATTTCCCCAAATTCATCAACTAGTACACTAAAAATTGATAAATTTTATTGTACATAAATTTAGCCAAATAGGGCTTATTTAAAATAGGGAAAGAATAAACTGCCCATACATGCAACAATAGATATGAATCTGAAAATGTGTATATTGAGCAAAAAAAAAAAAAAACACAAAAGCAAGTGTCAAATGAAATTGAAGAACAAGCAAAAATAATTTAGAATGATAGCAATCAGAAGAGTGGTTGCTGAAGAGGGGTAGGGATTGACAACAATGGGGCACAAGTAAACAGTGGAGGAAATATGTCCTCCTTTTTATGCTGATTACATTAGTACATATATTTGTCAAAACTCAATGAATTGTATTCTTCATATCTGTGCATTTTATCTTAACTTTAAAAAATAATGTAAACAAGAAAAAATAATAAATGTAACTTTGTTGGGTCTATCACCCAGCTTTACAAATAGAACATTGCTAATTCCTCAGAAGCCCCTTTGATATCTCTGTTTAATCATCTTTTCCTCCCACATGTTCATATGATCCCTGGATTTTGATGATTTGGAAGAGACACTTTCTCAGCCAGCCTCAGTTGCACAAATTGTGCACTTCCTGGAATTCACCTTCCTTCCAATTCCTCCATCAGTGTGGGAGCAGCTCCCTGTCTCCCACAGCATTCTAAACATATCTTCAATATTGTAGAGGAATCACTCTATGACTTTTACAATGGCAGTAAAATTATGGGTACAAAATTTGGATTTCCAAATCCAGTTTGTGACAGCTAATACCATACTCCCAGAAGCAACAGGAGAGCTACTGAATGTACACTCCACTCAAACATATTTCCTCTTGAGAGACATGATTTTAGTCAAACTGCCAGATTCAAATTGGAAGTACATTTAAAATCAGAGCCAGTGGTTCTAGTTCTAAAAATTATTTGAAGAGTGCCACTACACTTATGCAATTTGTGGTGATATTACAATAAGTGGTTTTCTGATTCTGACTTTAAAGACTCCAAGATCAGAGTTATGCCTGGTTTTTTAGAGCAAACACAAATAAGTCATACAGTCTTGGCTAAAATTTAAGCAATGGACTGTAGGCCCATCAGCAGAGCCTGGATGTTTGTATTCCAACAGACTCTCTGTGACTCTGGGTTTTTGTGCTTGAAATAAATATTGTAACATTTGGGGCCCTGAGAGCCTTCAAGTAATATCATCCCCACCAATTTGCCAACTGAATTACAAAAAGTTTGTAAAGTAAAACCAAAAAGGAAACATAGAGAACAAAATATCACCTGTAGTATTCATGTAGAAAATCTGCCAGGTGAAGCTTAGTATAAAGGTCAAATGGGCCATGTATTGGATGTCCACAATGAGTCAAAATAACTCATCAGTCACCAAGACTCTCACTAAGTAAAAGAGAACGTTTGCTCTTTGAAGCAGTTTGCTCTTGAGGAAAAAACTGAATAGGAAAGAGCTGAGGCAATTGTCTGTGTCCAAATATGCTTCACAAATATATCAATTAGGGAAATCATTCCACCTTCTCAGCTTAGAAAGAAACCTATGTATACCTACTGGAATTACATGTCCTTCACTGGAAGGAAACAGATGATAAGCACTCTAGTAAAAAAATTACCAGGCTATAGCTACTGTACTGGAAGCGTGGTAGCTCCTTTTGGATTATGAGAATCACAGCCTGATAAACCTAGTGTATTTGGCTTGGTTTCTTACAGATGGATATGATTGCTTGCCAAAGTTAAAAGTTCTAAATGTATCTAACATTCCTGTTTCTTGTATTAATATTTGGAGAAAATATGAGTGTCATCACTTTAATGATTACTGAAGTTTCAACATAATTATCCATATTATCGTTATCATTTTCACCATACAGGCCAAGTCTTCAGAGTCAGGGAGATAAGCAAATCTTGTTTAGATCAGGAAAGTAACAAATACAAGTCTGTTGTCCCTAAGAAATTTAAATTTTACTTTAATATCCCTCCTGTCCTATGCAATCCACTCATCACATTTGAGCAGTTAGTGCCTGGGATTATATATGTCTGGATCCCTATATTGGATGACATTTTGGACCGCACATCCCTTATCTAGGCATTCTCAGATAAACTTCAGCAACACCTTATCTGGGAAAATCCTTAAATATGTATATTCAAAAGCCAGAATTTTCAGTTGCTAGGTGTGTCTTATTCACCTAAGATGTCTGCATCAATGCTAAACATACTGCTGTAGACTGAATGTTTGTGTCCCTGTGAAATTTTTATGTTAAAATCTGATTCCCTATATGCTGGTATTTTGAGGTAAGGCCTTCAGAATGTGATTAGGTTATAAGGATGGGAACCTCATAAATGAGATTCATGCCCTTATAAAAGAGATGCTGGAGGGTGGAAAGCTTCCTTGCCTCTTTTGCTGTGTGAAGGTCCAACTAGCAAATGGCTGTTTATGAACCAGGAAGCAGGCCCACATCAGAAATGGAACTTCTCAATGCTTTGATCTTAGACTTCCAAGCCTCCAGAAATATGAGGAAGAAATTGCTGTTGTTTATAAGCCACCCAGATTATGGTGTTCTGTTATAGCAGCTTGAACTTAATAACACATGTGGTGTATTCATTTTCTGTGGCTGCTATAAAAAACTACCACAAACTTTGTAGCCTAAACAACAGAAAAATATTCTCACGCTCCTGAAGGCCAGAAGTCCAAAAATCAGTATTACTGGGCTAAAATCAAGGTGTCATCAGGGCCATGCTCCCTCTGGAGGTTCTAGGGGAGAATTTGCTTTTCTTTCCTCTTCCAGCTACTGGTGGCTACCAGCATTCCTTGGTTTATAGTTGCATCACTCCAGTCTCTGACTCCATGATTATATCTTTTACTTAGCTTGTGCCTGTTTCTCTTCTACCTCTGTGTCTCTTATAAGAACACTTATGATTGCATTTAGAGCCCACCCAGATAATCCAGGATGATCTCTCCATCTCACATGTTTTTGCCTAATTACATTTGCATTTTTTTGATATGTGGTAACATTTAAAGGACTTGTAGAGACTGATATCTCTGGGGGTCGTTATTTAGCATAATACACAAGGTATCAGCAATTCTGTAGTTGAGGGCCCCAGCATAATAATCAAAGACATCAAAGACATATTGTATTCTTTCTGTTCATATTGTTAGTTCATGTGTTACTTATTTTCTATAAATTCTTCAGTAATTAATCTCTTCAGAAAGAGGAAAACATTCAACTTGTTCCTATCATAGCTGCCTCCTGAAAATAAGTAAAAACTCCTTTTGCTTTTGCTCTATTCTCAGACTATTTTCCCACATCTAGTCTGAATCCGTTAAATCTGACAGCTCTGAAACCATTGTATGGGCTTTCACAGTTCACTAGGAATGATTGCATGTCTAAAATGCGATACAACAAATATTTAGGTGGCTCCCTGTCATATAAGCTACTGTATAACACTCTAGATAACTTGCAAGCTCCTGTTTCATTAACTCATCTTTACCATGATGCATATATTGACCTGTGCCAATGACAGAAGGAAGACAACTGACTCTAGGATGCTCCCACTCTCCTTCAAACATACACAAGCCATCTGCTCCTGTAAAAAACATGAGGTCTTTAAAAAATGATATTATTACAAAACCATATTTCTTCAAATATGACTCTACATGTGTGTCCGTTTTACATTTTATCATTTACTGTCATTCCAGGTTGAAAAAGACTCTGATTTTCAATCCATATTTTAGGTGTGATCAGATATGGAAAATCTAAATACATTGTTACAAGTTCTGAATGTTATTGGCACTGGCCATCTCCTGAATAAGTGAAAATCAGTTGGAGTTAACAGTATCTTGTTGTGGCCTTTGGCTATTAAAGTGACCTCTAAATAGAATCCCATTTTATCCATTTCAGACTATAATATACGGGCAGCATTTTGGGGGGTAATGTGTTTTGTAATAGATAGAAAATTGTTTTAAAATGTCTTCAGGATCTATTTGTGCATACTTGCCCTTTATAACTCAAAGTATTTTTATTATAGTGGCTGAATTTTGAAATACAATAGACTATTTTGATAGATTTTCGTAAGTGCCTTCAAAGTATTATTATCACCAAACCCAGAAATGAGAATAAATCCGAATTTGACATTTCTTCTTGTCTAAAGAGTGTTAGAAACATAAGCTGCAATGGTTTGTTCAGTACATTTGGTCAGCCTGATTATTTTGGTCACCTGCAGGTGAAACTTTCTGTAACAGAGCTTTGAAGTAGTTTATGTTGCTTTTAGCATCTTAAAATAACAGAAAACTCTGCTTTGAGATGGCTTAACCTTTACTTTTTTCCTTGGCCTTCTTTGAGCAAATGTGTGAGTGTAAGTTGAGCTTGGGGTTTCACTTTATGGCTACAGTGGAAGTAACAAGCTGTAAAGACATGCCAGGTGATATGGTTTGGTGGTGTCCCCACCCAAATCTCATCTTGAGTTATAGTTTCCCTAGTTCCCTCGTATCCTGGGAGGCACCTGGTGGGAGGTAATTGAATCACGGGGGCAGTTACCCTCATGCTTTTCTCATGATAGTGAGTGAGTTCTCAGAATATCTGATGGTTTCACAAGGGGCTTCTTCCTTTGCTCGGGACTTTTCCTTCCTGTTGCCCTGTGCGAAAGATGCCTTTCTTCCCCTCTATCTACTAACATGACTGTAAGTTTCCTGAGGCCTTCCCAGCCATACAGAACTGGGTCAATTAAACCTCTTTCATTTATAAACTACCCAGTCTCAGGTATTTCTTCATAGCAGAGCAAGTATGGACTAATACAGTAAATTGATACCAAGGTAGTGGGGCACTGCTATAAAGATACTCAGAAATGTTGAAGCTACTTTGGAAAAGCAGAGGTTGGAACAGTTTCGAGGGCTCAGAAGAAGACAACAAAATGTGGGAAAGTTTGGAACTTCCTAGGGACTTGTTGAATGGCTTTCACCAAAATGCTAATAGTGATATGGACAATGAAGTCCAGGCTAAGGTGGTCTCAGATGAAGATTAGGAGCTTGTTGGAAACTGGAGTAAAAGTCACTTTTGCTATGCAAAGACACTGACAGCATTTTGCCCTTGCCCTAGAGATCTGTGGAACTTTGAGCTTGAGAGAGATGATTTAGAGTATCTGGCAGAAGAAATATATAAGCAGCAAAGCATTCAAGAGGAAGATGAGCATAAGAGTTTGGAAAATTTGCAGCCTGATGATGTAATAAAAAAGAACCTATTTTTATCCGGGGAAATTCAAGCCCACTGCAGAAATTTGCATAAGTAACAAAGGAACTAAATGTTAATCACCAAGACAATGGGGGAAAATGTCTCCAAAGCATGTTAGAGACCTTCAAGGCATCCCCTCCCATCATAGACCTGGAGGCATAGGAAGGAAAAATGGTTTCACAGCAGATCCCAGGTGCCCCTGCTCTATGCAGCCTTGGGACATGGTGCCCCTGCTCTATGCAGCCTCAGGACATGGTTCCCTGCATTCCAGCTGCTTCAGCTCCAGCCATGGCTAAAAGGGGCCAAATTACAGCTCAGGCCGTTGCTTCAGAGGGCCAAGTCTTGGCAGCTTCCATGTGTTGTTGAACCTATGGGTGAACAGAGATCAAGCAGTGAGGTTTGGGAACCTCTACCTAGATTCAGAAGATGCATGGGAAAACCTGAATGTCCAAGCAAAACTTTGCTGCAAGAGTGGAGCTCTCATAGAGAACCTCTGCTAGGGCAGTACTGAAGGGAAATGTGGAGTTGGAGTGCCCACAGAGAGTCCCCATTGTGGCACTGCCTGGTGGAGCTGTGAGAATAGGTCCACTGTCCTCCAGACCCAAGAATGGTAGATCTACCAACAGCTTTCACCATGCACTTGGAAAAGCACTCAATGCCAGCCCATGAAAACAGCCAGGAGGGGACTGTACCATGCAAAGCCACAGGGGCTGAGCTATGGGAGCCCACCTCTTGCATCAGCATGACCTAGATGTGAGACATGGAAGCAAAGGAGATCATTTTTGAACTTTAAGGTTTAATGACTGCCCTATTGGATTTCAGATTTGCTCAGGGCCTGTAGCCCTTCATTTTGGCCAATTTCTCCCATTTGGAACTGGTGTATTTACCCAATTCCTGTAACCCCATTGTATCTAGAAAGTGACCAACTTGCTTTTGATTTTACAAGCTCATAGGTGGAAGAGACTTGTCTCAGATGAGACTTTGGACGAGGACTTTTGGATTAATAGTGGAATGAGTTAAGACTTTGGGGACTGTTGGAAAAGCATGGTTATATTTTGAAATATGAGCACATGAGATTTGGGAGGGGCCAGGAGTGGAATTATATGGTTTGGCTGTGTCCCCACCAAAATCTCATTTTGAGTTGTAGTTCCCATAATCCTCACGTGTTGTGGGAGGGACACTGAGGGAGGTAATTGAATCTTGGAAGTGGTTACCCCCATGCTATTCTCTTGATAGTGAGTGAGTTCTCACAAAATCTGCTGGTTTTATAAGGGTTTTTTTTCCCCCTTTGCTTTGCACTTGTCCTTCCTGCTGCCCTGTGAAGAAGGTGCCTTTCTTCCCTTTCATTTTGTGCCATGATTATAAGTTTCCTGAGGCTTTCCCAGCCATAAGGAACTATGAGTCAATTAAACCTCTTTTCTTTATAAGTTACCCAGTCTTGGGTATTTCTTCACAGCAGCCTGAGAATAAACTAATACACCAGGATACACACAATGCTCAAGCACATTCAAAAGCTATACCAATGCTCTGTATTTATTTCTATGGCAGTAATTTTTAGGGTTCCATCTTTTTTTTTGCTGTACAATCTCAGTTCCTCTCAGAACCTGTTATAAGTAGGAGTCCTGAAATGAAAGTAAAAATAGCAATTTTGTTTTCCAAATTCTGCAGTAAGAGTCTTTCTTTTTGTGACTCAAAACTCAAGGTACAGGCATGATAATGTAATGGGTTTGAGAACTCTGAAAGGAACTTGAACTTCTTTTAGAATTTGAATAAATACAGAAGAGTAATTTTTGTATCTACTGGACTGAGGAAGAGTAGAGAAAAAGGAATATTTAAGTGTGCTACATTTTTTTTTGCATAAACCCATGATTATTTTTCTAAGATTATCACAATATTTTTTCTTTACAAAGCTGACATACTGGTGAAGTTTAAGCCCACATTACCCTTGATTTTAAAAATCACCTCAATTAATTTCATGAATATACAAAATCTGACTTCCACATGTGTCTATATCCATTTTCATAGTAAAAAAAAATGGTGCCTTTTATTGGTTTTATCTTAATTAATTTAATTTTATGGGCCACATAATTTATAAAAATAATGATAGTACACAAAACTATTAAGTGTAGAATGGCCATGTGATATCAATATTAGAGATTTCTGTGTTAAAATACATTGAAACTCACATGATTTAAGTGCTAAACTTTTTATACTGCAAATAAATATTAATGTGGTAAGTTAAGTAATTTTATTCCAGTTGCTAGTATGACTATGACATTGTTTTATAAAAATACAAATATTTTATTGCCTTTAATTTTGTTGGTTATAGCATTGCAATATTTATAATAGTTACTTTGTTGAATAGGACTAGTATGGTATTTATTAGCAAACAATAAAAAGGAAAAAAGGCTACTGCCCTACTTTTTGACGTCATACAACTGCTCGCCTTTTAAGACCTTAGGGTTGCAAAAGAAGTGTTACAAACCCAAAAACCATAAAGCTGAAGAGTTTAAACATTATTATTACTAGCTCCCACCCTATCTGATTATTCAAAAGTTTTAAACATATTTCAATCTTGTCTCTGAATTTCTCAACTAATAAGAAACATGGTGTATCAGATATTAATTGCTACGTATCAAAGCCCCCCAAAATTCATTACTTCAAAAAAAATGATTTATTATTTCTCACAACTTGTTGGGTTCGGTGGGTGGTACTTCTAATGATTTTTCATGGATTCATTCATAATGCTGCATTCAGGAAGGTCCAGGTGTCCTTACTCATATGTCCAGCAATTCACGTGGCTGAGGTGGTGCTTCTTGGTTCTGTACCATGTGGCTTCCCATACTCCAATAGATTAGACTGAGCTGCTTCTTTTTCATGTCAGGATAGCAAGGAAGCACACTAGCAGTAGTTGCAAGCCCTCAGCACCCATGTCCCGAAGGTTTAAAAATTTCTTTTTTTTATACATTCCATGGGTCAACACAGTCCACAAAGTCAGCATAGATTCAAGTGTGGTGAAATAGACTCCACTTCTTGATGGAAGCTGTGAAATACTGTGGCTATGTTTTCAATCTGCCACAACACACATATCTTCTCTACATTGAGAGAGCAATGTTTCTTGTGAGCAAATTCCAGTCATTTAAAATTTGTCATTGGTAAGGCAGGGGAACTTTGGGAAAACAGGAAAACTTTGTATATCCCTTTTGTAGAAAGACAGTTAACCAGCTATTTTCCTACCCTCATATCATTGTAAGTATTAAGGTTTCTTCAACATATGGAGTCTTTTTCCCTACACATTTTTGAGCCAATTCTAAACAAATTAAGAAGAGTGTTAATATTCTCAAACCTAACTGCGTATGAGATTTCTGAATGTTGTTTCTGCATATGTCCAGTGTGTCTTATCCTTTGTTATTGCTCTGAGTATCTGTATTCCACATTGTTTCTGCCTTAGGTGCACATAGCTTTGCTGGAATAAGAATTTTATCATAATCCCTACCCTTCGATTCTGATACTGTGAAACTAGCCAGATGCATTTACTTACTACCCTTAGTGGTTGTTTGTCTTTACTAAATAGGGTAATATTTTCACCATTGACTTTGTGTCAATTCTATTGCCTAGATAAAAGTTTTGCACACTTGTAGACTTTAGGAGAGATTTGGTCTGCACTTCTGTTTTCTGTAACCAAAATTGTGCTTAAAATAAACTTCAAACTAACAATGAAAATGTGGAAACTGAAATTTAAAAATGCAATACCATTTAGAATGACTTCAAATGAAATACTAAACCATAAAGCTAACAAAGAAAATGCAGGGTCTATATACTGAATATTATAAAATACTGATGAAAGAAATCAAAGAAGACCTAAATGAATAGAAAGGTATATATTCTGTAAAGTTGAAAATTCAATATAGTGAAAATGTTAATTTTCCTCAAATTGATCTACAGGCTTTGTGCAATTCCTATCAAAATCTCAGAAAGATTTTGTAGCTGCAGATAGGCTTATCCTGTAATTTATATGGAAGGAAACAAAACCTAAAACAGTTAAAACCTTCTTGAAAAAGAAGAATAAAGTAGAAGAAATTACTATATCTGATATTATATTACAATAGCTACAGTATTCAGGGCAGTGAGGTGTTGATAGAGAGATAGTCAAATAAATCCATGTGGGTAGAGAACCCAGATATAAACCCACACAATATGGCCAGCTTATTTTGAACAAAGCTGCAAAGGTAATTCAATGAAGGAATGATGGCCTTTTCAAAATATGCAGATGGACTAACTAGACATTGGTAGACAAAATAATCTTAAACTGAAGCTCATAACTTATGAAAAAATTAACTCAAAATGGGACAGTATTTTTTTTTTTTTTTTTTTTGAGACGGAGTCTCACTGTGTCGCCCAGGCTGGAGTGCAATGGCGCAATCTCGGCTCTCTGCAAGCTCCGTCTCCCAGGTTCACGCCATTCTCCTACCTCAGCCTCCCTAGTAGCTGGGACTACAGGTGCCCGCCACCATGCCTGGCTAATTTTTTGTATTTTTAGTAGAGACGGGGTTTCACTGTGTTAGCTACGATGGTCTCAATCTCCCGACCTCATGATCCACCCGCCTCAGCCTCTCAAAGTGCTGGGATTACAGGCGTGAGCCACCACACCTGGCCAAAAAAGGTCAGTATTTAAATATAAAAAGTAAAATTATACTTAGGAAAAATAAGAGGGAATCTTTGGGACCTATGGTTAGCAAAATGTTCTTACATGACATGAAAAAGCAAGACTCATAAAATAAAGAAATGATAAAATTAGACCTCATGAAAATTAACAATTTTTGCTCTACAAAAGATCCTGTTAAAAGATTTAAAAGATAAGCTAGAGACAAGAACCCTGTAAAAAGGATGAAAAGAGGAGCCAGAGACAAGGAGATCATATTTACAAAACATATATTGTATACAAAAGAGCAGTAGCTTGATTATATAAAGTACTTTCAAAAATCAACGTAAAAACACAAACAATTCTATTAGAAAATGAGCACATGGTATGAACAGACATTTCACTGAAAAAAAAATAAAATAAACGTGGTAAATATGCACATGTAATAGTGTATCTTCATTGACCATGAGGGAAATGCATGTTAAAACTGCAAAAAGAAATCATTATACATGCATTTGAATGGCTAAAATTAGTAACAGTGACAACACAAAATTCTGACAAGGATGTGGAGAAACTAGATCACTCATACATTGCTGGCGGAATTGGAAAATGGTACAGCCATTCTTGAAAACATATTGAGGGTTTCCTATAAAATTAAATGGGTAACTATCATATTATCTACCAACTGTACTCAATATTAATTCTAAAGAAAAATGATAATTTATGCTCATACAAAAATCTGCATACATAAATTCATGGTTTTATTCATAATGCCACAACACCAGAAATCATCCACATTTCTTCAGTGGTTGAGTGATTACACAAACTGTGGTATGTTCTTATCTTGGCATATTACTTAGCAATAAAAATAATAATTTGAATGAACTATTGATACATTCAAAAACTTGCAGGCAGCAGATCATGAGACTTCTCAGCCTTTATAAATGTGTGATACAATTCATATAATCAATCTCTCTCTCTCTGTCTCTCTCTCTGTATATATACATATATACACTTCCTATTGGTTGTTTATCTGGAGATCCCTGACAAATACACATAAAATTAACCATGGCTGATGGGTACATAAGATTGGGAACTAACTAGGAAGTAATTGGGAGATGTTTTGTGCAGTCATCAGGGAAGAGGATTGAGAGGTGTATATGTGAAAAGCTTTGAGGGGACTTTTACTAATGTCATTCCCATACAGTTTGAAGCTTAGCTGTCTTTTGCACTAGATAAGAGGTTAAAGTCCTCAATTTAGTAAGTACTGGAAGCTTCTAGACAAAAAAAAAAGTGTTTGTGTGAGAAATTTTTAAATCATGTTCTCTAGGAAGCCATTGATGCATTCTTCAAGTGCCTTCAGAGCAATATTGTCTTGGCTATGACTTCTTAGATTGTGTGAATTTATTATTTAGCCCTAAATTTATAACTTGATTTCATTATCCATTAGTAGGGAATACTAAAGTGATTGATAATAACTTACAGAAGTTTCAATACTTAAAGTTCTAGGCTACTGGCTTCGCATAATTTTCATATAGCATCTTATATTTTCATAATGCTATGACTGCTACAAATATGTTTATATAATACAATATTCATTTTTTTTGCCAAAGCGATTTCTGCAGAGCTAGAGGCCAAAGTTCGTGTGTTTAAATTGAAACTCAAAATTACAAGACTAAAAATTCTTACCCCAGTGCATAAATTATGTTTAAAAATCTTCTGTGAGATGCTTTCTGATCTTAGATAAGGTTACAATATAATATACTGTCTAAACTGAGACACTATTTCAGAGACAAATGTTGAACCAGATGGGATGCTGGAACAACAGGTGTAAATTAGGACTATTTTGTGAAAACTGGAATGTATATTTACCAGAAGTATTGGAAATGTTGGAAAACATTAAAATCTAGAAAAATAAATTGGTTAGCAAAACTGCTAAATTTTTGGTATAACATCTTCTACAGTTTAAAATAGGGTGAATATCAAGTAGATTGCATAGTTGCTTATACCAATGCAAAATTATGTATAAACTTTGCTATAAACTTGGTATTGGGTCCCTCCTAAAATTCCTGTGTTGGACCTTAATCCTTGATGCCATAGTATTTGGAGGTGGGCCTTTGGGAGGTGAGTAGGTCATGAGAGCAAAGCCCTTCTGAATGGAATGAGAGCTCTTACACAAGCTAATAATGAGATCCCAGAGCACTCTCTTGACCCTTCCACTCTGTGAGGACACAGAGAGAAGTTGGCTGTCTATGAATCAGAAAGCAGGCCCTGACCAGACACCAAAACTCCTGGGACTTTGACTTCTCAGCTTCCAGATCTGCGAGAAGTACATTTCTGTTTTTTTATAAGCCACACACCCTATAATACTCTGCTTTGATTTTTCTCCTTTTTAATTATAATACTATTCTTTTTTATTTCCAAACAGAATTATAACTCTCATGGTACAACATGATGGTAATGAGAAAGATGAAAAGGTTATATATGGCACTATCAGTAATAGAATTTATTCTGAGACTCAGAGGTCTCTCTTGTGGGCAGTAAGTTTGATAGTTATGGATTGTGAAATTTTAGATTTTACACAAAGCATCAGGTCAAAGAGTAACTACAAATACTATGAACCCCTACAATGCTTTTCCCCCCCCTTTCTTCTAAGCAGAGAAACACCAAGTAGGAACAGGAGCAAATCTCATCTAATACCTAAATACAAACAACAGAAAAATTAAATTGGTACAAGCATTCACAATCTATAATTTTTTTTTTCTTCCTTGAGATGGAGTCTTGCCCTGTAGCCCAGGTTGGAGTGCAGTGGCGAGATTTTGGCTCACTACAACCTCCGCCTCCTGGGTTCCAGTGATTCTCCAGCCTCAGCCTCCCAAGTAGCTGGGATTACAGGTGGCTGTGGGATTACGTGGCTGTCATCAATGCCTGGCTAATTTTTGTATTTTTAGTAAAGACAGGGTTTTGCCATGTTGGCCAGGCTGGTCTTGAACTCCTGACCTCATGATCCGCCCACCTCGGCCTCCCAAAGTGCTGGGATTACAGGCATGAGCCACCGAGCTCGGCCCCACAATCTATAACTTTAAGTGTGAAATAAAGTGACTGAAGAACCATAACAGTACATTAGTTTTTCTCACAAATATAATGCCTAGATTGATATCTCCATGTTAAATATTGAGTAACCAACCAAATTACAAAACAAACATAATAAAAAAGACATAGAGACAGTGATTAGCTAGGTGTGGTGGCGGCAGCTAAAGTTCCAGCTACTTGGGAGGCTGAGGCGGGAGAATGGCATGAACCCAGGAAGTGGAGCTTGCAGTGAGCCGAGATCGCGCCACTTGTACCCCAGCCTGGGCGACAGAGTGAGTCTCTGGCTCAAAAAAAAAAAAAAAAAAAAGAAAAAAAGAAACATAGAGACAGTGATGAAATTCTTACAAGGAAAACATGGCCCTAAAGAATCAGAGAAAAGGAATATTTTTGAACATATTTACTTCAGAGATCAAAATAATATATGTTAAAGTTATATTTTGTTTTCTTAAGAGGGAATAAAAATAGCCTTTTGGAGACAGACTTGAAAGAATCTGAGTAAACTTAAAAGCAAAAAGTTGATGTAAAAATAGGTGAAATGACTGCAAATGAATTTTAAAAGATAGTCTCATAATTGAAAGAAGTATTGAAAGTGTGAAAGAAAATTAAATTTTGGCACCCCAACCTCATTTAGCCAAAGGGAAAAGTCAAGCTAGGAACTGGGTCATGCAAATCTGCCTCCACCTTTTGGTTCCTAAATAAGATGGTTACTAGATGAAAAGCTACATGCCTCCTCCAAATTTTGCCCACAAAGAATTTTCTAGGGAGCTTTAAGATCTTTTAAGGTATTTCTGTTACAATTTCACCATGACAATGTAAATTGATAGCTTATCTTTACAGGGGCAGTCATTCCCCTGCCCACCGGACACAAAGGCAAACCTGATTGTTCTCAGCCCCATTTTGTCTGTGTTATCTTATGTAAAATGCATTCCCTGCATTTTTCCTCTGCCCCATTTGTCTATGTCACCTTATGTAAGAAATTCAGATTCACTGAACTAGACAGGGGCACGAATGACTGTTTTTCTCTAGCCCTCCCCTTACATGAAAATTGTGTGCTTCTCAGTATCCCACCTTTTCCCCCTTTAAATTTGGAGCCCTCAAAATCATCTTCAGAAAAAGGCATAGACCTGTCTTCCAGGTGAGCAACCTCAACTTTGGCAAATAAACCTCCTAAAATGATTAAGACTTCTCTCATTTTTCTCGATTGACAAAATATATGCCAACCATAATTAAAACTGCCAAAATAAAGTTTGAAAACGTAACCCTGGAAAATAGAATTCTTAGTGTCACGCGTGTCCATGTGAAGAGCACACAAACAGGCTTTGTGTGAGCAATAAAGCTTTTTAATCACCTGGGTGCAGGGGGGCTGAGTCCGAAAAGAGAGTCAGCTAAGGGAGATAGGAGTGGGGCTGTTTTATAGGATTTGGGTAGGTAGTGGAAAATTACAGTCAAAGGGGCTGTTCTCTGGTGGGCAGGGGCGGGGGTGTCACAAGGTGCTCAGTAGGGGAGCTTCTGAGACAGGAGAAGGAATTTCACAAGGTAATGTCATCAGTTAAGGCAGGACCAGGCCATTTTTACTTCTTTTGTGATTCTTCAGTTACTTCAGGCCATCTGGATGTATACCTGCAGGCTTGGGCTCAGAGGCCTGACATTTAGCAATATTTTCTGGTTTAGAAAAGACCAGATTTACCCTTAACACTTACATCAACTTCCCATTGTTTAACCTGTCTAGTCACATCTGTAAAATACTGGCCTCAAAAGGATATTATGAAAGTTTATTTGGTTATGTGAATCAGTAACTTAGCTTATGGCTTGCTAGTCATGGAGCAAGTGCTCAATAAATCATAGGTCTATTATTATTAATAAATTAGAATTATAAAAAGGGTGACAACAGTGGAAAATCCTCTTATGAATAATAATTGTGGTTCTCATAGAATAATTTAGAAACAACATAAAAATATGTAATAGAATAGTGTTCTAAGATTTAAAAATGTAAAATGTAAAATTTAAATGACCTCTATTTCGTAGAGATTTATTCAAAAGACACTACTATTAAGCTTGAATTTTGGAATTTATTTTTATATCAAGATAAAAATGTTTCTAAATATTCCAGCAGAATAAAATTATATAGTTTTAATTAGTTACTTAATTAAAATTTGCTTTTATGTCATTATTTTTAGTTGATAAATAAACATTTTTATATATTTATGTTGTATAATGTAGTGTTTTGATATATGTATACCATGTGGAATTACTAAATCAAACTAATGATTATATCCATTAGAGCACATTTTTTATAATGAGAAGATAGTTCTAATTTAGATTAAATTGTAATTAAATTAATTAAAACTTCTTCCTAAAACCAAAGGACAGATGACAATGAGACAATGCTTTTTAGACTTTACGAGTCTAAATTCAAAAAGGTTGTGATGCCCTAAATGATACATAGCTGAATTGTTTCTGGGAAAAGTACAGTTAGTTATTCTAAGAGGTACAGTCATTCAGGAAATATATCATTTAGCCGTGTTCTAAAAAAAATTACTTAAATTTAATGTTGGTGCAAATTAGAAAAGAATCAGAGCATTAGACATCTCACAAGACTTAGAAAGCTATAATCAGGTAGAATGGGCTAGATGAAATGACAGCTATAGAAAAGCCCCCAATCTAGGTCATCAGCTTTTCTAATTATTGGACCCAAAGAGACATGGAAACTTGTGCTTCATTATCTTGATGTCCATGTTAAAAGCCCGATTTTGTCAGTAGGGTCTAAAAGAATTCGCCTCTAGGCAAAGGATTGTGTAAAAAAGTTATAAAGCTCCAAGTATACGAAATAATCAGGAATGGTCATCACCCTAGCAACCTGAAGAACATGTACTTTTTATGAAACAGCAACCTATCCCAAAATATATCTCTGCAGGCAAAAATAAATAAATACAACTAATAAAACATACATAACAGATAAAATAGCAGCTGAATTTTGAATATACTCAAATTTGTCAGGAAAGATTGTAGGTAGTGTTTCCAAATCTTCTAATTTTATTAAAAATGTCAAAATCAGATTTTATGTAAAATGTGATTTGTGAATGTTGAGTTTATTTTGTTCTTTTTAAAATAAAAGTAGATACAAGTCCTTTGTTGGGTAAGTGGTTTGCAAATATTCTTTCCCCGATACGAGTTTTTCAACCAAGTTTTATACCAATACAGCTAAATCGAGTTTATTAATTTTTATTGGTAGTTTATGTACAAATTACAATAGTTATGTATTTCCATATTTATGTATAATTCGTTTTCAATATTTACTCTTAAATAGAAAGTCTTTTTTTTTTTTTTTTTGAGACAGAGTCTCACTCTGTCTCCCAGGCTGGAGTGCAGTGGTGTGATCTCAGCTCACTGCAAGCTCCGCCTCCCGGGTTCACGCCATTCTCCTACCTCAGCCTCCAGAGTAGCTGGGACTACAGGCGCCCGCCACCACTCCCAGCTAATTTTTTGTCTTTTTAGTAGAGACGGGGTTTCACCATGTTAGCCAGGATGGTCTCGTTCTCCTGACCTCGTGATCCACCCGCCTCGGCCTCCCAAAGTGCTGGGATTACAGGTGTGAGCCACTGTGCCCAGGCTTAAATAGAAAGTCTTTTTACCTGTCTCATGTTTGTATGTTAGAAATCCTGGGTAATGTGATTTTCGCATCTTTAATCATTTATTTTAATTATTAGTCAATCAACTCACTGTTATTATGGTAAGAACAAAACATAAGATCTACCCTCAACTTTAAAAGTGCACAATACAATAATTTTAATTATAGGCATAATGTTGTGCAGCAAATCTCTAGAACTTACTCCTCTTACATAACAGAAACTTTATACCTATTGAAGAGCAACTCCCAATTTCCCCTGAGAGAGTTTGGATGTTTGTCCCCTCCAAATCTCATGTTGAAATGTCATCCCCAGTGTTGGAGGTGGGGTCTGCTGGGAGGTGATTGGGTCATGGGGGCAGAGTCTTCATGTATGTCTTGGTGCTGTCCCCATGGCAATGAATTTTTTCTCATGAGATCTGGTTATTTAAAACTGTATAGGTTTAGTTGGCTCACAGTTCTGCATGCTGTACAAGAAGTGTGGTGCTGGCATCTGCTTCTGGTGAAGGCCTTAGGAAGCTTCCAATCATGGCAGAAGGTGAAGGGAAAGTAGGCATCTACATGGCAAGAGTGGGAGCAATAGAGAGACAAGGACGGTGCTATACAGTTTTAATTTGCACCAACATTAAATTTAAGTAAATTTTTTTAGAACATGGCTAAATGATATATTTCCTGAATGACTGTACCTCTTAGAATAACTAACTGTACTTTTCCCAGAAACAATTCAGCTATGTATCATTTAGGGCATCACAACCTTTTTGAATTTAGACTCGTAAAGTCTAAAAAGCATTGTCTCATTGTCATCTGTCCTTTGGTTTTAGGAAGAAGTTTTAATTAATTTAATTACAATTTAATCTAAATTAGAACTATCTTCTCATTATAAAAAATGTGCTCTAATGGATATAATCATTAGTTTGATTTAGTAATTCAAACATTGTACAGCATGCAGAACTGTGAGCCAACTAAACCTATTTCTTTATAAATTACCTAGTTTCAGGCACTTGTAGCAACACAGAAAAGGCCTAACATACCCACTTCCTCAGCACCTGAAAGTCACCATTCTACTTTCCGTTTCTATGATGTATCTAAGATAACCAAAGAAAATGATTCTTGGCATTGTCAAATTGCTCTTGTTAATGCGAGCAGCAATTCCCATTTTCCTCAGCAGTACGTGAAGGATCAAATTTTCTGTGTAAACTCACCAAAATGGAGATATGAATTATGTTTGTGGGCTGGGCACGGTGGCTCATGCCTGTAATCCCAACACTTTGGGAGGCTGAGGCGGGTGGATCACGGGGTCAGGAGTTTGAGACCAGTCTAGCCAACATGGCAAAACCCTGTCTCTACTAAAAATATAAAAATTAGCTGAGCGTGGAGGCACGCGCCTGTAATCCCAGCTACTCAGGAGGCTGAGGCAGGAGAATTGCTTGAATCTGGGAGGTGGAGGTTGCAGTGAGCTCAGATTGTGACACTCCACTCTAGCCTGGGAAGCAACAGCGAAATTCGGTCTCAAAAAAAAAAAAAAAAATTAAAAAATTACGTTCTTGTTATGTTCGTGGACAAGATTTACTATCATAATGATATAAATTTTCTTCCATCTATAAATTAAATGAAAGTTCAGTCAAAATCTAAAAACTTGGAAATTGATCTATAGTTCTAAATATCCAGATGGCAAAGAAAAGTTTCAATAACATACCAGATAATTTAGAAAATAATAGTTAAGAATGGGAGGGTTCCTAACATATATCAAAATGTACCATCAAGCTAAAATAAATATGTCAGTGCTACATTTTGTGTGAGGCATTTTGACGTTTCTCTCACCAGAATCAATGGAGACAGGCAGTTTCAAGGCCACTGTAAAGTTTATGTTTCTCCTCCCCACCATTACTGTCCTTAGAGAACGGTAAGAAGTCCCTGGGCTAACCTTGGATCTGAAGACCCTTGTGTCATTCCTCTTTCTGTGCCCTCCAGGGAAACGTGAATACTTGAAGAGCATGCTCCTCTCCATTTAAAACTCTCCTCTGTGTACCTGGGATTCTAGAATTCCCTATACATTTTAATAGATTCCCTTCCCAAACCATACTTTCTGGAGCTTGTATAGCCACATCTCAGATTCTATCCTCCAGGGACCAGAATGCATCACTTGTATGTACACCTGTGGATTATAGTGACAGTGACCTTGTGAGTGTTTGCAAGTGGAGTGGACAGAATTTTAATGCGTATGCTATCTGGCAATTACTAAGTATATCAATTCCAGTGTTATATTCAATGACGATATACATAACCACCAGATGGAATTCTTGACTCAGTGAACTCATAATCAATCAGCTCTGGGATGGGCTTACTTTTATTGAAAAGAGACTACTATTAAGCTTGAATTTATAGATTTAAAATGACCAGTGTGTTCTCCACTCTAATACAAGAATCATGATGAAGTTTTGTGTCCTCAGGTGTCAAGTCAGTTTGGGCCCTGTATTCAGAATTTTTTAAGTAAAATATATTTCCATAGGTCCCCACAGGAGGAAGACTCAGGGAATCATTAACCTATGCATTTGACACGACATTGCCACGTTCTTCCTTCTGGAAATCTTACCACTCCTCAGTCACTGGGCTGCAGATGAGGAAACTAGTTCAGTTCAAAAAATTGGGTAATCATGAATGCCTGATTTCTTTCAGAATTACAGACTGAGCATCAATCTTGTTGGCTGCCCACCTAACTTTCCTCTATAGACATTGTGTTCCATTAAATATTTTCAATGTTCTCTACAGGTCAGCTGACACTTCACTTTTGCTATACATGAAATTATTGTGCTTCATTGTTTCTGATATGATTGAGCATTACCACCTGGTTTCCATTACTTTGGAATCTTGTCATGCCAAACCTATTAGTGACTCTGGTATCTTTTACTGTTAGCCATGAGCAACAGAGAAGAGCCAGCATCAAGATTCTACCATCTAGATCTGCTACTACTCTCACAAGAAAATTCTTTCTTTTTTTATTTTGTCTCCTATTTTAATGGAGGAGGTGAGTATCTTACAGCATTCCCATAAAAATAGTTATCTGGTAGTTTTTTGGGTTTACTTAGAATATTCACTCTAGCATGCCAAATTCTTGGAAATGTTTTCATTTTCTATTTCATTTAACAAGACTTGCCTTCCTCAAGTTTTGAGGAGACATCCTTTTGGTATCTTTGCACTGTCCCAGGGTCCTTGCCAGAATATTGAGTCCTTTATCTTGAGAGAATGCTGCCATATCAATAAACTCTCCTTCTCACACAAGTTTGTGTGCCACGTGTCTTGATCTAGTATACTCAGAACACAGTTCTATATATACTGTCTTGGAGTCTTCTGGTATATGTTCATTAGACACTACAGTTCCTTCAGGTCAATAATTATCCCTTATCTTCCTTCATAGGCCAAGAACTTTCTCCATCAGTCAATTCTGTGATTTAATTCTAATTATTAATATGGTAGTCAGAAAGAAAAGTGAGAGCAGATTCTGGTAGAGTGAGGGTGTGCTGCTGTCCTGCACAAAGAAGGTGACTGCATCATTGTAAAGTCCTTTAGATAGTGGAGTAAACCCTTCTCTAGGCTTAGAGGACTTGGAAGCATATAAGAATTCAAGATTTTTAAGTATATTAACCGAGACATCTCTATCCCATTCTGATGGTCCCATTATTTTCCAATCAGGGCGCTGATCTTGGTAGAACGGACCTGCTTATAGTAACAATTTAATGCTCTCTGGCACTCTGTTACTCTTTATAATTGAATTTTGCTCCTGATCCCTAGCTTGCTCAGCTCTCCATCAACAAGGAATTGATATCTCTTTGTATACTGCCAATAAAAGTCCCTCTGGCTTTCACACATAGCTATTAATTGAGGAGTTTTACACTGTCTTTCTCTCAAGCATCAACTAACCCCAGCAACAGCTATCCAATTTTATTATCCTTATAATTATTATTTCTGCCATATTTATGTAATGCCTACTAAATCTCATTCACTAATTCATGGATCAGCATAGTTTTTCTGTAAAGGGCCAGACAGTAAACAGTTTAGACTCTACGGGCATCACAGTGTCTGTAGCAATCAGTCCAATCTGCAGTTGCAGCCTGACAGCAGTTGTAGACAATATGTGGCTGTGTTTCAATAAAACATTTTTTGTACAACAGATAGTGGGCTAGAGTTTGCTAACTTCTGCACTAGTGCATGTGCTTTTTTAATGTAGCATAACAGTTCATGATGTGTAGAAGTTTTAATAGATTCCCTGCCACAGCATGCTGGGGCTGTCTGCCCTCCACTCCTTAAAGTAATGGATTCCTGATTATCAGCAGATTGGGAGGTGATCCAGCTCCAACATCCAATTTTACTGCTTATTATTCTGACCCTTCTTCTGGTACCAATCAAGACTCCAGGAAACAGACTCTAAGAAGGAGGTTAGCATGAAGGGAAGGAAGCAAGATTATGCAAAGAGAGAAGGTAGGCTATTATCCGCTCTCAAAATTTTCAGCCAACTTCTTGGGGATGTTTGAAGCTAGGCTTTTTAGAGTTGTTCTAGTTAGAGTGAAAGGAACATAGGCTTGTATCTTTATACAGACAGGTTGCTAAATAAGATTGTCCCTGGTCAGAGTATGACTTTTTGCAAGGTGGCTTTTTTCAGCTTAGGGGAATTCGTAGAGAGGGCTGACAGCTAAGGGCTGTCTATCAACACTACTCTCTACAACAACCAGAGGGATATGTCCAGAAGGGACATGTTGGTTGTGCATGATGTCTTCCACTAAAGATGTAGCGTCAGACATATACAATCTGTGAGTTCCAGCTTGTCCTCAATCTTCATTGATTTCATGCCCAGTTTTTGTATCTGTTGGGATTGTAGCAACCTCAGGTACATTGCCAGATGCCTTCTCCATACCTACGGAGAGGCAACAATTTCCCACAGACTATACTACATAGCACCATTCCTTATTCTCTCTTAATAATTGGAAGACTTTGTTTTTCAGGATGATGATTGGAGATGCCTTTATGATCCTCCATTTCCCATTTCTAGACCCTTACCAGCTACACAAACAATCATGAAAGGTATAATCCATATGGCATATGGCTAGCCCATATTCCTCTGACTGAACCTAACTGGAGATTGTAGTAATTATGAGCAAATTTTCAGTTCCATGGAAAACTAAACTGAAAATATTCATTCAATATCTTATATAGTCATAAAAATGTATACCAATTATTACTATGATATAACATTCATTTATTTTCTTATGTAGATGTTCTAATTGTTGTTTATCTTACATATCTGTACCTAACATACAGATATCAAAAGTGAAATGTGAACTCATCATTACAAGATGAATTAAGGACCTTGTGGGACTTGTGTATCTACCTTTGGAGAGAAGATTGATGTGTTTGCAATAATACAAGTAGTATCATGATAGATAAAACATAATTTTACTATTATTTTATGGGGGAGTTAAATATGATTAAAAGTAGTATTTATGGATGCCATGTTAAGATGGACTGTGGTATACAACTTGATGGATAACTTGGTTAAACTGGGAAACATATTTCTCAGCATCAATTGTAATGCTTCTGCAGTAGAGAGGAAATGTGCACAAGAGCTGAAGCTGGGTTATTACTCTCTGGAGGTCTTTTCATACTCAGATGAAGTGGCAATGGATAGAATCAGAGATGCCTGGTAGATTCCATCACTCTCCTACTTTCTGCACCGACTTTGTCCTTACTGCTGGCCCTCTTGACATAGAATGACCTCAGACCAGCTACCAGATGCTTGGCTGTGTTTCCACAGAGGCCACAGTAGCACAGAAGCAACAGCTTCCCATAAATCTCTCAATGTATATAATCTTTCATTCTGAAAGATGTTAGACCAGATTTTGTCACATGGTGGCAGCAGAGTTCCAACAGGGCAAGCCCCAGTGCAAAAGGATTTACCAAGTTCCGCTTGCACCACTTTGCTGATGTTCCATTGGCAAAACACCACCAAGCTTAGAGTCAATGTGAGAAGGGAACACAGCAGAAATATTAGAGACATAATGCAAATCGACCTAAGCTGAATTTTACATTTGGTTCTATTACATATGTGTTAAAATTCAGAGGTCTTATTTTTCTTCTGACCAGTGAAACGTCTCCCTCTCATTTGTGTTTATATCTTTTTAAAAATAAAAATACAATTAAGTAGTGGTAAACTTATATGTTTGAGTATACATTCAGATTAGACCCTTCATGTATAATCATGAACTGCCTTTGAATTATAAATATACTTATCTACCATTGTCATGTTTTTTGTTCTTAGTTCATGTGGTATATCAAAAATGTTAAACATTTACAGATAATATGTTAATTAGTTGTAACCCATTTTCTTTAATCCAATCAAATATTTGTATAGCATATATGCCTCTGTTTTAATTAAACTAATTGTTTATTTAACATATACTGTTAGTTATATGACATATACTCCTTTTTAAATGTTAGAACAAAAACATCTAAAAGAAGCCTATGTTTAACTCAGTTTGTAGAATCCAGTGTTTGATATAATTTTTTAACAATAAAATAAAAGTTTATGCATGTTTTTCATGTTTCAAAAAATTCAGAAAAACAGTGATACTGAAGCATCTATATTGTCTGGGGTATATACCCTGGGGTTCGTCATCAAGTGCCAGGAAAATTTAGGACAGGGACACACAGGAGTTTAAGAAGGGTGATTTAACAGGCAGAAGAGAAGAGAAACAGCTCTCTTCATAGAGAAAGGGGTCTTCAAGGGGAAGGGACTGGAATGCTGGCATGCATCCAGTTTTATAGTCAGATTTGAGGAGGCGGTGTCTGATTTACATGGGGCTCACAGATTGGTTCTATCAGGTATGATGTTTACATAGTGCTTGGGGAAGGCTGAGTACCCCACTTTATTCTTATTATGCAAATGAGCTTTCCAGTTGATCCATGCCATCTTGTCTACTCCTTACTTCATACCTGGCTGACAAAGAGAAAGGAAGACGGAACCACCGTTTTGAATATGTCTAGTCCATAGTTCCTGCTGGCATTCACTCGTGCAAGCTCCTAGCCTGCTTTTCATGTGGGCAGCTTGACTTTACAGGCTGCTTTTTGTTAGAAAATGATTTGGGGCTACTTTTCATTAGAAAGAAAAGCCATACTGAGGACTCCCATACCCTTACTATCTGCCTAAGTGATTTCTTCTTAACTCCTATATCAATACTATTATTAATACTGTAAATACAACCGACATGTCTGGAAATTTTTATACCCTAATTCAACAGAGATACACTTAAACAATGTGGCAGGACAATTAGGAATTAACACTAAACTGAAGCTGAAAATGAGACTGTCTTTGCTTTCTTCACTAGCATGAAAGTAAAAACAAATAACCCTGATATCAAAGGAAAAATATGATTTACTTTATCATTTTATTTCCATTTTTAACATTTATTTTCTTATATTCTTATGATTTAGGGAGAAAGAGAATAACCTGGAGGCAAGAATTCTTAGCAGCTAATGCCCAGATGGATAAAATGTCTTTGGCCAAGTAAACTGTCATAAATAAAGCTAGAGAATAAAATGAACTACTTTCCCCCTGTGATTAGACAGTTATTGATTCACAGGTGTATAATAGGTAAAGGAAATAAACAACACACTCCAAGGTGAAAGAACACTTCAATTACTGTCATTTAAGTAATTTAAGTTTCTACTGATGAATTAATCTATATACATTTATATAAAGGTTCAGTTGTATTAAAGAAATAGAAAATCAACATTAGATAAGAGAATTCTGCAATAAAAGAATATTTTTACATTTCAAATATTTAGGAATAATAATTTAAAGATTTTTTTCATAGCATTTTTACAAAAATTGTATTGTTTTGAGACTTAGGATTTAAAATGCATGAACTTTTAATCTTGTGTTGGTGAATTTCATACCAAATAATTAAATTATTTTAATTCTAGCCTTTAAAAATTATTCAAAAAACCAAGTAATAATTATTACTTAGTTTAAAGTACAAGAGCTAAATGGCATTGCATTAATTTTATTATGTGAAGTACGAGGAGAGTGTTTTTTGCCCTTTAAAGTTATAATATTTTATCCTGTAAGAATGAACAACAATACCCTTTATCTTCATAGCATCAAAAGTAGTTGTTGCCATCAATTTCAACTTTACTCTTGCAATTGCTGGGCTAATCAACTCGGGCCTTCTTTGACTTCTTTCTCCTTTGGCCCCACGTATGAAAAATGTTGTCAGGAACTGCCATTCTGCTCCTCTGTAATGTAACTTTTATTGCACTTTTTATTTCGTTCTGCTAGAATTTGTATTCAGTTTAGTGTAACTGGTCTAAATGGCCTTTGCATAGCATACATACATATATTTATTTCTTTATTGTCTTTTCCCAAGTATGATATGAAAGACAGGAGGAGTATTTTCCAGATTACTCAGTACTCTATGGCAAGTGCCTAAAACTGTATTTTGTATATAGTGGATACTAATTAAATATTTGTTGTAATAATGAATTTCCAATGTATTATCCCCAAGAACTCAAGAATAATGTTTTGTATTATATGCTGAAGAACGAAACAATTATCAGAGACCAAACCATGACATATAGCAGTTTTTGCTTATTTGTTTGTTCGTTTGATGTCCCAGGCTTTATTTAGTTCTCCCTATTTGGCCTTCTGGCTATTTACAGAGAACAAATGTGGCTTATCAATTTTTTAATGTGGTCCATGACATCTGTGATGGTTAATTTTATGTGTCCTCTTGACTGAGCGACAGGGTACCCAGATATTTGGTCAAACACTATTCTGGGTGTTTCTGTGAGGGTGTTTTTGGAGGAGGTTAATATTTTAATTGGCAGATTAAAGCAGATTGCTTTTCATTATGTGGATGGGCCTCATCCAGTCAGTTGGAGGCCTGAATAAAGCAAAAAGATCATCCTTCACCTGAGTAGGTGAACATGTTTTTCAGTAGACTGCCTTTGAAAATATAACTTTATCGGCCATATCAGCTATCTTAGGCCTTCAGGCTGCCAGCCTTTGGACTGGAACTTCACAAACAGCTCTCCTGGTCCTAGAGCCTACTGGCCCATATTACAGATTTGGACATCCTTCTAGCCTTCATAATCACATGAGCCAATTTCTTAATAAATCTTTATATATAATATATAACATATATATGTCATATCTTGCTGGTTCTGTTTTTCTGGAGAACTCTAATACAACATCCCTTCTATTGTATTTCATTTTCATTGTATTTCTGTTGTTCTTCATTTTCCTGACAAAACAAACATTTCCCTGACAAGACAAACCAAGCTGTATTTTATTGTTTACTGAGTGACCTCTGGATGCCACTATCCGAAGTACCTGTGTCCAAAATATAATCCACTATGTTCACTGCAATAGTACAAGACAGCTCCTGCTCCTTTATAATAAAGAGAATATGTATAATAAATTGCCTAAAAATAAAATGTTGGTAAGTAAAATAACCAGGATTTTAGCCAAGACTTGTCTGGCCACTAATTTGATTTTTTTTTTACACCATTCAACCTCCAATCAGTCTAATGTTTTCTAAAAGACCAACTGTTATACTTTGTATAATTTTAAACATGATTTTAATTTCACAATTTATCAAATTAATTTTCAAATCATTATTGACTACCTAAGAAAGACTATATAATTATTCAAAATTATTCAATTATTCAAAATTTTGCCTTTCTATATACTTTTTTAATTTGGGAGATACTTGTCTGTATGATGTTGGAACACTATCAATATGGTTGACTTCTTCACTTTCTAGTATGTTAGATGAAAACAAATTTAGATGAGGCAGAATTGGCTGAGAGATTCTGCTTTTAATAAAAAGATGGTATTTAAAGTGTGACTTCTAAAAATGGAAGACCCTACTAAAATAGGATTATTTTATTTCTTATTTTTGCAGTTCATTATTTATCTGAATTTATTGATTCAGAAGAGAGGAAATAAAACAATCAATTTATAGGATCATTGCTTATTTGCATATCTCATTTTAAGCTTTGTAATTGTCACTAAAAATGCCCAGATTGTTTATTAGTCATTTATTTTGTTGAAAAACACTATTTGCTTAGACAGTCTCAATAGTAAAATTATTCTCAGACCACTACCCAGAGTATATCAAAAGATTAAAAGTATTTGTTTTTCACAACTGATTTTCCCAGTTTTGAAAGCCAATTTCTTGGCATTCTGAGGAAACATGTTATTCTACATTATTTTCAAAGCATTATAAATAGTAATTAAATGCCTTATGGCTGATATTTATAAGAGAATTGCTTTCAAAAGGAAATTATTTTCTCCTCAATTACTTCATTGTCACCCTTTATTATTGTTGTTTATATATTAAATAGCATGATGGGTACATTACAAATGAAAATAAAATACAACATTTTATTTAAAGGTATAGACTATACATTAACCTGATTAATTTAAATATTTAGGTTAATGTTAGGTTTTGATAGGAAAAATGGGTTATCAAATACAAATCGATTAAAAATTATTTAAGAGACTTAGGTTTGTCATTATTGAATATAAGTTACCATTGCAAAAATGCTTACTGATTCTTTCTTCTAAAAGCTGCTATTTTGAGTCACATTTGAATACTGCTTTAATTTTTGAGAAAGGCAAAAACTTCACTTATTTATTACTGGGATAGAAATCTTACTTATTGTTTCATTATCAAGGTATATTAATAGGTGGACTTTCGTGCTACTTTCCAAAAAGAAGATGATATGTTGGAATGATCATTTTGATTATGTCACTCTTTACTTCTTTTCTGAGTCCTGAGATTTTCATCATATTGGTGAGAGCTGGAAGTCTATTGAGAAATGCCTACCTGAGCTGGCGCAATATTAAAGGCAAGTGTTTGCTATTACTCAGGACTAATCCTGTCATGCCTATATTCCTGTTTTCTTTAGTCTTCAGAGGTAATTCAAATATCCTTCATCTGTAATCTTACCTCCATTCAGCTCTGAATATGTCCTTATCAGATCTAATCTACTCATTCTTAATCCCACTCCTACTCCCCCCGAACTTTTACTATCCTTTGGAATTTTGTGTTTGTCATCAGTAAAATTGCAATAGTTTATAGCTGTGATTTTTTTCTTGGTTTATTTTGCTATGTGAAATCTGAATATCTGATAATGACAGTGTTTTCACTGTAGTCTCTAAAAGGATGGCTGTTATTTTCCTATACCCCATGTGCTACTAAAAGTTTAGAGAGGGTTAAATGTGTTTCTTTGTCCTCAGGAACAATACAGAACTGTCATTCTTTCCTCTTCCTTTAAACCCCAACTGTTTTGAAACATAGCTCTTGGTTTATATGGCCATTTCCTTATTTTAGTCATTTATAAACCTGGTCATTTTTCTCCATTCGCTAGAGTTTTAGCATTTGACTCACTGCTGTTTTTTTTCTTCTTTTTCCTCTCTCAATAATTAATTCTTGCTTTTCTTCTACATCTAATTATCTTGTTTGCTATGCTTCTCTGGTATCAATCTTCTTGATCATTTCCTATACCTTTTCACTTGTAATAACTGCAACATCTCCAAACTTTTATTTTTAAGCCTCCACTCTCTGGTAACCACTTACTATATTTGAAATTTATTTACTTTAGTATTTGGAGGACAATTATTTATTGACCTCAATGGTAACTTCAGTATACTAAATATATTCTTTGCTACTCTGCATCATCACTTTCTTGTCTTCAATTCTCTGATTACTTGGCTTCGATTCCATGGTCTATAATAATCTTTACCTCGCATCAGCCCCCATTTTTTTTTCTGTCTGAAGTACTGAACTGGAAACCCTGGTAACTCCCTGATCTGCATCAAATCAGCTGAAGGTAAATGAAGAAAAACACACAACCATGCTTACTTTAAATTTGTGGCCAGAAAATTTAATTGCACTCTCAGTATTTCTTGAAAACATAAGTACATTTCTCCAGTCAATTCACCCTTCTATTCAAGGGTAATATTTCATGCTTTCTCTTATTTCTTTAAATGGCACTTTACTCCCTCACTCTTGCTTTATATATCACCAAGAAAACAGAGGTTTTTCAGAAGATGATTTTTACAACTAACTTACCAGACCATCTTCAAAATCTAAACCCATGCAATTTGTGTGTCCTTCTGTTACAATAGGTAAACTATTCATACTTTTTCCTAAAGCCAACATCTTTTTTATGATAGATCTTGTATCAGTTAGCTTTTCCCGTGTAATAAATCACTCCAAAATGTATAGCTAAAGACAACAGTTTTATTATTATCACTCATGAATCTACACATATGCTGTGGCTTGGCTGATGTAGGCTTTGCTTCAAACGAGTCTATCTGGACTCAATTCTTTGCTGAGGTTTGGTACCAGGTCAGCTCCATTTGGGTTAATTCTGAGGCATTGACTAAGAATGCAAAAGATACACATCGGGTATTTCTTTTTTTTAATGGTAGAGCCTTGAAAAAACAAAAGCAAAAAAAAAAAAAAATAGAAACACAGAAGGCCTCCAGAGGTAGGCAATTTCAATCTGTCACTTCTGTCTCATTTTACCGATCAAAGCAAGTCACATGGCCAAGCACAAATTCAAGACATACAGAACTATTCTCTTCCCCTCTAGTGTAATGAACTAAAGCACAAAATGGTGTAATGAAGGAGAGGGGTGAAAAATTGGGGCCTATAATAAATTAAATTATTATTCTTTTCAACTCCAATAGATTTAAGTAATTTCTACGTTTATTGCATCTCTTCTATTTCATAACTTTTTCTCTCTCTTAACTGAATCATTCCCATCAGCAAACAAACATGCTGAAATATATCTTACTTCATAGAAACAAAAACAAAAACCAAACAAAAATCCTCCTTTGGCTCCAATTCAATGTCTACTTCATTTTTATGTTCCATTATAGACTAATGTTCCTAGAAAGAAATGCCTACATCCAGAGTCTCTGCTTCTCCATTTTCTCTTGTGCCTGGAATCCTGTGGCTCAGGCTTTATTTCTACTATGCCACCAAAACCATTCTTTCCAAGATGATCAATAATTCCTAATTGCCAAATCCTACGACAAACTTTCAGTTCTTATTTTTATCTACATTATATGACATAATTGATCACTCCTTCCTTCTTGAAATACTTCTATTAGCTTTTTGAACACCATTCTCTTCTACTTTCTTTTCTATTTCACTGTACTCTCTCAAATTCTTTGGTGAGCCTTTTTCAGCTCTACAACCTGTACATTTTGTTTTTAAAGGATTAGTATTTGGACCTCTTATCAACATTATTACAGCCACTTTCTAGATGATATCATCTAGTCCACAGTTTGAAAATATATTTCCTAATAACTTTTAAATTAATAGCTCTAGGCTCATTTTTAGATATTATATAGCCAAATGCCTATAGAATAAGCTTTTGACTTGGATGTATAATAGCCATTTTTAAAATAGCATAAAAAATCAAACAAATAATATCCTTCCATCAACTCTCTTCTATGAATTTCAGTAAACGACACTCCATTCTTGCAGTTCCTCATGCTAAAGTCCTGCATTCATCTTTGACTTCTCTTTTGCCCTTATGATTCATTTACAATTTATCAGTAAATCACAATGGCTCTGCCTTTCCAATATATTCCAAATTCATGTTTAGGTAGAGATTTATATAAAACATAAATCTGACGTCACTTTTCTTCTCAAAGTTCCTCATTGACTTCTCTTAACATGTAAAGTAAGTTCAAACTGCTTAGCATGACATCCTTCCTTTCTACTCTCCTTGTACTCTTGTAGCATTAGTCTCATTGTTATTCATATAATGTTCCACATAGAGCACCTCTTTAAAAAACTTGCCTTTAATGTTTCCTCTTCCTGGAACACTCTAGATCTGGATTATGTATGGATCACACCGTCACTTTAACAAGATTTTTTGCTCAAATTTCAACTCTTCTGAGAGGTATTCTATCCAATCCAATCTATGATCAGATTTATTTTACCCAATTTATTCTGTTTATTTTTTCCTTGTAACATTTATTTCAAGAAGAGCTTTAAAATAAGACCTGAAGAACTTTGGCTTTGGACCTATCTCAGCAACTTTTTAATAATGAAACTTGGAAAAATCATATCTTAAAACCTTAATCTGCTCATTTGTCAAATGAAGATACTATTTTACAACAGTTATAAACATAGGATAATCAAATGCAAGAATATATGTGACAATTTCTAAACTATTATGTTTTAAAGACATAAATAGCATTGTCATTGCTACTCTCATCTATTCCTATGATGATGTCTTTCCATTTGCATATTTCAAGAATCTTGTCACTTGGAATTAAATAACTCTATTTACTTTAGAATATCTGATCACAACAGTAAAAGGCCCCAGGAAAGAGCTCTTGCTTTATAGTTATCCTTAATAGTCTAATTATTTTCAATAGTTGGCATTAGTCTTTACCAAACAATTATCTAAATCCAACTTACATATATAATTAGTTTAGAATAGGCCAAAATATGAAACACATTCCATATTTTAAAGGGGAAGTTATTTTACTATGCACAGATTATAAGACAAATTGCTTGCTGAATACCCACTTAAAACCCTTTGAAAAATTTCAAGATGAATTATTCAATGGAATAAGAGTATTTAGGTCCAATGATCCAGTGAAAATCACTGTTATATCCATTTCTATCTCATATAAATAATAATTATAAGCCCTAACATTTTATAGCAGAGTAGGGTGACTATAGTTAACAACTGTGTATTGTATATTTCAAAGTAGCTAGAAGAAAGGACTTGAAATGTTACCAACATATAGAAATGATAAATACTCAAGGTGATGAATATTTCAAATACCCTGACTTGATCATTACACATTCTATGCATGCAGCAAATACTCATATGTACCCCCATAAATATGTAAAATATTTTGTATCAATAAAAAAGCTATTTGATATTATAGTATTATTCAATGATGCTTAAGAGAGAAGACAAGAGTTTCAGGCAGACTTGAATATAGCCAATATTTTAAAGAAAATTATGAGCTGTGATTACTGTATATAAATTGGCTATAAACGAGTTGATGAAAAGGAACTTCCATTAATGATGGTGTTGATAGGCTACACGTATTGGAATGAATAAAAGGACTTGCACCTGATGAGAGAACTCTCTGTCCTTCCATTTCTTCTGGCGTGTAAGGACATAGCATTTCTCCCCTCCAGAGGATGCAGCAACAAGGCACCATTTTGGAAGCAGAAAGCAATCCTCACTAAATATCAATCCTGCTGACACTTTAATCTTAGACTTCCCAGACTCCAGAACGGTAAGAGATACATTTATATTGTTTATAAATTACCTAGTAGAAGGTATTTTTTAATAGCAGCACAAATAGGCTAACACATCCCCCATCTTCCAGGCATCCCATCTCACCAGGGGCGATTATGTCAAAGCTACCTTTAACCTCTGGGGAACTGGGGAGAGACAGTATCCCTGCACCCCTATCTCACGAAAGAGAAGGGAAAATGCAAATAGTCTCACACTAGGAAGATGACTCACTGTTTCTAAGACTTCTTAAACTTCCACTTTTCTTTGTGAAAACCTAGAAGAGTAATGGTAACAGTGCCCGGTCAACATCTCATCACTAATGTGATATGTCTGCTGGGTTCCTTTCCTTAGTAGTTATCTTTAGTATAAGGCGATGCTGAATCTCCACTATTTTCAGCCATGAATTTTCACTACAATTTTGAGACAGCATGAAAACTACTATTCACTATCCTATTAGTTATTTATAACTTTGTTTTAAATGTTTGAAGAGATTCAATTAATTAAATAGGTGCTCAGTGTTTAAATGCTAAAGAAAAATTGGCTTCCAAGTGCTGTTCCATAAGATGTGAATCTAATAAATTGAGCATTATGAAATAAAAAATAGCTGTGGGTGTTCTTTTTCATGTACAAACATTCCCTCAGACTTTTAAGAACCTTCTTAAACATAAATGACCTTTAGGGAATCCCAGGAATTACCCCAACTCTACACAGTGGCCTCCATCTTGAATACTGTGACATTTACTTTTTTCTCTAATAAGGCCAGTCACCTCACTGGTGTAGAAATCTCAGTTAATATGTCTTTTCTTAATCAACTTTGTAGCCTTTCTTCTCTATTTCTCAATATCTCATGCATTCTACCTTAAAACTTTCAGAAGTGTGAAGTTTCTGGAAATAATGAACTCTATATTGATCCATTAAATACTTGCCCTAATATAACAATACTCCTTGAAACATAGTTGCCGTTTTTTACAAACGTGGACATAATAGCTTGTCCATGGTTTAGCAATGGTTAAAGCCAATTGTCTTTATCAATTGTTAAAACCACTTGTCTTTAAATTGCGACTCCTTTGCAACTGATCATGCTCGGCTTTGGTTTCTGTTTTTCAAGTTTTGTTTTTTTGTTTGTTTAAATAATAGAAATTTGTTTCACACAGTTCTAATTTTTGTTTTATAAGTATCAGGTAAGGCATTCCCACTAGCATTGTGATGGTGGTACTCAGGCCCAAAGCCCCAGAGCCTCTCCCCAAAGATCAGTTCTCAGAAGCTTTATTTTGCCTTGAAGCCAATGACAGTTACCAAGTACTTTCAGGAGAGCAGAAAGAAATCAAATACTGGGAAACAAAACAAAACAGAAAGCTCCATAGTCACAGATGTAGATGGGACACAGAGGCTAGAGTATCCATCTCCTACTGGGCCTGCTGCAGGAAAGCCCTGATAGACCCATTGCTACCATCTAACCCCCAGGCCTCCTAGTCCAGCTCTGCTTTATTTTGTCTCCCTGGGATGTTTGGTAAGAAAACCTAGAAGCCTGGGTTCCTGTGAGATGATGTGGCTGTTTTGTTTTTTTTTTTAAATCTACCCTAGACCTTAGCTTACCTAGTAGGAAGTGGAGGACATCCAGACGGAAAGTTCATGAAGCAGCCCCGCCACAGTGAGCAGCCAGCAGAATATTTGTATTCTGGAATCCTTGCCTTTCCCATTGCGCCAAGCTCTAAAATATTCCCAGGGATATAAGGCAATCATCTTAAAGTTTTCAGGGAAGAACTATGTCCTTAACAAACTAGCAAGTAGAAAGCAACACCTATGAAAAACCCTTAGACGTTGGAGTCCCTATAATTAGGTATACTTATGACTGGGAATATGACTGAAGAGAAGTTAGGAATTCTGTAAGCTGATACTATGAGGTGAGAAAAGAGAAATAGATTCTGTGAGTGAGTGATTAATCTGGTGACAATGTATGGAAGGGTTTGGTAGAGAGAAACAAGGCCAGTTGTGCTATTGCATTTATTTTAAAATTTAGCATAATATTAAAAACACACAAGATTTTTATGGTAATAAAAAATAATAACTTAAAGAAGTGCTAAAAAGAATTTTGGTAAAAGAAAATAGCCTGCTTTATTTCTTCAATTTCCTAATCTGCTATGTACTAGAAAATTTGGGTTCTAGGGAGATGTTCAATAGTAATAAGTATTATGACAGTGCTTTAAATAATGTCCTCTGGGAATATCTGGGAAAAAGAGATTACTCTAAGAGAAGTTCTAGAAATATTAGTAAGGGAAATGTTAAGGCCTGAGAAAATAGGTAGAATTTCAACAAGTACACATGGACAAATGTTTGCTTAGGTGTTATCACAAAAAGTCAATGAGTTGCTCAAGGACAAGTATTTTATTTAAAAACAACAGCAAGAAAAGCATTTAGTGTTTATTCGGTTTCGAAACATGAGAATGCCTTCAAGGAAGTCACAGTATAATACTGAAAAAAAAGAAAAATACAATCTGCACCATGAAATGGCCCACACACAGATGTGTGTGTATATATACACAAATATATATATGTTTAAAATATAGAAATAAAATGATAAGAATGGTGAGAATATAATGTTGAAAATAAGAATAGACTTTTCAGAAAATTTGAAAATTGATATGTTTTATGAAGTAGGGATGGAATTTAATAGATTGTATAAATTTTTGAGGATGCTGTTAGAGATAGAAATATTTAAATAAACAAAATATAAATACATAAATATTTGAGAGAAAAATACTGTTAAATATTTTTGTGGCTTAAATACCATACAAAACAAAAATACTAAAACTAAGATGCCATGGAATACTGAAGTTGCGTGTAGATGAGAATCCCCTTGCAAGAGCTTAAGTAAGCTTGTGCAAGTTACCTATTTTCTATTTGCCTCAGTTATCCCTTTGTAAAGTGGATAATAATGCTGTATCCCTTTCTCATAGGTTATTGTGACAATTAAATGCAAAGTCATTAGCCAGTGACCTTAACTTAGTGTTATTTATTAATATATAATTGCTATGTTGTATTGTAAAAATGGCCACAGATTCTTCTTATCCATGTCTGTATATCCATTTTACAATGTTAACTTGCAGCTTCTCCTATCAAAAGGTAAAGTTTATGTATATATATAGATTCTCCCATTGACAGATGACATATATTTATCTTCTTGTTGAATTTGGACTTAACTGTGTGACTTGTTTGGTGGATGAGTTGTTAACAAACATAAACAATGCAAGCAGAGACTTGTAAAATGTTTTATGCATTGGGACTTCCCAGAGAAAAACGCCCAGTTGAGCCATGGCAATGTACAAAACTATTAAGTAAATGAATGGTTGTTTTAAGCCATTTTGGTAATTTGTTAAACAGCAAATGTTAACTGATATACTGAGTGTTAGTAGGGATGTTTGAAAACGTACTTCCATATAATAAATCTTCGTAAGTTGCTAAAAGATATTTCTACTTATACTTGAATATATCTATCAAAATTTGAACATATTTTTAGCCCAGCAATTCTATTAATGGAAAAGTATCCTATAAAGAAACTCAACTGTGAAAATATATATATATATATATCACAAACAATGGTATCTATGTAAAAGTTATTTGTATTAGTTTAAAAAATCAACAAATCAACTATTCATTGAAGGGACTGATTAAATAAATTATGGTCATCTATAGAACAGAATATAATATCCAGATATTTAAAATTAATAAATTAAATCTCAATCCAATGCTATAAATCAGTGTCTACAATATGTCATAGGTTAAAAAGCAAGTTTCAAAAAGTATTTAAGAAAATGAGTTTAATCACAAAGCAGTAAGTTTTTCTATGTACAGATAATACAAATATTTATAAAGTAAAAAGTAAAATTATTTTACTATCTGGAAATGTGTGTAAATAGGTTGCATGTGTATGTTTTAAAATGGGCACTTACTTCCCTAATGTGTGAATGAATGAATGAATGAATGTATAATGTATGAACATAATATGTGTATATGTATGAGTATAAAATATACATGTTAAATGTATATATAGATATGGATATACATATCATTAATGAATCCATGAAGGTCTTGTTGGCTGCATAGGCAATGGCTTAGGGGAGTATATTGTAGAGCAGAGCTATAGATTTCAAATCACAGGACTTTGAATTAAAATATTGTGTATACAAATCAGCACTGTCACCCCGTGGTTTTAAGAGATCTTTCTCCCTCTCTGACTCTCCATGACCCCATATTTATAATCACATTAACAATACTGGTGATGTAATAAGCAGGAAAAGTACATTCACTAGAAGGACCCATAAAAAATCTTTGCAAGCCGAATAGTATATGGAAGAGAAGCTCCCCCTCCCCACTTCCCAGGAAGCTCTGCATACTGTTGAAAACCAAAGACAGTAAGGGATAATGCATCCTAGTGACCAGACAATGTCAAGGAGTTAGCTGTACATTGCTCCCTATCCTGGTGGAGAGAGCTCCTGATTGCTTGATGGTGGTGAAATAGGATAAGGTGAATCCTAAGGTCATTAAGGATGTTCAAGTTATTAGTGGAAAAACCTGATAAACTATCCTTGCTTATAAACAGAGTATATATTCCCAGAGATTCTTGTCTCATTGAAAAATAGATTATTATGTGTAAATAACATTTATTATTATGTATAAATAATGTATGTTGAATAGTTTTGCCTTTCTCATATACTCCAGATAGACCACTATCATTTTTTTAAATATCTTATTTTTCAAAAGGCTTAAATTGTATTTATTAACATTTCATTTGTAATACATTCTAGACATAGTGATATTTGCTAATTTACATCCATTTGACCTCATTCACTGTATGAAGTTCCTTCTGATCACACTGGTTCATTTAAACAATTCAACTAGCAAATTCCTGTTTATCTTTAAACACCATGAATATTTATCCTTACATAAATCTGGGCAATCTATTAACTTATTAAATAGACAGGTGTGTGTCTCAACTGCTTAAATTTTTTGGTGGATTTCCAGAGTCTAAAAGACAAAATCCAAATTCCTAAGCCTGGCCTTTATATAGATCGAATCCCTATGTCCAAGCTTCAGGCTTCTAACACTGTTTAAAACTTTTATTTCCTGGCTAAATCTGCCTCGTTACTGAAGACCTTATCTATGGCTTAAATTCCTCAGAACGCCTTTTCTGAAGTTCAGAGCTCAACTGTACTCGTTTCTGTCATAGTCTATGTTACATTTTCTTGCTTTTATCTTGCTGCATAAAAATAGTAAGCTTCGCACAGCAAGCTCTGTAATCTATAATCACTTAACACGCACAGGTGTGTGTGTGTGTGTGTGTATGTGTACACAAGACACTATGCTAGGTATTGAAATGAAAGTATACAGGGGTCAGATATCGATTCTGTTCTAACAGAACTTATACTTTAGAAGGAAGGGGAGACATTCAACAATTTGGTTATTTAGACACAATTGTAATCGGTGTTATGAAGGAGAAATGTCAGAAGTTATATATATATAAACATAAATTGATTTCTTAATAAAAATGGCAAGGATAGTAGGAGTATGTATTATAGGGAAGAAAGAAAGTTGCTATTATTTCACTGATAAACACCTTCCAGGTGATGTAAACTGTGGTAAGCTCTGGGGAACTGGAGACAAATGACATATATTTTGCCTAATCTTCCCAATTATCTTTTCAAGTGAGTAATATTAACCCATTTTTGACACAAGATTTAATATTGTGTTCTAGGTCACAAAGGTAAAAAGTAGTGTACCAAATTCCAATCCAGGCCCACGGAGTTCAGAAACCCAGCTCTTTATATTAAACATCGGCCTCCTGGTAGACTACTATACACGTGTAGTGGAAAAGATCCTTTGGCACCAGTTTTCCCCTGGTAGCTGTGTTCTCCTTGTCTAGTCTCCAGATCTGCTTTCCTTAGGCTGTATTCTCTGGCTGCAGTTTTAAACTCAGGGAAATATTTACTTTCCAGAGTGCCTTGACATCCAAATTTCATTCAAGATGGTAGATTAGAAAAAATGGAACTATAATAGTTACATTGTGACACTGAAATTTCTGTCAGTAGAAAAATAATAACATTGATATTAGCAACCCTAAAAGGAGGTGGACACTACTTATAATGTATGCGCTCCTGAGGGCTCAGAATCCAAATGTCCCATTGAGGTAACTGGTAATATTCGTGTGAAGAGAGAAGACTTTGAGTTGGTGCTCTAGGTGGAAGAGATCAGTTAATATGAAAAAGAAAGAGAGGCACTAAGAAAGGGACTGGTTTTGAGTAAACTCTAAACCTTAGATTTTCTCTTGCTTTGGCCAGGGGTCAGGTAAATACCAGACCAGGCCACTGGATTAGAAATTCTATGTCACTGTCCTGAAGTGGAATTTATAGAAAGCATTAAGGGAGAATTTATGCTGAAAGTTTTACATTCCAATGGACTTTGATCAGCATAGCCTGGACATCTCTTTCTACTATACTGCAGATAAATTAATGGTTTCTTGACCTAGCTATATGTTACAATGGGGGAGTGTCTTAGCCACTTTATGTTGCTATAAAGGAAGACCTGAGGCTACGTAATTTATAAAGAATTGAGCTTTATTTGGCTCACAGTTCTTCAGGCTGTACAAGAAGCATGGTGCCAGCATCTACTCTGATGAGGGCTTCAGGTTGCTTCTACTCATGGCAAAAGGTGAAGCAGAGCTGGCATGTGCTGTGATCACATGGTGAGAGGGGAAGAAAGAAAGAAAGTGGGGAAGTAAGAGAGAAAGGATAAAGAAGAGAGAGAGAAGAGGTGCCTGGTTCTTTTAGAGTGAGAACTCACTCAATCCCTCCCCAAAGGGCATTGGTCTATTTGTGAGAGCTCCATCTCCATGACTCAACCCCCTCCCATTAGGTCCCACCTTTAGCATTGGTGATCAAATTTCAACATAAAATTTGGAGGGGTCAAATATCTAAAGTATAGCAGGAAGTTAAAGTTTCTAAAAGTACTGCAGACTGACCTCTTAACTATCATGTAATTGGTTCAGGGTGGGATTCAGGCATGGTTTTCTATTAAAGTGCTCCAGGTGAGACTAATATGGAGCCAGGTTTGAGTTTGAAGTTCTAACCAGATGGAGTATTATGCCCTCTAAAATATATCAGTAGTTTGCATATTGTTATTCTAAATGAATAGAGAAAAGGTTGAGTTCCAAATTGTTGGATTACCCTATTGACAAATAAACAAATGTTGTTCAATCTTGTCATTATCAATAAGTAAAGATATCAGCTCTTTGCACACAACTGTGCTTAAGTTTGGTGACTATAGCTCTCTGTACCATAGGATGCCAACGTTTGGTTCCTAAGAGCAACTCATTTCCTAGGAAGTCCTATTTTCTTAAGAAATTGAAAATATAAGAGAAACACCAAGTCTCTGATATCAAAGCTGGAAGAGACAGAAGACCATGGGTACAAATCTGAATGCTTCATGCCACAAGGAGTGGTACCAAATCCATTCTCCCTCCAGGACATTTTGTAATATTTATCCCAAGTGACTGTGGGATGGGAAAGTGTGGTAAAATTTTTAATGGGATGAGCAGCATTTTTGTGACATAGATAGGTTTGAATTCTAAACCCTACCTGTACTAAGCAATAGGGAGCCATTTTGAGCCTGTATGTTGGACAGATAATTCTATTTCTGGTGAGGAAAATAAAAATTAAAATAAAAACAAACTGGAGGCTAGCTACTAATGTCTAATCTAGTGTTTCTCAGCTTTCTTTTCATTATCACCTTCCCGAAAAATGTTTTCAGCTATTTTTTCTCCTAATGGCCCCTCCCTGCCTTCCTTAAAATTGTAATAGTACAGAGATACTACTATATATCTGTTTATGTACTAGAGAGCCACAGACCACTGTAATATCAAAGACTGTTTCACACCCAACAATCAATTTTTGCTCCCTTTAAAACACTATTGCCCCAACTGAGAATGCATGCTTTAGGCTGCCATATTCTGTGCTGAGTATAAACATTCTTCTAAATGTTAATAACAATTAGACAATGTCACCCTGTGATCATGATAGAAGAAAATGAAAACAAGGCCATCTGTAATCATGTGTGTATGTAGAACAAAACAAGGAAACTACACAACCACAAAAAATAACTGAACCTCTCCCAGCATCCCAGCTGACAGGAGTGACTACTACTTTTTTACTAGTGGCCTCTCTAACTCTATCTTCTAGAAAACGATAATTAAAATGCCCAATCCCTGATTGTTCCTACCTTTTGATAGCATTCAGTCTGAAATAAACCCCCACTTTCTTGAACCCTTCCCTAAATAGTTAAATACAAGGCAACTACAATAAACCCCTTCTAATTTTCTCTTGGGTACCATGGAGTTGCTGAGGAGCATCTTCCTTTGCTGCCTCAAGTTAAAAAAAAAATCAAGCTTTGTGTAGCCACAGGTATCTTCCTTGTGGTCTTTGGTCGCAGAGGTTTTTTTGTTTGTTTGTTTGATCACAAAGTTTTAATTAGATTTGATGACTTCCTTTCTAAAGGTTCATCTTTGAAATTTATGGGACTTTTTGTCTCATAACAGAAAGATGTAAAACAATAGAAAAAATGTATATTTTAACAGGAGAATATATCCTAATGAAGAACAAGTTTGTGAATAAGCTAAGAAAGAAATATAATTAATTCAGGAGGTTTTCAGAATATGCACTCTGGAAACTAAAACTTATGATCAGTTTTCATGGTTTTTTTTATGTAATAAAAGGTATTATTAGTAACTTTATTATCATTGTTCCTAAGCAACTTATGCTAATAAACTCCAGGTTCTTTTTCAAAATAACATTTGTTGTTTGAATTTAAAAAAGAATAAATTTATTTAAGTTACCCTTTTATAGTTTCTTCTGGCTCCACTTCTTCTTTATCTATTTGGGAACAACTCGCCCTTTTTTTAAAGAAAATAACCTGGGAAAGGTTCTAATGAGTCCCTGGGAAGATGAGAATTAAATTTTCTCATGAAATTTAACCTCTGACTTCTCAGCTTCACTTCTATTTTTTTTTTTAAATACACAAAACTCTCATTGTTGGAGCGAATGATCTGATAATTCTGTTAAAACACATTCAAAGTGAATATAAAACGCCAAATGTGAGTGTAGGCTGATGCCAGTATTCTTCCCTTCATAGGTTTTGGACATTACTTTTAATAAGATAGAAAAGTTTGGTGCAAAGATTGATCAGTATCTATTGCTAGCAATCATAAAATGTTTATGCCATGGTGAGTAGAATAATCAAAGTATAATGTGCTCTGGCTGAGAAAAAGGATTTTCTGTAAGTTTTGGCAGGTTCCATAATGATGCAATTTTATGCAAGCCCCCAAATAATAGATTATTTTCATGGTCAAAAGTTATAAATATTCACCCTTAACCTAAGAATTCACAATACAGCATTGAAGAAAGTTGCATTAAAATCAATAAAATAAAGTTGCGTATTATCGCTATTGAATAGTATTATTATTGTATTAAAAGTCTAGGCTAGGCTGGGAGTGGTGGCTCACACCTGTAATTCCAGCACTCTGGGAGGCCGAGACATGTGGATTGCTTGAGGTCAGGAGTTCAAGACCAGCCTGGCCAACGTGGTGAAACCCCATCTCTTCTAAAAATACAAAAATTAGCCAGGTGTGGTGGCGCACACCTGTAATTTCAGCTACTCAGGAGTCTGAGGCAGGAGAATTGCTTGAATCTGGGAGGCAGAGGTTGCAGTGACCTGAAATGGCGCCACTGCACTCAAGCCTGGGTGACAAAGTGAGACTCTGTCTTAAAAAAAAAAATAAAAAAAAGTTTAGGCCAATCTAATACTCATATTAGTAGAGTGAATATCGGACAGGTTGTAATAAAATTTTCCATAAGTATAAACAATAACATACTTGAAAAGCTTAACTGAATAAAAAAAATCGTTAAAGTTAATGCAATATTATATAAGAATCAAGTACATAAATATCAATCACAAAAATAGCAGAGCATTTAAAAATATAATACTAATATCTCTAAAATATTAATATGCTTTCAAAAGATAGTTCCATGATTAAAATTTTGAGAAAATACTCATTTAAAATAATAGAGCTTTAAAAATTCAGGATTCCAGTAGTTATACTAAGCTGATGTGTATTTTGAATCTCCAAGTTGAGTTTTAAAATCATCAGAATTCCATATTATAAAATTGTTCACCTCCTTGAACATCTAACAACACCAAACAGCCTCTTGAGGAATGCTCCTGATTTTAAAACACAATGAAAAATGCTGAACTAGAATATACAAAGTGGAAAGAAAAAATATTGTATATATTATAGCAAAAAAAAAGTAAAAATATTTTTCGGATCCTTTCTTAAATTATTCTGAATATTCTCTTGCAAAGTAAAATATAAAAAATTCCAAAGAGTGGGTGGGGGGAATGGGGAGGATGAGAAATTGGTCAGTGGGTACAAGGTTACAATTAGAAGGAAGATCTGGTGTTCTCTTGCACAGTAGGGTGAGGGCTATTAACAGTAAGGTATTATATATTTACAAAATAGCTAGAAGAGAGGCTTTTGAATGTTCTCACCACAAAGAAATGATAAATGGATGGGGTGATAAATACACTAACTGCCTTGATTTGATCAGTATACAACATATATGTATCAAAATAAATCAAATTGTTCAACATAAATATGTACAATTATAATGTCAATAAAAATATAAAAAATTTAAAACACAAATATAAAATTAAAATAGTAGAAACCTGACAAACAGATAATTATATTTCTAAATAATCTATCCTCCATAAAAGTACAATAAAATTTAGGAAGCATAATTGTTTCAACTTACCTCAAGCTTTCTGCTTTCTTGTCTGCTTTGTATACTTACCTAGAAGTCCCTTGAAACTTGCTAATCAATCAGTGGAATAGAGTTGAATCCGGGAGGTCAAAGAAAGTAGAAATAATTTAGTGTACCTTTCTCTCTGCTGTTGCATCTGATTTACTCTGATCCCTTACTGGATATTTTCTTCCTTAGCTAAAACATAATCAGTACCTATGGGGAATTAAACTAAATCTGCAATATTCCTTCACCCCAGCATCTAGCTCTTCAAGATTTAATGAATCATGAAAATGAAATTCATTGTGTTTGAATTCAAATATCTCTGAGCCTCCACTTTACAACGATGAATGTCATAGTGAAGGCCACTAAGGTCATTTCTATTTCCGACATGAAGATTTTATTTTAGTTAGTTAGGTACAATGTAAATGGTTCCACCAGAGCCAGTAAGCTTGGTAATCCAGGTATTTTGATGCTCTTTGTGAGAGCTAATTCAATGGAAGGAGGGATAAGGACAGCAGCCAAACATTATAGTAGGCTGAGGATGGATAAATAGTCAGAAATGAAGACAAGGTATGGAGATAATTTTATTCTGGTAGTTGAGACAAAAATTAGAAAGAAAGTAGTATTGAGTGGGTTATGTAGAGTAATAGAAAAGTCTTATTTCGGGTGAGGAACTTTAGAAATCATTTTTATTAGCTAAGAAGAATAGTATAAAGTAGACAAAAATATGAAGAGTAACACATGCAAAAATACAGTGAGATAAGTTTTTAAAAATGGGGTATATCATCAAGCAGAGAGAATATTCGAAAGTGAGGAATAAGAGAGTTTATGGATTGACAAAAATTATCAGTATGCAAAGTTCAGAATAATGTATGTTGGCACATTCACAGTGAAACCCAAATTGTGGATCCTGCTTATTTCTTCCTCTTTAAACTCTTAATTAAAGGGATGGAGATTTCAGCATTGTGTGTCAACATCCAAGTATGCATAGCATTAATAAATAGGGATTTTTAAAGTTGTTTCTTGTAGTCTCAGGATTGTCTGTTTTCAGGCTAGCTGCACAACTATTTTCCTGTAGTATTACTGTGATGGTTAATTTTATGTGTCAACGTGGCTAGATCATAGTACCAAGATATTTGTTCAAACACCAGTTTGGATTTTGCTATGGATGTATTTTCTCAGATGAGATTAACATGTAAATTAGTAGACTGAGTAGAGTGTATTGCCCTGCATCATATGGTTGGGCCTCATTCAATCAGTTGAAGGCCTTACGAGTAAACAGTCTGAGGTCTCTTGAGGAAGAGAGAATTCTGCTTCCAGACTGTCTTCCATATTGAATTCCAACATCAATTCTTCACAACCTACTAGGCTACCCTTCAGATTTTGGATTAGAGAGAGACAGAGACAGAGAGAGAGGCAGAGGTTTATTTGAAGGAATTTATTTAAGAAATTGGTGCATGTGGCCAGACGTGGTGGCTCAACCTGTAATCCCAGCACTTTGGGAGGCTGAGGAGGGCAGATCACGAGGTCAGGAGATCGAGACCATCCTGGCTAACACGGTGAAACCTCATCTCTACTAAAAATACAAAAAATTAGCTGGGTGTGATGGTGGGCGCCTGTAGTCCCAGCTACTCAGGAGGCTGAGGCAGGAGAATGGTGTGAACCTGGGAGACAGAGCTTGCAGTGAGCCAAGATGGCACCACTGCACTCCAGTCTGTGTGACAGAGCGAGACTCCGTCTAAAAAAAAAAAAAAAAAACAAAAATAGGTCCATGGGTTTGTGGAAACTATTTGCCACATTTTACTTACCTTTCTTCCTAAAAATAGACAACTAATTTGTCTTCAGTTTTAGGCTCATAAGGAATCTGCAAGGAAAAATCTTACATAAGATACCTTATGAAAATGTGCATGGTGGCGTGCGCCTGTAATTTCAGCTACTAGGGAGGCTGAGGTAGGAGAATTGCTTGAAACTGGGAGACGGAGGTTGGAGTGAGCCAAGATAGTGCCACTGCACTCCAGCCTGAGCGACAGAGCGAGACTCCGTCTCAACAAAAATAAAATAAAATAAAAAGAAAATATGCAAACCATTTATCAGGTTTTATATACTTAGAGAAGTGTTTGTCATAAATATACACAATTTCACAAAATACATTTAGATGCCTTCCTGAATAGCTTTTTAAATTGATACTTCCTTCAGCAGTTCATGAGAACTCTGGGGTTCTTATTTCCAATATTCTTGATATGGTAATTACTTGACTTTCTTATTTTGGCCAACTTAATGGTGTTAATGTCAAATCTCATTGTTTAACTTTATCTGATTACTAGTGAGTTTGCACTTCTCTTTATATCTTTGTTGGTCAGCCTTTCTCTGTTGTGAATGTTTTACTGTAGTCTCTGTGCATTTTTTCTCTTGTGTTGCTTCCTAACTTTTGAATGTTTGCATATGATCCTGGCATTTTCTAAAAAATAATCTTCCAGCTTGTTTTCTGTGAGTAAATTTGTATATTGGTTTTAAAGAAGTGATTTTCTTACTCATAATATTATAGTTACCAGAATGGAAATATTCTATTTTTTATCCTTCATACTTTCTGTGAAGCAAAGCAAAGATATCTGAATTCTTAAAGTACGTATGTCAAAAATTATGACAAAATTTTTCAACATATATAGTATTTTGTTTTTAAATTCTAATCAAAATTATTGAAAAAAAAAGCATACCTTTTGATTTCACTTATGCAATCCAAATACTCTGATATATCAAGCTCAGTATGGAATTGAGGATTTATTAAGTACAAATGGGGTCTTTAGTTATTCCCAAACATGGCTCTACTGAGGTTTAATATCTTCAGAAAACCCAGTGAAGAGCAGTGCTTCTCCAATAGCATGCACACCTGTGTGCTGAGACAATCTTTTTAACCACTCTCGCAGATATTCCTGTGATTAGGAAGAGGTGAGAATTGGGCCTACAATGTATATTCCACTCTAGATGTCCATATATACACACAACTCCTTTTAGAATTTGAGGAGTCATTTCCTAGATCACAGACCAAAATTACTCTATAGAATCACCAACTTTCTTTCTTCTTTTTCACTGACCCAATCTCCACCCATATTTCCCCATTTCTTTCCATTCTTTCTTCCCATGGCTTATGCCTTATGTTATTGTACCCTGATTACTTCATTTGGATATGACCCCAGAGTATACCCCAGAGCAAACCTGACTGGGCATGGTGGCTCATGCCTGTAATCCCAGCACTTTGAGAGGTCAAGGCATGTGAATTGCTTGAGGTCAGGCAATCAAGACCAGCCTAGCCAATATGGTGAAACCCTGTCTCTAATTAAAATACAAAAATTAGCCAAGCATGGTGGCGCATACCTGTATTCCCAGCTACTCAGGAGGCTGAGGCAGGAGAATTGCTTGAACCCAGGAGGCAGAGGCTGCAGTGAGCCGAGATCATGCCGTTGCACTGAGGCCTGGGTGACAAGAGCAAAACTCTGTCTCAAAAAAAAAAAAAAGAGCAAGACTGCAGAGATAATTCTCAACCACAGCGAATTCCAGAAGGTGTAACTGAATTATTCTCAGGGAAAAAAGAAAATCTAGCAGAAAAGAAGAAAATTTTTAAAAAAGTAACATTTATATCTAAATATTTGTATAACAATCAAATTATATACAAATGTAATCACAAACCAGGAAGGAGAAAGAAATGTCAGGATATAGATGTATCTATATGTCATCTAAAATCAGTAATAAGAAAAGTTAGAATGGTTAAGAACATGATAAAGGGTTTGAAACTGTAAATTAATAGCAGAAGTCAACTCTATGAACTATAAAACATAAAAGGATGCTCAATTACCACTGTGACCTGGAACATGCAAACTAAAATGAAAGCAATGCATTTCACACTCATTAAATCATCAAATACTAGAGATCCTAACGTTATTTAGTCTTAATAATGATATGCATTATCCTCAAGACGCATTCAATGCTGGCGAAATGCAAATTATAACAAACATTTAGAAAGTTATTTGACAATATACATTTTTGATAAAATAACTATGCACTATGACTTGGGAATGCCAGTTCTAGGGAAATATCCTAGAGAATCTCTCAAACACATGCATAAGGAGACAGAATAAGCATGCAGACTGAACTGTTGTTTATAATAACAAAAACACAGAGCAATTTAAGTTTTGTCAGGTGAAGAATTGATGAGTAAACTGTGGTATATTTATGCCATAAAATATTACATGTATACAATAAAATAAATTAACTTGAGCTACATGTACCAATGTTGATAAACCTCAAAAACATCATATTGAGGCCAGGAACAGTGGCTTACGCCTGTAGTCCCAGCACTTTGGGAGGCCGAGGCGGGAGGATCACCTGAGGTCGGGAGTTTGAGACCGGCCTCACCAACGTGGAGAAACCCTGTCTCTACTAAAAAAAATACAAAATTAGCCGGGCATGGTGGTGCATGCCTGTAATCCTAGCTACTCAGGAGGCTGAGGCAGGAGAATTGCTTGAACCCAGGAGGCGGAGGTTGCAGTGAGCTGAGATCGTGCCATTGCACTCCAGCCTGGGCAACAAGAGCGAAACTCCGTCTCAAAAAGAAAAGAAAACAAAACAAAACAAAATCCACATCATATTGAGAGAAAACAGCCAGTTGTGGAAAGAAACAAATACTATTTATACAATTTTAAACTACAAAACACTATGGTAAATAATTTATGAGTATATAAATATGCACTTGAATTAAATATGCATTAATATGAAAATATCTACTATATTCATAGTATTTACCTCTAGGCTAGAAAGGAGGGAAATCGGATTACAGAGAGTTGTTGCTGTAGGTTATTATATATAGTTTTAACTTCGTTTTAAAAACTAGGAAGCAAATATGGCAATATTTGAACACTCATTAGTGCTGAACCATGATCTGGTACTTTGTCTTACTATTGAGCTATTTCTCATTAAACAGTAATAAACACAATGAGTAAAGAAATGACAGTGACTGTATATTTGTTAAACTTGTTTAAGAAGAAAATGACAGAGAAAACAGGTTTCCGCTGTGTTGGATTGCAAGATCATTAGGACATTTTTAAATATGAATGACTTTGAAGACATTTAGAAGAAGAATGATGGAGCCCTCAAAGAGAGATTGTGGGTAAATGAAGGAGAAAAGGGAAAACATGAGGCATAGATGTTTTGTCCAGCCTGAAGAAAGTGAGGTACAGTACGTCTTAGTATAGCTCAGCTCCAGCATTCAGGGAAACTGAAAAAGCCTGGGAAACAAGCCCTGCAGTTTAGGGTTGCAATGAAGAAAATACATTTGTGTGTGAAGAGCAAAGGCTGCCAAGAGGGAATGATTTAGTGGAAGTGATGAACAGCTCTGTCAGGGGAGGGACTGTGGAAATAGACAAGAGGCTCTAGGGCTTTTAGAGCTGCTTCACCAGCTGATCCTGAGCATGGGGAAAAGCAGAGTTAAGGTTAGGAAAGGATAAAAGTCTCATGATTCCAAAGTGGCTGAAACCAAACCAAAGGGCTAGAATTAGCACATTTGCTTATCTTACTGAAGTAGATGTTGAACCTTGGGAGTAACGTGACCCACTGCCCAATCTAGTCCAGTCTAGCCCCTGAGGAGGAGCTTTGTGAGGATGAAGACATTTTCCTTTATTTGGCCCCACCGTCACCTGCCCTCCAAAAAGTGTAATAGCCTAGTGAAATAAAAAGAGTCTGGAGTGCTGAAGAAGAGTTATAAAGCATTAGGAAAACCTGTCTTTGGGCTCTGATTTCCAACCTGCTCGTAACCCATTCCCTGGGCTCTGGTAGATACATTTCAGGGTGGCGAGGAGGGATTTGTCAGTTTGTTAGTGGATGTCGTAAAATAAACTGCACTTCCCCCTGGCAGAAGCAAGAAATGGGAAGTGCTTAAGGGTAGTATAAGGCTGTCAACATTGATCAAGGAGAATGAGGCAGGTCAATGATCAGCATTTGAGAGGTGGCAGTGTTCAGTTGTTATCAGTTAGTGTCAACTGAAAGAGCAGTGAGCTTGTTGAAACGTCCAAGGTGAAAAGGCCAGTTCAGTCAAATGAAAATTGAAAGGAAAGAAGAAAGATACTCAAATTTTATAAATCATACAATGATTATAATTTATGGGGGCTTATCTGACTATGCTGGATGGAGATCTTAGGTTGAAACTTTCAAAAGAGTGTATTTCTGATATTAACACTGCTTTGATATACTCATATTATTTGTAAAATTTCAAATAAAATTCTCCTTTTAATGGCAAATATCTTTCAGGCAATTTACAAATAGAAGGCTAGAGGAAAACAAATTATGTACATAGAGTTAAAATACCAAAATTTGGTAATTATAGTAATAGAGGTAAAAACAATATGCTAGAGAAATTCAGGAGAGAGACATCTATTCTTTCTGAGAGATGTCGGGAAGATGTTTTAACTAGGTTGCCAATATCCTGGAAGAGTTGTAAGGTTTCAATCCTGAAAGCTGATTAAAGTGTGCTCATTGAGGGCAAGTCTTTAATTCAGCACATATTAGATCTACTACATTCCTGTGTTAGATACTTTCTAGGAAATCAGACAGGAAAAAAGCAAATAAATAAGTTATAACCAAGAAAGATAAGTGCAAGTTAATACAGAAATATTTTATATAAAAGTAGCATGAGATGGAAAGAAAAATAAAGAGAGCAAAAGCTGCTCAGAAGATAAAAAACTAAACTTTAAAGAATAAAGAGCTATTCCCCAGATAAAAAGTTAAAAAAATTTAATTTGGGGGAACATAACCATAGTTATTAGATAAAAAGGAAAATGTATTTTATGTTAATAGTATAGAGTTTATATTCTTGAATTAAGAAGTCCTTTTAAAAATAAAACCAAAATAACAAAAGGAAAGATTGATTAATTTGGTTACAGACAATATAAATTTTTGCATGAGCAAAGAAGTGCCATTAAAAAATGACAATTCAAATTTTAGACTGAGAAAATTTAGTCCTTATATAAAAGATAAACATTCCTCTAATATTTCAACATAAGAATATTTTTCAAAAATGTAAAAAATTATAACTAAATTGAAGCAGAAAAGAGATATTTGGTATTTTAGAGAAAGGAAAAATAAGTGTGTCTAATGCTCAAAATTTCAGATTTAAAGAATCACAATTGAAAAATAGTTATTTTTTCACTTACAAAATGATGAAGAATAAAATGACTAAAAACACTCAGCACAAGGTCCTTCTTCGGGGAGGCAGCCAAATTCACCATTCTTGCTTTGCTCTTTTATGCAAATGGCCTTAGGCACACAGAAGTGGGCATCTAACCATGGATTTTCTAAAAGAACTCACCTGGATAGAGAAAAATTGATTTTTTTTTAAGGCCAAAAAGTCCTGAAACACACTAGGGCAACCATATTCTTTCTTTCTAAAATTTACAATTTAGGAAAAATTGCCCCAGAAAGGGACCTTCTCTGTTGTAGTAACAGCAGCACACACACACGCACACAGACACACACACACACGCACACACACACACACACACAAAACCTGTATACTCTCAATGTTGTGTCACAGAAAGGGTCCTCCCATCCTTTGATTCCTTTTCTTTTCATTTCCTGAGATACACTGGGATCAAGGCCATATATTTCTGTCTTTTATTTATAAAGTCTTGGTAGGGTATAGACAAAGTATTTCAATGTCAGTTTGTTGGCAATATCTATCAAATTAGCATCATTTTTATTTATTCATTTATTCAGAGTCTATCCAATTTTACATGAATACTAAAGTGGAAATGCCTGCATACTCCTTGCAGAATTGTAATAGAAAAGAATATGAAATAACCTATAGAATGGAGTGCTACACTCTCCTTCAGAAAGTATGAGGTAGATAGAAATCGATAAAATGCTAGAGTTCTAGAAACATACTTATGTTTAAGTTTTGTGCAAAAATAATTAAGTTGAACAATAGTATAAAGAGTAATATTTGGTAAATGGTATAATTTCCTTTTTATATAATATCTTGCACCCTTATTTGGATATATTTTTCAGTAAACATGAGTCATGCTGTAAAATTTTTATTCAGGTTTAATGCAAATACATAGATATGCACCAATAATAATTATCAATTGAAAGAATGACCACAGCATGAACAAATATATGTAACCAGTGCTCCTATTAATAACTATAACACTACCAATGCCATAGAAGTCTTCATCATATTAATTCCCATTTACTACCCCTTCTCTCATTCAGAAAGTCATAATTCATAATGCTGTATGTTTGTCTGCTTTTGTCATATACATTAAATCTTTACTATGTATGTTTTTGTATCTGGCTTCTTTTTTCCCTAATTATTTATTTTATGTGACAAAAATTCTATGTATTTATCATATACAGCATGATGCTTTGACATATGTAGACATTGTGGATTTAGCAAATAAAAGATTCAAAGTTCATATGTACAGTTTTATTTGTGAATTATGTCCAAGTTGCTGTTTGGAGCTATAGTTTTTATATTTTATTGCTGGGAAGTTTGTACTGTTGAGATTCCAAATTATTGATCAATTTTACTGTTCCTGGGTTTTTGGAGTATTTCCAGGTTTGGCTTTGAGAAATAGATAGCCTGCTGTGAATCTTGTTCAACAAAACATTTGAACATACACATAAAAATTAGGGGGGTATAAACTTGGAAGTAAGATTGTTAGGTGTACTTTGTGTGCATATTTTTTAACCATTGAAAAAACTGCCAAAGTTTTTTCCCGTTTGTTGTATATAAAAATTTATGCTCCCATCAGCATTGCAAGAGAATTCCCACTGTTCCACTTCCTACTGTCATTTGGTATTATCACTCTTCAATTTGTGACATTCTGGTATGCATTTAGAGGTAGCTAATTGCATTTTTAACATGCATTTCCCGGATGACTAATGAAGCTGAGCACTTTTTCACAAACTAATGACTTTTGGCTATAATACTAAGTGAAATTGCTATTCAAGTCCCATGCTATATTTTTCCTACTGGGTTGTCTGATTTTTTCCTTATTATTTGTAGGAGTCTGTCAGTTATACGTGTTGCAAATATATATTCCCTGTATATGTATTACTAACAGAATTCTTTCTCTTGTCTCTTATTTTCTAAAATATTAAACATAATTGCTTTGAAATTCACGTCTAAAAACCCCATTACAGTGTGTCTGAGTCCCTCGTAGTTGTTTCTCTTCCCCACCAAGACACATTCAAAGGGAAGCAGGAAATATTAAATACTGTCATGTGTTGCTTAACAGCAGGGATTCTTCTGAGAAATATGCTATTGGGCTATTTTGTCATTGTGTGAACATCATAGAGTGCACTTACACAAACTTAGATGGTATTGCCTACCACACACATAGGCTGTGTGGTATAGCCTATTGCTTCTAGGCTAAAAACTTGTACAGCATATTACTGTATTGAGTACTGCAGGCAATTGTAACCCAATGGTAAGTTTTTGTGTATCTACACATATCTAAACATAGGAAACATATAATAAAAATATGGTATTATAATCTTATGGGGTCTCCATCATATATACAGTCTGTCATTCACCAAAACGTTGTTGTGTGGCACATCACTGTAGTTAACTCTGACTCTGAATCATGAGGATATGGGAATATTGTAAAGAAATATAAACAGAGAAGAGTAAAGAAGTAAAACAGAGAGCTGAAGTGGTTTAAGCACAGCAGGTCAAAACTCATGTGTTATACAAAAGCTTAACTCTGTAATGTTTAAACTCTCATTTGTAATCATCTATAAATAATGCTGTGTTTTGACTCTTCTTACATTTTGAGTATTTAGTGTGGGTTGATTTTGTTATATTAAAGTCACTTCCAGATGTACACTTTTGCTGCTGTAACTTTCTTTCAGAGAGGTTATTCTATTTCAAATCATTTACATGGTTCTTATAATGGTTTTATTAAAATATAATTTTTTAAAAGAAAAAAAAAAGAAGAAAAACAGTGGAGTGCTTTTTGGTCCTTAAACCACAGATTTGAAAGGAAACAACACACACCTGTCAAGTAAAATTAATATCTAGGAGAAGCTTTTACTAGGACTGCCCCATTTGGGGTTATCTTGGCATCTGTCCCACCTTATGAAAATTGAATCGCTATGGTAGGGTTAGGGTGAAAATTGTTCTTATACATTTAGTAAACACAATCATTCTGGAGTTTGCTCCATTTTTTCAAATATATGGGGTAGGAAGTTGGTAGGGCTTTTTGCCAGATATCAAAGAAACCAAGAAAATAATATTATATAATCTTGAGTCTTTGTTGCCAGGAGCTTCCAGGTTTCACTAGACTATTGCATTTTTTACTGATCTGATCAAGTTAGTGTGGTTAACAAAATGTGCATCCATTTCTATGTGTTTTCCCTACTACAATAATTGTATCAATTTTGTAGAAACTAATGCCTGGGGTAATCTAGAATTTACTATCTTATGCACAATCTAACTTTGACTGGATTGAGAATTACTTAGGCAACCTCATCACAAATCGTTCTTTCTGCCCTCATCATTTCCCTTGCTGATGTGGGCTGTTCAATACAGAGAGCAGAACAAGACATTATCAAGAACTTTAGCATGTGAACCATCTTCCAACATGTAAAATATGCACACTACAGGGAGTTGACATATCTCCTACCAGTTCCTCCTATTGAAATGGGAGTTTTCCCTTATCCTCCTCACAGTGTGTGCAATGGGGGTGTGGCTTGCTTCTTCAGAGTCCAGCTGCTCAAACCCGTAGGGAGAGCTTGCAGGCGGGCAGGTTGTGGGAGCATGGGCTCCGACCCCACTGCAGTACCTACACTTGTGTTTATAGCTTCCGAAGCCCCAACAGGCGTGTGTAACAGTGTGTTCTTTCAGCTTAGCTGTCCGCAGGTGGCTTGTGTTAATCAGCTCAATTAGACCCTCTGCCTTATTGCAAGGACAGAGAAGCCTTTCTGTATCCCAGAGTTCTTGCCCTAGTGTCCTGGAAAAAGTGGGCTTGGAGAATGAGTGCAAGACTTTATTGAATGGTGGAAGTAGCTCTCAGTAGATCGTTGGGGAACCAGAAGGAGAGTGGAGTGGGAAGGTGGTCTTCCCCTAGAGTCGGGCCACTCAGCAGCTGGGTTTTCCTCCAACTGCCCTCGACTGAATTCTCTTAGGTGTCCAGGTCATTTCATTGTCGATGGCCTACCAGAGTCTGTTGGTGTATTCTTTTGCACATGTGTTCCTCTCAATGTCCAGCCACTCATGTCTATGTCCACTAGGGTCTTGGGGTTTTTATAGGCACAAGATGGGGGCATGGAAGGCCAGAGTGGTCTTGGAAAATGCAACATTTATGCATAACAACAGGAGTGCCTGTCCTCACCTAGGTCCCTGGGCACAGGCCCCAGGGTGGAGCCCTCGCCAGGTACCCTGCCTTTCTCCTCCCAGCACTTCCCTGACCCCCTCGCATATCACTATTACTGACATCCAGCATTAGAATGTTATATTTGTTAGAATTAATGGATCAATATTGATACATTATTATTAACTAATAACCATATGTTATTCAAATTTTCTTAGTTTTTACCTAATGTGCTTTTTCTCTTTCAGGAAACCATGTGACATTTAATAGTCACATCTCCTTAGATTCCTCTTGACTGTGAGAATTCTTGAACGTGTTGTTTTTCATGACATTGATAGTTTGGTGAGGTAGTTTGGACTAATAGGTGTATTTTTAAATTTCCTCAACTGGGATGTGTCTCATGATTAGACTGGGGTTATATCTTCCTGAGAAAAATACCATAAAGGTATAGTTTCATTTTATTTCATCAGATCAAAGGTACATAGTAACAACTTGACATCACTGTTGATGTTGATCTTGATCACATGTTGACATTTCTTCACTATAAAGTAACTATTTTCATTTTAGAATATAATCTTTAGAAGAAATACACTCATTAGAAGAAGTAACTATTTACAGTCTACACTAAAAACAGAGTTTTGATCTACCTCCTTGAGGGTAGAGTAGCTACAAAAATAATAATTCTTCTGTATGAAAATTTCTATTTTATACCATATATTTATTTATTCAATTATAAATTCACATCAAATAGAATCATATTTATTTATATTACAGCTAGAATTATAATCCAATACTATTTTATTTTTTATTATACTATAAATTCTGGGATACATGTGCAGAACGTGCAGGTTTGTTACATAGGCATACAAGTGCCGTGATGGTTTGCTGCACCCATCAACCCATCATCCACATTAGGTATTTCTCCTTATGTTATCCCTTCCCTATTCCCCCATCCTCTGACAGGCCCTGGTATGTGATGTTCCCCTTTCTGTGTCCATGTGTTCTCATTGTTCAACTCCCACTTATGAGTGAGAACATGTGGTGTTTGGTTTTCTGTTCCTGTGTTAGTTTGCTGAGAATGATGGTTTCCAGCTTCATCCATGTCCCTGCAAAGGACATGAACTCATCCTTTTTTATGGCTGCATAGTATTCCATGGTGTATATGTGCCTCATTTTCTTTATCCGGGAAACAACATATGCTGGAGAGGATGTGGAGAAACAGGAACACTTTTACATTGTTAGTGGGAATGTAAATTAGTTCAACCATTGTGGAAGACAGTGTGGCGATTCCTCAAGGATCTAGAACCAGAAATACCATTTGACCCAGCAATCTCTTTACTGGGTATATACCCAAAGGATTATGAATCATTCTACTATGAAGACACATACACATGTATGTTTATTGCAGCACTATTCACTAAATAGCAAAGATTTGGAACCAACCCAAATGCCCATCAATCCAATACTATTTTTAAAGATAAATTGTTTCAGCTTTGGCTATTGGAAGCTTTTTTAGTTGGCTTCTGTGTCGTTTGACATAAACTCATGGTTGTGTGTTTTATTGCATGTTTTGTTTTGTTTTCCTAAGCACTTCATTATTTCCTGGTCTTACAATATGCTTCAGGTTTATCTTGTATATTTTCTGCCCTAGTCATGCAATCAGCCATTTCTTCAATAGTCCTGGTTCCTCTTATTGGAATATAGTATTATCAACAAGATCTGGGTCCTAGGTAGTAGATGTATTAATACTCATTGCTACTGTGATATTGGTGCTTCTAAGCACTCTCAGCTAATAGAGCAAGGAAATATATGTTTGTGTAATAACCCTTATATATTCACTTATCTATAGTTATTTCTATATGTAAAAATCTGTATCTATATTAGGTTAAATATGAATTCATAGTGCTACCTCCAACTCTAATACATTGCCACATGGATCATACTACTTTCTTTCTCTTGCTTAACCATAACTCCTTACTTCAACAGTTTGAGATATCTGTTGCATTCCCCATTCAACAGCCACTTACTTGTTTAATTCCAGTACACATATACAGTAGAAAGAAATTTTTGGTCAATCAGAATTGTTAATCTATGGGAAACAACTTTACAAACTAGAATGCGGTGCTTACATGCAACTTCTTTCACGTTTCATTTTAGAGAATTCATTCATTTCCAAAGTTACTTAGGTTAGCCTATCCATACCCCCTTCCCCTTCAGTGACATTGTTTTACATGCTTATAATACTGTTAGATTGTTATCCTCATGTTATACATTCTATCCTGGGTACCCTGACCTTCTAAAATTTTTTTAAATTTGTATTAATTGATTGTTGCTATGAAAGTTTATTGGTTTTGACGAATGCCCAGTGTCATATATCAGTCAGTAAACTATTCTACAGAATAGTTTCACCACCCTAAGAACCTCCTGTTCTTCAATTATGCAATTCTCCTGCTCAAAGCCTGATCATTTTACCATCTCTACAGTAATGCTTTTTTAGGAATATCATATAATTGGAATTATAGAGTACATAACTTTTCTTGGCTGGCTTCTTTTACATAGCAATATTTATAAGAAATTTATATATATTTTTGTGGCTTGATAACTTATTTTTATTGCTGAATAATATTATGTTGTATGAATGTGCCAGTTTGTTTAAAAATGCATTTATTGAAAGATATCTTTGTTGCTTCCAGTTTGTTGGTGGTTATGAGTAGAGATGCTGTGAACATTCACATGTAGGTTTTTGTGTGGTCATAAGTTTTCTAATCAGTTGTGTGAATACCTAGGAGCAAGATTGTTGAATTGTATGTTAAGACTGTCTTTAGTTTTTTAAGAAACTGCCAAATTTTCTTCCAAATTGATTGTATCACTTTTCTTTCTTTTTTATTTTTATCATACTTTAAGTTCTGGGATACATGTGCAGAACATGCAGGTTTGTTGCATAGGTATACAGGTGCCATGGTGGTTTGCTGCATCCATCAACCTGTCATCTACATTAGGTATTTGTCCTAATGCTATCCCTCCCCTAGCCCCCCACCCCCCGACAGGCCCCAGTGTTTGATGTTCCCCTCCCCCTCCCTGTGTCCATGTGTTCTCATTGTTCAACTCCCGTTTATGAGTAAGAACATGCGGTGTTTGCTAAGCTGACTTATTTTTTAAACATTTCGAGTTCATTGAGAGTTTTTATCATAAATGGTGGTGTTGTGTTTTGTCAAATGCTTTTTCTATGTAATAGAAGCAGTCATATGATTTTTCTTTTTTAGTCTATTGATATGATAGTTTATACTAACTGATTTTAGAATATTATCTCAGACTTGGGTAACTGACATAAATACTACTTTGTTGTGGTGTATAAATTCTTTTTATACATGGTTAGGTTCAATTTCCTAATATTTTGTTGAGGATTTTGCCATCTATGTTCATGAGAAATATCCCACCCTTATAGTATCTTTCTCTGATTGGATTCACTGGATAAATTAGAAGCTGTTCTCTCTGCTTGCATTTTCTGGGAAATATTTTGGAGATTTAGCATCATTTTTTCCTTAAATGTTTGGTAGAATTCACCAGTGAAAACATCTCGCCTGGATGTCTTTTGTGAAAAGTTATAAGCTATTGATTTTTTAATAGATTGTCTATTTCTCCTTGCATGAAATTTGGTTTCATCTATTTTCTCTATTTTTTTGCTTTTAATTTCATTGTTTTCTGCTCTAATATTAACTATTTCTTTTCTTTATCCTACATAGATGTAAATATATCCTTTTTTCTCTAGTTTCCTAAGGTAAAAATAGGTTATTGAGTTTTGATCTTTCTCCTTTTTGTATGCACTTAACACACTTAGAAAATTTCCTCTACACACTGCTTTCATGGCATCCCTGAAATTTTAAATTTTAATGTTATATTTTCATTTTCACTTAGTTCAAAATAATGTTTAAGTTTTCTTGAGCACTCTTTGTCCCATGTGCTACTTAGAAGTACATATTTCATTTGCGTGGGATTTTCTAGCTGTTGCTCTGTTATTAATGTCTAGCTTAATTCCATTGTGATAAGAGAACATACTTTGTATGACTTCTATTCCTTAGAAATTCTTCAAATATGTTATGGGTCAGAATGTGGTCTCCCTTCGTGATTGTACCATTTGAGCTTGAGAAGAATTTGTTTGATAGATTTAGATATAAATATCAATTATATCATGTTAATTGATAATGTTGTATTGTCTACATGCTTGATCTTTCAATTAATAAAAGATGGGGAAGAAGTCTCCAACTGTAATAATCTATTGGTGTCTTTATTCTCACAGGTTTGTGAGGTTTAGCTTCATGTGTTTTGATGCTCTGTTATTAGGTGAACACGTTAGAATTATGTCTTTTTGGAGAATTTACCCCTTTATCAGTATGCATACTCTTGATTTTCCTCATAATCTTCCTTTTTCTGAAGTTGAATTGCCTGAAATTAATATATCTATTCTAGCTTTCTTTTGATCAGTGTCAGCATGGAATATTTTTTTCCATTTTTTACTACTAATCTATCTGAGTCTTCCTGAAGTATATTCTTATAGAAAATGTATGGTTGGAACTTGTTTTATTTTATCTATGTGATAATCTTTCTCTATTAAGTGGTGTATTTAGACCATTCACATTTGAAGTAATTATTGATGTATTTAGACTTTTACATACTATGTAACTTTTCTATTTGTTTCATTTGTTTTTTTTTTCTCCCTCTCTGCATTTCAGTTTGGAAATTTTTTGGTTTACCTTCAAGCTTACTAATTATTTCAAGCTATGTGTAGTATACAGATGAACCCATAGGATATATATTTTAATTTATGTTAGAGTGTTTTATTTCCAGCATTTATTTTGGATTATCTCTTAGAATTTCCATCTTTCTGTTTAAATTACTATCTATTCTTGCATATTCTCTACTTTGTCCATTAGAACTCTTAATATATTAATCATGGTTAGTTTTAATTCCCTGTGTAATAATTCTAAGATCTGCATTGTACCTCATCCCATCTATGATACTTATTTTGTCTCTCCAGATTGTTTCGTTTATTGCTTTTTGGCATGCTTTGTAATTTTTTGTTTAAAACTGAACATAGTTTAGATTACAATTGGAAATGAGGTAAATCAGCCTTTAATTTGAGAGTTTATGCTACTTTGGGCAGGAACTGTGCTGTGCTTAATGTTTACTGTATCTGCAGATGTCTTAGGTTTCAAATTCCTCTAGCATTCTTATTTTGCCTCCATGCTTGGATTTGCACTTCTTCATGTATTCTTCCTTAGAGAACATCTGCAGCTTGTACCTCTTAAGCTGCAACTCATTGTTCTTACGTTGGAGGCTTATTGGTGTTTTGATAACATGTGGTAGAAAGAAAGCATTTTACAGTCTCATGATTAAATCTTAGACGTTCAGTGGGCTATGTGTCTGGGCTTTGACCTTCATAAGTGTTTCTACAGTGGTATTTTCTTTTCCTTCTTAGATGAGACAGGAAAGCTAGCTTGGGGTAGAGGAGGAGTAATGCACTTCTCCTAGGTGAAATAGGCTCTGGAAAATGTTTTCCCCTAGAGAGTAAGCTTTGGCTTGGAAAATGCTCTGAGCATATTTCACAGTGGGTTACCTTCTGTTTTCATTGTTGGTGTCATAAGGGAATATTTCTAGAATCTTCACCATGAGAAATAAGAATTAGGTAGGGTTCTTGGAATTAATATCCAGGAAAGTATGGACGTGTTCCTAAGACTGTTCCTCCCTGAGGTTGTTCCATTATCATGTTTGTCTACACTCAGCCTCCAGCAACATACCAAAATTACCAACAAGTGTTCCTACCAAGTTATGTCTCTAGCAACTTCTGTCCTAGGTTAGTAGAGCTCAGCCATGAATCTGTGCATCCATCTGTCTCCAAGATTTCAAAGTGGAAGTTTACTATGCTACTTCAGTTCACTAATGGTTCCAAGTAAAATAACTGGTTTTCAGTTTTTTCTTGTTTAAGTACAGGCCTGACAACTTCCACGTTCCTTTTATATCTATGCTGCAATCAGAATTCTTGGATATTTATTTTGATTTGAGAAAACTTCCATAAAGACTATTGTTGTGGGATGTTCTAAAAGAAGATTATTAATTCATTTTTAAAAATAAAATGGCTGAGAAATACAGCAAGCTAGTCTTTAGCAGACTATTTAGGAGACGTACCAGGACTTTCAGTGTAATCTTAGTGTATGTTATCCATCGGCATTAAAAAAGTGTTCTGAAGTGACCAATAATAATCTATTATCAGAATATGGGTAAAAAAGTAGAGAAACATGACTTACTGTGAACACTATGCATTTGATAAACCTCATGTCCAAATAGTATGGGTTTAGAGATATCTAGAAAAACCATTATTAACACTGCACTTATTGACTAGGTGATTTTATGAAAAAAGTGAGTGTATTTGTCTTAATTTATAATAGTGGGAGGTGACAACCTGCTAGCGGCCCTTGCTTGCTCTGAGCACCTCCTCGGCCTCAGTGTCCGCTCTGGCCATGCTTGAGGAGCCCTTCAGCCCACCTCTGCGCTGTGGGAGCCCCTCTCTGAGTTGGCCGAGGCCAGAGCTGGCTCCTTCTGCTTGCGGGGAGGTATGGAGGGAGAAGCGCGGGCGGGAATCGGGGCTGTGTGTGGCGCTCGTGGGCCAGCGCGAGTTCCGTGTGGGCGCAGGCTCAATGGGCCCTGCACTTGGAGTGGCCAGCCGGTGCTGCCAGCTCCAGGCAGTGAGGGGCTTAGCACCTGGGCCAGCAGCTGCAGAGGGGGCGCCGGGTCCCCCAGCACTGCTGGCCTACCTGCAACACACTCGAATTCTCACCGGGCCTCAGCCACCTCCCCGCGGGGCAGGGCTCAGGACCTGCAGCCTGCCGTGCCGGAGCCCCAGGGTTGTGGGCTCCCACGCAGCCCCAGCCTCCCTGATGGGCACCGCCCCCTGCTTCACAGCACCTGGTCCCATCGACCACCCAAGGGCTGAGGAGTGCAGGCACCTGGCGTGGGACTGGAGGGCAGCTCCACCGGCGGCCCTGGCACTTGATCCACTAGGGAAAGCCACCTGGGCTCCTGAATTGGGTGGGGACTTGGAGAACTTTTATGTCTAGCCAGAGGATTGTATATGCACCAATCAGCACTCTGTGTCTAGCTCGGGGTTCGTGGATGCACCAATCAGCACTCTGTATCTAGCAAATCTGGTGGGGACTTGGAGAACTTTTGTGTCTAGCTAAAGGATTGTAAATGCACCAATCAACACTCTGTATCTAGCTCAAGGTTTGTAAACGCACCAATCAGCACCCTGTCAAAACAGACCAATCAGCTCTCTGTAAAAAGGACCAATTAGCTCTCTGTAAAATGGGCCAATCAGCAGGATGTGAGTGGGGTCAGATAAAGGAATAAAAGCAGGCTGCCCGAGCCAGCCCAGGCAGCCTGCTTGGGTTCCCTTCCGTGATGGGGAAGCTTTGCTTCTTTTGCTCTTTGCAATAAATCTTGCTGCTGCTTATTCTTTCGGTCTGCACCATCTTTATGAGCTGTAACTCTCACCGAGAAGGTCTGCAGCTTCACTCCTGAAGCCAGCGAGATCATGAATCCACCCACCAGGAGGGGCGAATAACTCTGGATGGGAGGAACGAACAACTCTGGACGTGCCACCTTTAGGAACTGTGACACTAAAGATGAAGGCCTGCAGCTTCACTACTGAGGCCAGCCAGACCATGAACCCACTGGAAAAAATGAACAATTGCAGACACACCATCTTTAAGAACTGTAACACTCACCGTGAGGGTCCGCGGCTTCATTCTTGAAGTCAGTGAGACCAAGAACCCACCAATTCTGGACACAATAGGACCAATGTAAGGACACATGTTTGTTCTTATACCATTCTTGCTGTATTTGTAAATTTTTGTTGCAGGAGAGGTGTGATTACCTTGGATATCTTGATAGTGGGACACTTTGAGAAGGCAAGAGTTAACCTGATCTTAGCTGACTTGGTGAATTGAATAAATCTTACCTTACTATCACAGGCAGATTGAGGCAAGGTTTGGGGTAGTAAGTTCAGTTTAGAAGGTTTATTTAGAATAAAATTCTGAAGTCCAAGCAACCTAATTGTTGTCTGTCATTATCAAAGACTTATTTTCTTATTTTTTACAACAAGCCTTCATAATTCTTCTGAGTGGGAGGGTTCTTGTCATAATAAATTTCAGAAGTCATTAGTTATGCACATATGTTTTTTTCCCTTTTACACACATAAAAATTGGTTTTGCCTCTCACAGAATTGATGCATAGAAGAGTAAACAGGATAAGAACAAGGAATGAAGACTAAGGAACACAAGTAACGTGTAATCTCTAGGGACTTCATAAGTGAGTGTGCAGGTTTAGAAAAATTTCAGCTCTTGGTGGAAAGCAAAATAAACTGATTCAAACTAATTGAAGTGAAGAGCAATTTTTCCGAGGAGACTGGAAAGATAATGTCATATATAGAAAACTTGAAGGTTATTAGAAATAAAGGACACAGATGATGGAGATGGCCAAGCTAGAATCTTAACTGATGCTTTTCTAGAGATTATTATACTCACTCCTGTTCAGTTTTCAAAGGTTCAGGTTGGAATATTATATTGGCTGACCTTAATCTACAGATTGATTGTGATATCTTGAAGATGGCCTTTCGTGACAATTCACACATATATCTCCCTCTCAATCTTAGATGTGCAAGAAATACAACTTTTCAACATTTTCTGTAATTCAAGTTATTTTGTACGTTAAGGTCTCATTCAGATGAATTAACAAGAATAATCTCAGTGTTAATGAGCTTTTTACCACTCTTTTGCCTCTTACAATATTTATGGTTATGGTGCAACTAAGTAGGGACAGATTATGAAGGAATTCCCACCTTATTCTCAGTTTTGTCTGGTTCACGCTCATAATTAATGAGTTTGTCCATCACATTTTATTTCTGGCACTGGTTCAACAACGTAATTTGTGTAACTGAGCTTTCATTCTCCACTGGCAAGCTTCTTCAGTATTGTCATTGGCTCTGTCTGATCCTTACTGGTTCTTGAGAAATTTTCTGTAGTCTTGTAAGTCTAGTGATAATTGAATGCCATCATTATGGGAAGACAGCATTCTGTTCTTCATTGCTCTGAATTGAGAGTATCATTGCAAAGCTTTGCACAACCTATGTTTCCTGGGTAAACTGCCATCCTCTTTTCTCTCGTGCTTTATTGTTTTCTGTGGGTTCTGCCTAAGATGTAAGGAAAAAAGTCATTTCTAATTCTAGATCTCATTTTAAGAGTTTTGGCAAAACAAACTCGCCTATATTAATTATAGTAATAGTTATTACAATAACCTACCTAATAACATGTATAAAAGTTAATTTTTGATCATTATATTAATATTTCAAAATGATTTAAATCTTCTTGATGGATAATGTGCACTTGAGAGAAATCTGAAATAAAAGGTAAATATAGGTTTCTTAGAATTTGTCAGTAAGAGACACATTTTAACTTACATAATCCCAGGATCATTTTCAGCATTCCCATTTTTTAATGTGTGAATATAGGTACAGACACTATGAGTAACAACAACAGTTGGAAGTAATCCAACTGTTTCTCACTAATGAAAAAGATAAATACAATTAGTTTATAATGCATGTACTAAATTGTAGCAATCAAAATCAACAAATATATTTCCACAATAATATATATGTTTAAAATAATATTAAAGAAAAAGTAAATTTTTGAAGAATTTAAGGATTCAAAATAGATTAAAAAACAAATATATTACATATAGTTTATGTAAATAGCTATTTTATATAAAACATTTAAAAATCAAATTTGCTAGCATTTTAAGATTTTTGAAAACTTTTTTGTAAGTAATATTGTATAATGTATTTCATTTTACTGTCTTTTATAGTTTGGTTTTGGTGTTATAGTAACTCTGTTGAAACAGTTGTTGAACAGTTCATCTTTCGTGTTTTTTGTTTTTTGATTTTTTTGTTTCGCTCTGTTTTTGAGGCAGAGCCTTGCTCTGTCACCCAAGCTGGAGTGCAATGGCATGATCTTGGCTCACTGCAACCTCCGCCTCCCAGGTTCAAGAGATGCTTGTGCCTCAGCCTCTCACGTAGCTGGGACTACAGGTGTGCACTACCATGCTTGACTAATTTTTGTATTTTTAGTAGACACAGGGTTTTGTCATGTTGGCCAGTCTGGTCCTGAGCTCTCAGCCTCAAGTGATCCACCCGCCTCGGCCTCCCAAAGTGCTGCAATTACAGGAGTGAGCCGCCACGCCCGGCCAAAAAGCTTCTATATCACCAGATATAGAATGATAGATTGCAAAGAAAAAAATACTAAATCCGTGATTATATCTGGATTAGAAAAGAGGAAATTTGGATCAGAGAAGATTGTCTTGCAGATGAAGAAAACTATGGTCATTTATATACATAAATACTAAATTTCTCCTGAAAAATATATATTTAAAACTGTATTATTAAAGTTACAATATTTGATAATATTTGTCAAAGTTAAATCTGGAGCCACATTATATTAGATTCAGATCCTTTTTTCTTTGAAATATTTCATGACATATGAGAAGTAAATGTTAATTGTTAAAGTAGAAATGGCAAATATGCACTCCATAACCTTATCTAGGAAGGAAATGAGAGGCTTCAAACTAAAATTGGATACAGGATCAAGGGAGAACATTTGTGTGAATCAGGAGACATTTAAGCATATTTAAGAGAAGAGGGGCTGGAACTTACAAAGACAAAATAGTTGTAGTAGAGAAGAGACGTGAAGACAAGACGTGCTTATTGATTGTCTAGCTTGGGAGATTCATCATGGTTAGTTGAATTGCATATGACAGTGGCCTACAGTTTTCACAGTAAAGACAGTGGAAAGGTTCAAAAATGAATTTTGGAACTTTTGGTATCCCTCAGGAATAGGCAAGGAAGGGAAGGGAGATATTCTAGTAAGGAAAAGTACATTTCTGTGAAGGCCAGCACTGTGAAATCCACACTGAGAGGCTTGTGGGATTCTCTGGGTGGTTATATTAGCTCATGAGTGACAGGAATGAGGCTGGAATTTTAAGTGTGCACTTCCTACCCAGGTGTAGCTTTGAGGCAAGAAATAAGGAAAGCAGCGTTTGGGTAAAGAAATGAAAGGAAAAGTTTAGAATCAGGACCCATCCATCCCTAAAAGAGGCACTCACTGTCACTCTGTGGTCACCTGAACCAGCCCTTTTTGTTCAGGTGTTACTTTGATATTATTCCTGAGGAGGTGCATTATCAAAAAGCATGAGGATTACTTTCAATTTCCCAGTCCTTAGCTTCATTTCAAGAAAACATATTGCCATGGTGTCTGGAAGGGAAAATATTATATTAAGGTCGGGAACATTTAGGAACTGTCAGAGGCCTTCTGAAACAACTAATTTTTGGAACTGGTTTCTAGACACTTTTTTTTTTTTTTTTTTTTGCAGGCCCTGACTACAAATTATTCTGTGTAATTATTGTAGGAAATTAATCTCAGACTGTTAGAGATGATGTGTGAGATACTTTACAATTAAAAAGAGGCCTTCCTAGCAGACAAAAAAAAAATGAGTTAAGTACTTTAGGTCAGTATACAGTGTTGCCAAGGGGAATGTGTGAAAAAATGTGATTGAGAGGTGGTAATGGTAGTAACAGATGGTGGTAGTGCTGAGACTGCGTGTATTGAAGATCAGTGAGTAAGTGGCTAAAATAATCACAGTGGAAATACACTGAATTACATTAGTGAAATCAGAATGTAAAACGTATACTAGATATATTTTAGAACCATATTCCAAAATTATCATTACTCTAGTTAGCTTATATTTGAAATAATTGTAAAGTCTCAAATTGTTAAAAAAAATTGTTTAAGAATTATAATGCACAGCAAAGTAAGAAATATACTAAAACTTTTTTCTCTTTCTTAAGAATAGCTTCATGCTATTTTAATGAAGATGGATCTGATCTAACCCTTTTTTGGGGCCAACTACGTACAATACAATTTTTAGAAGACAGTAAAAATAGGAAACACTACATACTTTATATAGAAATTTAAGTGTTATGATAGAGGTAAAAACCATAATTCAGCAGAGATTAGAGGAGTGATAGATATTAATTTTGATTGAGAAACTGAAAGATATACATGGATCTTTTTTAGGAATTGCCAAGCTGATTCAAAAATTTATATGGTATTGTAAGAGATCTAGAAAGCTAATTCAGTTTTAGAAATAAGAAAACAGAGTTGGAGGACTTCTACTTTCAAAACTTACAATAAAGATATAGTTAATTAGGCAGAGTGTTATTTTTATAATATAGAAATTTAGATTAATGGAAAAGAAATTATCCTACCTGTGGTCAGTTTATTTTTAACAAAAATACAAGGTAATTTAATAGGAAAAAAAGTCTTTTTTACAACTAGATTTGGAACAACTGATAATCTGTATGGAAAATAAATTAGCCTCGATCTTTACCTTATACCACCTATAATATTAAATTTGATCATATACTTATGTGTTAAATTTAAAACTCTAAGCTTTTTAGAAGAAAAATAACAGACTATATTCCACTATGATTTACAGAAACTAAATTGATCCCAATAAGCACAATAGACATTGTGTGGAATGACATTTGTTGACGGGATGCTACCATTTCTACTTTCAAGGAAACATAACACATCCTTGCTAAACAAACACACCTTTCCTGTTACCAGTGTACATAGAAAATCCAAAAGAAAAAAATAAGAAAACTGTGTGGTAAACATGGAATGAAATCAATAAAATTTTTCAATGTTCTTTGGAAATATGTCTGTAAAAGGTCCTAATACATGATCCCTCTTTACAAAGAAAATACTGAAAACAACTTTTTCACAGTCTTCAAACTGGATATGTTTTGGTCTGAATAAGGCAATCTAGTGCATTTGTTTAACTTCAAATAATAACCAAAGTTTATTTAATTTGTTCTATAATTCACTAAGATAGACTCCTCAAAAACCAGTTATTTCTCCAACTTCAATCTGGCAATATTTTCCCATCTTTAAGTAATAAATTCAATTATCTTATCAATGATCTCACTGGCTTTATCTTGGATTCATCACTCTCTCCTTCTTTGCAATCCCATAGTACTCTGGAAAGTCTATATCCTATGGTTGATTTCCATAGCCTTCAGGATAAATCTTAACTGACACTGTCATTTAAGAAACTTCTTCACTTGGAGCAGCTAACGTCTCTAAGCATTTTTTTTTCCTGCCAAGGCTTTCACCTGTATTTCTCCATGCTCTATCTGACACACCTAAAGAGGCTGTCTTGGGATACTAGGAGCCCCTTTCATGGATTATCAGAGCGCATCAGAGGCTCCTTTCCTAAATGCACATATCGGAAGCATAAAGATGTCTTTAAGCCATCTGGACCTACAATTTTCTTTTCTTTGTGGTTGTGGGAGTCAAAACAGTGTCCTCTATCCTCTGGTGTTACTCCTGTGAATATGTTACATTAAATAACACAACGGACTTTACAGATCTTATTAAGGTGACTAAAGAGTTTACCTTTTTATTGGGGTGAGTCTGATATAATCACATGAACCTTTAAAAGCAGAAAGCAGCTATATAAAAGGAAGTCAGGGAGATTCAAAGTATGAGAAGGATTTTATATTTCCATGCTGACTTTGAAGATGGAGGGGACCACAAGTCAAAGAATGTGGGTGACAATGACCTCTCACTGACCTGTGAAAGCTGAGAATGACCTCTCACTGACATCTAGCAAGGAAACAGGAACTTCAGACCTACAATGCCACAGAACAGAATTCCACCAACAAACTAAATGCACACACAATGCGATTGATTGTTCCCCAGAGTCTCCAGACAAGAACTTAGTCAGTTGACACCTTGATTTAGGTATTGTGAGACCCGAAGAGAGTACAAGCAGAGGCTGCCCGGACTTCTGAATTGTAGAACTGTCAGATAATAAGTGGGTACTGTTTTAAGCCACTAAGTCTGTAGTAATTTGTTACAGCAAAGATAGAAAAATACAGTGGGAATATTTAATTCTGAATTCAATGTCTTTTAGCACGGGGCTATTCAGATTTTCTTTTTTCTTGATTCAATTTAAATAGGTTATTTAAACTATTTGACACATTTACCTAAGTTGTTGAATGTATTGACATAACATTTTTCTTTCTATTAAATTGTGTAGGACAGCAGTCCCCAAACTTTTTGGCACCAGGGACCAGTTTCTGTGAAGACAATTTTTCCACAGATGGGGAGTGAGGATAGTTTTGGGATGGGATGAAGCTGTTTCACCTCAGCGCATTAGATCCTTTTTTCTTTTCTTTCTTTTTTTTTCTTTGACGGAATCTCACTCTGTCGCCAGGCTGGAGTGCAGTGGCGTGATCTCGGCTCAGTACAACCTCCGCCTCCCTGGTTCAAACGATTCTTCTGCTTCAACCTCCTGAGTAGCTGGGACTACATGTGTGCACCACCACGCCCAGCTAATTTTTGTATTTTTAGTAGAGACGGGGTTTCACCATGTTGGCCAGGCCATTATCTCGACCTTGTGATCCACCCACCTTGGCCTCCCAAAGTGCTGGGATTACAGGCATGAGCCACCGTGCCCAGCCAGCATTAGATTCTTATAAGGAGCATGCAACCTAGATCCATCACATGTGCGGTTCACAATAGGGTTCGCTTTCCTATGAGAATCTAGTGATACAGCTCATCTAACAGGAGGTGGAGCTCAAGCAGAAATGCTCACCCTCCCGCTGCTCACCTCGTTCTGTGCAGCCTGGTTCCTAACAGGCCATGGACCAATACCAGTCCTTGGGTCCAGGGGTTGGTGACCCCAGGTGTAGGATATGTATTGATGTTTCCTCTCTTATTCCATATGTTAATTTATGTCTATTTCTTCTTGGTTGGTATAAACATTTATCATCTTGATCTTTTCAAATAAACTATTTTTGGTTTTACTGATATTATATTATGTTTTACATTTTCTTTTTCATTAGTTTCACAATTATTTTTAGTATTTCTTACTATATATTCACTTTGAGTTTATGTTGCTGTCCTTTTTCTAACTTCTTAAGGTAGAACCTTAGTTAAGTGATTTTTAACTTTTCTTCTTTTCTAATATAAACATTTAAAGGTCCAAAATGTCCTCAACAATTGCTTTAGTTGTGTCTCACATATTTTGATATAATGTATTTTATTTACTTATTTTCAAATTTCTACCCATAATTTACATAAAATCCATTGCTTAATTTTTAATCATTTGGACTATTCCAGATACCTTTCCATTATTGGTATCTAATTTAAATCCAGTGACGAAAGATAACATATGCTATGTAATTTCAGTCCTCTTAAGTATATTAAGGGTTGTTTTATTGTCCAATATATAATCTATCTTGGTGAATATCCGTTTGAACTTGAAAAAGATGTATACTCTGCAGTTTCTTTGTCCGTATGTGTGTGTGTCGTTCTGTAAATATAAATTAAGTGTTATTGGTGGACACTGTTGTTCAAGTCTCTTATATCTTTTTTGATTTTGTGTCTACTGTCAATTACTAAAACGTAAGTGTTGAAATCTCCACCGGTAATTGTGGATTTATCTATTCTCTTCTTAGCTTTGTCAAGATTTGTGTAAGTATTTTAAAGCTCTTTCATCTTTATCGTTGTTATTTCCTTTTGATGAATTTACCCATGAAATTTCTCTCTATTTCTGGTAAGGTTTCATGTTTGGAAGTTTACCTGGTCTCATTGTAACATAGGCACGTCAGTTTTTATGTCTGTGATTTGCATAATATAGCTCTTCCTCTCATACTAATTTTAATCTATCTTTCTATACAAGATATAATTTATTCTTATATTTAAATGACTTTCATGTTGACAGCATATAGTTGGATCTTGCTTTTTTACGCAGTCTTACAATGTATTTATTTAAATTGGTAAGCTTAGCCCTTTTATATTTAATTATTAATATGGTTGGGCTTAGTTCTTCCATTTTGCTACTTAATTTGTAATCATTAAATCCTTTCCCTCTTTGTTTTCTAGTTTCTTTTAAATAATAGAGAACTTTTCAGCATTCCACTTTATCTCTTCTAGTTAGATATCTATTATTATTTAATAAAACAATGAATTTACAGTATATTTTTTAAACTTTTACATCTCTTAAATATCATTTTATAGATTAATATATTTTTAACACCTTTAGAACTATGTATTTCCATTTCTCCCCTGTAATCCTTTTTGCTATTATAATTATACCTTTTACTTTTCTATATACCACAATGCAATACAGTAATAATATTTTGCTGTAAACCATCAAAGAAAATAAGATAAAATTTTATTTCACAAAAATAAGATAAAATTTTAAAAATAAAGTAAATAAAAAATAAGATAATGTCTTTTATTTTTTCCTACATGTTTTCAATTTCTAGTTTCCTTTATTTAGGTAAATCCACATTGCTATCTGTTACCATTTTTATTTGGTCTAAAATATTTATCTTGTGTTATAGTATAAGTTTGCTAGTAATGCATACTCTCAAATATAATTGTCTTTAAATTTCACCTTTTTAAAAAGTATATTTTTCCTTGATTAAAAAATTTAGTTTAGCATACTTTTTTTTCTTGTGTCATAAAGCTGCTTAACAGTCATGCAATTTGCACAGATTATGCATTCATTCTGCTATCATTAATTTTAATCATTCTTCTTTTGTTTATAATGTCTCTCCCCACTTCCTTGGTGATTTTTATGTTATTCTCTTTATAGCTGTTTTCTTGTCACCTAATGATACATCTTGTGTGTGTGTGTGTGTGTGTGTGTGTGTGTGAGAGAGAGAGAGAGAGAGAAATAGGTGATTACAGTAGTTCCCTCTTATCTGCAGTTTTGATTGTGTGATTCTGGTTACTTGAAGCCAACAGCAGTCCAAAAGGAGCTAAGTAAAGTATAGTAAGATATTTTGAGAGAGACTGACCACATTCACAGACATTCTATTATAGTATATTGTTATAATAGTTTTATTATATTGGTGACTATTATTAATCTCTTACTGTGCCTAATTAATAAAATGAACTTTATTATAGGTATGTGCAGTAAGTACAGAACAAAACATAGTATATATAGGGTTTGGTACTATCTATGGTTTCAGGCATCCACTGAGAGTCTTAGAATGTATCCCTTGCAGATAAGCGGGCACTTCTGTATTTATTCTGCTTAGATCTGTTCATCTTTAAACAGTAGTCTTGTAGTGTTTATCATATTTTGAAAACATACCGTAATTTTACAATTGTTATGACTCTATTCATTATCTATTGTTTCCCTCTGTTTCATTTTGGATAGTCTTTGTTTTCTGTTTTCAATGTCAATAATTTTATTTCTTCTGCATTAATTTGCTGTCAATTCCATCCACAGAAATTTTACCTTAGCTATTAATTTTAATGTCTAGAATTGCTATTTGAGTGTCCATTTGTTTCATTATTATATTCATGTTTTCCTTTGACTAGTTGAACATTTGTAAAATAGTTATAACCTTTTTAAGATTACTTCCTATGACTTCCATCACATCTGTCATTTTTTTGTTTCCTAGAAATAAAATATTTGTCACATTTTCTTCTTTTTTACATGCCTTGTAATTTTTTATTGTTTTATCTAAAATGCTAATTGTACATTGTTGACATGAGTCTCGATTCTGTTGTATTACTTTAAAGATTGTTGGAGACATTATTCTAGAAGGCAGTTAATTTATTTACAAGTCTGTTTGATTCTTTGAGGAATTGCTGTTTAGGCTCTTTATGTTGGATGCACAGCAAAAGCCTTTCACAGACAGTTAGTGTAACATAATTAATGATATGTATTGGCTTTTCATTTCCCTACTTCCTTAGTAATTTCATGTGATAACTAAGATATTTTTTCATCACCATGAGAGGAAAGTGAATTCCAAATATTTCCATTTCTTACAGGAAGGGGAACATCACACACCAGGGCCTGTTGTGGGGTAGGGGGAGGGAGGAGGGGGGAAGGGGGAGGGATAGCATTTGGAGATATACCTAATGTTAAATGACGAGTTACTGGGTGCAGCACACCAACATGGCACATGTATACATATGTAACTAACCTGCACATTGTGCACATGTACCCTAAAACTTAAAGTATAATAAAAAAAAAGAAAATTCTAAATTTTTTTAGTGTTCCAAATGCAAATAAGGCTTGCAGTGATAAAGATGTGTGACTACAGTTTGTAATGTTTCATTATGTATATTAGAATTAGTGTCCTTTCCATACACTCCCAATATGCTTGGGGTATGGGAGATTGTTAAATCTCAAACTGAAAAGGCAAGTAAGCAGTATTCACTTCTATCATAATGCCCTAAAGTCACTGGAATAAATAAAATGGTATTTCAGTTCTGAATTCCTTTTCTTGAAAAAAATGTAAAAAGTGCTAATGGGTTTTGCAATGCATGTTCTACATTAAGAAATACTCTCCCAATGTCTTCAGAACTCCTGTATCATCACAGGTAGACATTTTTACTCCATCATATTATGGGGGCCACTTGGAAGACTCAGAGATCTCTTAAGACTGCAGACCCAAGGATACTTCACCAGCTTAACCGTCAGTCACAGTTTGACCAAGAGACTCCCAGGTTTAGCAAGATTATCTTGTTCATGCCTGTTATCAAAGCATGATTGTTAATCACATACCTTTACACTCTCAAATGTGTCCTAGTTATAATAATAAAAGCAAATGGTCACTGTAACTGAAACAGTCTGGGACATATAAGAATTTGGGGTGTCTGAATTGAGATGAATAAATCTAAGAAATTTACAGAACACAGTAAATGCGTCGGAAAATTTTCTCTCTTTTTTTTTTTTTTTTTTGAGACGGAGTCTTGCTCTGTCACCCAGGCTGGAGTGCAGTGATGCGATCTCAGTTCATTGCAACCTCTGCCCCCCAGGTTCAAGCGATTCTTCTGCCTCAGCCTCCTGAGTAGCTAGGACTGCAGGCGTGTGCCACCACATCTGGCTAATTTTTGTATTTTTAGTAGGGACAGGGTTTCACTACGTTGACCAGTCTGGTCTAGAACTCCTGTTCTCAGGTGATCTGACCCCGTCAGCCGACCAAAGTGCTGGGATTACAGGCGTGAGACACCGCGCCCGGCCAGAAAATATTTTTTCTTGAACAGGTTTCTGTATCCTTAGATTTATCCTCCATTCTTCTTGAGCTTTACATATTTTCAACATTAAGTGCTACTTTTTTATTTTATGAAAAAAGAAGTATAAGGAACAAACATTTTAGTACAGTATATTCTCTTAATAGCAATCTTTAAATTGTTTAGAGACAAAAATCTCTAACAATATTAATAGCCAGAATTTAACCTTCTTAAGTATAAGAACTAAACTTCACACCAATAATATATAGAATATTTTTAGTTGAAATTGTAGGGAAGTCCCCATAAAAGTCAAGATTCTAAAACAATACAGTTAAGCAACCACAAGGGAGCATCTTGAAGCAGAGAGAAGTGTGGATTCTACAGCCAGAAAACCTGGTTTAGAATCATGCTCTGCCACTTTAAAATGGTGTAATGGACAAGAGAGTAAGCCCCTCTGAAGGTACGTTTTCTTATCTGTAAATGAAAATAATTTTTAAAAATCAACCTAATAGGACTTCTGTACATATTCAATGCGTTGATACTTGAAAAGAGTTTGTAAAAATGCTTTGAACATAGCACAAAGTATGTGTTTGTTAAAAATAAATAGCAATAAAGAGGGTTATCTACCCATAATAACCCAATAAGATAGATTCCCCCCTCTCATTGTATTTTTCTTTATATTTATATGCAGATCAATTCACTATTTAAAGAAGCCTGAGTCATTTTGCCCTGTGACGCGGTTGCTTAGCTTATTCGAGGACCTGGCAAAACACCAGTTACCAATCAATGTAAACTGCTGAAAATAAAGTCTCAAAAGCTAGAGCTAGGTTTGGTGTTCTGTCTCCTCTGCCATCTCAGGACAATGAAGTGTAGTGAGGGGCCAGCCGATGTCTTAAGATTGACAAGTTTCTGATATTTTTACTTATTTATTTTATCCTGAAAGCAAACATAAGATTTCAGAATTAAAGGCACACTATGATTACTATACTTACAGAAATAACCACATGCAACATTCCCTATGCATCTTTCTTCCCTCAGAATGATGAGATGAGTGCCACATGGATCTGTGCATGCAGAAAGATTGTTGCACCGAAGAAGAGGAACTCCAAATTAAAAATTTAGGAGTTATACAGGGACTGCAGCTTCCTTTCTCTTCTCCTGAAAAAAGAAGAGAAACCATATTTCCCTAAGACAGGTAAATCTTCTGTGGGGAGAGAAGAGGAATTTAAAGGAATGTCTCTGAGTTGTATCTCCCTTCATAACATGAAACATAGCTCTAAGGGGAGCTGAATACTCTGAATTTTGCTGAAGGTCTCTTGCTCTCTGCGGGTTGCTATTCAGTTTTAATCTCCAGAGTTGCCCTTCCAGTCTGCTCTCAGTTTATTTGCTCAGAAAACCCTAACCATGCAGAAATGTGGACATATGTCTTCAACAATTCCACAAAATTCTCTCATAGCACTACATTTTCTATGATGAATATTCTCTTTACATGTTAACACATGACCATAGAACTGGGAACATAAATCTTCAAAATCACTTCACCTAGCATTAATTTCTAGAAGTGTTTTGGAGATCTGTTTTCAATAACTTATATGAGATGTAGATAGATACCAGATTTGTTATGTGTTTCTTAATATTTCTGGGGTCTCATATCCCATCTTCAAGATATCTTATTTTGCCAAATGACCCTGCAACCCTTTCTGTGTTTACCCATTTTTTTGAATAAATAGTAAATGGTTCTAACATGATTGTATATTAAGATTGGGACACATTTGATGACCTTTGAGAGAGTTGTAAGCATGGAAATACGGAGATTCTATGGACTGTGGTGAGGAGTCGTCACTTTGAACCAGAAGAAATTCCAGTTGTAGCTGAACCCACCAAACCTTAGAGTGAGAGAAGCATGTAGCTATTGTTTGAATGTATATAGGAAATTCCTTTTTGTAGTAGGGGATATCTGAGTTTTTTTTTATCCTAAAAGGTAATAGCAAAGAGTAAGAATGTCAGGATAGTTGATAAATAAATCAAAATATAGAGGGGAAAGGGAGTAAATAAAATGGGTAAAAGTGAGTGGAAAATGCATAATCATAATGTGTTAAGTAAGTTATTAGCTTGAAGGTTTAAAATATAGTCCAAGGTATATTTGGAACCTAAATTATAGAAAATTGAGATTTGAGGACCCATCCAACCTCCTCTCCACAATCCTTCAGATGTTTACTAACTTTATCTGAGGGTAGAGAATAAGCAGACACATCTTTAGGTGCTCAGAATGGAAGATTTATAGTGGTGGTTCCTATCATACCACAGGCACGATCCTGGATTTTTCCACTCACGTTTATTCCCTCATTTAATAAAAATAAATATTATCTGATCCCTTCCTCTTCTTTTGCACTGATACTCAGATAACATTTTTTAAGCTACAACCTCCAAATTCCCAGATAGCCTAAAAAGTCTTCTAATCTGTCTTCCTGTCTGTGATTTCTCACCTGTCCATTATATCCCCATTCTGCTACCCCCAAATATTGCGTAAAATTCAATTTAAGATCCTCCCCAATGATATTCTATTGCAAATATATTTCTCAACACAATAGCAACCTGTTAAATTTTATGCATTTGTGTGTGTGTGTGTGTGTGTGTGTGAGAGAGAGAGAGAGACAGAGACAGAGAGAGAATAAGTAGCATAGTTTGCCTGAAAGTCTTATATTCACATGGAAATCAAAATATCTAAACCAGAACTTATCCTTTTCCTTCAGTTTTGTTTTTTTCTCCTGTGTTGTCTTGTTGAGGGCAGGACAGCTCTATACTTTCTGCGCTAAATTCGAAATGTAGCAACAATTATTATGTCCTTTTACTTCTCTTTTTATATTTTTCAATCAAAAAGTCCTAATGAATCCACTTTCTAAATAATTCTGTAATTAATAGGCGTCTTCTTGAATCTACAATTCAAATATTCCAGACAAAATTTGTCACTACTCTGGTCTGACACAATAGCATTCTAATTGAAGACATTGCTTGTGTTTCTCTTAGAATACAGGACAAATAATTTCACATGAATTTAAGAGACAACCAATATTTATCAGATTGTTTTGGAAGCATCAGATTCTACTACATATTCTTTCAAGTCTTCACACTTCAACAATTTCATGTCCTGTTTCTTTTTATGCCTAATATGCTGCTCTAATGTCTCTCACAGATTATTTCATCTGAGTAATTCATATTTATATTTCAAATCTCAATTGAAATTTCCATTTTTAAAGATCTTTCCTGACAGAGGTTCCTTATTTAATAACATTTATTAAAATTAAAATAACAGGAGTTTCTAGCATTCTCATGAATTTATGTCGTCAAATTAAATTTCTTTTTTCTGAAAAATGAATATACCCTTGAAGTTAAGGCCCACCTGAGTTGAAGCACTTTCTAAGTCCTTTCCTTACCTCATATGACTACAGGTAGATAAGATCTTTGCTAAGTTTGAAACAGTGAAAATTCCAGATGGGCACTGTGTTTTGAAAAGTGAACAGAAGCATACAGAGAAGTGATTGTGACTGGAGCAAATTACTAATTCATAAAGAGGATTTAATTCCAATTCACTATTAATGCAGTTAGGCAGACTGCCTCAGAGATGCTGCAAATAACTTAAGCTGGTGCTTCCTGAGCTTTAATGTGCATATAAATTACCTGAGAGGCTTGTCAAAATATGGACTCTGATTCTATAGATCTGGGGTGAAGTCTGAGATTCCGCATTTCTAACAAATTTCCAAGTTAAGTTAATGCTGCTGGCTATCATATTATACTGAGGCTTGAGTAGTAAAATCTTAAACTGCATTTCTTGGGAGGGGAAAGGCAATATATAATCTGTTTTGAGAGGAGTGTAACTTAAAAGGATAGTGACTTTTATACTGGTTAAGGCTGCTTTTCTTACAAGAATATTTGAAAAAACTTATGCTAGGATAAGAAGTTTATAGAAATCCTCCAAATATATAGAATTTTTCTGCAGATTGAATGTGAAACATATTCAATCATGAAAATAAACACACTAAATGTGTATATAAAGACAAAAGATTACAGAGAAACAAGAGGTGAGAAACACAATTATTAAAGATGTATTAGGGATATTGGGAAGGCAATGCCCCTTACAAAAAATGGTAAGAATAGAAAGATTAGCCAAGAAATTAGGATTCAATGGTGTCTAATTTATTGTCAGTTTCTGATATGCAGTAAAGTTAAGATGAAGAGTTTCATTTGAAAAAAAAAAAATTAGCCACAGTGAGTCATTGCCAGCTCATGGATGTCATAAGAAAACTACAACTATAGGAAATATTAGTAAGTTTTCAATAAACACAGTGACTGTAGTAAAGAGAAACTAATGGTGGAAAAAATATGTACCAATTATAATCAGCAAACAGAAACTATCCACTCTACTCACCCAACACGTATACAGTTTGACCTTTGAGAACTGAAACTATCTATTCCCATACACAACTATGCTACCTATACTAAGACTTCATTCTTTTACCTTCTTTAGCATAACTTCAGTATTTCAGGAGACTTTTCCAGGCAAATAACTTGGTTGTTCACTTCTTAAAAGGCGCATCAACTTTTCCACAGAAAGAAAACTTTGGCTTGTATTATCCGCTGTTTGAATCTCAAAATTCTCACCTTGCTGTGTCCATCAACAGTAAATTGTTACATCATAATTCTTATTCAACCTTAATCAAGCCCCTGAATTAAAAGTCTTACAATAAACTTTCAATCCCTAAAATTCTTATCCTGTATTTCTCCCTCTGAGACACTACTAAAAGTGTTTGAGTTATCAAAGTAAACAATAACAGAGCTTTTGCTTATCATCAGCATGTTATATTGTGTTATTTAGGGAGATGGAATTCAACAAACCAAACCCATGTGAAGGAAGAACAAATAAGGGGAAAGTGAAAAAGACTGAATAGAATGATCGAAGAGCAGAAGACAGATTATAGACATATTTTTAAAATTAAACTGTGTTACAGGACTTTTCCTTAGTTCTGCTAAAGACGAGGTCCTTGTCCAACAGCCACGAAAATTCAGGCTCACAGACAATTTGAATGGTGAGTAATACAGGGTTTTATTGGGTGAAAAGTAAGAAACGGAAGAAACAGGGACTGTCAGCAAGGCCAGAATCCCTGCTAGAGCACTTCCTTCCTCACTATATGAATTCCTGGTTTCACACAGGAAGAGGAGGGGCCAGGCTCCTCCCAGCCACAAAGGGCATAAATTTTCCAAGGCTCCACCCCAGCACACAGGCTGGTTGGAGTTTTGCCAGGGACCCCCTCCCAGCTGGCTGTCTCAATTGCATTATCACTGGGATATAGGAGAGCACAGGGACAAAGTGCAGGAATCCTCTAACAGTAGGCTAAATTAATGGGAACCAAATCCCAATTACGCTCTATATTTTAAGAAGTTGACTGTGCCGTCAAAAAATTTCTTGGAGTCCTTGGCTAATTAATTCAAAGGACATGAGTCGATTTGCTTTTTTAAAGCTATCTTAAGCTACTTTATGTACTTTAAATTTTGATTGTAAAGATTATAGTCAGCTGAGTTTTGGTGAAAGTTTGTAAAGGAGCAACTGTCAATACCTCCAGGCAAAGACCACCAGGAATGTACCTATAGTTGAACAAGTTGGATTTTACACCCTATGGGGATTTACGAGGTGTCTGGGTAGCAGACTATTAAAAAGCTCTTATAGAAGTTGGTTTGCACTAGGTTACTTTGTGTAGATTTTAAAAAAACAAGGCTTTGTTCTGGATTGGATGCTGTCAGGAAGCAGAGGTAGTTTTATTCTTGCGCATGTTTAACCTTAAATAACAGAAGGAAATATTTGACTGGAGGAACAAAAGGAATGAGGATAAGGATATCATTGAGCAGTCACTCCTATTAGTCAAGGCAGGGAAATGTTTAGTTATTTTTGTGTCTTCAACGTGTTAATATTTTGTACATGTTCAGATATGATTACAGAGTGGTCTTGTTTTTGTCTTGATCCATTATCGTCACAAAGGGATCTTATTTCAAGTTAATGGTCTGTTAAAAATTCTTATCTTCAACAGAAATACAATAAGAACTAGCTTTCTATGCCAAGCCAGCTCATAACAACACCAATTCCCAGCTGATAGCATCCAGACCAGCTCCTGGATTTTAGGGGCTGCTTTTTCCTTTTCACAACAAGCACAGATAGATTTTAGAATATTTCTACCAAACCAAGGTATTTCCTTGTGCCTTTTTGCAGTTGTTCTCTACCCTTAACCTATGACCAAGGACACTACTGATCTGCTTTCTGCTGCTTTAGTTGTGCCTTTTCTACAATTTCATAGAACTAAAATTTTGTATAGTGTTTTGTCTCTGGCTTCTTTTACATAGCATGACAATACTGGGATTTATCTCTGTTGTTTGACACGTTATTACTTTGTTCATTTTTTATTGTATTACTTTGCATGGGATATACCATATTTTATTTTCCCCCAAGCTGATGTACAATTGAGTTCTTTATACTACTTGGCTATCCAGAGTAGTATTGACATATACATTCACATAAAAATCTTTTTGTGGATATATCCTTTTTTCTCTTTTTAGGTAAATTAACAGAAATGGCATGACTTCATCATATGGTAAATGTATGCATAACTTTTTAAGGAATTGGAAAGCTGTTTCCAAAGAGGGTAAACAATTTTGTAATCATACTAGTAGTGTAAGAGGGTCTTAGATACTCCATATGCTCAACAGTTAGCATTTGTATATATTCTATTGGATATGCGGTGATAACACACTGTAGTTTTAATTTGCATTTCTCAAATGACCAAAGATGTTTAGCAACTTTTTATGAGCCTGTTGGCCGTTGGTATACATTGACTCAAAATGTTTACTCATTTTTTATGTGTCTGTCTTGTTATAGTTTTACAAGCATCATATTCTAGATAGAGGCCCTTTGTTAAATACAGATTTCAAAAACGTAACAATCTAGGATCTGGCTTTTGAATTCTTAAAATGTGTAACTAGCAAACGAAAGGTTTAAACTTTGATAAGATGCAGTTTAGTAATTTTCTTTGTAGTTATGATTTTCAGACCATATTTAAGAAAATATTTGCCTAACAAAAATATCACAGTTTTATTCTGGAAGTTTTAGGTTTTAGTCTTGTGTTTATGTTTGTGATCTACGTTTTTGTATAATTTTGTTTCTATCTAATGTCTGCTACAGCTTTAGGTGCCAGAGACTTCAAAATTTTGTATTGTTCTTGTTCATGCATCCCCTCTTAACTTTGGGCTTTTCCACATAATCTCAGGGAGTCTGTTTTGCAGCTTTTTCAGCTGTAATCCACTATTTTTATATTAGAACCCTTTTGGTGGTAGTGTAACGTGTGTGGGAAAGGAAGTGTTCTGTAATCATATTATTAGATCTTCATCTTTTAGTGGGTCTCTATCTTGGATTTTGGTGGTGACTCACTGGATTAGCCTGTCTTTCCAGACTTTACAGTAGCAGTCTGCTTTGCAAACTCACTTCTCTGAGGAGGACATGAAGATTCCTTGATGTTAAGTTTCCTCAGTGTTTACATGTTGTAAGAAGGAGGCAGATGATTTCTTTTTTTTTTTCTTTTTTTTTCTTTTGGACACAGAGTCTTGCTCTGTCACCGAGGCTGGAGTGCAGTGGCACCATCTTGGCTCACTGCAACCTCCACTGCCCATGTTCAAGCAATTCTCTGCCTCAGCCTCCTGAGTAGCTGCGACTCCAGGTGCACCACCATGCCTGGCTAATTTTTGTATTTTTAGTAGAGATGGGATTTCACCATATTGTCCAGGCTGGTCTTGAATTCCTGACCTTGTGATCCACTGAGGCTGATGATTTCTAAGCATCTTGATGTTAGAGATGAAACCTAACCATTAACATTAGAGCAGAAGTTGTCATTTTTAATGTATGCAACTGTTCACTGGAGATCTAACAACATTAATAAAAATAACTTTTTAGAAAAAAATACGTTGTTTTCACACTTGGGAGCAAGGATCATTCAGTCCCTCTCCAATGAGAATTAATTTTCATTCCAGGATGCAGATTGCATTATAGACACAAATACATACATCTATGTAGAGAAGTGGTCAACTCTACACAAATTTTTTAGTTCTCCTTTGATTTCTTCCAAATCACCTGACCTGTTCCTAATAATTTCATTGAATCTAAACTCATTAGTACATAGGCCTTTCTGGCTCATGGTTCATCATCGACATTTATAAAATAATGCATCTGTATATATGAGAGAAACCTCAATAAGAGTGTGATATGTAAATTTGTCTATATTAACTATTTTTCTCAAAATAAAAAAGGATATATGTCTATATATATGGAATACAAAAATTTGTATTCCAAAAAAAAGATATGAAACCTCTAGCTCAAAACATTTGACAGCCAATACAAGACTTCACAGAGTAAGAAAAACCAACTTATAAAGATTATTTTTTGTAAAATATATTATTATTATTTCGAGTATTATTCAATATAGTTCTTGAAAACTGATCAACAACAGAAAAAATAATTAATTCATTACCTTTGGATAAAACAGTAATTGTGTGGCTGCAAAGGAATAAAGCTCTTTTTAAGAGAGTAGATGATATCAACTTAGAAAATGTCAGAAATGGAAAAAAATATTGACAAATCATGAGAGTCTAATAATTCTGCACTTGTAAGCCAATTATACAAAATCAGTTGTGTTTATGATAATGTGATATTGGTGAAAAGGAAGATGTGGACAAGCAATCAAAGTAATATTTTCTTAATTATATTTGCTAAGATTTTAGAGTTTCTAAACAAGATATTGTTTCCCTCAAAAGAAGGATTTGACAATAATATAATATATAAAAGTATAAAATATAATTCTAATAAGCAATTTTTTTACTCAGGAATTATTTGTGAGAAAATATGCTGATGTATACTCAGAATCCCTAAATTGGGGTTTAGAGGAGCAAAACTTTCCAAATATACTTAGAACTTTGGAATACATATTGAATCCTCTTCCAAATCTCCCCAAGATTTATGGTATTTATTCATAATTTGGCCTTCAAATACCAAGTATTTGGCCTTCGAATACCAAGTCACCCTCCTCATCTCACTTCTCAGTGAATATGGACATAAGCATCTAACTATAAGTTTTGCATCAATTTACAGGAAGGTTAAAACCAGGGAACAAGAGTGTCTAATTTTTTACTTACAATTATAAGCAAACACCAATATCTTTTTCATTATGAAACAAGTGAGATAGGAAATAATTCACTGATAAAATAAGAAATTATATATAATTTACATCTAATTATTAAAAACCTTGAAAACTATATAAAATAGTATTAAAATGCAAAAATGCAATAAGGACTTGTGGAAGGAAGACTGATCTGGTTTGATTTATAACAAGACTACTTGTTGAACTGATATTTAACCTGAAATTGGAAAGATAGGAACAAACAAACAAACAAAAAAAACTGACAATCTTTGAGTGCTTACTGTCTTGTAGGGATTAGTCAGAATTCCTTAAATGCTTTATCCTTAGCTCAATGTCCACAGAGTGGGCTCCAAATTAGCAGCATTAGTATCACCTTAGAACTTGTTGGAAATGCAAATTTTTATGCTCAAATCCAGAATTATGAATTCTTGGGATCAGGCCAGGAATTTCTGTTTTAAGGAGCAGGTGACTCTGATGCCCACTAAAGCTTGAGAAACTTCCCTTAGCTAACCTTCACAATAAATTAATGGGAGAGTAATATTGTAAACCTTATACAGATCAGAAACCTAAAGTATCTGGATTTTAAGTGACTTGCTTAAGACCAAATAACTATTAAACCACAAAGTATAGGTTCCAACTGTCTTCAAGTATCGCCTTCCAAAGTCAGGAATGTTCTAGTCTGGCCCATTGAAAATCAAAAGAAAAGTTAGTGAAACTATATTGCGTAGAATGGGAATCAGAATGGTATAGTGTACCACTTGTTGAACAAGGATTCTATTCATTAAGAAGAGATTAGTAGAAGATGCATATGAGTGAAGATGAAGATCAGATTGACTATCTATACTGAAATATCAAGTAGAGTCCAATCCTACACTTGATAAAGTGAGCTTATGTTAAATTTCAGAGACACGACTCTAATGCCCAAGCTCTTAAATGTTATACAAACTGAATCAATATTGAGATACACAAATATTAATGGGACAGAAGGACAATCCTATATATAAAATGATTTCCCCAATGATATTTACATATATATAATCTCTACATTTCCTTGTTGTCCTGAAATGCTTGGATAAAGGATGTCAAGAACATGTAGCCCTGTTTATTGGTATGGTGCCTTATTCTAATCCAGTTTTCAGTTATAGTCCGCCAATTTTTCTTGCAAGCATTAGTAGCATAGAATTATATTAATAAGAATTATATTATCAAGAATGCCAAAATCACTTATTAAATGAGTGAATGAAAGAATGAATAAATGACTGACAAAGTCTCCCTTGTGCCCCTGTTGGTTTTTCGCAGTGCCTGCCAGAAAGCCATTTCTTCTTTCCATTGGAGTATCATTTCTCTCTTTCCTGTAAGCCTTATGAGCATCTCTTTCAATAAGTCATCAAACCTGGATGTCTACTCATTACTTCTAGCACCCTTTCTGGGATAGTATTTAATATTTTGTAATATTAGAATCTTATTACATACTTTACATTATATGGTATGATTAAAATTTGTTTATTTTGTGATATTTTATTATTACTTCTATTCAGTTGTTATGATTAATACCTCTAACCTATCCAGCTCCCCAGTATGACCCGTTTCCACTGCTGTCTTCATGGGCTAGACAGTAAGTAAAGGACAGCTTCAGCACACGACATCCTTAAATGTGAGATTCTATTTTTAAAAAATTCATTCTGAACTTCTGATTCACACTTAATACTAATATCTCTTGTTCCACTATTAGAATATGTCACTTAGCCTCCGGTGTAAAGTGTATTTTTTGACACAGCACAGAAAAATACATCTGATTCTTTTTCAGTATTTTGCTTTATGCCACATTGAGTGAATGCAGCATTCACAATGCATAAAGTGGTCTTCTCACTCCAGCCTTGTCATCTAAACAGAAATTACAGTGTCATCACCTGCTCTCTGAACTCTCATTTTAGTTGCAATAGACTGGAACAAATGATTGAGAGATGTAAGTGTGTGTGTGTAATTGAGGGGCCTAGTGTCAGGGTTGATAATTAAACACATTTCTTAGGGTTAGATGAATTTATGGAGTCAGAGAGTGTCAGTGAAAGAGAATTTATTTCTATAGACAAAGTTGGCGATTCCCCACTACTGAAATTCCTCTTTGTCTAAAAACAACTTCACAGATCTAGACAAATAAACTAGTCTGGTGGGCAATGACAGTCTTATTTTTCTTTCTCCAGCTGGTCCTCCAAAGAAGTAGACATAATTCTGGAAGAGAGTATGATTCCTTATCTCTTTCTTCTATTGTTTCAATAACACGGTCAGTCAGCACACGACGTATCGTAGGAGGATGGCAGGATAGTTAACTTTGCTACTTGAGCTCAGGTTGGGTGTTATTAGGTGTATAATTAGGAAAATGCATGAGTATGAGTTCATTGCTCTGTATATGTGATAATTAGATACATTCTTCAAATTCTGATTCTTATTTTATTTTTTCAGCATCACTAACAGCTCTCCCTAAAAAGGGGATGACTTATTTCTTCATGTTGATATTTTGCTTTTTTCCTCAGATCTTCCTATTGGGCTTCTTATTCATCTTCTAAGACTCAGAGGGGTTACCTCCATCTGAAAGCTTTGACTTTGACTCTTGTAATTAGCAGAAGCTCTTCCCCATATCTTCAGATGCTAGTCTGTATACTTTCCTATTATTTCACTTCATAAGATATGTTATAATAATCTCTTCATGCATCTGTGCAGCATGTGACATTCCAAGGGCATATTTAGAGCCAGGTGTATTTAACTTATATTCTCTACTACTGACACCTGTGACAACTAAAGCACCTGACATTTATTCACACTTAATTTCCAGGGATTTTACTACTTGCATTGTGAATATCATCTCATTTAATGTTACAAACAAAGTAGTGAGGTAGGTTAGTCTTACTCTTTCCATTTCACAGTTGAAGAGGCTGAGTCACAGATGTGTAAAGTAATTTTTCGAAGAATACCCAATAGAGAAATTTGAGGTCCATGAGCTTTGAGTTCTGTGATGTCTGTTGTTCTAATGTATATTTAAGTTTGTCTATTACAGTGATAGTAAAAACAAGAATTTGGAAACACACAAAATGGCCCACACTGTAAGAATTTAATTGCCATAAAGGGAGACATGTGCTATCATTACCATGCCTTTTTTTTTTTTTTGAGATGGAGTCTTGCTCTGTTACTCAGGCTGGAGTGCAGCGGCCTGATCTCGGCTCACTACCATGACATTTTAAAAGGATAGTTTTAACACAGTAAATGCACATAATGTGTTAAGTAAAATCTAATATTAAAATCAGGAAACAATGTACTTTCTTTTGCTCAGTATATATAGGTTGTCATAAATGTTTGCTAAATGACATTTTAACTGTAGATAAATATATACTACATATGTGGATATGACAGAATTTAAAAAGATTTAAAAGACATGGTTGTGTATAACATTTTAAGTATTTCATACGACGTAGATTTAATGTAAACCTTTCCAGCAATGCCAACTTGTTATTATATAAATCTGTGCTAAAAAGGAATTTTGAAATACTAAAAAAGAGAATTTTGAGATACTAATGTAGAAATGTATGAGAAATTCAAATACTTATCTAGAAATATGGCAGATTTCTCCATCCTCCCATTCTCAATAAACTTGTATATTTGAAAATCTAAGCTTTGTATTATAAAACAAACAAACTCTAATTGGGAGGCACTCAAATTATGAGCTTACAGTCAAGGATTGTTTTCTGAAATCAATGCAACTGAATATTTTGGAAAAATATTATAAAACCTAAACACCATGCTGAATTCACAAGAATAAAAGAACTAAGGAAACAATGACAGGCAATACTTTAAAGCAATTTTAAAAAATAAGTCTATCCATGGGTTTTTATTCTTTGAAGTTCTGATACTTCAAAACATGAAATAGACAGTTGCATATATCTTGATGTAAGTTATAGTATCATTGTTTAAAAATCTATTACCATTTTATTTCACTGGTTAAATTAAGGGTTTTCTGCTTGTTACACTCTATTAATTTCTTTTGTTTGCAAATGTTAAAAATAATGTAGTAGTTTCATTTCTTGGGAAATCATAATTAAAAACAAACTCTCCCAACCTGGAAAACCTCCACAAAAGTAGAAGTGAATGAAAGCATTTTATTATTGAATAAAGCCCTAAAACAGATTATGTTGTCCATCACAGATAATCTGCTAAAAGTTTGCAAAGACAGAAAAAAAAACTTACTCTTTTATATAACCAAGCAGACACAACTCATTCTGTACATGTGTCTAAGGTAAACAACTAGTCCTCAAATAAGAGGACTTGACAGCACCATTTGTTACAGCAGTTTACCCTAAATTTACTTGGTAATTGGAGTGGCCATCTGTGTTAGCTAATTGACTTTATACAAAGGAAAAATAAACTCCTCATATCTTTAAGACAAGAGGTAGTTTTACAATTTAGAGGGAGGCACCAGTTAGGCCCCTGCCCTCTCAGAGAAAATGGGAGATTGGGGCATTATCGTTATGAGTTACGATGATTACATTATAAAAAGATGGTTCCCAAGTTTTTGAGAAAGGCATTCATGGATGTGAAAGCTGGCAAAAGCCTTGAGTTTCTAAAAGACTTACATACATTTCAAAGAGACAGAGAAAGAATTAACAATCACAAGTTTTCTAAAGTATATGTTCTAAAATGGAAGGAGGATGTATCTTCCCTATTTTTCAAGGAGAATTAAACCTATTATTTTAAAAATTTATTTTCCTTATATAGGACTCTTTTTAAAAAGCATGAATACAAACATGGTAAAATTAGCAGTAGTACTAAGGCAATTTACCAAAGGAAGCCAGAAAACCTCGTTAATACTGAAGAAAAACTAGCTGTGTCTGCAATTGACCTGATTGTTCTCATTTATTGAATATGCTAGAAAAACATTGAACTCTTCAGTTAATTCTGTTTGTGCAAGTCACAAACTATTAACAAAAAAGCCTTTGCAAGATTTTCATGAGCATTTGATGATATTTTTCCAGGGATGATAAAGTGTATTTGTTTTGAAATTTTATTTCACAAATTCTCTGTTGATAACATTTTGGTATTGACTGTAGTATAATTATCTAATTAAAATGATCAAAGTAAGCAAAGTAAGCAAATTGACCATACCAAATGCCTAGAAAGCTGTACATCTGAGATGATTAGAAATGAAACAACATCTTGTTGATATGGTCAGTAAAATTAATCTGCACAAAGAAGAAAACAATATTCAATGAGCCTTACCTTAAGTAATCATTTGATAGGGTGTTAAATTTCTGATAGGTTTATATTTCATGGTTAATTTAACTTAATTTATTATTTTAAACCAGGTTTATTTTAATATTCATCTGTCTCCACTTGATAAGAATGTTTGCATTGTGACCATGGTAAACAAATAAAGCCCATGATTTCCCCCTTATAATCTTCAAATTAGCAAAGATAATCATAACCCCCCATACAATGTGCATTCTTTCAGTCAATAATGCAGATGTACCTGTCAGCTGGTACACTATCATTAATTTGAAAAGCTGCCCATGTAATGCTCTCATCAAGAAATTTGAATAGTGCATGGGACTGAGCCAAGTGTTGCATTAATGGAGGTTTGACAAGCATGTGATAGTTGAGCTAGGCAAGGAGGCATTCAGTGCAAGAAAGATTTCACAGTAGGTAATGCAGATAATTTCTGGAAGTGAATAAAGCAAGTCAAAGGTAGTCCATGAAAGATTTAGATAAACGGAAACATTGGAAAAGGAGTTGTCTAATAAAACATGGTAACAGAAATCAATATTTGGTAATTCTAAAAATTGAGAAAGAAGATAAGGCTCAAATTCTCATGGACAGAAAACCAGTTTTGGAGACAAAGGCAAACATCCAGCTTGGTGGTAATATGTGACATGATTTTCAGTTGGATACAAATGAATAGAAAAACCTGGAACCAAGTTAAGAGTCCAGTTGGGTCAATAAACTATTAAGAAAGCTGCTTAGCTTAGCTTCCGTATTTCTTGTCCATGTTTGAAATGGAGACACATCTATATCTTAGATAAGCATAGAAAGGTTCCAGTTTATATTTATGGTCAGAACAATGTACAGAGAAAAACAGAAATCAAATTGTGAGAGATTATACACGTTAATAGAATTCCAAAAGTATAGCCAATAGAATATATGTAGTTACATTTTTTAAGCATTGAAATGTTCAAATTATGTGTTTGCTCATCTGAAATAAAAATATACATGCCATGTATTGATAAATTAGTTGCTAAATTAGTTCTATGTTGGATTATGTACATTTTTTTCCCAGTGAAAAGACAATAGGGCTCAGAATAGCTGGGCTTGATTCCTCACTTTGGCTCTTACTAACTATGTAAATATGTGACCTAGGAGGGATTAATTAATCAATCTCTCTGCCTCAGGTACCATTTCTCTAAAATGGGATGTTAACAATAAAGTTTTATAAGGCTTTGAAAGTATTAAAGAAATAAAAAATGTAAAGCTATTAAGAAAGATTATAGCCGGGCACGGTGGCTCATGCCTGTAATCCCAGCACTTTGGGAGGCTGAGGCAGGTGGATCACAAGGTCAGGAGTTCGAGACCAGCCTGGCCAGTATGGTGAAACCCCGTCTCTACTAAAAATATAAAAGAAAAATTAGCCGGGCGTGGTGGCACTCACCTGTATTCCCGGCTACTCAGGAGCCTGAGGCAGAAGAATTGCTTGAACCTGGGAAGCATAGGTAGCAGTGAGCCAAGATCGTGCCACTGCACTCCAGCCAGGGTGACAGAGCGAGACTCTGTCTCAAAAAAAAAAAAAAAAAAAGAAAGATTATATATATGTTATTATATATAATGTTTCTTAATAAATATTATATAATCTTAATAGCTTTACATGTTTTATGTGCATGTGTGTGTTTGATATGATTATTAAATTGACAACATATTTTTGGCAAAGATATATGTAATTAAACAAACAGGTGGTATGTGAGAAGAAAAGCTTGCTTTGCTTTCTTAATTCACAATTAAAAAAATTAAAAATGTATCAGAAATGATTAAAACCTTACTATTAAGTTATTACATATGCTATTAAAATGCACATATATTTCATTTAAAATCCTTGGAATATATTTAAAATGTAGATAATTTAATATGTATTTTCTAAGACATAGTCATTTATTAAAATTTTTTCCTCTTGAAATATGATTGTTTTCTCATATCTTCATATTTCAAAGGCCAGAGCAAAAGGGAAAAACATGGATAGCCTGTTAAGTAATCAATAAAATAAAGAAACGTTTTGAATTCTGCAATGAAATATGAGTAAGCTGGGGTTACAATTAATCTTAAAAAATTGTAAGCTTTCTTGTCAGTAGAAGCCTTGAGTTTTAATTTCCTAAAGATCTCACTTTTCTCAGGTGCATTTTTCTTCATAATCAAAATGCCAGCTTAGAATCCCACCTTAACAGCACCACCAAGCAAATCAGCTTGCAAAATAATTTTCCTCACCAAGGTTCCATATCTGTTAGCAGTCCTCATTATTTTATTATTTCTAAATTGCAGCTTCTTAAAGATGTTCTTAATTGAAATCTTGACTGTGTGCTAAACTTACCCACATAAATGATTCTGAAATTACTATAAACATGCTGTCAGTTAACTAGATCAATTAACAATGTTAAGTACAGATCTTTTATGAAATTAATTAAAAGATTCTCATATTTTCCCTGACACACTGATTTCAATTCATTGTAATATGCACTTCTTTTCTGAAATAAATGGCATAAGTTTTATGAACAAATAAGGTAAAATTTTCTTTTAAACCTTACACTGTTTTAAATAGCACTTTCAAATATAGTGATCTAACTTCAGTATCTTTATGGACAGTTTCATAAGTGTATAAAATATATATCATATGTTCAATGTAATGTTTTCTCTCTGAGTTATTTTATTACCTCATGTATCACAATAATTTTCTCCTCTCCCCCATTTTTTTTTTGCTGGTACCTGGTGTCTGTCAGGCATTCACAAGTGTTCAATCAGTCAAAAAAAAAAAAGGTGAATCTATTGTAACACACAGCCCTATACATGTTAATACTTAGACTAAATTCATTACTAAGACATTTTTAGGCAAGAATGCTAATGAATCACTATATTATAATTTTTTCTCCTTTGAGTGGGTGCAGTGGTCTTCAGTAGCAGCAAGAGGCAGGGAAAGCAATTAATTTATTCAGTTGCCATTATCTACTAACTAAAGAAAGCCATTAAGTAGTTTCTCATTTGGAATGGAAGAGGAAACCAGGATTTGTAAACACTTAGTCCATTTACCCTAATCATAACCACAGTTTCCACAACAAAAAATATCAAGCAGGCATTTTAGTGAAGATTCTTTCAGGAAAGCTAGGTATATGCATTCTATTTGTGTCAGTTTGCTAGGGCAGGCATAACAAAGTATCACAGACTGGAGGGTTTAGTCAACAGAACTTTATTTCCTCACAGCCTTGGAGGCCTGATAACAAGCTGAGATCAAGGTATAGGCAGGGTTGGTTTCTTTTAAGGCATCTCTCCTTGGCTCGTAGATGACCCTTGCCCTCCAGTGTTCTCATGTGGTCTTTTCTCTGTGTGTCTGTGCTCCAACCTCCTCTTCTTACAGAGACACTAGTCATATCAGAGTAGGGCCTAACTATATGACCTCGTTTTACCTAAATTTCCTCTGTAAAGTCCATCTCTCCAAATACATTCACATCCTGAGGTACACGGGTTAGGACCTAAACATATGAATTTTGCAGGGACAAAATTCTGCCCATAATACCAACCACTAAAACCTTTTTTTCCTCTATATAATGACAGGCTTAGTTTATATTCAGACCTCTCCCAAATTCTATGGCAATCTTTGCTGAAAGACTGATTTAACTAATTATGTGATACTCTGCACCTGTTTCTGCTTCTCTTGATTTTTTTTTTTCTTCCTCAAGAAAAGGGCTCTGAAAACTGAGGCAATTTGAACAGTACTTGCACTAGGCTTGAATGGATCTTACATTAACTTATTCTAATTGTGATCTTGTTATACTTCACATTTATAGTCACAAGAAATCATTATTTTTTGTAGCCTCTACCCCTTTTTCAGAATTTCTTCTCCTAAATCATAAGTGATTTATAATAGTACAATATATGTGGTATTTTAAGGATAGCAAAATAGTTGTTCATATGCAAACCTTTTATATAAATTTTATAAACTTATTTTTAGCATGTGTTTTTTTTGTCTTCAAATAATGGGTTTCCCTTTTTATCAATAATTGCCAACACTGAATATTACATGATGAGATACAAAGTACGTGTAGTATAGAAGGTAGTTCTACTATAAAATACAGTTTATAACCATAAAGCCAGATTTCTGTGGCAGCCCTTAAACCTTAGCACCTGAACCACTTTTCCGAAGGTATTCAAGGTTCTGAGCTTTTACAATTGAAAAGGCACTAGAGAGACAAAGATGGAAGTATATTTAAGGGAAGTCCTGGAGAGACAGTGCCATGTATGGTGAAGGGTGAGTGGTTAAAGCAGCACAGTAGTTATTCAAGACAGTTCCAATATCATGTTTAGGGCAGGAGATGCGTCTCAAATACTATGCAAATCCCAGTTTGTAAAGAGCCTCATCTGTTAATTTAAGTTAATGCTTTGTTCATCCTGAAGACAGCAAGAAAAAATGAACAATCAGAAAACATTACATACTCTGTCGCTGTGTCTCTCTCTTTGTCTCTCTCACACACACACACACACACACACACACACACACACAACCCATTTGCCAATGATAAAAGTTTCTCATTCTTGAGAGTCTTCTCTTCAGAAAAGTCCATAGAGTCTAGGAAAAAATAAGCAAATGTTTCTCATAGACTAAAGATTGTCATTTTATTGGATGGTGCACAGAAAGGCAGCAGCATAGAATAGGGAAGTTGCTTTACCAGGCAGTGCCAGGAAATAAATCTGACCAACGTTTTAAGACAAGGCTTTGGATTTTTGCATATTCTTGACAAAACCTCCATCACTTCTGTCCGTAAACCACTGCAAGTGTATCTTCTTCTCCCCAACACAGATCAGTTCTGATTTTGTTTTAAGGCATAAGACCCTTTCCTGAAGACATCCTTTATCTTGTCGCTCTCATCAGTGGTGACTGGTTACTCCCTCTCACTGCTCATATCACTGGGACAGGGTGTGTGATAGGGTAGGTGTTCTCTGTTACTGATTTCTCTCTTCTTCTTCCAGATCATTCCAGACCATTCCCCTTTCTCACTCCAATTTCCTTCCCAAATGCTTTACATTTATGTTTTAGATGATACCACACACTACCTCTGTTTGAGAAGTTCTCTGGTATAGTGTTTACATAAGAAGTCAATTTGTTAATTACAGTGTTCTTTATGTATTGGATTATGTTAGTTAATAAAGTTGTTCAAGTCTTCTATATCTTATTGAGTTATTGCTCCTTGTCTTATCACTGATAGAGGAGTGTTAACATGTTCCATGATGATAGTGGATCTTCCCTAATATTCCTTTTAGTTCTGTACATTTGTGATATATATGCACATTTCTCATAGGTTTTTAGTATGTATATATACTCCAGAATATATATATGTGTGTATATATATATACACGTGTGTGTGTGTGTGTGTGTGTATATTTGAATGCATGTAACGTTAGACATGTTGAAGCTTTTTTTGGTGAATGAAAGCATATATCCACACAAAGGTGCATATATAAATGTTCATAACAGCTTTTTGTAATACTAAAACTAAATATAACACAAATTTCCATCAGTGGGTAAATAAATAACCACATTTTAGTACTGAAATGCAATGGACTACTACTTAGCAATTAAAAGTCACAAAGTATTTATAGATACAACTTGAATAAAACAAAATAATTATACTAAGTGAATGAAACCAGACAAGAAAAAGTACGTACTACATGATTCTCTTTATGTAAAATTCTAGAGAAGCTGCAGTGACAGGACACATAGAATTTTTTAGGGTTGGCACGGTGGGAAGAAAAAATGTTACAAATGAATAAAATGGAACTTCTAGGGGTGAATAATATGTTCATTATCTTGATTGTGATGGTAGTTTCAGGTATGTGTGTACATGTGCCAAAACTCACATTGGTCCCCTTAAATTTGTGTAGTTTATTGAAAGTCAGGTATAACTCAATAAACCTAGAATAATTCATTATGGCTGATATTCTTTTAATCTGATAATAGTGTCTAGTTTCTGTAGAATACATTCCAAGCTCATTGTTATATCCCTAAGACCTTCAAGCCTCTCTTCTTTCTCATTTACTACACAGATACTAAGCTCCAGCCGCACTGAACATTCCCATTCTCCAATAAAACAATATTATTTTCTAATGCAAAGAAAAATACATCTGAGACCATGGAAAAAATATCTCTGCTGCAGCATTAAGCTTATTTATTTGTAGGTCTAGTAGAGATTTTTCATTGTTGGCTTTTTTTTTCCTCTCCCCAACCCTTTTTAGGTAAAGCAAAAGAAAGGGCTACGAGAAAACTCTCCAGAGAGAGAGTTAAGCATATTTTTCCAGCATGATATCCTTAAAGAACATGATGATGCATTTAGAATGCTATAAATAGTACTGGGTAATCAAAGAACCTAATTTTCTTTGGTGTCTTCATCAGTGAGAAAATATCAACCTGAATGGGCATTACTCAAGTCTTACACATAATTCATGTTCCTATTATACCTTCTGACTTGGCATTTCACAAAATTTGATTTGAAAAGCCAGACCCAATTTCCCAAGACTTTATAAAACTGTAAAAGCACAGGTAAATTATTGAAGACTCACTGAAAATACAGGAAAATAGGAAAATTTCTAAAATGATATTTTGTTAAACATTAGGACTTATATCAAAATGCAGAAGTTACATTTGATAACTGCTAATATTTCAAAGAACATTTTAGTATGCTTCGTGGCTAAGATTAAAAGTTGTTTACAAATAGATTGTCTTTAGAAATTAATTTTTATTCCAACTAAGTAATTGGAAATTCAACTCCATTTTTGCCTAATAGACATATATTTAGAAGGAAATACAAAACCATACCTTTCACCCTTTAAAGATTCTTCAGTCCTTTCCACCAAGAAGAATTATTACCATAGTGTCATCATAAATTTGATTCATTATACTATGTAAACCCAGAATTCTCCTACAAGTCCAGTTGGTTATGATATTATTTTTTCACTACCCTATTATATAAATAGGTCACTAATGATAAGTAATGAAACAGTTCATTCTGCCATATAGAAAAATTAACAAATGCTGTCATAAGAATACATTCTCATTTTATGTTTGAATATGTGAAAAATGAATGATGAAGCAGCTCATTTCACAGTTTATTAAGGAAAACAAATAAAGAAACCATTAATTCAAGTAGTTCAATAGCTCAAGCCTTACACACAAAAGAGTGTATGACAGCATACCCAGTGCCTATCCATAGGCAGCCATAGGATGAATCAAGTCGGAGCCCTAAATGTAGTGAGATTGGCATTGCTGAAAGTCTGACAATGCATGAAATATGTTGAGTCGATTGTGGTGATTTAGTGACAGTCTGAGAATTAGTTTATTATCTATTTTTGTCCACTAGAATTAAGTTTCATAAAAGCAGGATAGATTTTTGTTTACTCCTGTAACCCAGTGGCCAGAAAAGTGCCTGACACAGAAGGGGAACTCAGGAAATACTTGCTGATGGAATGGGTAAATATGTTACTGAAGTTATGAGATTACTGCACAAAGATAAAACAAGTAGATGGACTATATTTGTAAAAGGCTCAGCTTATATTTATAAAGGCCATCTATCCATGTAGAAATGGAAAAGATCATAAGCAATATAAAATACAGATAACTTGCAGAAGTTTACATGAGCAGACAGGGCAGGCCAACATGGATGTTGGAACACTAAGACAATGACAAGTATGCCACTGCTATTCCTAGAGTGCAAGGAGAAAATCAAGACATTAATTATGGTGCTGGGCACATAGTAATAATTCATATAGGTCTGTGTAAACTTTTACATTGTGAATTGTTGAGCTATTTCTGTACTTTTTCCATTCCTATACTATCTGAGACTACAAATAAACTATTAGAATTAGTGAGTGAATTAGTTAAGGTCAGTTTGGAAATACCAATTTTATTTCTATATGTAAGGCACAGACAAAAAACACAATTTTAAAAGAGAGCAATTTAAAATAGCATTAAAACATATAATAAAATATGTGCAAGAACTTTTCCAAATAAACCATAAAATATAATATTCAAAAAGTAATTAACTTAATAAATAGAAGGTTATACCATATCCTGGTTTCAATGAATTCAAAATTTGATATTATATTAATAAGGTCTCCAAAATTAATTCATAGATATAAAACGATTTCATTCATAATGTCAGGAAGTATTTATTATAAATAAATAAGATGATTGAAAAGTTTATATGGAAATGCAACGGGCTAAGAAAAGCCAATAAAATCTTGAATAAAGAAAAAGTTAGCTGAATTTCCTCTGCCATACATCATGGCTTATTTTAAGATTATAATAATTGAGACAGTGTAGTTTTTTGGGTTTTTTTTTGTTTTTTGTTTTTTTTTTGAGATGGAGTCTCGGTCTGTCACCCAGGCTGGAGTGCAGTGGCGTGATCTCGGCTTACTGCAAGCTCCACCTCCTGGGTTCATGCCATTCTCCTGCCTCAGCCTCCCGAGTAGCTGAGACTACAGACACCCACCACCGTGCCAGACTAAGTTTTTGTATTTTTAGTAGAGATGGGGTTTCACCGTGTTAGCCAGGATGGTCTCGATCTCCTGACCTTGTGATCTGCCCACCTCGGCCTCCCAAAGTGCTGGGATTACAGGTGTGAGCCACCATGCCTGGCCAAGACAGTGTAGTTTTAATAGAAGATTATATGGTTTTGCTCTGTGTCCCCACCCAAATCTCATCTTGAATTGTAATTCCCGCATGTTAAGGGAGGGACTGGGTGGACGATGATTGGATCATAGGGGTGGTTTCTCTCATGCTGTTTTTGTGATAGTGAGGGGAGTTCTCATGAGATCTGGTTATTTGGTAAGTGTCTGGCATTTCCCCTGCTAGGTCTCTCTCCTTCTGTGTTGTGAAGAAGGTGTCTGCTTCTTCTTAGCCTTGTGCCATGATTGCAAGTTTCCTGAGGCCTCCCCAGCCACGCAGAACTGTGAGTCAGTTAAAGCTCTTTTGTACATCAGTTACCCAGTCTCAGGTAGTATCTTTATAGCAGTGTGAGAACAGACTAATACAGAGAACTGTTATCAGCAGAGTGAGATACTCTCATAAAGATGACCTGAAAATGTGAAAGCAATTTTGGAACTGGGTGACAAGCAAAGGTTGGAACAGTTTGGTGGGATCAGAAGAAGACAGGAAGACATGTAGAAGTTTGGAACTTCCTAGAGACCTGTTGAATGATTTTGACCAAAATGCCGATGGACAATGAAGTCCAGGCTGAGGTGGTTGCAGATGGAGATGAGGAACTTATTGGGAACTGGAGCAAAGGACACTCATGCTATGCTTTAGCAAAGAGACTGGTGGCATTTTGCCCCTGCCCTAGGGATCTTTGGAACTTTGAACTTGACAGAGATGAATTAGGGGTATCTGGTGGAAGAAGTTTCTTAGTAGCAAAGCATTCAAGATGTGACCTGGCTTATTATGAAAGTATTCAGTTATATGCACTCACAAAGAGATAGTTTGAAATTGAAACTAATGTCCAAAAGGGAAGCAGAGAATAAAGGTTTGGAAAATTTGCAGTGGATCATGTGGTAGGAAAGAAAAACCCATTTTCTGGGGAATATTCAAGCCAGCTGCAGAAATTTACATAAGTAACAAGGAACTGAATATTAATAGCCAAAACAATGGGGAAAGAGACCTTCATGGCAACAGCTCCCATCACAGGCCTGGAGACCTTGGAGGGAAAAATGGTTTTATGGGCCAGGCCCAGGGCCTAGCTGCTCTGTGCAGCCTTGAGATTGATGCTTTATGTCACAGCTCTCCAGCTCCAGCCATGGATAATAGGGGCCAACATACAGCTCAGGCCATTGCTTCAAAGGGTGCAAACCCCAAGCCTTGGCAGTTTCCACGTGGTGTTGGGCCTGCAGGTGTGCAGAAGACAAGAGTGGAGCTTTGGAAACCTCTGCCTAGATTTCAGCGGGTGTATGGAAATGCCTAGATGTCTGCTGCAGGGGCTGAGCCCTCATGGAGACTCTCTGCTTGGGCAGTGCAGAAGGGAAATGTGGGGTTGGAGTCCTCACACAGAGTCCCTGCTGGGGCATGGCCTAGTGGAGCTGTGAGAAAAGGGCCACTGTCCTCTACACTCCAGAACTGTAGATCCAATGACAGCTTGCACCATGCACCTGGAAAAGCTGCAAGCTCTTGATGTCAGCCTGTGAAAGCAGCCATGGGGGCTGTAACTTGCAGAGCCACAAGAGAGGAACTTCTCAAGGCCTTGAGAACTGATACGGTTTGGCTGTGTCCCCAGCCAGATCTCATCTTGAATTGTAGCTCCCACAATTCCCACTTGTTATGGGAGGGGCCTGGTGGGAGGTAATTGAATCATGGGATGGGGTCTCTCCCATGTTGTTCTCATGATAGTGAATAAGTCTTATGAGATCTGATGGTTTCATACGGGAGAGTTTCCTTATACAAGCTGTCTCTTGTCTACCACCAGGTAAGACATTTCTTGCTATTCAGTCATGATTGTGAGGCCTCCCCAGCCATGTGGAACTGTTAGTCAATTAAACCTCTTTCCTCTATAAATTACTCAGTCTTGGGTATTAGCAGCATGAGAACATAGTAATACAGGAGCTCATCCTTCACATTAGCATGCCGTGGATGTAAGACATGGAGTCAAAGGAGATTTTGGAGCTTTAAGATTTAATGACCACCCTGTAGGCTTTCAGACTTGCATGGGGCCTATAGCTCCTTTGTTTTGGCCAATTTCTCCCATTTGTAATGGTAACATTTATCCAATGCCTATATCCCCACTTTATCTTGGAAATAACTAAGTTGTTTTTGATTTTACAGGCTCATAGGTGGAAGGCACTTGCCGTGTCTCAGATGAGATCTTGGACTTCGACTTTTGATTTAATTTTGGAATGAGTTAAGATTTGGGGAGACTGTTGGGAAGGCATGATTAGTTTTGAAATGTGAAAAGGACATGAGATTTGGGAGGAGCCAGGGGCTGAATGACATGGTTTGGCTCTGTGTCTCCACCCAATTCTCATCTCAAATTGTAGTCCCCACATGTTGAGGGAGAAATGTGATATGAGGTGATTGGATCATGGAGGCAGTTTTCCCCATGTTGTTCTGGTGACAGTGAGAGTCCTCATGAGATCTAGTTGTTTGATAAGTGCCTGACAATTTCCCTTCTGGTTCTCTCTCTCTCCTGCCACCTTGTGAAAAAGGTGTTTGCTTCCCATTCACCTTCTGCTGTGATTATATATTTCCTTAGGCCTCCCCAGTTATGTGTAACTGTGAGTCAATTAAACCTCTTGTGTTTACAAATTACCCAGTCTCAGGCAGTACCTTTATAGTAGTTTGAGAACTGACTAATAAAGAATAACAGAAAATTAGACATTGAAGTAGATGTTAAAATTTATAACAATGCCTTAGGTTTTTAAAAATTGATACATAATAGAGGTACAAATTTTTGAGGCACATATAATATTTTGATACATTATTTTAATGTGTAGTGATCAAATTAGGGTAGTTTGGATATTCATTACCTTAAATATTTACCATTTCTTTCTTCTGGGAACATTAGAACTCTTTGCTTCTAGCTATTTTGAAATATATAATAGATTATTATTAACTATAGTCACCCTACTGAAATATCACACTGGGTTTTATTCTACCTAATGTATTTTTGTCCCATAAATCAATCTTTTTTGATCCCCTTTCCCCCATCTTCCTGACCTCTGGTAACCACCAATCTACTCTCTATCTACTCTCTATCTTTGTGAGACCCACTTTATTAGCTCCCACACTTTAGTGAGAACATGGAATAGTTGTTTTTCTGTGCCAGTAATAATATCCAGTTCCATTCATATAGCTGCAAATGACAGGATCTCATTCCTTTTTATGGCTGAATAATAGTCCATTGTGTATATATACCACATTTTATTTATCAAGTTATCTGTTGATAGACATTTAGGTTAATTCCATATTTTGGATATTGAGGCTAAAAAACAACATAAAAGATCAAAAAACCAAAAAGTTTTTTTTAAAGATAAATACAATTGATAAACTATTAGCTATACTAAGAAAAAAAGAGCGATGACACAATGCATACAATCAGAAATTTAAAATGAGACATAACAATTGATATCACAGAAGCACAAATAATCATTAGAGACTATATACCAACTATACACCAACAAATGAACTATACACCAACAAATTTTAAAACCTAGGAGAAATGGATAAATTCCTGGACACATACAACCTACAAAGATTGAAACATGAAGAACCAGAAAATCAAACCGATAAATAACTAAAAAGGAGATTGCAGCCATAATAAAAAGTCTCCCATCAAGGAAACCCAGGACCTAATGGCTTCAGTCTGCATGCTAGCAAACATTCAAGTATAACTAATACCAATTCTAGTCACTGTATTCGAATAATTGAAGAGAATTCTTCCAAATGCCTTAAATTTTATTACCCCAGAAATAGACACTGAGGCAAGAATTTAAGTGTCAGTCATTAATTTTGGAAGTGCAAATAAGTAACTAATTAACAGTGGAGGTATGGGGCAGTACTGAGTGAAGTGATAGTGTAGAATGTCTTTTAAAACTACATTCTGCTGAAGGTCCAAACAATTGTCCCTTTCAGAAAATGGGAAATGAGCGTGCTCTTTGGAATGCAGTATTTGTCCTAACCTAATTTTATCAAGTAGAACATCTTACCTAGAATCGATGTGGGTGGAGGAAGAGGTTTAAAATGGAAAATCAGAAGGCCAAATTTTTTTTGCTGTATTTGTAATATATTACAGAGTGTCTGTATAACCATAGATACTCCATAAATAATGATTTAATCAAATGAGCTTATTGCAGGCCCATTTCTATCTCTTTTATGTATACCCTTGAGCAAATCATTTTCCTTTCAAACGTCAACTGAACCATCTTAAAATTAGAGGCAGTCATAATAGTCACTGTCTTAGTAAGTATTAATTTATCAGTAAGATGAAGTACAGCAAAACCTATACTGGATACTAAAATTTGGAGGATTTTCTTTTTCTGTCATATGTAATAAATCTATATGCAGACAATACATTATAGGTCTGGTGTTCAGGGAGGCCTGGGTTCCTTCCAATTTTTTGTTCTACCATTCTATTCTTAGAATCTCAATAAGAAACATATAGATCACTTAAATTAGGATAATTTGAAAATAGTTGATTTGTAAAATGATTACTCAAAAGGGTGTTTGGAATATACTAAAAACTCAAGGCCAATAGCAGCAGTCATTACTAACCTTGGGCCCAGAAGTGATAGAGTTGGGAAAACAGTTACCTAAACCCAAGAGAAGAGAGTCTTATAGTAAAGGCCACTTTGTGAAGGGTTGTGACCCTCAATTGAGGACACTGTCAGCACAAAGTGACACAGCTGGGGGGAAGCCGGTGGGAAATAACCTGAGCCTACTCTCATTTCTTTCTCCAATTTACTGCCTAGATTTCCCTTTGTTTAAACTCAGCTGGAAACTAGAAGGCCTGGTTATGAGCACATAAGTGAGCCTGTTAATGGCACACATACAGTTCAGCCTCCTAGGGCACTAAACAAGATAGAGAAGGATGGAGAATCAATCTGCAAGGGCAAACAGAAGACACCAGCACAGCCATCCTCAACACAGTGCTCTGCCGCTGAGACAGCTGCTTGATTTGCAGTTGTAATATCTACATTATATCTGGCAGAAAATAGTCCAGAAAGCAGGGAAGGAATGCCTCCTTTCTTTAGGGACGCTTCCCAGAAATTGTCCTCATCACTTCTACTTTTGCTACATTGGTCAGAGCTTAGTTATATGACTAATTGCAAGGGAGGTTGGGATATTTTGTTTTTATTTCTGTCAGCAAACAGACTCAAGCGAAAATAAAAGATTTATTACTAATGCAAAATGGGAGAATATCTGGGAATTTGTTCCCTGCTTCTTCACCTCTTTGAGCCACCTTTCTGGAAATGACTCAATCCCTCAATGATCACATTTTCTGTAAAGAGGAATCTTCTCCAGGGCTCCATTTCTCACCAGTCTAAGAATATGCTACCTACCCTCTAATTCCCTTGGGACCTGTAGTGACCAGAATGGTTTCATGTTGTTGCTGATATCTGGGTGACTTGGCACACTCTGTTGTTTCCTCAACATCCTCACACTTCTAGAGAAGTCCATTTATTAAAATGATTTGAAACATATGAGCTGAATATTTTTTCTTATGACAAAAAATAATTTTTTTAAATCTATCTTTTTAGTTTGTTTTATTTTTTGGAATATATAATTACATGGTATGTGACTATCTCTTGTGAATTCTAAAGGACTATACAGATATTACAGTTAAAATATTATAAAGCTACTTTTTAAATTACTCCAAATATGAATATTTAACAATTTTTAAACTGGCACTTTCTCGTTCTATAAAACAGGTAATCTAGCTTAAAAATATAATTTTTCTCAATAACAAAATTTATTTTCATTTTAAAAGGGAAAATGTATCTTGAATATAAATATTTATGACTTTAAAAAATAACTTTCTTAGTACATCTTATATTCTTACTATTTTAAAAATAATTTCTTAATACAGATATACTTATTTTCAAGATGCCATAGTGATTTATTTAGGCATCCCTTTGATTTGGGCAAAATAGTAAATGATGTGGTTTTCTTTAAGTAAAAAAAAAAATGCTATTTTACAGTAAAAAAAAATTGGAATTAGATGGTCAAGAGGTATCAGAATATTTTAGAGATGAAAGTATATCCTTAAAATTTCCCTGTGGCTTTTAAAGTTATCTAATTAATTTAAAGAATTTTACTTACAAAGAAAATCTAATAAATATATACAATTAATTATATCTGATTTTTGGAATGTTTCCATACACAACTTAGAAAAAAGTAAATATGTAATTAACACCTAGCTTCAGTAAAATACATATTGAGAGACAGCATCACAGAAAAAAATAATCCAAGGATAGAATAAATGCTTATAAAAATAATTCATATATATACAAATATATGCACATACATATACACATATACACTTATATGTGTATATAATTTAAATTTCATCTTTGTTCAAAGATCCTCAAAATGTATAATTGCAGAATCAGATAATAGACCCCTATAAAAAACAAACTTTTTTATTGTTATTAAGAAAACAAAATAAATGCAAATTGTTAATAGTCAACATTACTCAAATATTTTTGATTGGGTGTTCTCTGAACTCATAAATCTGTACTCTATTCCAGCGAACATTGATGTCCCTAAGATAAATTGCAAAGATAGTGCAGACACTTCCACTTCTCCTATCTAGGTATTGGTTTTTATGCTGGTAAACTGGACCACTCCTTCCTTAACCTAAATGGTGTTTACTACACTTTTGTACTTAAGTCATGCCATCCTTTCAATGCTCTAATATGCCTCAAAGTAATTCCAATGAGATAATCACTATTCAAACTAATTCTTTGTAACCACAAAGCCATTCTGCCTTCAGGTTACGTTGTGTTACAGAGATTTCAGTGAAGAATTATGCATCTCAAATCCGTCTTGTATAGTCTGCTTCAAGCGTGTACCATAGGTCAATCTGAGTGACAGATGCCATTATGTGCATAAAACTTCTCCATTCCCCTACTGTCTCATGTTCTTTAAAGTAAGCATGCTTCTTTCCCAACATCTTGTCTCTCAGGCAGTTAGGCCTCGGACAGTCTTACTTGACACAACATCTACGATTAGCCCAATTAATAAACTAGTCAAAACCCCACCTCCTTATATATTCCATACAAATTGTACAGTTTTCCCTAATTTGCCTGACTTCTAGCCAACTTCAACTTTTAAAAATGTATAGTTGTTTAAATTCAGTAAAATATTTAATTTTTATTCTATTATAAGCTGCAAATATAAATAATATCTCTAAAAAGTCATTTTCTGATATCACCATCGATATGGTATGTGAAAGATTTTATATCTTTTCAACAAAAGGAATTATAAAACAAGTTGGACTCATTTAGTAATTCTAAGTTTCATTGGTTGTGATAGCAAAGGGGAGTTAAGACAAGGGTTTGGTTTATTTGTAAATTTTAATTAAATTTAGCGGTCACAGTAAGTAAAGTTATTTTTTTAAATAAAGACATTTTATACGAAAGCCTGGGAGAGATAATAAACATTCCACTATACGATGCCATTTTATTATTAATTTATTTGATTCTCTGATGTCATACTTGAGCAAGCAAGATTAAGAATTGTTACATGATGGATGATTTAATTTTATTATTTAATTGGATACATTAGCTAAATTACAAATTAACAAAGTTGATAAAATGATTGAAAACACTTAAGAAGATACCATTGTCATTTAGTAAATTACTACAATTTGCAATCAATAGAACTATACTGAAAGAATTCCAACATTTTGATGATTGTGATAAAACCATAGACTTAAAAGAAAAAATTGTCCAGTAGGTGTGTGTGTTTGTGTGGACATGTGTGAATTTATATTCTGAAAAAGTACACTCAGAATGAAGGAGGTTGGCGGGGCAGTAGCTACAAAAACGCTATAACTATAGAATAGTTGCTGTTTATAGATTTATATCAGAAAAAAATCTTTTTTTTGAGTAAAAAAAGTATTATTTTTTGATATTGCCAGTTCCCACTTTAAAGATTGACCATAACAGTAATAGTAACTTTTAATCTAATTCCATAAATATGTATCAAACTTCAATCATGTTAAACTGTTATGGCAGTTAGGCACAAGATTTAATTCAGAGTTTTCAAACTTTGGCACTATTGACATTTTGGGGTAAATTATCCTTTCCTGTGGAGCTGCCTTGTGCCTTGTAGGGTGTTTAGCAGTATCCCTGGCCTCTACCTACGAGATGACAGTAGCTTTCCTCACTCAATATGACAATAAAAAATGCCTCCAGATATGACCAAAGGACTCCTGGGGAGGAATCAACCCATTTCAAGAACCATGGATTCAAGGTAGTAAGTCACTCATTTAATCTGCATGCACAAAATTTACAATTAGAAATTAGGCTTAAGCAAGAAAATAGAAAATCTGCTTCAAGAAGTCAAATCTGGAAAAAAAATGAGTCTTCTTTCCAACCACAGCCTCCCAGAAACCAACCCTGGCACACAAACACAACACACGTACATTCTCCCTAAGAATCAGTGTCACAGTAATGATACATTGCTTTTGATACATAATATGAAAGAATAACATTTTGGGGTAAGAAAATGGAAAGTCACCATTCTAGTGTTACACTTATTTATTTACTTATAGTATATATCTGAATGTACCATATGCAATATAAAATCATTTTTCAAAGGTTTTTGTTTTTATTTTTTTGAATTTAAATTAATATTTTTATTGTGGTAAGAGCACAAGAGATGTATGTTCTTAACAAATTTCTAAGAGCGAAATGCAGTATTGTTAACTATAGGCACAATGCTTCCCAGCACATCTCAAGAACTTTTTTATCTTGCATAATTAAAACTTTAATTTGTTTCACAGTCACTCCCCATTTCCCTTTATCACCCAGTCGTGGAAACTATGTTATACTCTATGTTTTTATGAGTTTAACTATTTTAGACACCTTATATAAGTGGAATTGTGCAGTATTTACCCTGTGACGGCCCTTATTTCACTTGGCATAATGTTTTTCAGGTTCATCCATGCTATCAAATATGGCAGGATTTCTCCCTTGATTAAGGTGAATGTAGCATCATTTGTATATACTGCATTTTCTATATCCTTTCATTTATATATGGAGATTTAGGTTGTGTCCATCTCTTGGCTATTGTAAATAATGTTGCAGAAACATGCAAGTGCAAATATCTTTTTGACATCTTCATACAAACTGTCCAAAGCAATCTATAGATTCAATACAACCTCTATCCAAATCCCAATAGAATTTTTAAGGAGAATAGAAAAAAATTAAATTCAGATGGAACCACAGAAGAATCCAAATAGTCAATGCAATCTTGAGAAAGAAAATCAAAGCTGAAGACATCATACTTCCTAATTTCAAATATATTACAGAGCTACAGTAATTAAAACAGTATGGTACTGGCATAAATGTAGAAATACATACCAATAGAACAAAATACAGACCCAAGAAATAAACTCTCACATATAAAATCAATTTATGTTCTACAAGGATTCCAAGAATACATGGTAAGGAAAGGAGAGTTTCTTTAACAAGTGGTGTTGAAAAATTTGAGTATCAATGAGCAAAAGAATGAGATTAGACCCTTGTCTCACAAAAATATTAACTCAAAATGGATTCAACTTAAAGCTCACTTTACATCTAGCTTTTTGAACTTTTAACCATTTACCAAGCATTATGCAAAAATCTTCATATAGATATAAAGAAACACATATGCAGATATAAATTCATGTGTATGTTTAAATAATCTGTACATAATATGCATATTCCTTCATAAGTATTTGCATTGCATTTCATACATACTATTTTAAGAATCAATTTACTTTTAAATAAAAATTTATAAAAGGAATACAAAAGCCACATTCTTTCTACTCTATAGCTTTCACTTACAAACCTTGTAATGCCATACTGCTCAAATTAGAAAACAAGAAATTATTTCCTTTAACAGTAAATTGCTTATTCACCTCATAAAACTTAATATGGAGATAAACATATTTATTTATGAGAATTTTGTTTTCCCTGCATGAAAAGAGGAGATAAATAAATTCACCCATAATTAATTTACCCATTAATAATTCACCCCTTAGGAAATATTACTTAAGTTCCTGCCATGCAAATCCCTCTGCTAGTTATTTCAAAGAGGGTAGAATGAATTAGGTAAGATCTGTGCTGACAAAATATTTACATCATAACAAAATGGAAGGCAAATATGCACAATATTTTGCTACATGTAATACTCTAATATATATTAACAGATGTTTAATGAGATAACCAGAGTTAATCAGAAGAATACGAATAGTGATAACAGAAGAAAAAGTGTTCTTTGAATTATTCAAGGTCTTGGAAAAAGAGATAGTGCATAGTAATTTACTAGTAAATAACTTGATAGAATCTCTATTTAGCAAAGGTGTAGGGATACTAGAGAAAGGATGTTGTCCATGGAGCTGGCATGCATCATCTGACTCTCTTATGTCTCAAGGGGTAAAAGAAGACATCCCCACTAAGCCAGAAAGAAAAGGGAGCCAAGTGGTAGAAGCTCTGGCTTTGGGTGGTGTAACAAAGTGCCATCAAGAACACTGTGGAGAAGAAGTGAAGGGAATGATAGCTGAATATCAGTCTTCCATCACTTGATATCATGCTAGTGTTCATCACTAGTCTAACCCAGTGAGAAAATAATGGGCAAACTGCCTACTGAGGTGGGTTAGCTATTCCAAACTCTTGACAGGATGAAGTATGGGAAATTGATTTGAAGTGGCAAGGAAAATCAGTCCATACATTCCCATATATACAATTAGTCATATTACATTTGGCCTAATTGTTTTTCCCATAGAGCAGGAAAAAATCACCCCATTACAATAAAGGCAGTATATTCCAGAAGTAATGCTAAAATGTTAACTAAAAAATAAATCAATAGATGTTTTCTATAGAGGATATTTCAGTAACTCTTTAGATGAAGATGGAATGAGGTAAGAGGGCTGCCTTGAAAGATCAAGTTAATCTTCTGAGTCAAATGGTAGATATATAGTGGGTAATTTAAATGTATATGGGAATTTAGACAAAAGCCATTTTCCTAATAAAATAATAACAACTGTAACCTTGACAATGAGTAAGTACACATTTCTTTCCATAATATAACAATGTCTCTCTTTCAGAATAGAATATTAATTATTCCAGGCCATTACAGCAGGATGTCAGTGTCATATTTCTAAAAGAGGAAAATATTTGTTCAGAATCAGTTTTCACTGGGCATAAAGCCCTGTGAGCAGAATCCACATTACATACTGAATGTCAAATTGAGTGGGAATAAAGGGCAATGAGGTTTGGAGATTATATGTATTGTTATTTGTTTGTTTCAGTAATTTTCTGGATTTACGGAATTAAAGTGGGGAAGAGGACCGTTTCTCTCTCATTTCTCTCCTTTATTACAACTCCAGGGACATCAATTAGCCACAGTGGTCTTGTAAAAAACAGACTGCCAATTAAACCAGAAGTTTCCTTGAAGCCACTGTGGAGCATTGCCCAAGGAGCCCAGCTGGTTTCTTATAAATCTTGCCTTGCATATATTTACCAGACTTAACAATAACAATGTCGAAGAAGAAACTATGAAAATTATAACTATTCTGAGATTTATTTTTAAAGTATTTATTTTGAAATTTTAAATAATTAGCTGGCAAATTAAGGTATTCCATCTATCACTGAAGTGTTCTGTATTATTATAATAACTCATATTAAATGCATAACACTGATATAAAGAGAACATACCTATATTTAAGCCAATATTTAAAACACTGTGTAAAATCACTTTACTATAACCTCTTAAATGCCAATAAACCACTTTCAATAAAGAGGATGATTAAATTGTGACATTGCAATATTGCAATTTTTCTTTGAAAAGATGAAAAAATATTTCTCTCTGCTGTTATATTTGATGAGATGTCTTAATGCATGCCTTTCTCATTAAAATATTCATATCATACAGTTTTAAATGAATAACTTCAATATGATATATTGTTATATTAATACAATAAATGTAACTACAGATATAGCTTTCAATAATAACATATAATTTTCATAAATGTGTACAGCTATTTAAATAACTGTCATATTATCAGCCCACTACAGAGCCTCACTTAGTGTATTTAGTTTAATGACATCATTTATTTGAAATCTCAAATGGTATTTATTGACAATAACATGTATAATTAAATTGTATGAAGCAAACATCCATAAATTAAGAACTATTTCTGTCAATTCTCCTGACATGATTTTTAATGTCCTAATTTACAGAGGAATGATGAATTGTCAAATTAAATTTCTTTGGCCAGTTAGATTTGCTCTATGACTTATATTACCACAGTTATGTTAAGTCTGTCACAAAGTGCTATAATATTGTTCGTGTTACTTATATGATATTGCTTATGGCACTGATTACCCATACTGCAAGGAAAATATTAGTTTTAATCTTACTGTTGTACTGGTGTAGAATAATGGCTATTGAATAGTCATGTTTGTATATTTCTTGATGTGTATTTTTTCTCCTTTTTCTCCTTTCTCTATTTGTTTGGTCCTCTTCACTAAAATGTAAGTCAAATGAAAACGAAATGCTTAATTCATCCCTGTAACACCAGCTCTGAGAACTGTGTGGCTAACATTGTAGGGACTCAATGTTACATAAAAGAATATCATTATATGTTAATTACTTTAAACCATATTGAGTCATATGTAAAATATATTTTATTCTTTAATACCATCTCTTTACTAACATCTAACAAATGCTATAACCATCATCAAAGTTCACAGTATATGTGGTTTCATTTAAAAAGCTATCCCTGACTTTTGTTCAACTCTTCCAGACCACCTGAAATTAAGCATATTGCCTTTCCCTCTACTCCTAGAGTAATTTCCTGTAATATTTTATTTTAGTTATAATAATTACCTATAAAATTTTTATCATAACTATATACACACATATAGTATTTTCTCCAATAGGGTTCAAATCCTTAGAGAAAAAGTCCAGGATATTTTATGCCTTGTATTTTCAAAATTTGCCAATATGAGACTTAACACACAGCATGTATTCTAACAGTCCTTTCAAGTTTACTATTTACTCATCCATACACTCACTCATTCACTCAAGTCTTATTTTTGGCCATCTGCCAGCTACTCTGTTAAGTGCTTTAGGATTGTGAAAGAAGAATAACGTATCTTCCAGTTTCTGTCAACTGAAACTTCCGTTGTTCCCAGCCCTATGACAATATAAACCTAAATATTCAGGGCAGTCCTAGCTCTTCCACTATTTATATCTGCTATCAACAAACTTTTTCGTTTGTTTTTTTTTTTCTAAAAATCATGTAGTAGAGATCTACTTTCATTAGCTTAGAATCCCTTTTGTAAACAGCCTTTTCTATCACATGTCAACTTGTCTCACCTTCCTTGCTAAAAGTATGGGTATATAAGTTTAGCCATCAAAATCCTTTTTAGAGATTGTATAAATACTGGAGGACAGAAACTTAATCTTTTTTTTCCTTCTAAGGAGCAAACACAATTACAAACAATTGTAAAGCAGAGAAGACAGTCGGACAATGAGGATGGAAATATTACTTGCTAGAAAAAATCACAGCTAATTAGTGACTAGGAAAAAATAAAAGGTCTACCCCTTAAAGCTTCGGTATACTACACTATAATTTTTAATTACAATTTTTAGTGCAGCACAAAATGTCTGTTTCTTCCCTAAGTCTCTGTTTTTCTGTTATATACTCATAATAATATGAGTAAGGGTTGCATACCCTAAAACCACTAGAGACAGTTTTATTGATACTGCTTGAAAGAGATATTGATACTGATTGAAAGCATGCTTGAGAATAAAACAAACAATTGCAAAGCAGAGAAGACAGTCGGACAATGAGGATGGAAATATTACTTGCTAAAAAAAATCACAGCTAATGAGTGACTAGGAAAAAATAAAAGGTCTACCTCTTAAAGCTTCGGTATACTACACTATAATTTTTAATTACAATTTTTAGTGCAGCACAAAATGTAATCACTCACAGAATTTTTCCATGTCCTTGTATTGTTTGTTTACTTGATCCTTGCTTTTAGACTTCTTTCTCAATTTTCAGTATTCAATTAAAGTTTATTCAACTATTCAAATTACCTCTTAGAGCAAATCTGAATTTCCCTGCTTAGTTTCAAAATCACCCTATGGGTGACAAGGGACTGCTGTTACTAATGTTAGTCTGTAAGTTCAACAAAAGTAAATACTTAACCTCGTTTCTATTCCTCACATCATATACATACTTTCAAGAATTCTTAATCACAGTTTCTTGATTACTGTAGTTATTTGAATGATATTTTAGCAAAATAAACATTAATTTTGTTTAGTTGTTTGAATGATATTTTGGAAAAATAACTATTAATTTTGTTTTATTCATACTCAGAAGGAAGATAAGAGTATCACAAGGATAACCTCTGTGAGTAGAGCATGGCTTATCTTCTTGGCCTATTGAAGATTTCATCAAAGGTATTTAGATCCTAAATCATTGGTGGTAAGTAATTAACATTGGCTTTAATGAATAATATTGTAACATATATTTAGAAATATTTTTTGTTTTATAGAAATTATTATATATAAATGTTTTTAGTTTTAGTTTTTTACTGAATGATAGAAGCTATTAGTTGCCTACTCAGCATCTTTTCCTTCTTTGCTACTTACAGAACTTAAACTGTTCATGTCTCCAAGCCTCCTCCTTACAGTCTTATATTAAAGGGGAAGCTGAAAACTCAGTCACATTCATATCAGGCCTAACAGTAATCTCATTGATCTTGTCAAGGATCATTTCAGAAATGGACACATCCCTTACTGGCCAATAAAACATTAGAGGAAATTTGATGGGGAGCTCCCTTGATCCTCTCAAATTCCCCAAGACATAGTCTTACTTCTTCCTCCAGGTGTGCTACACCCTTGTTTTGCTAAAGCCAACTTACCAACAGCCCGAGAATGAAGCCAACACAGAACTGCTAGGAGAGATTTGGAAGAAAGCAAAAGCAAAAACAAAATGAAAACACCCTGCTTAAGCCTTTAATTGCAGTTCTGTGCATAGGAACATTGACTTCCTGTAATAAAATTTTATCTAAAATAGTAGAGCATGTTAGGGAGGTGTCTTTTCAGAACTTATGTTTATTATTCTGGAATAAACCAAATTCATCTCTGACTTGAAGTGAAGGTAAAAGAAAAAGAAACATAAGCTAGACTACAAAATTTCTAATTCATGATGTCTTCCCATAAGGACATGACTTATTTTACAAAAATAGTTCCCTAATCACTCTCTTCTCAATGAAAACATGTTTTGATGATTTACATGGGCATCTGGGACATATAACATTCCTGCTGACTAGAGCCACGTGAATGCAACTGTCAGTAGACAACTGTTTCTTCTGTTTTATTTGGTGAAAGTAATATTTCTGTAAAATATGACAGCTTGGGGAAATTTCTGCATTCTCTAAGCATACAGATTGGGTTTATATTTACGATTCCTCTAACACTTGAAATCTTGTTTGTTTTGAAATATTTTGATTTAAAGGATTAAGGGCTTTTTTAGAATTACATATCTTGTATAATAAAATATAAGAATGTGGATAATATGTACCTTAATCTTTCTTCAGAGATTCATAAACTCTTTTCTAAGCTCTTCATAACATGATTCACAATAAGATGGAATGCTGTTATTGTGCAGAAGAGAATGATACAATTTTGCTTTAGTAATGTGAATGAGAGTATTTACTAAACATTAGGATCTCGTAGCTTTTGTTGGATATATTTAGAAAAATATGCATGTGACATGCGAAACATAATGAAAAATATATTGACGTTATTAACTAAAGATTGCAGATCAAATCTGAATTGCTAGGCAAAGAGGACATTAACTCTTTTCCATATTCTACTGTAGATTTACTTCCATCTTCTCTAAAAAGAATCTTTTTTAATACAGGTGAACAATTAGCCTGCCTTTGAATATTCCTTAGAATTCAAAATTATCTTGATTTATCTATTAAGACAAATCTCACACAGGCCATTATGTCTTAGAAATTCTGGGTACACTGCTCTTTTTTACTCGTTTAACACATCGCAAACTGAATTAATCAAATCTTTTATTTTCTAATTAGATGTGGCTTTGAGCAAGACTTCTGCTTTAAAGACAAGCATGGACAGGGATATAATAAACACATTTATATCAGTGTATTCTTAAAATTAATAATTTAATTTATAAATACCTAAGCATATAAAATATGCTTAAAGAAATAGTTGCTTCTAGGTTGCAATTGTCACATACAATTCCTTAAAAATAAAATCTCAGTCTCTTTGAATATATAACTGGATTAATGGTCACTGTAATGATCTTTAAATTACTGTTTTAAAGCGTGATGGATTTAAATAGGTTTATAAAGGATAAAACATACATGCTCTTATTTATTTAGCAATAATTTACTAAAATAACAGTAAAAATTCATGTAATTATTTTCTTTCTGTATATGTAATAAAATAAAAATATTACCTGCTTAAATGTTGGCAGAGAATATTTATTTACTTTGACAAATGTTTCATTAGAGTTAGCACCTCTACCATCAATTAGCATTCCATAGTTTTATAGCTAATATACAACTTATAATCTGCCATCTTCCAAACCATTTGTTCTGGAATATCATTTTTGTATTATGTTGTCTATTGAAGTTTAGAGAGTCACATATATAATTTATGCATTGTAATGTAGAACCATTTCTAAACGTTTGTCTCAGGGCAATAATGCATCTGACATAAGGAAGTATTATCTATGTTTTTTCTAGTTTTAAATATCTATCATGCCGCATACAATGAGACACTTAATTACTCTAGTTCTGTTCCATGTTTCTAGTGCTATGTGTTCCGTGAAAAATCAGGAATAGTTTAATAAGCAATATTACTAAACTGGATTATGAAATAAATCACAAAATACAAGTTCTTGTTAATGGTGACTATATTTAATAACAATAGATTGAATACTCAAAAATCACTAAGAGAATATATTTTGTGTTCTCACCACAAAAGAAATGATAAGTGTATTGGGTAATGCATATGTTAATCAGCTCTAATTAGCCATTCCACAACAATACATATTTTAAAACTATGTTGCATACCATAAATACATACAATTGTATTTTTCAACTAAAAAATAAAACATTTTTAAAATTTAATTAAACATCAATTAAAATGATAATGAGTAATAGTCGTGATCTGAAATGCATTCTAACACTTGTGTTAAAAAAAGTGAACACTTGGTGGAACGTGTATTTTAATATTATCAGTTTATTAATTAGGCATAATTTTACAGAAAATTTTTACAGAAAATAATGTAAAGTATTCTTAAGGTGACTGAAGTTTATTTATACATGTCAATGAATAATTAATAATATCTTGACATCACCAGAAAATTGAAACATGAAAAATACTATCAAAGCTTTCTCATGGTTGTTTAAATTTTACCCAACTTTATTACTGAGACCAGGTATTAACATCTTTGCTCTTTGAGAGGGCAAGGCTGGAGTAGCAGGTCAGTGCTTGTAGCTTGTGGCTTAGGAACACCTTGGTCATTTTACTTCAGTGTCTTGTACAAATAATATAATTTGTTATGTATTCTAAAAAGACACAAATTTTGGGACACTTCATTAGAGACCTGGTAATAGTGTAGAGTCAAAATCTATTAACCCCTCATCATTTTAGGTGGATTTCTTCCCTAACTCTGTTTTTCTGTTATATACTCATAATAATATTTTACATTACTTAAATAATCTGTGTGATGAAAATGTTAGTTTATTAATGTGAAATCGCTTCAAAGAGCATAGTGTTTCACATAATATTAGACATATTGTGAGAGTCTCAGATCAGATTGGAAAGATTTTGCGAATATATTCTAATATATTTATTAATTTAGAAGACATTAAGAATGAGCATAATGTATATGAGACTCATTCTTGAATCATGGCCTACAGTCATTAAAAAGATGCAATTCCAGCCTGACCAATGTGGTGAAACCTCGCCTCTACTAAAAATACAAAAATTAGCTGGTCATGGTGGCATGTGGTTGTAATTCCAGCTGCTTGGGATGCTGAGGCAGGAGAATCGCTTGAACCGGGGAGGCAGAGGTTGCAGTGAGCCGAGATCATGCCACTGAACTCCAGCCTGGGCGACAGAGTGAGACTGCATCTCAAAAAAAAAAAAAAAAAAAAAAAAAAATTTAATTGAAGTCTAAACTTGTGGTAAAAAGAGTTGTAAAATTGTTCCAAATACATTGTTTATTTGCGCCCATTTAGTATCTAAATGCTTGGGCTCATCTCTTAATATGTGATAATAACCTAAAATGTTTCAATTCTTAATAGATGAGGGAATCAAAATGATTAAAAAATGTTATTTTTTAGAACATTCTTGTTCATTCAAGCACTAAAATGTTATCATTGCCTTATTTTCTTACTGAAATCATACATACTTCTAACTCTAAGATATAAACATCTGGTTTTCTTTGCACTTCAGTAAGATCTTGAGAATGTTTGGAGTTGTTTTGAGAAATGTTGCAAATTATAACAACTAAATTAATATGTATCATGACTTGTACTAAACACCTCTGTATGATTTATCTCTTTTCCCTCAAAATTACTCCACAAGGCAGGTAATCTTACTGGGTTTTGATCGGACCCAATAATCAATGTCCCTCTGTCCAAGTGCAGTTCTAAACTAATTGATAACAACTTATGTGAGGAATTAAAAACAGCCATATTCGTAGAAGCAGAGGGTAGAATGGTAGTTGTTAGGATCTAGGGAGAGGGAGAAATAAAGAGGTATTGGTCGAAAAGTACAAAGTTTCAGTTATGCAAAATGAGTAAGTCCTAGATATCTACTTCACAGCACAGTGCTTAGTTAACAATTGTGTACTGCATACTTAAACATTTGCTAAGGGGGTAGAAATTATGTCAAGTGTTCTTATCACCAAAACTAGTCATAAATAAAGAGGGGAGAAGGCAACACTTGAACGTGATGAATATGTTTATGGCATTGATTGTGGTAATGGCTTCATAGGTGTATACTTATCTCCAAACTCATTGAGATGTATACATTGAATATGTACAGCTTTTTGTAGGCCAATCATACCTCAGTAAAGTGGTTTAGAAAATTGAGACCTAAAACAAAGCAGAAATTAAGCTGAAAATTCATATCACCTTTGTCAGTGATAAAGGTGAAAGTGAGCGCTGTGGCTAAGTTCTCATAAACAAATAAGCTTGCTTGCTTTTCAACGTGCCACCTGAGGAAAAGGTTAGTTTACTAGGAAGGATAAGAGAATTAATATGCCAGACTTAGGGCATTGGATAGAGTAGCCACACCCAGTTGAGAATTTTTTATCAGTGATTGTCTTCCACCAATCGTGTAACTCCTTGGATATTCCTTAAATAGTATATGTCCAATGAACAGAGTAGTATAGAGAAAATAACGTTTTCTAGGAACAGTGGAAAAGGGAAAAAAGGTGTTTCCCTTCTGCAATAGCAAGGCTACCTGACAATAATTCAGCTCTACAATCATCCAGGATCTGTATAAAGTATTTTACTTATTTTATTTCTCTTTATCTTTAACATACACTATTGTACATGAGGAAATTAAGGTTTATAAACTTAATTTCCTTTATCCTGACTAATAATCTCCAATAAAAAGATAGTAAAATGAGGACCCAGTATCCAAACCTAGGTTTTCTTACTTAAGTATATACCTTTTTTCAGGATATAAAGAATAACTTAGTGAATTGGTAACTATAAAATTTCTTAAATGGGTTGACATATTGCTTCAACATAATTTGTTCTTTGAGAGATTCAATATCAATATTTTTTGGTAATTTATCCTATTTTTTCTCAAATTTGCAATTATATCGATAATCATCAGAGATACCAGAATTATTTACCAGCTGTTCATCTTACAGTTTTAGCTCAAACTTGAGAATCTGTACTGGAAAGTCAAAACAAATGTAGATAGTTTTACAATACTAATCTTCCAATAAAGACTTTTATGGTTTATTTACCACCTAGCATTCAAATACTTCTGAGTCAAAATCATATGCCATGTATCTTCTCTTCAAAACACAAGGTAAAGAGAACAATGACAACCTGCATCTTTTCATTAACAAAATTGAGATAACCTTTATCAATAATTTATTTATATAAATAATTTATATAATTATATAATATATAAATTTATTACTTATATTTTCAAGTAATATAAGTAAATATAAGTAAAATATAAGTAAAACAATTATTGAAAATGTAAGTAAAACAATTAATTAAGAATATCCTGAAGGTACTAAGATAAATTTTTGAAGCCAATTAATTACAGTATAAAAAACGTATACTTGCTTTATATTTTAAGTTTATGCATTTTGGATTCAAGATATAAACAAAAATTGTTGTCCTAGAATTTTGTGCAGCAATTTCAATGGTAAACTGTAGGGGCAAGTCCATAAAAAAGTTTTTTAATGTAATAAATAGCATTTACTGTTTTTCTACTTCAAAATGTTCAGAACCAACAGGCTTTTAAAGATGAAAGTTAAAATCAATAATCCACCACCCAGTTAAAATGATGATTAATATTAACATTTTGTTATATTTCTTTCTACATTATTTCTTTTTTAAAATGTTATTATTTTTAATCAAAACAACCCATTTAGCACTATTTCACACTCTGTCCTTATTCATTTAGATTTCATTACATATTTTATAAGATCAATGACACACCACTCTACTGTTTTTTTTTCATTTTTATCTTGAAGTCTCTATTCTGAATTGTTGGCAGTTTGGATATGATCTGTTCTCTATTGTTTTCCTTAGGTGCGGTTCTTCACATGTGGTGGTTTATTTTCTGCAATCTTGCATTTATGCAGATTAATGACATCTTACCTAGGTAGAAAATTCTTATATTGCTGTCTTTTCTCTTTAAAATCTGCAGAATTTGTTAGTTCACCGAAGTCTAGCTTCTAGTTTTTCAGATGAAATATTGAGTGTTTTCATTCTTTACTAGAAATTTCTCCTTTCTGCTGGAAGAGAGTACAATGTTCCTTTGTGCTTTTGGCAACTAGTTGATAACTAGTTATGTGCTCTACCAAACATGGTGGTATCAGCTTGTATGTCTTAAGTCTGGAGATTTATGTAACTCCTATAAAAGTATAATAATAGATTGGCTGGTATTCGGTTTTGGTTTGGTTATATATACTTATAGAAAGGTGTGTCCTATCTTTAATAAAAACTCAAGTATAGCAGAGAGGAAAATAAAAAAATTAAATACAAATAAGACATTAAATATTAGTCAGAGGTTATACACTAAACATTTAAAAACAAAGTTATTTTTCTAACTTTAGTAATAACACACATCTTATTAGTCATTACCATGTCAGAAATCATTTTGTTTTGTTTTCAGAAATCTTAGAATCTATTTTTCAATAGCCAAAAAACAAGAACCATGAAGAATGTGTTATACAGTTATTTTATTATTTCTGGAGAATATTTTCTTTGAGATATATTATGTAAAATGAAGTAGTGTAGTGCTCAATGCATAGGAAGGTCTTGATGACTGTCATTTTAATATCTATCTAGAAATTCTCTTTAATTTAGTTATATACATTTTTTCTCTTCTTTAGATCTTAATTAATGAGCCAGAGAACAATTTTATGCAAATTATTTAAAAAGGTGCCACTATCTTCTTGCATAAATAGCCTCAGGCCAGAGTTCATGGCTTGGCAAATGGGACTCTGGTTTGCAAACTTATAAACCTTTCTGCTACTGAACATAAAAGTCTGTATTAAAACATTAAATTATTCCTGTGATATTGACACAAGACTACATTTGGTCAGCCAGAAGCATCTATTTTTCTGTAGAAGAATGCCCTAGATCATGAATTAGATATGCAAAAATCCATGACTAGCAGAGAATAAAAGCTTTGCCATGACCATCATATATTCCAAACTGGGCACCACTAAATTATCATTCTGTTGCATGTGCCCATTTATACATGAAGAGCCATCTAGAAGATCTGAAGAAATTAAAACAGACTCTGCCATTTTTTATCTCAAACCCAGGTATTCCAGTTAGTGCCACACTCAGGATCCCCTGCAGAAAGTTGTGTTTCTAGTCGTCAAAAAGGATGAGGATATATGCTTACATGTTCTATTTCTTACTCATTAATGTACAAACCTTATTAGGAAAAAGATCCCAGACATCTAATAGATGGGTCATCATTGTACAAACCTTCAGTTTAGAAACTGAATTTAGAAGTCCACTCATTTAGCAGAGGTTCTGTTCACATTTGTCGAAATAAGGTAATGTAATATTGAGTAAGCTCCTGGGCTTTCTTGGGAGTGCCAGAAGTAGTCCACAGAGAAGAACACACGTCCGTGTATATGTGTGTGTGTGCATGTATGTGTGTGCGTGTGTGCTCATCTTGTGTGTGTGCAGCTCCTAGAAGTTTTATACTGATACACAGACCTGCATTTGCCCTTTTGAAATTTGTTAAAGTTTGTAGCTGAATTCTTCCTTCCTGCTTGTATGCCACATTGTCCTCCTTTGCTGCAGGGAGCCAGTACCTTCTCTTTGAGGCACCGACCTTTCCTTAAGATGTAATACTACTTCATTATCCTGTGACTCTAGGTCCCTGATGGGTTATGTAAAATTTATAATAATGTAGATTATCCAACTTTTTCCTATTATTATGGTAGTGATGCTCCTTCCGGCTTTCTGTATAGCAGGAAGCCAGGAAGGCTTGTTGTCACATATTTTTAACCAAATTCACTTCAAGCTTGCTTGAAAGCAGAAGCTATAGATATTTGGAATATAATTTTATTCAAACATAGTGAATGAACAGCAATTGTGTTTATTTGCTTAATAATAAAAAACATATTATTATAGCAAATATTCTCTTGACAAGTTAATTATAAACTGTCTACTTGACAGTTACCCCCCAATGAAATGCATCTCTCTTTTACCTTATACCTGATTTGTAATCACTAATGAACTATTAGTATGTTACCCAAAACAGCTTCATTTTCAAGCCAGTTGCTTCTTTTAGTTAACAATTTGTTAACTACAAAAAAAAATCACAAACTTTAGTGGCTTAAAACAACAATGGTTTAGTATTTGTTGTGCTTCCTTTGGGTAAACTTAATGAGCCTTGTGTTTCATGTTATGCTGGCTGCGTCACTCATATGTTTGCAAGAGGCTGAAATATTGACTGTTGGAAACAGGAAAAGAACCTTCAGTTTTCTTCTACATGTTCACTCTCTTCATATAATACCCCACATTCCAGGGTTTCTCCATTATCCTCTCTCCACTGGAGGATAATCTCGACTCCCATGTAGTCTAGAGGGTTACCTAGAGGGAACATTTAAGTCACGTGAAAGTGCATTCCTTAGTCAGCTCACGTTGCCATAACAAAATATCACAGACTGGGTAGCTTAAACACCCAAAATTATTTATCACAGTTCTGGAGGCTAGAAGTCCAAGATCAAGGTTTTAGCTGATTTAGTTGCAAATGATTTCTCTCTGTGTCCTCAAATAGTTTTACCTTGGTGCTTGCACTTAGGGAGAGAAGAGAGGAGCAAGAAAGAGAGAGCACATTCCGGTGTTTCTTCTCATATGGACACTAATCCTATTAGATCATGACCCCACCCTTCTGACTTCCTTTAACCATAATTACTTCCACAAAGGCTCTATTTCAAAATATAATCACCTTGAGTGTTAGGGCTTCACATATGAGCTTTGGGGAGCAACAAACACTCAATCCATAATAGTGCGCGCCAAACTTCTGCTTACGTTAAACTTGCTAAGGTCTCATTGGCCACATTTAGCCATGTGGCTAAGCCCAGATTAGTGTGAGTAGTGACTACATAAGGGTATGGATGAAGGATATTGTGGTTCATTGAGGGATCATCAATGTGACATTCCAGCTTAGTGCCATGACAACCCTGCTTTTATTGCTCAATTGACTGTTGTTTCTCAGGAAAATTTATCTTGTTGTCCCCTCCTTTAAGAATCCTTTCACTGATACTGTAAAAGATCCTTCTCTTTGTCCACAAATTCCTCAATACAGTCAGACTAGTACAAAGCCTAGCAGACAGTCGTCTCTGGAATGGTTTAAGAACCACCCCTCCCCGCACACCAAACAACAATTTTATTTACAAGAATAGTAAATAGAGAAACAATGGAAAAAATGCATTGTGCTTTTGTGTTTTTTCTATTCTCATTTTGTCAGTATTCATTTGTATATATAAAAGGTGACAACGAATTGCAGTAATACTTTTACAGACAGTATTCTCCCAATTTGAGAAAGAGATCTCAAAATAAGTTTATTCTACCCATTTGAAAAACAAAAAACTCTTCTTAAAAACACATAAAAGAATGTTTTAACTGAACAATGTATAAAGATAATAAAAAGATGTGTTCAGAATTCATTTATTTCTCACTATGCATCTATAATGCTAATACACATAGTTCTAATATACAAATAAATACACAAATAATATACATGCAATAGCACAGGTAATAGGCCTAATGGTAATTCTTGATGTCTCTTAATGAAGGTATATGTAATAACTCTGTAGAGTGGTAGAAAAATTAGCTTATCTATTCTCCACTAAAGCCTCTTATGCTCACTATCTCATACTCTTAACACTCCTATGTTTCATTCTAAGCTCCTGTTTACTGCTATTGCACTTGATAATCTAATTATCCTGGGCTTTTCTTTTTCTTTTTCTTTTTCATTAGTCTTAAGATGCAGAAAGTTTCCATTTATTTCCTTGTAATTCAGCAACAGTAGAGTTATTTTCCTCATTTTCAGTGTTTCTGCTTGTATCTGTATATTAGTTAGAATTTGAAATGACATGATTTTTCTGTGTGCTAATTTGGAATATAAATGTGTTCTTTAGCTGTCCTCTGCCCTTGGCAAGTTGCCTGGCATTACTGCATATGGGATATTTGTGGAAGGCGGCAGGGTTCATAAACATGCCAGTCTGTAAGTGACTAAAAAAAAAAATCACTGGACAGATGGATTGTTGCGTGTTGAAAAACATGACTCAAAAGCCCTCTCACCTTTGGTTGTCTCCTAAATCTCCACATTTGAAGTTTATCTCCCTCTTCATATTACTCTCACCTCCATTTCCTCTTGTTTTGTGCCTATCTCTTACCCTCAGTCAGTTTTCTATTTGCTACCAGAAAGTTACCTCTCTACATTTACACAATTTAATACTCATATCACATTATACAATTATGGCCCTCATTTGAATGAAGCTCTGTTTAGAAGGATTCTAAATGACAGCACAGATTATTTTTTAAGTTTTAACTGCATATCAATGCAGATAGAAATTCCTGGAATAATTAAATCATCCTTCATCTGTGAATAAGTGATGACATCACTGTAATCCAGATGTCGGCTTCTCCTTTCCCAAGCTCACTTCTCACTAAGGTATTTGAGAAAGGAAGCTGGCCCATGGAGTGCTCTGAATTATTTCCAAGCTGCTGCAGCTTCCTTGCAACTCTTTAGCTCTGTGATGAATAACTATTCACCTTGGTGATGGTCATAAACAGAACCTTGTGGATCTACCCGTCCTGTAGATAAACAATCCTACATCAGCATGGACATCAGAAATAGAGGGTTGAATACAAAAACTATTCATTAGTCCTCCCACTCTCTTATCTCTTTGTGTCTTAAGTTATTACTGTTATGAGTGTTAGATGTATTGGGAGTTCAGAGAATAAGTGGTTACGTTAAAGAAAACGTGGCAAATTAAAATTGGATGTTAGACATCTGTAATCTCATAATACCTGTGGCCACTCCATCTCAAGGAATTTAATGTGGCCAAGATACTCTACTTACAACCTTATTCCCCCTTTTATGTTGCCCACCCTCTCAATCTCATACCAAACCCTCTTCTCCCCAACTCTACACATATTTTTTTCTGTGCTCTCCCATTTCCCATCTAAATGTAAGTTTCTTATGAAGAGCAGTTTAGCTAACTCCTTTGGTTCATTTTTTTTTCTTTCAGTCAACGTTTTCAGAGCCTTACTTTCCACTCCCATGTATCTTATCAACATATTGTCCTAAACAGAAGCAGTTCTTTTTCTAAAGGAGCTCTATTTTCACCTATTAAAATAATGCATTTTTCAATTGCCTGAAACACCAAATGTCACAATTGTTATTACCTAGTTTTGTCTTGTTCATGTGAGAGTTGGTAAGTGAAAACTTTCAGACCACACAAAATTGAAGTGTACAAACTCTGGGCATGCCTAGATTAGCTACAATTTAGGTATAATTAGGATATTGTTAGCTATAGTTTAGGTATAATTAGGATATTGGTTAATAATCTATTATTATATCTTAATCATTCCCTCAGGTTTTACAAATGATTTTAAAATGATGACAGAAAATTACACCTGCAAATCTCCTTAAATTTTAACTCTGTTTAGGCCGGGCGCGGTGGCTCACGCCTGTAATCCCAGCACTTTGGGAGGCCGAGGCCGGCGGATCACGAGGTTAGGAGATCGAGACCATCCTGGCTAACACGGTGAAACCCATCTCTACTAAAAATTAGCCGGGCACGGTGGCGGGCGCCTGTAGTCCCAGCTACTCGGGGGGCTGAGGCAGGAGAATGGCGTGAACCCGGGAGGCGGAGCTTGCAGTGAGCTGAGATCCCGCCACTGCAGTCCGGCCTAAGTGAAAGAGCGAAACTCCATCTCAAAAAAAAAAAAAAAAAAAAAAAAATTTAATTCCGTTTAAAGCACTTTATCCCACAAACTAATTATAGGTTTTTAAGGTTTCTTACTCCATATTTAAAATTCAAAATTTTAATGCATTATTTCAGTAGACTTTGCTTTGGAAATAGAACAAAATATTTTCTTTAGAAATAATAAGGTATAACTTTTCAGACAACTGTACAGAAGTTTCATTTACTTATTTAATGGGTATGAGAATTCCTGAGGATATTTTCCTCAGAGTTATAGGTGTGAGTCATAGCAATTAGTTTAGGCTTTGGTGTTATTTTATTTTATATCTTTTAGCAAAACAAGATAAATATTATGTGGTTTTGTTTAAAAAAAGAGCCATTTGAAGTATTTCTTGGGTAATATATTTCTTTATTTACTATATTTTGATATAGGAATTGGCATTTATATTTCACAGAAAGAATATTTTTCTCAAAAGCATAACTTCAGCTATATTGTTAAGAAAATTTAAGTTGGATAAATATTCAGTTAACTCCTGACATTAAGAATGAACTATTGCCATCAGTAAATAGCATTGAGTCATTCTGTGGATTTAAGAATGTACTTATTTTAAATAACCTTAAAAGCCATAATTATTAAGATTTTGGAATTCTTCTGTAAATATTTGCCTGACAATTTTTTCCTTTTGCTTTGGACCTTTCAGATGATTTATTTATTCTTCTCATGATATGAACACTTAACATGCAATCTAGTTTTAATGCACTGTACAGTATTATTTATGACGAGCAATATTGTAGAGCAAATCTCTAGAACTTACTCATTTTCTATAACTGAAACTTTATACCCTTTGAACACCAGCTACACATATCCCCTTACCTCTAGCCCCTGGCAACTACCATTGTACTTTTTTTTTTCTATGAATTTGACTGTTTTGCATACCTCATATAACTGAAACCATGCAGTATTTATCTTAATGTGACTGGCTTATTTAACTTAACAATGTTCTTCACGTTAATCCATGTCATCACATATATATGGCAGGATTTCCTTATTTTTAAAGCCTAATATTTTCCATGATGTGAACAGAATATATTTACTTTATTTCTTCATCTGTCTAAGAATATTTAGGTTGTTTCCACATCTTGGCTATGTGAATAATGCTACCATGAACATGGGAGTGCAAATATATCTTTAAGACGTTGATTTCAATTCTTTTGGGTAAATATCCAGAAATGGGATCACTGAATTATCTTTGTTTTTTAATTTTCTAAGGAATCTTCATACTGTTTTCCATGGGCTGAACCATTCTACATTTCATCCAGTGATGTATGAGTTCCAGTTTATCTATATCTTCACACATCCTTGTCAACACTTATTAAAAAAAAATAGGAAGGAGGATCCAAGATAGCTGACCAGAAGCTATCTTGTGCTTTAACCACACCTCCAGCAAGCTGCTGTGTGCAACTCTCACGGAGAGAAGACAGATTGGCAAGTATTAGCTTTTCCACTGGAACATACAGGTGGACACATTGGGATTTATCAAGGGAACAACTTGACCCGCGGAAAATGGAGAGAAGTGAGATGAGACAACCACTCACCAGAGTGGCATTGAGCCAGGGAAGGCCCCCCAACCATGGGGAAATGGTGAGTGAGAGTCCCTGAAGACCTTGGGTCTCTAAACTGACATGGAGAGCTACATGGAGTCTAGGCAGAGGCCCGCCAAGGCAAATGCAGAGTCCCAGGAGCCTTTGATCCCAGGGTATCCTGATATTAACAGCTGCAGCCCCGAAAATGGGAGATATTATGCCCGCTTGCATGCCCCCAGGAAAGGGGCCAAATCCAGGGGCTGAGCACTAATGAACTTCAGGCCTTTCCTCCACCACACCTAGCAGGAAAAGGCCCTCTGGCCTGGGGCCTTAGCATGGCCAGACCAGCCTCACCTGGTTTCCTAGGCTGAGAGCAGCTCTGCAGTTCCCTGGGAGGGAGCTCCCGCTCAGGAGCTTCCAGAGGGAGAGACAAGCTGCCATTTTTGCTGTCTTGCAGCCCTCACCACTGTTCCTCTTAGGTTCTGGAGGGAGCAGGGTGATTAGGGACTGGTGTGGATCCCCAGCACAGAACAGCCACCCTATGGAAAAGCTTTGTTTTCCACATGGGTCCCAATTCCCACTTCTTTTCATTGGGTAGGACTTCTTGACCTGGGCCCCCAGTACAATTAGTCTGTCCCTCCTGAACACTTCAGTTGGAGGTACCTCTACATTTCTCTGAGAAGGAAACTCCAGATACAAACTACAGCCCCTCTGGCATTGCAGCTGCAGTGGTACTGCCCTAACTGCCCTCAGGTTGGGAAAGGAATAAAGGTCCTGAAAGCTACAATAGCACCTCTAGCACACAGCAGCCACCATATGGAGAGGAGCCCAGTCTCTCTTCTCTGTGAGCTCCAATCCCCCACTTTTTGCCAAACAGGCCCCCTAGCTTGGGACAGCAGTGTAGTAGCCCTACCCACTGGCTGAACATTCCCAGTAGCAGTGACTCTACATTTCTCTGAGGTGGAGCTCCCAGAGGAGGCAACTAAATGACCCTCCACCACTGCCACTGCAGTGGTACTGCCCTTGCTGTCCTCAGACTAGGGAAGAAGGAAGAACTTGAGTGCTTTAACCACACCTCCAGCAAGTTGCAGTTGCCCTAAGGAGAAGATACCAGTCTATCTCCTATATATACCCCTCCCCCTGGAACCCTCTGCTTGTCACCACCTGGGGCCCCTGTCTTGGGCCTACAGCACAGCAGCCCCACTGCAGTCCAATCAAACTGATTGACAATGGCTCTGCATCTCACTAGGGTAGAGCCCCAAGAGACAAGTGAAAGACCCTCTACCACAACCACTACCAAGTTTCCTTCACCTGATGCCTCCAAGCTAGGGAGGGAATATAAAGCCTGAGCTTGCCTTAGAGCTGCAGTGTATAGCCCAACAGTGCATGCTGAGATCTGCAGCCAGCACTCTAGTGGGAGAGGAGCCCACACTCTCAGAGCACTGAGAGGAAGCATGGCTGCAATTATGAGAAAATACAGAGGAGCATGTGGCTAAGCAAGACCCCACCTACAGGCTCTTATACTTAAGCACAATCTACTGGATCACAGCCCAGACTTCAACACCAAAAATACTTTGCTAATATACTCCCCTGTGAAACCAAGGATAAAAATTCAGCTACAATTAAAGACACTGCAGAAAACCTCAGCCATCTGAAAACTTCCAGAAAAGAATTCTACTGACTGTACTCAAATCACATTGCAGCTAAAGGAGCATCAGCCCAAACAGATGAGGAAGGACCAATGCAAAAAATCTGGCAATTCAAAAAGCCAGAGTGTCTTCTTTCCTTCAAATGACTGGACTAGTTCCCCAGTAAGTATTCTTAACCAGGCGGGAATGGCTGAAATGACAGAAATAGAATTCGGATTATGGATAGGAAAGAAGATCATCAAGATTCAGGTGAATGTCAAAACCCAACTGAAGGAATCTAAAGATTACATTAAAATGATATGTGAGCTGATAGACAAAATGGCCATTATAAGAAAGAACAAACATGATCTGATAAAGCTGAAAAACACACTACAAGAATTCCATAATACGATTGCAGATATTAACAGCAGAACAGATAAAGCTGAGGAAAGAATCTCAGAGCTTGAAGACTGGTTCTCCAATCTAAGTCAGACAAAGATTAAAAATAATAATAATAGAAGAAAGAAGACCTCTGAGAAATGTGGAAATATGCGAACATTCAAATTCGGGAAATACAGAGAACCCTTGCAAAATACAAGAAGACTATCCTCAAGACACATAGTCATTGGATTCTTCAAGGTCAGAATGAAAGAAAAAATGTTAAAGGCAGCTAGGGAAAAGGGGCAGGTCACCTACAAAGGGAACCCCATCAGACTAACAGCAGACCTTTCAACAAAAACAAAAACCCTACAAGCGAGAAGAGAATGGGGTCCCATATTCAACATTCTTAGAGAAAATAAATTACAATAAAAACTTTTATGTCTGATCAAACTAAGCTTTATAAGCGAAAGAGAAAAAAGATCCTTTTCAGACAAGCAAATGGTAAAGGATTTTTGTTACCACCAGACATGCTTTGGAAGAGATCCTGAAGGGAGTATTAAATATGGAAAGAAAAGACCCCTATCAGCCACTACAAAAACAAACTTCAGTACATAGACCAATGACACTGTAACACAATCACACAAACAAGTCTACATAATAACCAGCTAACAACGTGATGACAGAAACAAATCTGCATATCAATACTAGCATTGAATGTAAACAGGATAAATGTTCCAATTAAAAGGCACAGAGTGGCAAGTTGGATAAAGAAGCACGACCCAACAGTATCAAAAGACCCATCTCACATGCAGTGACATCAGTAGACTCAAAGTATAGTGGAAGAATCTGCCAAGCAAACAGAAAGTAGAAAAAAGAAGGGGTTGCTTTCCTAATTTCACACAAAACAGAATTTAAACCCGCAAAGATAAAAAAAGACAAAGAATGTCATTACGTAATGGTAAAGGGCTCAATTCAACAAGATGACTTAACTATCCTGCATATATACATACCAGACACAGGAACACCCAGATTCATAAAGCAAGTAAGAGACCTGTGAAGAGAGTTAGATAACCACACAATAATGGTGGGAGACTTCAACACATCACTGACATTATTAGACAGATCACTGAGGAAGAAAACTAACAAAGATATTCTGGACAAGAACACAGCGGTACCAAATGGGCCAATAAACATCTACAGAACACTCCACTCGGAAACAATAGAATGTACATTGTTCTCATCTGCACATGACACATACCCTAAAATCAACAACATACTTGGCCATAAAACAGTCCTCAACTTATTAAAAACAAAACAAAACAAAATCATACCAACCACACTGTGGAACCACAATACAATGAAAACAGAAAACAATTCTAAGAAAATTGCTTAAAACCATATAATTACATGGAAATTAAGTACCTGCTCTTGAATAACTATGAAGTAAATAATGACATTAAGACAGAAGTCAAGAAATTCTTTAAAATTAGTGAATACAAAGATACAACACATACCAGAATCTCTGGGACACAATTAAGCCAAATAGAGAAGTTCATAGCACTAAACACCCACATCAAAAAGTTAGAAAGATCTCAAATCAGTAACCTAGCATGGTAACTCAATGAACTAAAGAAATAAGAGCAGGGTAACACCAAAGCTACTAGAAGACAAAAAATAAAGCTGAAGTGAAGTAAAGTGAGACGTAAAAAACATCCAAAAGTCAACAAATCCAGGAGTTGGGTTTTTTTTTTTTTTGAAAAAAAAAAAAAGATTGATAGACTGCTAGCTAGACAAAAAAAAAGAAGAAAGAAAGAAAACAAAGAAAGAGAAAGAAAGAAGAGAAAGAAAGAAAAAGAGAAAGAAAAAGAGAAAGAAAGAAAGGAAAAAGATCAAAATAAATGCAATTGGAAATGACAAAGGGGATGTTACTACCAACCCCACAATAATACACAAACATTTCAGAGACTATTATGAACACCTCTGTGCACACAGGCTAGAAAACCTAAAAGAAATGGATACATTCTTGGGCACATACAGTCTTCCAAGACTGAATCAGGAAGAAATTGAATCCCTTAACAGACCAGTAACAGGTTCTGAAATTGAATCAGTAATAAAAGTCTGCTCATCAAAAACAAAAACAAACAAACAAAAAAGCCCAGGTCCAGGAAAATTCACAGCTGAATTCTACGAGATGTATAAAAAAGAGCTGGTATCATTTCTACTGAAATGACTGAAAAAAAATTGAGCAGATGGAATCCTATGGAATCCTCTATGACTCATTCTATTAGGCCAGCATCATCCCAATACCAAGACATGGAAAACACACAACAAAAAAAGAAAGCTTTAGGCCATTAACTTGATGAACACAGATGCAAAAATCCTCAAAAATACTAGCAAACTAAATCCCCCACCACATCAAAAAACTAATCCACCATGATCAAGTAGGCTTTATCCCTGGGATGCAAGGTTGGTTCAACATATGCAAATCAATCAATGTGCTTTGTCACTTAAACAGAACTGAAAACAAAAACCTCATGATTATTTCAATAGATGCAGAAAAGGCTTTTAATAACATTCAATATCCCTTCATGTTAAAAGTCCTCAACAAACGAAGCATTGAAGGAAGACACTTCAAAATATTAAGAGCCATTTTTTTAATACATAAAAATATATTTTTATAGATATAGAGAGTACAAGTGCCATTTTGCTACCTGGATACATTGTGTAGTGTTGAAGCCTGAGCTTTTAGTGTAACTATCATCTGAATAGTGTACATTGTGCTCACGAAGTAATTTCTCATCCCTGACCCCCATCCCACCATCTCAGTCATCTGAGTCTCTGATGTCTGTATTTCCACTCTCTAAGTCCGTGTGTGCACAATATATAGCTCCCAACTATACTTAAGATCATGCAGTATTCGACTTTCTGTTTCTGAGTTATTTCACTTAAGATAATGGCCTCTAGTCCCATCCATGTTGCTGCAAAAGACAAGATTTCATTCTTTTTATGGCTGAGTAGCATTCCATTGTACATAAACAACGATGGATACAGATCCACTTTTACATGGTGTGTTAGATTCCTAGGGCTGCCATGAATAGAGCCATTTATGAAAAACCCACAGTCAACATCATACTGAATGGGCAAAAATTGGAATTACTCCCCTTGAAAATTGGAACAGGACAAGGATGCCCTCTCTCACCACTCTTATTCAACATAGTACTGGAAGTCCTGGCTAGAGCAATCAAGCAGGATAAAGAAATATAAGACACCCAAATAGGAAGACAGGGAGTCAAACTGTCCTTGTTTGCAGATGATATGATTCTATACCTAGAAAACCTCATTGTTTCTGCCCCAGATCTTCTTGATGTGATAAACAACTTCAGCGAAGTTTCAGGATACAAAATCAATTTACCAAAATCAGTAGTATTTCTATAAACCAACAACATCCAAGCTGAGAACAATCCCATTCACAACTGCCACAAAAATAATAAAATATCCAGGAATACAGATTACCAGGGAGGTGAAAGATCTCTACACTGAGAATTACAAACATCACTCAAAAGAATCAGAACTGACACAAACAAATTTTAAAAATCCATGTCCATGGATAAGAAGACTCAATGTAGTCAAAAACGTCACGTTGTCCAAAGCAATTAATAGACTTATTGCTATTCCTATCAAACTACCAATGACATTCTTCATGGAATTAGAAAAAACAATTTAAAAATTTGTATAAAACAAAAAAGAGCCCTAATAGTCAAAGCAATCATAAACAAAAAGAAAAAAGCTGAAACCAATTTAGTCACTTAACTTCAAAATATGCTATAAGGCTACCGTAACCAAAGCAGCATGGAACTGGTGCAAAAACAAACACATAGACCAATGGAACACAATAGAGAACCCAGAAATAATTCCACACATCTATAATCATCTGATCTTTGACAAAGTCAATGAAAACAAGCAATGTAGAAAGGCATCCCTATTCAATAAACGGTACTGGGATAACTGGCTAGCCATATACGTAAGATTGAAACTGGACCCCTCCCTTACACCATATACAAAAATCAACTCAAAATGGATTAAAGATTTACATGTAAAACCTAAAACGATAAAAACCCTGGAAGATAATCTAGGAAATATCATTCTAGATATCAGGACTGGCAAAGATTTTATGAAGTAGACACCAAAAGCAATTACAACAACAAATAAAAATAGACAAATGAGACCTAAATAAACTAAAGAGCTTCTAACAGGGAAAGGAACTATCAACAGATGCATACATTGCAGATGTTTTCTCCCATTCTGTAAACAGACAGTTACATAATGGGAGAAAACATCTGCAATGTATGCATTTGACAAAGGTCTATATACAGCAGCTATAAGGAACATAAATTTACAGCAAAACCAAACAATCCCATTAAATAACTGGCAAAGGACATGAACAGATACTTCAAGCAAAGACATACCTGTGGCCAACAAGCACACAAAACATGCTCAGAGTTGCTAACCATTAGATAAATGCAAATCAAAATCACAATGAAATACCATCTCACATCAGTCAGAATGGCTATTACTAAAATGTCAAAAAATAACAGAGGCTTGCAAGATAGCAGAGAAAAGGGGATGTTTATACATTGCTGGTAGAAATACAAAGTAATTCAGCCATTGTGGAAAGTTGTTTGGTGATTTCTCAATGAACGTAAAACAGAATTGCCATTTGACCCAGCAATCTCATTATTGGATATACACTGAAAGAAATATAAATAGAAATCTTTCTACCGTAAGGGCACATGCACATGTGTATTCATTGCAGCACTATTTGCAATAGCAAAGACATGGATCCAACTTAAATGCCCATCAACAATACACTGGATAAAGAAAATGTGATATATATATATCCATTCATATATATAATATATAAAATATATATAAATATATAATAAAACATATATAAAATTATATATATATATATATATATATAAATGGAATACCAGCCAGCCACAAAAAATAACTAGATAATGTTCTTTGCAGCAAACACAGATAGAGCTGCAGGTCATTATCCTAAGCAAACTAAAGCAGGAATAGAAAAGCAAATCACATATTCTCATGTATAAGTGGGAGCTAAACAATGAGAACACATGGAAACAGAGAGAAACAACAGACACCAGGGATTACTTGAGGGTGGAGGGTGGGAGAAAGGAAAGGATAAAAAAAACTACCTGTGAGGTAGTGTGCTTATTACCTGGTTGACGAAATAATCTGTACACCAAACCCTTGAGACACACAGTTTACCTGTGTAACAAACCTGCATATATAATCTTAAATGTAAAAGTTATAATAATAATAATGAGAACATTGTTATTATTATACTCTTAACAAGTGTGAGATATACAGGCATTGAACTAGTTGTGGAATTAAACAAAAGTATCATCACAAAGTCTTTATCTTCATGTACCTTTTATAGCAGTAGAAGATATAAGCAATCAACAAATAATAATAATATAACAAATAATATGCAATACTATTATAGATTGTGATAACTACACAGAAGAAAATCAGTAATGATGGGATAGAAAGTTACTGGAGGAAGCTAATTTAGGTAGTATGATTACAGATGATATTTTTGAAAATGATGTTTGAACTGAGTTCTTGAAGAGGATATTGTAGATAACTTCTCTCATTTGGAAGCTACACTGATTTTTATGTGCATAACCACAACTTATCTGTTTTGAGAGATGCTAACAGCACCTAGAAATGCGGCAGGTGATACAAGACTAATTAAAACAGCTCCTGAATATTTTCCATTCCACAGCTGTTGATTCAGGGATGACTGTGAACTCTAATTTTGAAAAATAAGGTTGCTTTTCTGAAGAAATTTTTTTAAAAAAATTAATCTTAACATATAAACATGAGAGGCCAGGTGCTGTGGCTCACGCCTGTAATCCCAGCACTTTGGGAGGCGGAGGTGGGTGTATCACCTGAGATTAGGAGTTTGCAACCAGCCTGGCCAACATGGTGAAACCCCGTTTCTACTAAAAATACAAAAAATCAGCCGGGCATGGTGGTGGGCACCTGTAATCCCAGTTACTCGAGAGGCTGAGTCAGGAGAACCGCTTGAACCTAAGAGGCAGAGTTTGCAGTGAGTCGAGATGGCGCCATTGCATTCCAGCCTGGGCATCAAGAGTGAAACTCGGTCTCAAAAAAAAAAAAGAAAGAAAGAAAAAAAAATGAGAAAATTACCGATCAAAGCCACCTCAGGGAAGTAACTCTTAGCTAATCCAGAGAAATAGAGCTGACACTATCGAATTAAAGAAACCTGAAGTCGGCATTTCATCTCGACTTTTAGCACACGGGGCCAATAGATCCTGCAATTTTATAGGCCAGTTTGAATAAAGTTTGTATTATTTTCAGAAGGAAACAGATTAGGTTATATAAACCAGGAGGAAAAATTAGACAACATTTAAATAGGTAGAGGAAGAATGAGAGAATTAAAGAAAACAATATGCAAATTCCCTAAATTCAAAAAGTTCTTGACATGTTCAAAGAAAAGACAATCTGCTAGTTTTAGGAATATAGTAGGGAAAAAATAAAATGTGGTATTAGATGAGGTTGGAGAGAAAAACAGAAACCATAATGAGTTTGGATTTTATTAATGATAAGTCATTGCCACATTTTTAGTGGGGAAACTAGATTTTTAGTGTCTTTGTTTTGTTTTTATTTTCATAAATTACTCCAATTGTTCTGTGAAGAATGTATTAGAAAAGTTTAAAATAATGTCAAGGAAGATAAAATAACTTGAAAGAATGAAGACAAGTTTGGAATAACAGATAATGCTGGTTTGGGTGACTGAAAATATAAGCAGAGATCAACAGAGATTTTCTGAACCAAAATCTTTGCTAGAGATAGATGTAATAAAACTCTATAAAGAAGTTGTGGTAGGGGTATAAGGAATTACCTGAGTCATGAGGGTTGGTGGAACCATTTTCAACCTTGAAAATCAGAAGCATTGCTTTGGATATATTACACTTGAGATTTTTTTCAAAACCGCAAGTAGAAATCGCTATCAAATAGATAGTTGGATGTGAAACTCTTCCATTCCTCTTACCACCCTCTGACTATCTTTGATTTTTACAGCTCCATATGTTTCACTAAAGGTCTATCATCAGATATACTAATAATTCTGTCACTGTTGATATTTTTGCTTTGGTTTTCAATATTGTTTTGTCCAGAAATATATCTGAGTTCATAATCTCAGAGATTATATGGGCACCTAAATATAATAAAATGTACAGGAAGGATACAGTCCTCCACAAATGCAGACAGACTTACATAGCAGGCTTTAGGACAAATGGAAGCCTGCTGTTACATGCATGCATACTACAGGGTAAAATATAAAAGGAAAAATATAAAAGTAATTTAATTATAGCATCTTAAAACTTAGTAACTATTTGGACCATTAGGGATGATACCCTCTGGGAGTATCAACAATAATTTAGATCTTATTATCAGACTACAAGGGATCTAATGTTCTATGCATGATTTGCAATTTAAGTAAATTAACCTCAGTGCTGTAGTCAGGCATTATTTTAAGATAGAAACCTCCTCTCTGGCAGCTTTTATCTCTGCATGGTTAATAAGGAAAGTGTAGCATTGCCCATACAGCTGTTCTCTTTGCAATATTGGAGTCACAGAAGGACAAGTTTAACCTATGAGCTACAATTTGGCCACAGCTGGATATAAATCTTTTTTTTGTTTTTTTTTGCTTTGAATTTATATTAAGCATGGTGCTGACTGAGTCATGGAGTCCTGCAGAGGCTCTATGGATGAAACTTTATGGATCACTGTTCAAACTGAAGAGAGAATTTAAAGATTACTTACTCCAAGCCAATAACCAGTAATAAATCCATGTTAAACAGATGGTAGAATGACAAACTAGACACAATCCAAAGATTTGCCATAATCTTAGAAAATTTCCATGTTCTTGCATGAGGCTCATGATTTCCCAGCATGTCAACTTTTGTAGAATGACAACTTCAAACAGTATATTATATCTGTGAATTCATCCAAATGCTTATGAGACTGTGATCATTAGTTTTTGAAAAACTGTTCACCTCTAAATCTTAATTCATTTTTTCTATCTCAAAACTTTGATTTGTTAAACAGCTGCCACCTGGTAAACAAACTTAGAGAATGCTTTTTAAAAAATTATGTTTTTTTTTTCCCAGAGATACCATAGATACTTCATGAGTCTATAGACATAAAATATCGGCCAGCTGCTTCTCTAAAAATAGATTAGTAGAGGCTGCTTGTAAGATGGAAGGGCAAATATAACATTGGAATGAATGTGAAGAAAGATGAAAAGGAAAGGTCCGTATTTTTAATCTGATCTTGCCTTTCCTCCATCAGCAGTAGAGAACTTGAATCTTGAGCTTTTCTAATAAATCATATTCTATGTTGTTAAATTTGTACTAAGAAATTCTACTTGCCTTCTATAATTTGAAATTCTGAAATCAAATGACATTTTTATTGTTATTTAATATGTTTATGACTGTGAAAAAAGTATTAGGTATTTTTTGAGGGAGGGTGCTGATTAGGCATAGGTTTACAGTTGTGATTTATAAAAATAGCAAATAAAATTATTCTGGTAACTGGTCACTGTCACTGGAATGTTGGGACGGAGGCTGGGATGTTAAATTATTACTTTGCTAATATCTTTCTGTAGTATCCCGAGATGGAACCTTAGTTTTCTGATTTTGATTTTCTTTTTTCCTAATGCATGCATTTAATGCTGTAATTTTCCCCCCAAAAAACTGCCTTCGAAGCAGTTTTTACATTAAATTTTCCACAAAATTAAATACATTGAATTTTCACTTTTATTTAGTCCAAAATATTTCATAAGATCTCTTTGAATTTAATTTTGGACTCAGATTATTTAGAAGCATGTTGTTTAATTTGCAGGCACTTGAAGATTGTTCAGTTGTCTTTCTGTTATTGATTTTAAGTTTAATTCCGCTGTAGTCTGAGAACATACTCTTTATGATATGTATTCTTTTAAACTTAACAGGGTTTGTTTTATAGTCCAGACTATAATCTATTGCAGTAAATATCTCATTCACACTTGAGAAGAATGTTTATTCTGCTAATGATGATGGTGACATCTATTTGCATCCATTGGGGCAAAGTGGTTTACGTTGCAATTTAGGTCATACATGTCCTGGGATGATTAACCCCTTCATCATTATATAATGTCCATCTTTATTCCACATAATATTTCTTGTTCAAAGTGTGATATTTTAGAAATCAATATTACTATTCCAACTCTTTTGATTAGTGTTTGTTTGACATGTTTTCCTAGCTTTTAACTTATAAACTAAGCTTGTCTTTAAATGGTTTCTTGTAAGTAGTATGTAGTTTGGTCTTGCTCTTTTACTCAGTTGGATAATTTTGATTTCTAGTTGATGTATTTAAAATGTTTACATTTAAAAGTATTATGGATAGAATTAGATTACAATCTACCATCTTGCTAGCTCTTTTCTATTTTTCCTTTTTTTCTTTCTTCCATGGGTTTAACTGAATGTTTTTATAATTTAGTTTTATCTTTTCATTTATTTATTATTTATTCCTCTTATTTTAATATTTTTATGACTACATTGTGGTTTACAATGTCAATTTTTAAGGAATCTAAACTGACTTTCAGAAAATCTTATGGAGATTTATTAGTAAATTCCTTAAAACAATATCATCCCCATTCCTCACTTCTCTTTTACCATTGTTGACATACATTGCCCTTTTACATATGCTAAAACACACAATACATTGCTACTCTTATTGCTTTAAGCAATATTTTTAGAACACTTTCCACATTTTTAAAATAATATGTTTCCTTTATATATTCATTTTCTAAACTTCTTCTTTTATTTTAAATCCAAGATATGACATACCATATTTCACCTGCCTGCGGAACTTCCTTTAACACTTTTTGTACAGTTTTTGCTAGAAATAAATCCCTTAGTTTCATTAGTCTGAGAAACTCTTTTTTCCTTTTACCTTTGCAGGGTACTTTCAGAAGACATAGAAGTCAGCTTTGGTAGATTTTATTTACAGTACTACTCCCTTATCCACAGTTTAATTTTCTGAGGTTTCAATTACCTCAGAAATTGTGGTCTACTGTGGTCCAAAAATATTAAATGGAAAATTTCAGAAATAATTCATAAATTTTAAATTGTGGGCTGTTCTAAGTTAGGCGATGAAATCTCAGACCCTCCTGCCCCACCATGCCTGGCATGAGAATTGCCTTTTTGTGGAGCTCAGCCATACTGAATACACTACCCACCCATTTGTCACTTAGTAGCCATCTTGGTTATTAGATTGACTGTCATGGCATCTCAATACTTTTGTTCAAATCATCCTTATTTTAATTAATAAAGACCCCAAAGCACAAGCGTAATGATGCTGGAATATTGGTTTTTGTTGTTGTTGTTGTCATTTTTCAGTTTGTTTTTGTGTTTTCGAGATGAGTTCTTAGTCTGTCACACAGGCTGGAGTGCAGTGGCAAGATCGCAACTCATTGTAGCCTCGACCACTGGAGCTCAAGTGATTCTTACACCTCAGCCTCCCAGGTAGCTGGAACAGGTGCGTGCCACCACACATGGCTAACTTTTCTTTTATTATTTATAGAGACGAAGTCTTGCTATGTTGCCCGGACTGGTATTGAATTCTTGAGGTCAAGTGATCATCCCACGTTGTTCTCCCAAAGTGCTGGGATTACAGGCATTAGCCACCATGCCAGGTCTGGAATATTGTTACATTTGTCCTATTTTATTATTAGTTATTATTTTACTGTGTGTAATTTATAAATTAAACTTTGTTATAGTTATGTATGTGTAGGAAAAAATGTACATATGGTGTTCTGTACAGTCCTCAGTTTTAGGCATTCACTGGAGGTCTTGGAACATATTCCCCATGGATAATAGGGGGCTAATGTATTTATTTTTTTTCTAGCACTTTAAAAATGTTATTCTACTCTCATCTTGCTTGCATGATTTGAACAAGCGGTCTACTGTAATTCTTATTTTTATTTCCCTGTAGGTAATTTGTTTTTTTTTGTGGGGGGGTAGGGTAGTGGGGGGTAGTTTGTGGTTGCAGTGGTGGTATGCTGCTTGCTGATCTCTTGTTTTTCTCTTTTAATTTCCAGTATTTCTGTTTGATATTTTTTACAGTTTTTTCTCTCTGCCGAAATTGCTTATCTGATTTTGCAAATTATCTATTATTCTCTCTCTCTCTCTTTTTTTTTTTTTTTTTTTGAGACAGAGTCTTGCTCTGTCGCCCAGGCTGGAGTGCAGTGACGCGATCTCGGCTCACTGCAAACTCCGCCTCCTGGGTTCACGCCATTCTTCTGCCTCAACCTCCCAAGGAGCTGGGACTACAGGCGCCCACCACCACGCCGGGCTAATTTTTTGTATTTTTAGTAGAGACGGGGCTTTCACTGTGTTAGTAAAGATGGTCTCGATCTCCTGACCTCATGATCTGCCTGCCTCGGCCTCCCAAAGTGCTCTCTTTATTGACTTCCTGTGCGTATTTTAAATTCTCTGTTTGATAGTTTCAACATCTGTTTCATACATGACTTTATTTCTGGTGATTACCTTGTCTCTTCTGAATATGTATTTTCTTACTTTTTGTATGCCTCAGTTTTTCTTTGTTGTTGAAAGACAGAAATATATAGGCAATAGATACTGGGAACTTTTTTTTATTACATATTTGGATATAAGTGCCTCTTTTTGTTAGACATTAGTTTGCAATTTTATGTAGAAGTTTGGCAGGGTTTGAAATTTGTTGTTGCTGTAGTTACTATCTTCAGCTATCCAGAAAATTCAAGTTCCTAGTAATGCTCTGTTTCTTTTTCAGTGTTTTGTCTTGGGTCTTCCTTTTGCACTGCTTCCCACTTACAACTCTCCCAGCTGACTTCACCGTTATTTTTACTGGAGGCTTGTCATCTTGGTGGTATGGGGTGGAGAAGAGAAAGTGCTCTGGGATGTTCCATTAAGGCTGTTTAAGCAGGTTCTTTAACCCTGGATCTGGAGGCATCAGCATCATAATTGTTCCTGCCTTCCCTCTGGATATAATGCTGGACTTAGCTTGTATCTCTGCCTCTACTCCAGGGCTAGAGCTCTTTATTTATTTTTATTTTATTTTATTTTTGTCTTTTGAATTTTCTTCTCTTTTTATTTTATTTATTAAAAAAAAAAATTCCTCTGTGCCCCTCTCAGCTACAGGGATTTTCCACCAGTGCCCTCATGTTGCAGCTCTGATGACCTCCCACCTGCTGATTAAGCTTCCTGTTTCATAATATAGATAGGGAAGTTGGGTCTGTGTGAAATTTCCATTCTAGCTTCTGTTCCCTTCCCCAAAGTCCTCAGGCTATAGGTTTCGATAAACTTCTCCCTAATGATTAGATTTTGTTTTCCCTAGGGAAGGCAGGGGAGCTGGATCTTAGTGAAATTCCCATGGTGACTTCTGTTATCCTCCCAAGTGTCCTCAGTCTATAGATTTGGATGATATTTTTTCCCTGTTGATTGTCTCCTTTCCCTAGTGGAGGTGGAGATAAGGGTCTGCTGCCTGGGTTTCCATGTGGCTGTCATTTCCCACCCCCAGCCAGCACACAATGAGCTTTCTCAGGGATCTCTTTGATCTTCTCAGTCAGGACGTGGTGAGATTCTGCCTGCAAGAGGATGTGAATACCCTTATGTCTGTGGGGCCCAGGGGCTTCACGCTCTCATGATAATCTTCTAACTGCTTTGTATGGAGATCCGCCCCTGATGAGCAAATCCAGCCAACTTTCTTCTCCCTCTAGGAGTCTGTGTCTCTCCTGATTGATTTCAGGTTTAAAGTTTGCTCTGCATCTTCAGTTCTCTGATTTGTTCAAGGAAAGTTTATTGCTAATTAACTTATTTATTTGTAGTCACCAAAATGGCCTTAACTCTTCCCTCAGTTTAAATAAACTTTAGATAGATTTCTTTCTGATTATAGGCTACTGGTCTCCTTATGTTTAGAGTATTTTACATTAGAAAAGTTTCTATTTTAAATTCTTTCTCTTCCCCTTTGAGACACAAATCTTTTCTCCCAGTCTGTTTGCTGGTTTACTACTCAGGAATGTCTTTCTCAAGTTATTCCTTTGAAATGTAAATCAAGAAACAGAGAGACTTCATCTTCCAGTCTCTGTGTAAGGTCAGGGGCCTAACTTCACCAATTAGCAAACACAGATTGACAACTACATGAACTAAATTATGGACTGAATGTTTATGTCCCCACCAAAATTCATATATTGAAACCCTAACCGCTGTCGAAGTTACCAAAAAAAAAAGTATCAATATCAAAATGAAGTCACTTACGTCAAACTCAACAAAATGGAGCTGTCAGGCCATAAAGAAGGAACCGTCATGCCAGTATGCCTGTAACAGGACTTATCAAAATAAATTAATGCATGTATCTCTATGACAAGAACTATGGAAGGAACTCCTTAAAAACTTAGTATTCCAGAGAAGCCATTTGCACAAGGACATTTGTCTAACAGTGGCTGCCTCTGCTAATTAGCCAAAGCCAACTCTTGCAAGAAACCCCTATAACCAATGGCCCTTATTTCAAAACAGCTTACATGAACTGATCTCCTTATCTCCTTTAATTAAATATATATATTTAATTAAATATATACATATATATATATTTTTTCCTCATTCCAGCCCTCTTGGATGTGCCTGTGGTTTAAACATACCATGCATATCTTGAATTGCAATCCTCTGATAATCCTAAATAAACTCTTTCTTTGGAGAGCCTGTCTCTGCTGTTCTTTAACGTCGATGCACCCAATATGATGCTATTTGGAAGAATGGCCTTGAAAAGGTAATTAGACTTAGGTGAGGTCAAGAGGGCAGGGCCATCTTTATGGGATTAGTGTCCTTAGCAAGCCAGGAAGAGGGAATCTATTCAGTTGGAAGCTTGATCTTGGATTTCTCAGTCTCCAGAAATGTGAGAAACAAATGTCTGTTGTTTAAGCCATTTACTCTATATTTTGTTACAGAAGCTTGCGCAGACTGAGACACCAACCTCCCTGCTAATGTTGTTCAGTATCTTTCCACTAGCTCACCCCAGTGCTCAAGACGCTCTCACTTTTTGTTTCAGTGGAGTTGCATTCAATTTCTTTTCCAAGTTTTTCTTTTTGGTCTAAGTTGTCTTGTGCAGTATTTCTCTGACAGTGGGTTTTTTCAGATTTTCTTTGTGGGAGAGACACTGATTCCAGTTCTTTGTATCTCAGGCTGAAAAGGGAAGTCCCCATTATTATGTTTACTGGATAATCAGACTAGTGGTGAGGAGGGATGGCAGGGGAGTAAAATACTCTTTTAGGCTCTGATTAAACCTCTTTATTAGGCAGCGTCTATGTCCCTGTGTCTTGAGTATGGGCCCTTCAGAAGAGCTCTTGCTCCTCCTGAAGCTGTTGTGCTTATTTTAACACATATTTCTGTTCTTCCTCCAATAGTAGAGCCTTTATTTTTCTGTATTCCTCCTAAGCTGCAATGGGTTTCCCTCAGTTTCAGAAATAATGGTTTTTCTTGCTCTTATCCCTTGTAGGTTAGGATCATTGTTTTGTAGAGGAGATATGGAGATCAGTTAACTACTGTAATCTTCCCCCGGAAAGCCCCAGGTAGAAAGCTTCATTCAGATTCTTCCCATTCCTTCCTATGAAGTCCTCGTGAGGTTCTGGAAGAATAGTCTGTAAGAGGATGTCAAATGTCTATATTTACAGCCCTAAACTTCTTTCTCACACTAGCTCATACTCTCACATTAGCTCATACTCAGCCTATAGCAACTTCTTAAAAATTCTTAAGTTGATCTTCCTACTAGTTTACATGTTGTGACCCTGCTGCCCCACCTTAGCAATTGCTAAGGTTTTGTTTCACTCTGTGATACTCTCTCCAGATTTTGAGTAATGTGTTGGTATCACATTTTTGATGGGTTCAATAAATGTTCCTAACTTACAGTTTGTCTAGCTTTTTTATGTTGTAACTGTTGAAAGGATGTTCATTTTTTCTGTCTGTACCTCCCTATTAAAAATGAAAATCTCTCCTTTTTTACTGAAATCTAGTAGACAAAAATGACTTCTTTATTACAAGCGAGTGGCTCTCTGGTCCTTAAATATCTCTTTTACCACTAAAATAAACAAGCTTTTTTTCTGATAAGTAGAATTGACAGAAGTACAGGTTATTGTAGATTAAAGCTTCATGTCAAAGTCCTTGTAACCACACACATTTCTGTTTTAAACATTCCATCTGATTTAAATTGGGTATACTAAAATTGTTTTTGATTATTATTTTCTCTTAACTCTTCCTGTTTACTTTAGTGAAAAAAGGATAATTTATAATTTTCTTCCTCAATGGTTTTTTGGTCTCAGTCAATATGACATGAATTCTTGTCATCTTATTGCCTGAGAAAATTTTAATTAAAAAAATTTAAATTATTACAGAGAGACATCCCCTCTCTTTCTGTAAATTTGAGCATTTTCTTGTACTTGTCTTCCATTATTTCTGCACCTATAAGGTATTAGTTTTTTGTAGGATGGACTTTATTTGGCATATGTGTTAAATGTTAATTATTTCATTCTATGTCAGTTTAGTTTAAAATAAGTTTCATTGACACAAATAATGAAAATACCAGTGATGTATACCAGCTTTGTTGCAAGTTGATAGTAAAAATTAATTGTGTTTCATGGTAACAATGTAGCTAATAACCATCTAAGAGATATCTTTTAAGAAAATAAACACTGTGAAGAATGAATAAGAGAAAATGTTATACTCTGGAAAAAAGAAAAAAAATTATAACATCATTTGAAACATTAAAAAAACCATATCATAAAAATCAGTGACTACTTAGATTGTGTAGTATTTCCTGAATGGAACTCTTCGGTGTATCAAACCAGGCAAAATCTGGCATAATTATGTTAATTAGAGTTTGTAGTAATTGTTAAAAAAAAACAACTTAAAACAAATTCAATTAAATGAAGTTTAATTGTGCAAAGAATGATTTGAGAATCTGGCAGCCTGTCAAGCAAAAATAGGTTCAGAGTGATGCCAGGGCTACCACAGGGTTAGATAATATTTATGGACAGTAAAAGGAAAGTGACATATAGAAAATGGATGTAAGGTACAGAAATCACAGGACTGGTTACAGCTCAGTGTTTGCCTTATTTGAACATGGTTTTAACAGTTGGCTGCAACTCTATTACTGGTACAAAATTATATTTTAGTCTATTTACATATTCAAATAGGTTACAGACCATTATATACGGAGAAACCTTTAGGCTAAAGTTAAAATATGTAAGGGAGCAGCTTTAACTTAATTTAACAATTTTTCCTCTTTTGGTCAATCTCTCAATTTTGGCATTAGTGTTACTTGGTTACTATTACAAATGGATTTATTTGGTCTCAAGTCCTACTGGGAAATAGAACTTTATTCCAGTCAAAGAGAAACCATTTCATATTCTACAGATGGCTGCAAGCAAACATTTAAAACTTTAGAGAGAATACAGTGTGGCAGGGAGACTACTACTACCATTATATGGGACATAATATCAAGAGTTCAGAGTATGCTCCTTAGCACTGCATTAACCAAACCACCTAAAATCAAATAGATCAAAGAATGAGCCAGAAAAAAAGTTGTCTTGTTTTAACTAGGAACCTAGTTGTCAATTCCATGCACCTGAGTCTTTATATTGCCTAAAGTATTTATCCACATGTATCAAGAAGAGTCAGATTTTTTTCCTGTTCAGCCATAAGTAATCAGGAGAAATTTTAATATCTAGCACAACATTAGCAAGATAATGTTTAAAAGTCTGCTCTGCAGTCACAGCCCTTGTTGTAGAATCTGCTATAGAGCCTATTATAGGAGACACATTTCTAATCATTGCCTCATTTACTCTAACCCACGGAAAAATAGACCGAGCAAATGATGCCCATAAAGAAGGGTGAAGACCTCCTGGAAATGTTTGCTTTACCCTATGATGTAGTTAAGAGGAGTGGACTGATATTCTGTTTCTGAGCAATTATGGAGGAGCAAAGGTACTATTAAAAATATCTCACTTACTCTGGCCCTTTGTCTTCTATCCATCAAGACGTAAGGTTGCCAAAAAAGGCCCAGGACTAGATGGATTTACACCCAAATTCTACCAGAGTTACAAAGAGGAGCTAGTACCATTCCATCTGAAACTATTCCAAACAATTGAAAAGGAGGCACTCCTCCCTAACTTATTTTATGAGGCCAGTATCATCCTGATACCAAAACTTGGCAGAGGCACAATAAAAAATGAAAACTTCAGGCCAATATCCCTGATGAACATTGATGCAAAAATCCTCAATAAAACACTGTCAAACCAAATCCAGTAACACATCAAAAAACATATGCACCACGATCAAGTCAGCCTCATTCCTGGAATGCAAGGCTGGTTCAGCATATGCAAATCAATAAACGTAATCCACCATATAAACAGAATCAATGAAAAAAAATGATTATCTAAATAGATGCAGAAAAGGCCTTCAATAAAATTCAACATCGCTTCATGTTAAAAACTCTCAATAAACTAGGTATTGATGGAACATATCTCGAAAAAAAGCTATTTATGGCAAATCCATAGCCAATATCATACTGAACGGACAAAAACAGGAGGCATTGCCTTTGAAAACTGGCACAAGACAAGGATGCCCTTTCTCACCACTCCTATTCAAAATAGTATTGGAAGTTATGGCCAGGGCAATCAGGCAAGATAAATAAATAAAGGGTATTCAAATAGGAAGAGAGGAAGTCATATTTGTCTGTTTGCAGATGACATTATTCTATAATAGAAAACCCCCAAACTCCTTAAGCTAATAAGCAACTTCAGCAATGTCTCAGGATATAAAATCAATGTGCAAAAATCACAAGCATCCCTATACACCAACAGTAGACAAGCAGAGAACCAAATAATGAATGAACTCCCATTCACAATTGCTACAAAGACAATAAAATACCTTGGAATACAGCTTACAAGGGACATGAAGGACCTCTTCAAGGAGAACTACAAACCACTGCTTAAAGGAGTAGGAGAGGACACAAACAAATGGGAAAATATTCCATGCTCATGGATAGGAAGAATCAATATCATGAAAATAGCCATACTGCCCAAAGTAATTTATAGATTCAATGCTATTCCCATCAAACTACCATTGACTTTCTTCACAGAATTAGAAAAAAAATTCTTTTAAATTTTATATGGAACCAAAAAAAGTGGCCATATAGCCAAGACAATCCTAAGCAAAAAGAAGAAAGCTGGAGGCATCATGCTACCTGACTTTAAACTATACTACAAGGCTACAGTAACCAAAACAGCATGGTACATGTACCAAAACAGACATATAGACCAATGGAACAGAACAGAGACCTCAGAAATAACACTGCACATCTACAACCATCTAATCTGCAAAGAACCTGACAAAAACTAGCAATGGGGAAAGGATTCCCTATTTAATAAATGGTTCTGGGAAAACTGGCTAGCCATATGCAGAAAACTGAAACTGGACCCCTTCCTTACACCTTACACAAAAATTAACTCAAGATGGATTAAAGGCTTAAATGTAAAACCTGAAACCATAAAAAACCCTAGGAGAAAACCTAGGCAATACCATTCAGGACATAGGCATGGGCAAAGACTTCATGACAAAAAAACACCAAAGGCAATTGCAACAAAAGCCAGAATTGACGAATGGGATCTAATTAAACTAAAGAGCTTCTGCAAAGCAAAAGAAACTTGCATCAGAGTGAACAAGAAACCTACAGAATGGGAGAAAATTTTTGCAATCTATCCATCTGACAAAGATCTAATATCCAGAATCTACAAGGAACTTAAACAAATTTACAAGAAAAAAACAAACACCCCTGTCAAAAAGTGGGTGAAGGGTATGAACAGATACTTCTTGAAAGAAGACATTTTTGTGGCCAACAAACATTGGAAAAAAAGCTCATCATCACTGATCATTAGAGAAATGCAAATCAAAACCACAATGAGATACCACGTCATGCCAGTCAGAATGGCAATTTATTAAAAAGTCAATAAACAATAGATGCTGGTGAGGCTGTGAAGAAACAGGAACACTTTTACACTATTGGTGGGAATGTAAATTAGTTCAGCTATTGTGGAAGACAGTGTGGCGATTCCTCAAGGATCTAGAACCAGAAATACCATTTGACCCAGCAATCGCATTACTGGATATATACCCAAAAGGATATAAATAATTCTACTATAAAGGCACACACACACACATATGTTTATTGCAGCACTATTTACAATAGCAAAGACAGGTAACTAACCCATTTGCCCATCAAAGATAGAACTGGATAAAGAAAATGTGGCACATATACATCATAGATTACTCTGCAGCCATAAATGAGAATGAGATCGTGTCCTTAGTAGGCACGTGGATGAAGCTGGAAGCCATCATCCTCAGCAAACTAACACAAGAACAGAAAACCAAACACTGCATGTTCTCACTCATAAGTGGGAGTTGAACAATGAGAACTCATGGGCACAGGGAGGGGAACATCACACGCTGGGGCCTGTCAGGGTGTTGGGGGCAAGGGGAGGGAGAACATTAGGACAAATACCTAATATACGCAGGGCTTAAAACCTAGATAATGGGTTGATAGATGCAGCAAACAACCATTGTATATGTATACCTGTGTAACAAACCTGAACATTCTGCACAGGTATCCTGGAACTTAAATTTAAAAAGAAAAGAGAGACGTAAGTTTGTCTATGTATAAAGTTGTCTGTAAAATCTACCACAATTAAAGATACACCCCATGAGAGCACACAAGGCTCCTTTTCCAGTTCTATTGTTCCTAGAGGCATAAGAAAAAAAAATAAGAGAGTTAAGAATCTCATGATGGCAGAAAAGTCTTTCTCCATAATATTGGGAAAGCTGTCCACATCTAGGAGGCTGTCAGCTTCTAGGGAGAAACTTCCTTGGCTAGCTTTACCTTAAGCTTTCCAATGGGTGTACAGTTCAAGAATCTGACAGGGCCCTTCTGAGTTGTGAGAGGACCTATGACCCAAGGTTCTGACATTTTGCTGCAGTGTGGGCAGCAAGGACAGTCTTTCTTTTACACCATTTACAGAGGACCTAAGCTCCAGGTTCTAGATCATGAAGGGTTTAATTGTCTTCATTGGGTGGATCATGAAATGCTTTCTTTACCTGGCAAAAATTCATTTTGGCACAATGCATTAAAGCCTCACAGCATTTAGTTATGTCAGAGTTTAGGAGTGGAAGATACATTAAGTTTTATCATTAGGGTCATAGGCCTTACAGTGACTGTTTTATAAGGAGTCAACTTATGTTTTCTCCTGGAAGTGGATCTGATTGTCACCAATCTGAAACATCTTTGATCAAGGCAATCCAGTCAATTCATTTAGATTTGCTAATGCTATTGAATCTGTAATACCTTATTTAATTGTTTTACAAGTTGTCCAGTGAAACAAATAGCTCTATTGCTGGGGATTTCTCCAGGAATGCCCCATGAGGAAAACACATTTCCTAATAAACTTTTAGTTACTGTTATAGCATTGGCTTTCTTGCATAGGAAAGCTTTTAAATAACCAGAAAACATGTATTGAAAATACCAATTGAATGAAATCCCTGTATAAATGTTCAAATGACACAGCAAATAGTAGACATATACCCAAAGTTTTGATTGTTTTCCTAGGATTATAAATTGGACAAATCAAACATTGGTGATAAACCATTTTAGCAATTTAGAACAGTCACTACACACACACACACACACACACACACACACACAATCTATTTGTCTGTCTATCTATTGATCTATCCACCTATCCATCTATCTATCTAAGACTTGAATCATTTTACCTCTTCCATGATGTGTTATAAAGTGCAGAGTTTTTAATAACAGAAACTTTAAGGACTAAGGAAAGACCAAGCAGCCTTCCAGGCCCTCTATGAATCCATGCTTAGCAGTGGATTTATATCCTCTTAAATACCATTATTATTTTCTCCAATTCACATGCATGATACTTATTAAATGGGTTACCATAGGTAATTTGACCTGAGCCACTGAATTCATTCTAATTGTATATCTTGTCAATTTCAGTACTGGCTGATTTAGCATAAAAATCTGGCGAAGTATTTCTGTGGTATTCAATTAATTCTTGTCCTGCTTGGGTTAACAGTTTTATATATGAGTCAATCTCTTCATTGGATTTCTGGAAATTCTTACCCAGTCTAAGAGATATGATTTTAAATTTATTAGAAACCTGTATTCAAGAGTGCTTGTCAGGGTCCTTTTCATCGTTTTTATGAACCGCCTTGAAGACACACACTTTAGGACTTTACTTGCTTATAAAGAGCTTTCAGAAGATGCTTCAGAATTAAGCAATTAACTATGGACAAGACTGCATATGGTGATGGCTATAGATGCAATTTTGTTTTCTCAGTAGCCTATAATAATTTAACATGATAATCATAATTATAACTGATAACATATACCATGACATATCAGAATCTTAGGAACCTTAGTTTGGAACACATATTAATAACATATCCATAAAAATATAACTCAAAATTTTAAAGTTATTTCTTATTTGAAAATGCTTCCCACATAATTTAACATATAAAATAATATTTTAATGTATAAAATTATTAATAAAATAAATTAATTTTCTTTTGGATGCTTAAGCCATCTGTCACATCTAAAAGTTTGAGATTAAAAAGACTTAATTTTAAAATTTGAAATTTGATTTTGAGAAGCCTATCAAATATGTCAAATGTGTAAAACACTTGATCATGATAAGATTACAAGCCACTGTAAAATAAATAATCATTTAGCTAAAGTGATATTTAAAACATTTTTAAAAGCAAAAATATTTATTTTTTGTTAGAAACAAACTCAGTTTTCTAAGCCATCAAACACCTGAGAGGCCGGGTGCGGTGGCACATGCCTGTAATCCTAGCACTTTGGGAGGCTAAGGCAGACGGATCACTGGAGGCCAGCATCCAGGCTTTAGAATTTAGCTCAGACAAATCAAGTAAGTGTCAAAAGTATTACAGAAGCAGCAGTTTTATAACCTTGAAATATGTATCAAAGATAGCATAAACTTTTCTGACCTGTAGCATCGGACAAAAAATGTCTAAATTATATTTAATATTGATAATTCTGAAGACATACCTGCTTTATTTTACCAAAAAACTCAAAACTAGCCTCATTTACCAAACATCTTATGTCACATAGAAGTATCACATACACATAATACATATAGGCATGCAGACACAGGACAGAAGCAGATTTTTCCACCGTCATTAAGATTTTTTGTTTGTCAGCTTCCAAATAGTCTTTGTTTTCTAAATTCATACTATCAATCTTCCAATTACCTGTTTTATTGTCCTAAGCAACTGTTAGCTAGGCAACCCTAAATCTGAACTTCTAAAGGAATGACTGTTAGTTAAAATTAGGTAGGAAATGTATATCTCAAAACACAGACATGAGACTTCAGCCCTAAATATTAACATTTTTTTGCCTAAACCAAGAAAGGAGGGTGCAGATAAAGGCCCAGTTAAGACAAGATAGCCAGACAAGCATATTAAACAAAGGTAAGGCTTGTTACATACATTTAAAGCAATGCTTAAGAGTTTCTACTGACTCAATCTTTCCTCTCTTCCCAGTTTACAATGCTCAAATCCTTATAATCCACAAAAAGTAGAAATAATTTTTTAACAAAATGCCTTACAAATGGTGACTTCTTTTATAGATGTAAGTTTGTTTTATAAAAGGGTTTCAAAGTAGGCAATGAAATGCTAGAAAGATGGATTTTGAAGACCAGTTTTAGTTCAGTAGGTGGTCTTTTAAACTTATATTCTATTTCTTAGCTAAAATTACTGAAGTTAAGATAGAGCCCACTAACTAATAGGGCAAATAAAGAATTCTCTATGCATAGATTCAGCATTAATACCTCTAAAAAAGAAGCAAGGCCACTTTAGCTGAGGGTCTACCTTTTGTAAACACTTTATTCAGCTTTCTCTTAGCCTTTTGTGTAGGATAGTAACTTAACCGAAAGGATAGAAGACTCAGTTTTTCTTATCGTTTAGTCACTTAGGTGTTTTTATTTGCCTTCCTAAATCCTTTTGAAAAATGCAGTAATAATACTGACATCTTTTTAGAAACTTCTGCACATCAATAAGCATCCCTAGTGAACCTAATATTGAGGTGCTAATTTTTAAATTCACTTCTTAAAGTGCAGCATTATTCATTTTGGCATTCCGCTGTAATTTTAAATTATCTTTCATAAGATCTTACCATTTTTTTTAAGTTTTCGCTGCTTCCAGGACCTAATATTTATACATCTAAATGTAGGCAGAGCTGGAAGTTAAAGTACTCAGTTCTTCAAAATTAAGGATCCTATTTTTATGTTGAATGTTGGCTTTGGATCGCAGATACCCTCTATTAACTTGGCCAATATTTTTTTTCTAACTAAGTGCACACACAAAAAAAAGAAACAGAGTATAGAACCGAAAAATCCCTTCAAGATTCCAAAAGCTTGAGTTCATACCCTCTTTAGTATTGCCATTCACTGACAGTTTCTGTCTGACCCGATCACACACCTGAGCCCTCTAACTGGATCCATTCCAGTTAATTACCCAATCCGATTATCTTCTGGAACCAGTCCACTTTCTTTCACAACTTCTTAACCCAGTTTAGATAAAAAAATTTGCTCAAACAAATTAGGATAACTGAAAACACAAATCTATGAAGCTTTAGAATCCAAGAGACAACCTACAATTTCCAGGTGCTGCAAGACAGCAATGGACACAATGGGTCCAGCAGATATCTTGCTTGGTCACTCAATGCCCCTGGGGATCACAAGAAGCTTTACATTGATCTCACTTGTGACACCATCTGTTAAAAGAAAAACTTAGAAGAAATTCAATTTAACAGAATTTTACTGAGCACAGAACGATATGTGAATTGAGCAGCCCCCAGAAACAGAATAGGTTCAGAGAAGTTACAGGCTGCCATCTTTGGATGCTATTTATGGACAGAAAAAAAAAATCTGACATACAGAAAATGAAAGTGAGGTGCAGAAACAGCTGGATTGGTTATAGCATGGTGTTTGCCTTATCTGAACATGGTTTGAATAGTTGGCCACCTGTGATTGTCTGAAACGCTGATTGCTACAAGGGAAGGTTAGAGTCTGTTGTTTGGTTTTAGTTCACATTATATAGAGAAGGCTTTAGGCCCAACTTAGAATATGTAAGGAGGCAGCTTTAAGCTAAACTTAATTTAACATAATGTTTTCAATGATGAAATTGTTTTAAACTGATAAGAAAAGATTACAGCTGACTGGTTAGTAAGTTTCAGTAAAATTGATAGGATTTCTACTATGTTGAACTATATGAGGTGATTTGCTTCAGTCAGTATACAAGCAAACATACATTTGAAGATATTTTTAGCTATAGAATTTTAAAATATATTTTGAATAGAGGAGCTTCAGTCCCACTTTATCTCAAGGTGTAAATTTTCTACTTAAAGTTAAATTGTCTTTTAAATTGTTCACATTGATACTTAATCAAAGAAGCATGTTTAAAACATGACACTATTGTTTGAATGTTTGTTCCCTTCAAAACATATGTTGAAATTGAATTGCCATTGTAACAATATTAAGAGACAATTCTGCCATTAGCACTTGCCTTCGTGAGTAGGTTTAATTCCTTTATAAAAGGGCAAGTTCAGCCCCCTTTTGTCTCTTTTCCTTTCCACCATTTGAGAACGAAGCATTCATGGTGTCATCTTGGAATCAGAATTGACAGACCTGCCTGTGCTTTGGCATTGGACTTCATAGCCTCCAGAACTATAAGTAAATAAATTTCTGTTGTTTATAAATTACTCAGTCTGTGGTATTTTTCTATAGTAGCACAAATGGACTATGACACATGATCTTCAAGCATTCAGATTATTAGTCAATTCATATGTAAAAGACAGACTTTTTAGCAGTAAAACTCAAAATATATTAAATAATATGCATGAGTGTTGGCTTGATATCCTAATAAAAGCATATGGATATTAAGAAGTCACTGGTAAAACAATTTTCCTTTGTTATATATAAAGATTTAATTAACAGTGTTGTTGAACTGTTAACAATCAAAAATAATATTGAAAAATCAATTAGTTATCATGGGGTCAAGCAGCTTTTATTGTTATTCTTGTTGCTGCTGTTAGTGTGTTCACTATAGAATCTAGTGAAAGTTAATCATCATTAAAGGATAAATCACATTACTATGTAATATTCCAATTTGGAGATTATGATAGACAAAATAAATCAATGCAATACGTTATCTTAAAATAATGTCTTTGGTTTTTGGAATAATGGTATATATTAAGTGATGAGTTGTTTATTATAATCATGGAAATCAACCAAAAATCAGTAAAGAGGCTATGTTAAAATGGAGGCCAGATCCTGGTATTCTGCAAAATAATGGCACTTGACTTATTTTAAAAAATTGCTTGAATAAAAGTTTTCACTCACTTTATGTGTTGTGAAATGAATTGTTTAAGTTTTTTAAGAAAATATCTAAATCCACATCCATACAATTTAACATTTTACCTTTAGGGAATAGATGAGGTCATTAAACTCAACTGAGCCTACTGTTGTTGAAATTTTTCTAGCTTACTACAGTACAATGATAAAAGTGTCAAAGAAAACCAAAGATGGACACTAAAGCAGTGAAAATAAATTTTATTAAAAAAATAAGTTTTACAATAGGGGAAATGAGATTCCAGTATCAAATTGAGCTAAATTCTGAATATAGCATAGACAAGTGGTGATTTATAGCAGTGTTCAGTGGTTAACAAATAAAAAATTACTAAGAGGTAGTTTGAGGGTTAGGAATAGGGTTGATTTTAGCTAAATCAACTTGACAGGATTCTGGCTGAAGGCAGGCCAGGGTGATAAGATACCAACTGTGGGGGATTTGGAATTGGATCTTATACCAAGGGTGATTAGATATCAAGGGTGAGGATTCTTGCTAAACTGACTTCCAAAAGTTTTGCTAAAACTAGGTGAGGCAAAGACAAAACATCCAAAAGTCAAGATCTGGTTGAGGAAAAGATTCACAGCAGCCTGACGTGTTGCAGGAAGTCAGGGACCCCGAACGGAGGGACCGGCTGGAGCCACGGCAGAGGAACATAAATTGTGAAGATTTCATGGACATTTATCACTTCCCTAATAATACTTTCATAATTTCTTATGCCTGTATTTATTTTAATCTCTTAATTCTGTTGTCTTCATAAGCTGAGGATGTACATCACCTCAGGACCACTATAATTGTGCTAACTGTCCAAATTGATTGTAAAACATGTGTGTTTGAACAATCTGAAATCAGTGCACCTTGAAAAAGAACAGAATAACAGCGATTTTTAGGGAACAAGGGAAGACAACCATAAGGTCTGACTGCCTGCAGGGTCAGGTAAAAAGAGCCATATTTTTCTTCTTGCAGAGAGCCTATAATTGGACATCCAAGTAGGAGAGATATCACTAAATTCTTTTCCTAGCAAGGAATATTAATATTAAGACCCTAGGAAAAGAATTGCATTCCTGGGGGGAGGTCTATAAACGGCCGCTCTGGGAGTGTCTGTCTTATGCAGTTGAGATAAGGACTGAAATACGCCCTGGTCTCCTGCAGTACCCTCAGGCATATTAGGGTGGGGAAGAAACCCCACCCTGGTAAATTGGAGGTCAGACTGGTTCTCTGCTTTCGAACCCTGTTTTCTGTTGTTTAAGATGTTTATCAAGACAATATGTGCACAGCTGAACATAGACCCTTATCAGGAGTTTCTGATTTTGCCCTTAGAAGCATATGATCTTTGTTCTCCTTTTTGCCCTTTGAAGCGTGTGATCTTTGTGACCTACTCCCTGTTCTTGCACCCCCTCCCCTTTTGAAATCCTTAATAAAACTTGCTGGCTTTAAGGCTCAGGTGGACATCACGGTCCTACTGATATGTAATGTTACCCCCAGAGGCCCAGCTGTAAAATTTCTCTCTTGGTACTCTTTATTTCTCAGCTGGCCGACACTTATGGAAAATAGAAAGAACCTACGTTGAAATATTGGGGGCGGGTTCCCCCGATACTGACTAAAGTTTGGTTAAAGTGAGAGTCTTTGTCAAAGCTCAAAAATGAACAAGGAAAGGCTAAATTTTACTTAGTATTCTCAACTTAAAAGAAATTTAAGTTACATAATGTATTTTAATGTGCTTTATTACTCATATTTAAAATAAAGTTTATTCCCTTAGAAAAGCAAGCCTCAATTTTTGAAATATTAGATACAGAAGGTACTTAGGAAATTTTGGCTGGTTTCATCCTGATATTGTATGTGTAGTAGAGACAAACACAGTGAGATGAAAGCTGCACATTCCACCACTCTAAGTGGACAGCATTTGGAACTTACCTGGCATATGACCTTTGCATTATCTCCAAATGTGAAAAAAAAATACAGAATGAGAAAATGAAACCAACATGTTCTAAATTTCTGCCACTGCAGAAGAAGATGATGGAAAATATAGATATTTTTAAAAATTTAATTAAGTTGGATTAAACACTTAACACATATCATCTCCTCACTTTTTCTCTTTGCTTATATGTAGCTGCATTCTCCTTTAAAAACCATAATTGAACTTTACGAATAATTCTCTCTTTTTTTTTTTGGCTGCTTAAACTACTTGGAGTAAATACTCAATATCCTGTGAGAGAAAATTAGCTATAGGCAGTAATAAAAAAAATGTATAAAAGTTGAAGTAAATTGCTGGTGGGTTTTCATCAATTTAGGGTATTTTCCAAGTAGTTCTTTTTTTTTTTTTTTTTTTTTGTTTTGTTTTTGAGACGGAGTCTCGCTCTGTCACCCAGGCTGGAGTGCAGTGGCGGGATCTCGGCTCACTGCAAGCTCCGCCTCCTGGGTTCACGCCATTCTCCTGCCTCAGCCTCCCAAGTAGCTGGGATTACAGGCGCCCGCCACTATGCCCGGCTAATTTTTTGTATTTTTTTTTTAGTAGAGACGGGGTTTCACCGTTTTAGCCGGGATGGTCTCGATCTCCTGACCTCGTGATCCGCCCGCCTCGGCCTCCCAAAGTGCTGGGATTACAGGCGTGAGCCACCGCGCCCGGCCTTTTCCAAGTAGTTCTAAGGGATAGTTCTGAGGTTAGCTAGCTCAATATTATTCACAATGGAAAAGACAATCTAAAGTGAGAAATGTACATAGTAATTTCTAATAGTTGAGAAATATTGCTTTTAATTAAAAGGAGTTCTGTAAGAATTCTTTACATGTTTTAACTTTATTAAAATTGGTAGGAAATATACTATCTTGGTGCTTTCATTTGTAATTGAAAAATTAAAAATTCTGTTTTTTTAACTTTTTAAAAAATAACTAAAGATAATTCAGAAGGAAAATCTGCTTATTGCTATAAAATCAAATCTCCTCTGATTAAAAGGAAAATCCATAAAAAGGAAATGGCAATTACTGGAACAGTATTTATTATGCTATAGAATATAAATAATAGTGTGAATACATTCTGATGAATTTCTTTTTTACAATCATGACTTACATGGAAAAATATGACTATTCAGCATATTCCCCAAGAATATCACGCTGTGGTTCTTATTCCTGAGACAGAAAGGAAAAGGGTTAGGGAGAAATATAAATATAATTCTGAAATTATTTATCTATCCTGGAAATTTCTGCAGGAAGTCAACTTCGCCTTCTCTTTTTAAGCCAAAACATCTTTTTATTACAGGATAAGGCCAAGAGAAATACTAAAATAATATTATCACACTAGGGAAATATCAAATGCCCTTAAGGCTCCAAAAAAAATTTCTGATAAAAATAGCCCTGGATCCTGGATACTACCCTAATTTAGGTCATATATTAGATATCAGATGTGATTTCTAATTTTCACCATAACCCTAATTTATCGCTCTTTCACAGATGAGGACATTAAGTTTTGTCATGCTTAATTAACTTGCTGTGTTCCTCACAGTCACAGCTTGAAAATTCCTGAATGATATTCAAACCAAGTTATGTATAACCACTAAAGTCTCTATCTTTCTTCCTTATCACTCTACCTTCTCATTATCTGTGTGCATTTAAACAATTTTCTTAAGCAATTCATCTTGGAATCAGAATATCTGGGTTCAACAGTCTGCTTTGTATGACCTTCCTTGTCGTGTGACCTTGGACAATTTACTTTACTTCTTTGCAGTCTCAGGCTCATCATCTCTAAAATGGGGATGATAATGATAGTATTACCTCATACAGTTTCTTTGAGGCTCATATTCAGTGAAGATCGAGTGAATATATGTAAAGAATGTAGAACTCTGAATGGAGCATAGTTAAGTGTTATATGTAGGTGTTACTATTATTCTAATCTTCCTCTTTGAGTCTTAATTTTCTTATACAGCTTGCTTAATGAAGATAATAATAACAACAGAATTTTAATGCTATTTAAGACAAACAATTTAAGACCAATTTTAAAGCCATAAAATTAGAATAACCTTGAAATTATTAAAACAGTAATTCCTGAATAACAATAATGATATATAATGTTGAGAGCAATGAGTATAGCTGTGAGTGTTTTCTGATATCCAGGATCAGGGTATAGCCATTCTAATTTGGATGGTGAATAATATTAAATTTTGAGATAGTTCAATAACTTTAAATTTAAAAGAGGCAATAAGCAAAGAAAAGCTTTCTTTCTTCTCTGAGGATTGAATCAGTTAATACAAGCCAAGCACTTAGAACAGTGATTGGCATATAGTAAATACTCAATAAATTTTGGCTATTATTTTTATGTTTTTTCACCATTAAACTACCCAATGTCTAACAAAACACCTAATATTAGGCATGCAATTTAAATTTGTGAGATTGTGTTAGAAGAATATAACATTAAGTGTACCTGGGGGATAAATGAATTAATGCCCACATCTTTATATTTTCCAAACTAATGTAAAAGGAAGAAAATCTACCCAGGATAATTATTTTAATTTAAAATTTGTCACAGATATGAGCAACTTCCTGACATTAAACAAGAAATTGTGACACAGATGTTGCCAAAGAATTAGCTTCCCTGGATCAGTGGGACTTTGATGATTAACATGATATACACTTTTGCTTTCGGGTAGGCAAACCACACTATTTAAAAAGCGACAGAAGGAATGTTTCAGTAATGATTGTTGTTAATATTATGTTTTATAGTCAATATTATTAGAGGTTTTATGATAGTCAGCATAAATAATAGGAAAATCAACTTGAGTACTCCAAAAGGGTAAAATTTTTGTGTCACATGGAATTATTTTAGAGTGCATGTCTTTATCTAATGCAGAGGGGGTTAGCAGACAAAAGAGTGTTCTTTCGGCTTCAAATTAGGCAAGTAACAGGTTTTCCCATCAAAATCAGAGACTATGAAAAAACATCCCAGCTTCAAGAGTGCAAATAATGAAAGTCTCAGCATGAGACACAGAGAAAATGTAAAAATGAGAGAAAAAATATGCATCAGAATGTGTCTGGGTTATCGATAGACATTTGTTGGCTAAAAATCATTTTGCAGATCACATTCATGGCAATATTTTTCTCCCTCTCTTCTTCTTTCCCTCTTTTCTTCCTTTTATCCTTCACTTCCTCTCTCCTTCCCTCCCATTTTTTCTTTTTTCAACAAATATTTGTTGAGCAGCTATTACTTTCCAAGCACTCCTTAAACATGAAGGATACTGTCATTAACAAAACAGTTACAAATCCCTGGAGAACAAAACTAGATAAGAATTCTAGTGGAAAAGGAAAAATAATAGTTAACTTAACAAATAAACAAAATAATGTCTATTTGTGATATGTGAAACAAGTAAAAATAAGTTAGGGAAATAGGACAGGAAAATATATGGGACAGTAATAGTATTTAGAGGGTGCCTTCTAACAAAGAAATGCCCTTTGAGCAGAGGGACATGATATCTAGGGCATTATTATGCCAGATGGAGGGTAAAGCCAAGGGTAGGAGCCCTTGGCTAGGAATATCTAATGCTTTCTAGGAACAGCAAGGAAGCCAGTATTGCAAGAGAAATGCTGAGAAAGACGGTGGGGGCCACACAGAGCCAGGACTGGCAAAATCATCAGAGTGTCATAGGTCGTACTAGGGATTACAGGTCAGAATAAAGTATTAAGAGATGTCACTGAACAAATTTGAGCAAGGAGTCTTGTGACCTAGTATGTAATGTTAGAGTGAGCAGTCAAAGATTTGTTATATATTTTGAGTGATTTATTTTCTCTAAGTCTTGCTTAGTTTCCAAAAGTCAGTGAGACCTTCATTCTTGAAGTGGATCAAAATTCCTGAGTGGAAAATATTTCTTATAACCATTCTATACCATTTATACAATTTAAATATGATGTCCCCATATTGACATCAAATCTTACCATATGTTTTTTGGAATCAAATTTTAGAATATTATTTTTAATAACCCACATCAATAAACAGGAACATTTTAGTCATTATTTAGGTCAAATTTCCATACTTTGGATATAAGTGCATTCACCGTCATTTTTTGCTATCCTTTCTGAGTAGTTTCATTTTTAAAATGACTGATAGCCCAAAGAAGATTCACTTGAATGTTGTCTTACTCCACATGAAAGTTGTTTATAAATATATAATTAATGGGTAATAGTTCTTTAAATATATATGTGATATTTATTTTTATTATTTACAAAAAATTTTCAATGAAAACCTTAAAAAATAAGTCTCTCATATGTGAGACTGTCATGTGCTGGTAAATATTTCCTTTCTGAGAAAAATATATATAAATGTATACAAATTTATTATAAATTTTGCTGCTATAAAGAATATGTAATACACTTATAAATATGAGTAAAAATATGCAATAGATTTCTATCAGAAATTTTGTATAGCCATTAATGCTCCCATAATACTTTTATTGATTTTTGCTGTGCTCTGTATCTGTACTCAACGTATTATTGCAACTCAACCTTGATTTGACAATGGTTTTACAATCCAATTGGCGAACTATTTTCTATGATTGCTAATTCTATCGCATCTCGATGTTTTTTGTCTTTTCAATTGCATAATTAGCAGTTATGTAATCCTGGTTAATCATTTTATGTATTTTCTCTTTTAAAAAGTAGTTACTGGAAATTCTGTTTTCTGAATGGACCATAATGGATATACATAATGGCCTAATATTGCCAGTCACATCAAAATCTGAAATTTACAAGTGGTCAAAGTTCATTGCAAGCCATTTTCCTTTTTTTTTTGTGAAAATTACTTCAATTGTTTCTTGTTTTGTTTGGAAGATATCTGCTAAACTGCAAGATGAATCATGCCACATAACCCGAAAGTTAAAATGTTGCTAGAGGGCATGTAAAAGAAAAAGGACAAGCAGATTAATTTAATTCCACTGGCTTCACTATATGTCCTTGATTAACGGCAATATGTCTTTCCTAGCTACTAAGTTTTTCATAGATACATACTTATGTTTAGACCTATTAGTGTTAGAATCCTTCTCCTTTCTGTCTTTCTGGAATACTGAGGTCCAATCTGTAATATCATCTATTATCTTTCATAGTTCATTATATGGTAGAGCTAGAGACTCCGGTTAGGAAGAGAATCAGCTAATTTTAGAATTAGGGGCAAAGTGTATGATTGTTAACTGTCTCCCGAAAAAGATTATTTATCTATCCTTACAAAAATGTCTCAGTGGGACTAGTGGGCTGTTAAAGCCAAGACAGTGACTTTCCCTGTCAATATTGAACCAGACTCTTTTCAGGTGACTGCTGGTATAAGTAACAGCACAGTTCTATTGCTACACATCTTTGGTTTTTATTCTTTCTGCAAAGGCTGCCGAGATGGATGAAAATTATTATCAATCATTAAGGTGATTTTTGGTGAAATAAGTACTATGTGCTTCAAACATTCTTAACTCACTACATATCATAGCAGTTACTTATATACTGTCATAGAAAAATTAATACTTTTCTAAACAATAAAAAATCCACATTTTACAAATCTGTATTTTATACCATCTACCAAATATATTTCAAAGTGATGCAACTTCACATAAATTAATTTTTCATTTTAATCCTTAAGTTATTAATTAGGGTATTTTCTACTATAAGATATAAAGATTTAGGTGTATTTATATTGTGATCATATTTATATATTTTTAATACTTGTATATATATATATATATATATACTTAGACATACATATATATATGTAACTTTTTAGTACATAGTTTGTCCTAATATGATTTACTGATATATTTAAGACACTTCTGGTGACAATAACAGCAAGTTATTGTCCTTGTAATTTCCTAAATTCCAAGTGTCTCAGAGTTTAATTTGAGTAATTTGTCATAGTGCCAGTTCTTGAGGTGCTTACCAATTGATTTAATCCAATTACCAAATCTCATGTTACTTGGCACAGACATTAATCAAAAGGTTTGTGCATACTTGTGCCAGCATCAACAAATAAATCATAAAAAACTATTTGCCAGTAAACATGCTGTTTTGAACTTCTGTAAGAGGTACCAGGAAGAAATGCTATATTTCTGATAGCCTAGGAGAGGTGTGTTTGGTTCATTTTGTGGGACATAATCTGTATTTTGCACACTCTAATGTAACCTAACTCATACAAATAACAAAGACATACGTATAAAGATTTTGAAGTACTAAATTAATGAAACAGTTGATTCTACATAGGTCAAATTGAACAGCCTCAAAATCAGAAATGAACATAATAAATGTACAGTTAAACCTTTTTGGATTCTTCTCTGGAAGGGGCAAGTATTTATTAAAAATATACTAGTTTGGCAAAATGAATGATGAAGACAAAAATATGAAAGACTATACTAGTTTCAGAGAAATCTTCTAATTGCTGTTAAACATCTCTTGGAAGGCAAAGTGTTGATATAATAGAGGCTAGTCCAAAACACATTTACTAGACTATAGTGTTAATGGATAGAGTTCTCAATTTTATAAGCTAAAATTTCTATGGGGGTCACTTTTAGGACATCTGGATTAATGAACTTTTTTAAAAAAAATAGTAACTCTTCTCTTTTTTCCAATGTGTTCAATGAAGTAACACAGTTATCTTTAGAAAAAAGGAAGAAAGGAAGGAAGGAAGGAAGGAAGGAAGGAAGGAAGGAAGGAAGGAAGGAAGGAAGGAAGGAAGGCAGGCAAGAAGGAAGGAAGGAAGGGAGGGAGGGAGGGAGGGAGCAAGTAAAAAATTTCTTTTTTTTTAATGTTTTCTTCTTAGTTCATAATTTTTTTTTCTATCATAGTGAGTTTTGAAAGGCTGAGATTAAGACATAGGTCTAATTTAAAAAGGGGGCATTCCCTGAGCATATGTTTTTTGTGTCCTTTGGATCTACATTTAGCACAGGCCATAGAATACTTCTTAACTTCATGTGTCCCAGCTTAGTTCACTACAAGACTATTTCGGACTTCATGCTCTGCAAGTCTTCCTTGGGGACCAGGTGCTATAATGGATTACAGACAAGAATCCTATCCACAAAGCTAATATTATTTTTATAAAACTAAATATTTCTTATGTTTTTGATACTACAACTGACCAGCTGTTGGAAAAAAAAAATACTTAGCCTCTCTTTAACTCAGACTCCTCATTTTTTCAAGGGTACTCTAAGGATTAAATGTGTTAAGAAATGTATACATAAAATTAGGTAGCACACAGCAAGTGCTCAATAATTATTACCTATTATTATCTGCTCAAGAGAACTGTTCACTCTGTGAAAGCAATACTTTTTGTTCTTGTGTTTTCTCTTTTTTTTTTTTTTACTGTTATTCTCAATACCTAGAAGAGTGCCTGCAATAGAGTAGATATTTCTTTCTCACAGTTAAAAGAATGAATGAATTAGTGAGGTGCATTAATGCTTCTCCACTTTTCCTGTCATTCTTTCACATAATTTTCAAGAATTGATAAAGCTTACAATTTAATACTATATATTTAAATACATTTTTTAAAAAACTAGTTAATTGATGACTGATCAAAAACTTTTCTATACTGTATAAAGAGATATTTTATGATGAATGATTTTTAGTCGTAGGGTTAAATAAGGAGTACTTCAAAACCCTAAGCAGTCCCTCTGAAATCTTTCAAGGATTGTTATATATTTCTTTTGATGCCTGCAAGGTGCTCCCAATGCTGTTTGTGAATCCTTTGGCAATTGGAAAACTGAATGCATTTTAAGTTGGAAAATTTGAGTTGAAATAAAAATATGCTGTGACACTGGTAAAGTAAAAGACAAAACTAAACAATTTATCTACAGAAATGAAACATAAAAAAGAAGACCCCAAAATCTTTACCTCAAACTTCAAAATAGTTGGTTTAAAAGTTAGTATTTTTTCCTTGAAATAGCCAGATGAATTTTATATTTTGTACTTTCCTTAAATTGAAAGGGTCAGAATTTAAAATTTTACTCTTGACATAGAGAACATATCCATTCCCACCTTCCATTTTTTTTTAACAGAACGTTTACTCTCTACATTTAAAAAAAAAACTTTTAATTTTTATTTTTCCTTTTTGAGTTTCCAGTCTTAATCATTATTTAGTTGGCTCCCAGTCACTGACATCATATGCTCTGTGAAGTGCTAATTACACTGTCAGATTATACAAATGTTTCATAAAAATAGTGATGATAATAATTTTGGTAAAATTGTTATTTTCAAGCAAGAACTGTATGATAGTTTAACCAGGAAAATGATTAGTGCATAAGAGAAGTGGCCCTGTAGACTTTGATTTATTTTTGGCGCTTTGGTGGCTTAGGGATATTATGTTTGGGCAGCAGGGATATTGGACTCTTACTAGCACAATTATACCAAAAAAACCCTACTTTCTTTTTTATAAAGCATATTCATATTTTTAATTCTGAAACCTAGACCTTGGCTTTATGAAATTGTGTTTTAATCATTCATGTGAAGTACAGTTTACAAAATGGTTGCTTATATTTTATAGTTTTTGTTTGTCATATGTTGTGATGAACTTGGTGTTTGTGTACAGTAGACCTTAAAGTTATTGATAAAATGATAATAATACGTATTGAAGCAGAAAACATATGAAGCCTAATAAATTTATATTCTCAGTTAATCTCATTGATCCTGGGTTATTTATGACTATAGAGTTTGTCCTGAGCAAAATGGGTGTTCTCTATGTGCTATGTTCAGTGTGATCAATTATGATTCTTATTTACATACTATCCAGTTTTGTGTTTGCCATGTAAAATTAAGAAAAAATTGACACCTCAATGCTATTTGCTCACAAAAACACATGTACTGTCATGTAGGAAATCAATGTGTTCTGTAAATTGCCTTACTGCAGTAATAACAAAGTGTTAATTTAACTTGTTAAATTTTATATGCCATAATAATAAAAAAGACTCTCAGAGGAACAAGTGCCAGAATAAACTTCTAAAATTGCTGAAATACATAAAATAAGATTCATATCAATGGCATATTTTTCAAATTAGTCCATTTATGAATACTCTGTTAATACTCAGTGTTTATGTATCATCATTTCTTTTTCATCATTTATGATAGTCATGTTTATTTGACCTTATATCTTTCCAAAAATGTGGTACAAATACAAGGCCTTCAGCATTCTGTGTATCCACTGAGTAGTCCCAGGGAGTCTCAGCACTCTTCTCCTCTGAGGCAATACTACTCACATTTATTACCTATTGCTTTGGACTAACTAGAGTATATTTTATTTTTAAATAAAGTTTTTAAACTTTTCTTTTTGAAATATATCAATTATATTTGGAAAGATTTTGGAAAATTAAGAGTCATAAAGAAAAATAACTCTCACAATTTTCCAGCACAGAGAAAACTACTGCTAACATACTGGTGCCATTTATGGTTCTTTTCAGTGCCACTGAACATTTTTAATGAACACTATTTTTATAATTACATAATACTTTACTGTGAAAGCATCATTTCCTGTTTTGAGCATTATTGTCACAACTACCCCAGGAAATAAATCTTAAATATATTCTTGCTTTATTCTTAGAGCTGATTCCTTCTCGAAGCAGAATTTCTGAATCACAAGTTTAAACCAGATTTAAGCTTCTGAATGCATATTTCTGATTTATGTTGAATTGACAAAATAAGTCATTTCTTGATTGAAGAGGAGAAAGCCATTTATAATAAGTGAATCTTGGACACCGTGTATATTTTTCCTGCCTCACAGCCTACTGTAAAGGTGCATGATTACCTCAAGGGCCTTTCAGATTCTCTGGTAGGCTCAGATATCTGAAATATGTCTAACATATACCTCATTTTTTTCAGGAGCACATTTTCAAGTTTTAGCCAGTATATGACCTGTACACATAAAGTAGGTTAAGTGAATAAGGGAGGAAATTGACTACTCTGCTGTTCTTAATGGAATTAATGAACACTCTGCTGTTTTCTCCATGACCTATACCTGCTGTTTCATAAATTTTACTCCAAACTAGGTCTTCTCTGTGAATTCTTTAAGAAAGACTGCTGTTTTCTCTGGTTATTTTAGGCTACAGGCCTGCCTATTCTTGTATGTCAACCTATGCAAAATCTGCTCTATGTTTTCTAAGATTTCTTTTTTTTTCTCTTTGTTGCTTTTCTTTTTTTTAAAATTATACTTTAAGTTCTAGGGTACATGTGCACAACGTGCAGGTTTGTTACATATGTATACATGTGCCATGTTGGTGTGCTGCACCCATTAACTCATCATTTACATTAGGTATATCTCCTAATGGTATCCCTCCCCCCTCCCCCCACCCCGTGACAGGCCCCGGTGTGTGTGATGTTCCCCTTCCTGTGTCCAAGTGTTCTCATTGTTCAATTCCCACCTATGAGTGAGAACATGCGGTATTTGGTTTTTTGTCCTTGCCATAGTTTGCTGAGAATGATGGTTTCCAGCTTCATCCATGTCCCTACAAAGGACATGAACTCATCCTTTTTATGGCTGCATAGTATTCCATGGTGTATATGTGCCACATTTTCTTAATCCAGTCTATCACTGATGGACATTTGGGTTGGTTCCAAGTCTTTGCTATTGTGAATAGTGCCGCAATAATCATACGTGTGCATGTGTCTTTATAGCAGCATGATTTATAATCCTTTAGGTATATACCCAGTAATGGGATGGCTGGGTCAAATGGTATTTCTGGTTCTAGATCCCTGAGGAATGGCCACACTGTCTTCCACAATGGTTAAATCTTAGTTCCGTTGCTATACTCACATTTTATTTTTGTATTGTTATGAGTTTAATGTTTTACAAAAGAAATATATTTATTTCAATGAGAGTCAGAGAAAGTAGGACTGTAGGGAATTGTTTCAATCTAAAAACTCGAATCAGAAATTGTTAAATATTTCCACTGTTTTAATATTTAATACATTTTTCTTTATTTAGAATTATTTTTATTCTTTTTCATGCTTATCCTATTTTTACTTACTATTGAAGTGTATAAGAAAAATATTAGACAAACCTATAAGACTGCAATAATAGCCATCATGTTCTCTTTATTTTAACAATGTTCATAACAGTTTTACCATTGTATTTTAATCGATATTAGTATATGTTATGACTATGACGCTTTCCAGAATAGCAAATCTATTAAAATAGAAATGGATTAGTGTGACATCATTTATTTTTCTTGCAGAGAGGTGCTCTGAAATTATAATTTATTAATACACTTAGAAAGATCTTAAAATAATTTTTATGCTTGTGAACAGGGCAGCTTTAAAATAATGTTTGTGATTACGAACAAAGTATCTCAGTTCTCTCTTCATCTGTTTCTATATTTGAATATTTTAATATATTTGTTTACTATAAACTTTTGAAATTGAGTGTATATAAAAATATAAGTCATTTTAGTTTTTATTTTCTTGTCTATCTTTTTCTTTCATTCTCAGAATGGAGAACGATAAATCAGAAAGCCCAGGCATTTTTATCCTAATGTTAGAAAGTTCCAACCCAAATCTGGTATGAAATCAGTTATGTCTACATATCAGATACATTCAGGGTGTTGATTGGCTTCCCTTTTGAGTTCTCCTTACAGCACTTAATTTTCTGAATTTATGGTGAGTCTGTTACCAGAAATTCTGCATCGGCATGGATCCTTTAACTGAGGAAATCATAGAGTTGGAGCTCTGGACCAGCAATCTCAGTTTTTGTAATAATGAGCAAAGAATTGCAAACTAATACCAAAATGCAAATACAAAGCCAAGTTTACACTCTCAGAGAGAGTGGGTTGACTTCTGCGAAATGAAATTAGGCCCCCTTTACAGAGCTCAAGGTGCTTTTACGAGGTTTGTAGGGAGGAGGAGTTGAAGTTTGGGCTGTGTCTGAGTGATGGGATAATGTCATTTGATTTGCAATTTATGGTTGTATAACTAAAATTCAACTGTGCATGTACCTACCCATAATTCATACAGAAAAGCTCAGGGGGTGGGGGGAGGATAAAACCACATGTGGCTTCTATTATAATGACTGTATAATAATCTCAGGGTTAACCTGAGGACACAGCTTTGTGTTACTGTGCATATGTCACTTTAGGAGATTTTCACCTCTGTCCTAGTTCCTCCTTCTCCAGGATGTGCTGGCCATAGACTTTACCACTAATTCCATCTGTTAGGGTGGAGTTAGGGTGGTCTTAGGGCTTAGGCGGGCCAGGAGCTGTCTTAGTGACAGCCGTTCTGCTCTCTCCTTTCATCCCCTTCCAGCTGCTAATGTCTGTCTAACTATCTAACAAGTCTGTTTTGGGGATTTACAAAACATTTGAATTATACTGTAATCATATTTACTAGGGAAAATAAGTTACCATAAACCATTTTATTTGAAACTTTCTCAGGAAACTAAAATAACTAAATATCATCAGTTTTAGTTACTTTAGCATCGTGAGTGATGAGGAGGCATGTCAGCTTGTAGAGACAATTTCAATCTGGAGTCCTACAGATCTGGATTTTAATCTTCCTCTACCGCTTACTATCCATTTCGAATTAATCAAGTTTCAATTTTCTAATATACAAATTGAGATAAGAATATTTACTACCATCCGAGAGTGGTTGCTCACACCTGTAACCCCAGCATTTTGGGAAGCCAAGGCGGGCAGATTGCTTGAGCTCAGGAGTTCAAAACCGGCCTGGGTAACTTGGCAAAGCACTGTCTTTACAAAAAATACAAAAATTAGTTGGGCTTGGTAGCCTGAGCCTGTAGACCCAGCTACTCCAGAGGCTGAGTTGGGAGGATTGCTTGAGCCCAGGAGGTGGAGGCTGCAGTGAGTCAAGATTGTGCCCTTGCACTGTAGCCTGGGCCACAGAATGAGACCCTGTTTCAAAAAACAAAAAAACAAAAAAAAAAAAAAGAAAAGGAAAAAGAAAACATAATAATAAACATAATAAAGACTATTTATTAACACAAATGTTTGTTGTAGTAATATGAAATAACTTAATTGTTAACTATGTATATTTATACTGCAATTTATTTATTTGATGTTTTAATATGGTTTAATGTGATGGATAAGTTCTGTTTATAAATACATTAATCAATTAAATTAATTATAAGATTCATCTGTCTTCCTTTTACCAGAATATTGTATATTTTTCCTTTACAATTTTTATGACATCAGTAGCATATGCATATTTAGAAATCCACAAAAGTACTTATTATTTGTGGTATTTTAATAAGTAGCAAGAATTCAATTAAATTCAAAATTGACTTAATGTGCTTATTATACTTTTTAGGACAAAGACATTTAGGACCCAACACAATTTTAATATATTGAAAGATGGTTGATTCTAGTGGAATCTAAAGTGTTTGCTAATGCTTACTGCCAAGATAATAACACATCTAATTTTACAAGGCTTAGTTTCCTAGGATAAATATTTGAAGTATCTATCTTGAAGTTAAAATATTTATTTTTTCTACTTTAATTTTAAAGCCACATTAAATGTGTTCAGTAAGTATCTGAGAGGCTTTCTTTTGACACACAAAGGGAAATCTATCAGTGTATCTCATTTGCAGTAAATGAAAGTGAAAAAAGTCTTCATTATTGTATACAAAAACCTTCAAACTGTAGCTGCATTGTACTAATGATTCATTTTTGAAAAATCTCTAAGCAAATAAATTTGTGCTTTCTAGTATTAAAAGTAACGGCAAAAACTGCAATTACTTTTTCCTCAACCTAATATTTAAAAACCTTCCTATTATATGTCCAATATGTGCCTCTCCCTGATTGGTATACATAGGATTGTAAGAGCTATTTATGAAGGTCTAACCAGTGATTGGTGATTTTTTTATATAATATCATCAAAGTAATAAAAAATGATTGAATACTAATTCCATGCCAGGTCATTTTAAGCCTTTCATATGCATTGCCTCATTTATTATTTATGACAAAAGTTTGAGATAGGTGTCCTTTTTATGGTTGCTTTACAGATGATGAAATCAGGACAGACGTAAGTCAGGTAACTTGTCCCAAATCCCATAATTATCCCTCCCTAGAAAGAATTCAAGCCAGCTGTTCTGACTCCACAGACTTAAAGGCTTGGCCATTGACTTCATTAATTAAGATAGAAAGAAAATAGTATTTCAAAAATAATTAAAATACTGTATAAATCAGAGTTTTCTCACCAAGCTTAAGACAACACTAGTTGGTGCTTGGAAGAAAGCTTAATTATTAACCTCACAAGTAAATCCACTTGTGAGGGCCCTGAATAAAAAAATATGAGAGGAAGGAATAAATAGCAGAGTTGATCAAATATACCTAGATCATGTGACTGCTGAATTTTATTATTATTATTTTTTTGAGTCGGAGTCTCCCGCTGTTGCCCAGGCTGGAGCGCAGTGGCTCAATCTCGGCTCACTGCAAGCTCCGCCTCCTGGGTTCAGCCATCCTCCTGCCTCAGCCTCCCGAGTAGCTGGGACTACACAGGCTTCCGCCACGACGCCCGGCTAATTTTTTGTATTCTTTTTTTAGTAGAGACAGGGTTTCACCGTGTTAGCCAAGATGGTCTGGATCTCCTTACCTTGTGATCCGCCCACCTTGGCCTCCCAAAGTGCTGGTATTACAGGCATGAGCCACCGCTCCCGGCCGACTGCTGAAATTTTTTTAGAGACAGCAGAGGTAAAAGAATGATGTGGTACTTGTAACTGAGCAACTTGGACTTATGATCTTTGAAACTTTGATGGGAATAAAAGAAATTAGAAAGAAAGAGATGTAGGCCGGGGGCAGTGGCTCACGCCTGTAATCCTAGTACTTTGGGAGGCCGAGGCGGGCGGATTGCCTGAGCTCAGGAGTTCGAGACCAGCCTGGGCAACACGGTGAAACCCCATCTCTACTAACATACAAAAAATTAGCCTGGTGTGGTGGCATGTTCCTATAATCCCAGCTACTCAGGAGGCTGAGACAGGAGAATCACTTGAACCCGGGAGGCAGAGATTGCAGTGAGGCCGAGATCACGCAACTGCATTCCAGCCTGGGTGACAGAGCAAGACTCCGTCTCCAAAAAAAAAAAAAAAAAAAGAGATGTTACAAAACTGGAAAGTAGGTATCACAACTTGATACCTAAAGGGCTATGAAGTGAAGTGAATAAGTTAACCAAGGTGTAAAAAATTATATAGGATACTGCCTTTGAAGGGAAAAATTTCTCTGTGTCATTATTGCAAATACCACGTATATCATAAAAATTAAAACTACAAATGATTTCTTTCTGTAGAATTTTTTCTATTATATATAGAATATATGTATATATGTTAAATTTATATATGTGTCTGTATGTGTAGACTCACACAATGATACGCACTATATAATTGTTTATTCTTGGTGAAGTGTTTAAGTTCACACCTTCGTATTTACTTATTTAACATACAGCTATGGCAACAAAAGGCAGGACATGATCTTTCTCTGATGCTTGAGAAAGAATCACTAAATAGAATTGGATTCACTCTGGCAACACAAAAATGTGGCTATTATTAGTATTCTACTAAGAGTTGTTGAAAACTCAACAATGGAGATTGGGATGTCAGAGAAAATTAGTTACTTTTACAACAATACAGGCTAAGAGGTGGATATGAACACAGTTATGTTTAAAAGCAAAGGCAACATAATGGAACCCACAGGGTAGGATCAGTGCAAGAGGCTCTATGAAAAGCCATGTTCTGCACTTTGAAGTTTTTCTGTTTTCATTAGTTTTTTTATTGAATTATTAAATCTGGAAAATAGTTTCATGAGTTCTGTAGGTTTTGTGTGTGTGTGTGCAGTTAGGTTTGGAAAATTAGAGAGTAAGTAGTTTTGTTTATTTTTTTTTCTCCAAAACCTAGTATTGTGCATTGGTAGCAACCTGTGGGTGAGGGGCAAAAATCTGTAGCATGGAATTGTCAGTGAAATATGCGGCATTGTCTAAGACTGGAAATAGCAAATGCGGCAGAACCTATGAAGAAAGATTGTACTCTGCTGTTTTATAGGCATATACGATATTGCTTGGAGATAGCAGGATTATCTGTTAAAGTAGATTTATAATCTGGTATAATCTAGATTACATATAATCTATAGTTGATGGGGCAACATGAGACAATAACATTTAGACGCCTGCATAGTGAAATGTAATAATCTAATCAGGCAATGTCAGAAACTTAATTTTCAGAAAATAGAATAAGAATCCTCTAGATTTCAGATAGAAAATGGATAGAGCACTAAGTTCCTATCCTAATAATTATGTAGAAAAATGATAACTATTTTTGTTAATAAATTTTTTGAAAATAAATGTGACAATGAATGTTGTTTGGTTTTGCTTTGTTTTGTTGTAGCAATAAGTAGAACTTAACCTTAGTGCTAAAGTTTTTACTCACATAATCTATCATTCATTCCTTTAAGTCGTTACTTGATTGTGATAAATAGCTGATAAAACATTTCAGTGAATTCAAGGGAAAAAAATGAAAAAAAAAAACCTTTGGCCATTCTAGCATGAGTCAGAAAGTATTATTAACTCATTTATTAAAAGCCTGTTTATCAACTGTAGTCTCCATAATGTGTGTACAATAGGTCTCTTGAACTCATTCCTTCTGTCTAACTGAAATTTTGTGTCCTTTGATCAACATCTATTCCATCTCCCCACACCTAGTGTCTGGTATCCACCATTCTACTTTATTTCTATGATTTTAACTAACAATATATTGTATATTTGAAAGTCCTGAGAGCAGATTTTAAGATTTCCCACCATAAAATATGGTAAGTATGTGAGGTAATGCACATGTCTAGGAACTCATGTAATGTTCAAATGTGGATGCTGACAACCTCAATTCTTAATTCTTAGAGTCTACATCAGGATCTGAAACTTCAATTGGCTGCTTTAGAACTAAATAATGCTTAGAATTATGATATTGTTTTCTCCCTTTATTTCTGGTAACTCAAACACTGAATTTCCTGTTTTCCAAGCCCAGATATATTTGTTTTTGGTTGTGTTGTAAGTATTATTTTATGTGTTTATTTTCTCAATGATTTCATCTAAATTTATTAAACATATTATATATTCTGTGAATTTCCCCAGTTTACATACCTAGTCCAAATACAGTCCCTGAATTATATTGTTATACTCAGATACTTTCTTGAGCTATCTAGGTAGATGACTAAGAGACTTATCAAATGTGTCTAAAACGTAATTCACGTAACATGCATTTCAATTTCTGGATGAAACCTGGTCCTCTTGCATTTTTCCCCACATTAGTAAATAGTATCTCTATTCTTCAATTTGGTTAGACAGATGACTTTGGAGGCATAATTGGTTTCCTTGTTTTTTATCCATTCCTGTTTAAACTTCCCAGAAATATTGTGGACAATTTCTCTGAAGTTATTTCTTGGATCCAAGTACTTCTCAACACATTTACAGCATCTACCCTGGTCCAAAGTCCAGAGATTTTTACTGGAGTAGTTTACAAATTTGTCTTCTTGCTTTCCCTTTACCCTGCTGCTTACCTAGATTCAACAGGATAGATTCAGTGACCTTTTTAAAATCCAAACCATGTAACATTATTCTACTCCCCCAAATTCTCCAAGAGCTTCCCACCCCCTTCAGAGTGAACTCTAATATGCTTCTCAGGATTCACAAAGTGCTAAGCAGTCTAGTCCATAACCACACCTTTCAGAACACTGCATTTACCATTGTTCACACTCATTGGACTCTGCACAGTTCCTTGACAAGTAAGGTTGAACTACATGAAACAAGTGGTTGGATAGGTGAAAAATGTTCAGTTTTGGAGTATTATATGTGTTTTGACTTAATAAGAAAACTCATCCTAGGGCAGCTGTAGTTGATGCTGTCTTTCCTCCTAGTAACCACTTGAATCCTCATTTGTTTTATTTGAAGTCTTGCTTAAATATTTTATAAGACAAGTCTTCACTGACATCTTTTATAAAAGTAATAATGCCTATAATTCTTTCATTTTTATCCTACTTTATTTCATCAGACATGTTACCTCTTAACCTTATATGTTGATTTGTTTACTCACTGATTTTTTTTCACTAGAATGTAAATTTCTTAAGGAAAAGGGAAATATGTCTGTTTGTTTATTGCATGATCTGTACTCCCTGTAAAAGTACCTACCTTATAGGAAGCACTATAGAAATATGTTTAATGGATTAAATAAATGACTTATCATATTATTCAGTATTTATAAAGGTCATCCAAATCAGGTTTGCCTCCGTGTAGCTAGATGTATTAATTTATGTAATATGCTTAGCAAAATTAGAGAGCTTTTTTGACAGTGGAAATAAGACTTTATAGATAAACTGCATACTGGATAATCAAAACTGAAAGCTAGCTGCTAAATTCATATAGAATTGAAAAGAAAGACCTACTAAGGTACAAATTAGAGACTCAAGTCCTAAATCCTCCAACCTTATCAAGGCACAATCCATCAGTGACTGTTTTTCGTTTTCTTTAAAAAAATCATATTTGATCTGTCTTCTTTTTTGGTTATTTTTTTATTTTTTTAAATTAATATGTGTTCACCTGGTCACCCTGGAAACCTTTACAGAGATGAGATTACCATGTAAATTATTAATACATATTTGCTTAGTTGATTTGAACTAAGATATAAAACATCTTTAGTCATCACTGAATAGCCTCATAATATTTAAATCTATCCAACCCCAAGCTTTAATTAGTAAAGTAATACAATTATAAATCAGACTTTATTATAATCTGAAACTTCTGCTCTTTAAAAGACACTGTTAAGCCAATGAAAAGACAAGCCACAGAGTGAGTCAACATATTTGCAAGTACTGTGTCTGCTGAAGGGATTGTATCCACACCATATAAATAACTCAAAATTAAATACTGTAGTTCCCCCACCCCCTTATCCTTGGTTTCACTTTCTGATTTCATTTACCTGTATTTACCCTTGGTCCAAAAATATTAAATGGAAAATTCCAGAAATAAACAATACATAAATTTTAAATTGTGTGCCATTCTGAGTAGCATGGTGAATCCTTGAGCCATCTTGCTCTGTCCCAGCTGGGGCGTGAATCATTGTTTCATCTGGCATATTCATGCTGTATACATAACCTGCCTATGAGACACTTATTAGCTGTCTGAGTTATCAGATCAACAGTTCCCCAGAAGAAGGGTGAGTATGGTGCAATACAATAGAAAGACAGAGAGACAGATACAGAGAGACCACATTCACATAATCTTTGTGACAGTCTACTGTTATAATTCTTTTTTATTAATTTTTTGTTAATATCTTACTGGGCCTAATTTATAAATTAAACTTTATCATAGGTATGTATATATATAGAAAAAACATTGTATATATATGGTTTGGTACTATCCAATATTTTAGGCATCCAACGAGGGTCTTGATATGTGTCATTTCTATTGCTTTTGTGTCGCTCAAGGATACGTGGGGACTACTGTAATAGCAATACAAATGACACATTTAATATATGTGAAAAGTATTTGAACAGGCTCTGCACCAAATAAGATATATGGGTGGTATATATGAACATAAGAGGATACTCAATTAGCCATTAAGGAATTAGAAAATAAAACCTCAGTGTAACGCCATTACATACCTATTAGGATGATTAAAATTAAAGACCAAACAAACCAAGTGCTCATGAGGATGTTGTGAAACTGGAATTCTCATAAACTTCTGGGGAGGATGTAAAGTGGTAGAATCATTTTGAACACCTATTCAACCGATTTTTTAAAAGTTAAACAAAAAGCCATATGAAACAGTTATATCTCTACTAGGTATCAAACCAAGAGAAACAAAACCATATATCCATACAAACATTTTTTATATGAATGTCCATAGCAGCTCTTTCTGTAATATCACAAAACTGGAACAAACTAAATATTCATTTACAGGTTGATGCATAAACAGTTATGGTATATTTATACGGTGTAATCTTATTCACACAATAAAAAATTAATTGTTGGTATACTACAACATGGTTGAATCTTAAAGTCATTATTTAGAATGAACAAATCCAAACAAAAAAGACTGTATACTGTATTATTCTATTAATATTAAATTGTAGAAAACACAAAGTGATTTATGTAGAAATCAAGGAGAATAGTGGTTGCCTGTGGATGAAATAGATGTTGTGGTGCCAGCAGTAGAAGAAAGAGAAGGATGACAAGTAGGCACAAGAAAACTTATTTGGGGTGATTAATATGTTCCTTATTTTGATTGTGGTGATGTTTATATATATATATGAATTATATATAAATTTATTAAATTCTGAATTTGCAGTTTATTGTAAGTCACTTATACTTAATTGAAATTTATTTTTTATAAAGCAAAAATAAGCAAAATAAAACAGTAAAAGGAAAAAGACAGATAAAACTGTTTGCTGAATTTTGATGATTTACTATTGTTTAAACAAGGAGTTCGTGCTGCAGTTCCTAGCAACTAAGGCTTAAATTGAATTATGTTTCATTATAAGTTTTCCCAGTCTAATGAAAGAAACTAAATATGTTTATCTGAGTTGACAAACTTTTTTCAGTCACAATTGAAAGTGGAATTTATTATCTGGAGTTTTATCTAAATGCTAATGTCTTCAACAACAGATGTGCAATAGGCTCAGAGACACATTTTTCAATCTAAAATTCTCATATTGGTTTTCTATTAAAGATGAATGCCTATGAATAAATTGAAATTTAGTAAAGAAATCTTTGCAGGAAGCTAAATTAGATGTATTATTTTCTGATATTTTAATTAAAACAAAATTCATGAAGGGAACTTACAAGAACAAAGAGAAATGAATATTTGGTACGTCCAACAGGTCAATTATCTCAACCATGAAATGTCTTAGGAAGTCATCTATCATACGTTGCATCATAATCACTTTGTAGTTGTAATTCTTCATGATTTCTGTGGGTGTTACTATGGTCTGATATTGCTTTAAATACTTAAAGTAAAAGTGTGTACGTGTTTAGAAATATTAATTATATTCTTGCCCATGTTGTATGCCTATATATGTACGCATAATACATACTTCTCCCAGCTACAGTTTAAGACAGGTGTCAGGAATTTTAATCATAAAATAACTTCTGTGAGTCTCATACAGATTGGATTTAATATGACGTAATTTTGCTAAATGGAGTAAAATACAACATAAAATTGTCTTACACGACCTATAAGGAATTAAGTTTCCACTGAAAAGCAAAACAAAAAGTACTAATGATCCGTAAAAATCTGAAGACTGATTTAATATATGTTAACATGTCCAGAATTGATGGGCTCTTGGTCTAATTACTTCAAGAATGAAGCCACGGACCCTCCTGGTGAGTGTTACAGTTTTTAAAAGTGATGTGTCCGGAGTTTGTTCCTTCTGATGTTCTGACATGTTTGGAGTTTCTTTCTTCTGGTGGTTTCGTGGTCTTGCTGGCTTCAGGAGTGAAGCTGCAGACCTTCATGATAAGTGTTACAGCTCTTAAGGCAGCAAGTCTGGAGTTGTTCGTTCCTCTCGGTAGGTTCGTGGTCTCGCGGACCTCAGGAGAGAAGCTGCAGACCTTCACCATGAGTGTTACAGCTCATAAAAGCAGTGCGGACCCAAATGGTGAATAGCAGCAAGATTTAGTGCAAAGTGTGAAAGAACAAGGCTTCCATACCATGAAGGAGACCTGAGGGGGTTGCCACTGCTGGCTGAGGCAGCATGCTTTTATTCTCTTATCTGGCCCCACCCACATCCTGCTGATTGGTCCATTTTACAGAGAGCTGATTGGTCTGTTTTACAGAGAGCTGATTGGTCCGTTTTGACAGGGTGCTGATTGGTGCATTTACAATCCCTGAGCTAGACACCAAAGTTCTCCAGGTCCCCACTAAATTAGGTAGATACAGAGTGCTGATTGGTGTATTTACAAGCCCTGAGCTAGATACAGAGTGCTGATTGGTGCATTTACAAACCTTGAGCTAGATACAGAGTGCCAATAGGTGTATTCACAATCCCTTATCTACACATAAAGATTCTCCAAGTTCCCACCAGATTAGCTAGATACAGAGTGCCAATTGGCACATCCACAAACCCTGAGCTAGACTCAGGGTGCTGATTGGTGTGTTTACAAACCTTGAGCTAGATACAGAGTGCTGATTGGTGTATTTACAATCCCTTAGCTAGACATAAAGGTTCATCCAAGTCCCCACTAGACGCAGGAGCCCAGCTGGCTTCACCTAGTGGATCCCACACGGGGCCGCAGGCAAAGCTGCCTGCCAGTCCCATGCCTTGTGCCCACGCTCCTCAGCCGTTCCACAGTCGATGGGACCGGGTGCCATGGAGCAGGGGGCGGTGCTCGTCGGGGAGGCTCCTGCTGCACAGGAGCCTAGGGCAGTGGGGGGAGGCTCACACATGGCAGGCTGCAGGTCCCAAGCCCTGCCCCGCAGGGAGGCAGCTGAGGCCCCCTGAGAAATCGAACGCAGTGCTGGTGGGCCGGCACTGCTGGGGGGACCTGGCGCCTCTCCGCAGCTGCTGGCCTGGGTGCTAAGCCCCTCACTGCCCGGGGCCAGCGGGGCCAGCCGAGCGCATGCCCACCCGGAACTTGCACTGGCCCACAAGCAACCCGCGCAGCCCCAGTTCCCGCCCGTGCCTCTCCCTCCACAAGTCCCCGCAAGCTGAGGGAGCTGGCTCTGGCCTCGGACAGTGCAGAAAGGGGCTCCCACAGTGTAGCAGGGGGCTGAAGGGCTCCTCAAGCACCGCCGGAGTGGACACTGAGAGCGAGCGAGGGCTGCGAGGGCTGCCAGCACACTGTCACCTCTCGTTAAGAGTTGTAAAGGAAAGACAACCTCTAGCTCCTTTTATTAAAATGGCATAATAATTTACTATCACTAAGCCTGGGGACTTTTAAGGATATGGGAATTAATAAAAGTCCTTTGATTTTTTAATCTGCTAGAATTAAGCTCCATAAAGGCAGAATCTGTGTGTTCTCTCCACTTCTACATTCAAGGTACCTAGAGCAATGCCTGGCATATAATAGATACTTAATTTCAACCTCTCTTTCTCTTTGTCTCCATTTGTCTCTCTATCATCTCTCTACCTTTGTTCTTTATGTAGATACTATGAAATATGATCTATTAAAAGATATTTCTTTTTACAAAAACAATGTGATGGGGCAGAATGATATGATTTGGTTCCGTGTGCCCATCGGAACCTCATCTTGTAGCTCCCATAATTCCCGTGTGTTGTGGGAGGGACCCAGTGGGAGATGACTGAATTATGGGGCGGGTCTTTCTCATGCTGTTCTGATGATAGCAAATAAATCGTACAAGATCTGACAGTATTGTAAGGGGGGGTTTCCCCGCATAAGCTCTCTTTGCCTGACGCCATCTATGTAAGATATGACTTGCTCCTCCTTGCCTTCTGCCCTGATTGTGAGGCCTCCCCAGCCACATAGAACTGTGAGTACAGTTAAAACTCTTTCTTTTATGACTTGCTCAGTCTTGGGCATGTCTTTATCAGCATCATGAAAACGGACTAATGCATCTCTCTACCTTTGTTCTTTTTGAATATATTATAAAATATGATCAATTAAAAATGATTTCTTTTTACAAAAATGATTAATGCAGTGAACTGAAATTCATAAAATCTTTTTAGGAAAAATGCTGTAGTGATAAATAAAATTTTATTAACTATTTGGTATATGTAGGAAGAATGACAACGAATCATTAGCAACAAGAAAATATTTTAAATGAACCAAGCTTTTATGTAATTTTGAAATGGCAGCAATGAACTGGAAAATAATTATACTATTGAAAAGATTGTACATTAGACACTGTAATAAATCATTTACTGAAGACTATTAGAGTTTAAATTAAATTCATTTATAATTAAGTAAAAGGAACTTTGAATATACTGCATGATTTCAAAAAATATGTTTGATATAAATTTCAGTTTGTAATAGCATTAACAACTCAAAAAAGTTATAATGTCATATAAATATTGGTGCACTGTGTACATGAACTTATTTCATTTAGCTTACTTTTCTTGGCTAAGCAGTTCAATGAAATGGAAAAATGACAGTTTTCTATTTCATAAGAAAAGTAAGATAAGCAAATTATAATGATAAGAGAAATCTCAGGATTATTGAGATATTTGCCATTCAATAACATCAAATAATCAGAGAACATTTGACCAACAATTATTTAGTTAAGGCTCTCATTTTACCAATAGACTTTACTGAGACCTCCATTTCTTACATAAGATCTCTATTTTATGCAGAATTACATAGCAGTGGGAAGAGCATCAAAGACTAAATAAGAAAATACGTGATATTAGAGGAAATGGCAAATAGCTTTCTCATGTGCTTAATGAAACAAGAAATTCCTCTATGTAACAAACTTTCCATTCAGCAATCATTGACAGCACTAATCATATACACTAAAAAGTATAATTATTGATATAAGTTTTAATATGTTCCAAATAACCAATGTGTAATTTTATCTCAAAACAAATTTGTTAAGAGAGTAGATCTTAAGTGTTCTCAACCACAGAAACCGGTAAATGTGAGATGATGAATATATTAATTAGCTTCTGATAATCATTTCACAATCACTGCATTATACACTTTAAATATATACAATTTTTATTTGCCAATGCTACCCCATAAAGCTGAAGAAAGTATATTTGAAAAATCGAGGATTTTATTTGGTCAAAAGACAAAGGGAAATTATTAATATTATATGAATAACAGGAAAACAGGTAGTTTTATTTTATTTAAAGACAATATTTTTAAGGAGTAATTATATGACATAATTTAGAATAACTCCTGGCAATTTTAAATTGGAAAACACAATAGCATTTTTTTTTTTTTTGAGATGGAGTTTCAGTCTTGTTGCCCAGACTGGAGTGCAATGGCGTGATTTTGGCCCACCGCAACCTCTGCCTACCGGGTTCAAGTGATTCTCCTGCCTCAGCCTCCCGTGTAGCTGGGATTACAGGCATGTGCCACCACGCCCGGCTAATTTTGTATTTTTAGTAGAGACAGTGTTTCTCCATGTTGGTCAGGCTGGTCTTGAACTCCCGACCTCAGGTGATCGCCCGCCTCGTCCTCAAAATAGCATTTAAATGAGATCAATCAATTAACAAACATTAATGAGTACTTAGTCTCTGAGATTACCATATTCAAAACATTTTCTAGAGGCTATAATATTAAACAAACTGAAAGAGCAGACAGATTTGATTTCAAACCTTAGGTCAGTCATTTTGTAGCCAAGTAACTCGGGTTAAGTTGCAAATATACATGAGCCTCATTGCCTTACCTGAGAAATGGGAAGTGTGAGGTCAGAAATACTGTGTAGAAAGTGCCTGTGATGTGATAAATACACAAATAATTTTACAAGTACTATTACTTCTACTACTACTTATATTCCTACTAACATTAGCTTTTATAGTATAAATCAAACATCATAGATATTGTTGGAGAGGAAATATGAAATAATAAAAGGCATAATTTAGGGCTAGATTTTGAAATTAGGATTGATAAATTATTTTAAAAAAACAAAAAGAAGCAGGGCACGGTGGTGCACATCAGCAATTCTAGCTGCGTGTATGGCTGAGGCAGGAGAAAGGCTTGAGCCCAGGAGTTCAAGGCTATAGTGCACGATGATCACACTGTGAGTAGCCACTGCTCTCCAGCTTGAACAATAGAAATCCACATCTCTATCAAAAAAAAAAAAAGTTTAGCAGATGAAGAAAAATCTTCACCGAAGACCTGGAACTTAACCATTATTTGAGAATGGCAAGGTCTGGATACGTGAAGTGAAAATTCAACTATCCAAACCACAAAATTTACGTTAAGCATAAGGACATAGTGTTAGTGTGAAGTCACTCTCTAGTGGCTCTAGAAAAAAATGGGCTGTTTGATATCAAATATAATCATATATCATAGGGAACATTTAAAAAAATATTGAGGTAAAATATGCGTAACATTAAACTTACCATTGTAACCAATTTTAGTGTACAATTAAGAGGCATTACTTACATCCATAATGTGGTGAAGAATCACCATTATTTATTTACAATTTTTTTGTTAGAAACTCTTTAAACATTAGGAAATATGACTTCTTAACACTCGTTACCCTTTAATCATTTATTCCCTGTCTCTATGGATGTGCCTGGTCAAGGCAGCTCACATAAGTGGAATCATAGAATATTTGTCCCTTTGTGTCCTCAACATTCATCCATGTTATGGCATGTGTCAGGCCAAATAATATTCCACTGCATGTATATACCACATTTTGTTCATCCATCCATCTGTTGGATTGCATCTAACCTTTTGGCCATTGTAAATAATCTGCAATAAATATTGACATACAAGTATCTGTTCAATTCCATGCTTGCAATTCTTTATGTACACACCTAGGAGAGGAATTGATGGACTATATGGTAATTTTATGTTTAACTATTTGAACAACCATCAGACTGTTTTCTATAATGGTACAAAATGTTACATTCCCACTAGCAATGCACAAGTGTTACAATTCCTCCACATCCATGCTAATGTTTTTCTTCTTCTTCTTATTACTGCCATCTTCATAAATATGAAATGGTATTTTATTTACTTGAATATTTTCTCTTTTTTCTCTTAGCCTAGCTAAATGTTTACAAAGTTTATCCTTTTTTGTTTTAAAAAGCCCATGTGTTATTGATGCTTTTATGTCTTTTTAGTCTCTATTTCATGTATTTTTCTCTGATCTTTACTATTTTTTCTTCTAATTTTAAGTTTCGTTTGTTCTTGTTTTTTTGTTGTTGTTGTTTGTTTCTTGTGATGCAATGTTAAGTTGCTTTTTTGAGATTTTTTTTTTTTTAATGTAGGCATTTATTGTTATATGCTTTCCTCTTAGAACCACTTTAGCTGTGTCCATCGTTTTTGGCAGGTTTTATTTCTATTTTTATTTGTCTCAATAAATTTCTTAACTTTAAAAAAAATTTATTAACCTATTAGTTATTCAGGAGCATGTTGCCTCATTTCAAGGTATTTGTGAAGTTTCTAAACTTTATTTTGTTATTATTTCTAGTTTGAAATCATTGTAATCAGAAAAGATGCTTGATATTATTTCTTAAAATTGTTTCAATTATACATTTAAGACTTGTGTTGTGGTTATTCATGACCTATTTCTGAGAGACTGATCCAGAAAAATGTGTGTTCTGTAGTATTTGATGGAATTTTCTCTAAATGTCTATTAGGTACATTTGGTCTACAGTGCAGTTTGAATCTGATGTTTCTTTGTTGATTTTCTTTCTGGGTGATATTTCTATTGCTAAAAACTGTGTGTTGAAGTCTCTTGCTATTATTATATAGCAGTCTATTTTTTTAAAATAAAGGGAGACAAGCTAATTCCAAAATTTATGTGAAAAATAAAACAACTAATAATTTTTAAAACACCCTTGATGGAAAAGCAAAATAATATAATGTAGGGGTTTTTCTTATAATTTGTTAATGTAGCCTTTGCATCTTATGTAATTAACGGAGTATAGTATTATCTAAATAGAGACAAATAATGTCTGAAACAATTTCAGATAGCTTATATATATTATAAAGGTTTCACTACATCATAGTGGATAAAGATGTTATTTGGAACAAATTGGTGATAAAAATGAAACTTTACCTCCTTTTAATGTGTATATAAAATTTATTGCAGGTGGACTGTTAGGATAAATCTAAACAACAGAACAGTAAACTTTATGTAAGAGTATATAGGAGAATACTTTGATTATGTTGAGGTAAGAAAACATTTCTTATGTGGGATTCAAAAAGTTGTAATTATCTGTAAAGACCCTGATAAAATGGTCTACATTGAAACAAAATGGACTACATTAAAATTAAGTAATTCTGTTTATTAAGACACACTATTAAATTTTTGAGTGTAAGAACATATATGCAAAATACAAAAGCACAAAGTATTCAGTATATATGAAGATCTATTACAAATCTGTAAGAAGGGAATGCAATAGAAAAGTAAGCAAGAGACTTCAATAAGCATCCCAGAAAAAAATACGCAAATGTCTAGTAAACAAATGAAAATACATCAATCCCATTAATATTCAGGAAAATGCGAACAAAATCTAAATGCAAATTATATCATGCCAGAGAGATAAAATTAGAAAAAAAATGTTAATACCAATAGTGGCAAAAGTGGTGTATTCAGAAAGTGGAATGAATAAATATACAACATTTAACACACAATAAATAAGAAGTGAAGGCAAACACAAACATACATAATGCATGATTCCATTTTAAAAAACTGGCCAAATTACTATATGAAAGCTATAAAATGAGGTTACAGGCATTGGACAGCAACCAATAGGAAACTTGCATATTTGAGAAAAGGGAAGCTTAGGTAAGACAGCAGTCTCTCCTTCAGCCTTTTCAAGACATCTTCAGAACTGCAACAGAGGGATGTAGAGCTTAAGCACTAAATGCCAGCATTAGGTGAAGGAAAAGCAGGAATCAGAATTTGAGTTGCTAAGGAGGCTGTGATATGAAAGTAAAGAAAGATGCAGTTAAACAGCACCATGGTTTGGTGTAAAAAATTATGCCAGATGCTTGGCTGATTTTGCAATCCAGGCACATGATAAGAGTGTGATTCTAGCAGGTCCTCCAGAAAAAAGAAGCTGCTGAAAGGAAGAGCACTAAAAAGAAAGATAAAATTATGGGGAATTTCAACAGATGATTAAAATCTATAAAAAACAATAAAGTAAGTATTCCATAAATAATCCAATGTGAAATTATTGGATGTAATTATCAAGAGACTAAACAAAGAGGGTGGAAAATTAGTAAAAACAATGTTACACAATAGAAAATGTCTAAGCAGAACCATTTAAGGAACAAAAATTTTTAAACAGATAAGAGAAATGAGACAACATCAAAAAGTCTATACAATGTGCAACTAGGGGACAGAGAGAATGGCATGATGGGAAAGACCTGTATGTTCATCTGGATGTCAGTTTATAAGGGTGCTTATATGTGTAAAATTTCATCAAGTGGTTTACTTAAGATTTTGTGCTTTATCAATGTAATTTTAACCATGCAAAATATATACAATAATACTGTATTTGGGCCAAACTTACCTTTTAATTTGGTACAGATTGGGATAGCAAGCCATACAGTTTCTCAGATAAGCCCTTACCATCTAAGAGCTGAAAAGACTGTAGAGAGAAGTAATGTAAATTTTCTTTTTATTTTATTTTATTATTATTATACTTCAAGTTTTAGGGTACATGTGCACAATGTGCAGGTTAGTTACATATGTATACATGTGCCATGCTGGTGTGCTGCACCCATTAACTCGTCATTTAGCATTAGGTATATCTCCTAATGCTATCCCTCCCCCCTACACGCACCCCAAAACTGTCCCCAGAGTGTGATGTTCCCCTTCCTGTGTCCATGTGTTCTCATTGTTCACCTCCCATCTATGAGTGAGAACATGTGGTGTTTGGTTTTTTGTCCTTGCGATAGTTTACTGAGAATGATGATTTCCAATTTCATCCATGTCCCTACAAAGGACATGAACTCATCATTTTTTATGGCTGCATAGTATTCCATGGTGTATATGTGCCACATTTTCTTAATCCAGTCTATCATTGTTGGACATTTGGGTTGGTTCCAAGTCTTTGCTATTGTGAATAGTGCTGCAATAAACATACGTGTGCATGTGTCTTTATAGCAGCATGATTTATAGTCCTTTGGGTATATACCCAGTAATGGGATGGCTGGGTCAAATGGTATTTCTAGTTCTAGATCACTGAGGAATCACCACACTGACTTCCACAATGGTTGGACTAGTTTACAGTCCCACCAACAGTGTAAAAGTGTTCCTATTTCTCCACATCCTCTCCAGCACCTGTTGTTTCCAGACTTTTTAATGATTGCCATTTAACTGGTGTGAGATGGTATCTCATTGTGGTTTTGATTTGCATTTCTCTGATGGCCAGTGATGATGAGCATTTTTTCATGTGTTTTTTGGCTGCATAAATGTCTTCTTTTGAGAAGTGTCTGCTCATGTCCTTCGCCCGCTTTTTGATGGGGTTGTTTGTTTTTTTCTTGTGAATTTGTTTGAGTTCATTGTAGATTCTGGGTATTAGCCCTTTGTCAGATGAGTAGGTTGCGAACATTTTCTCCCATTTTGTAGGTTGCCTGTTCACTCTGATGGTAGTTTCTTTTGCTGTGCAGAAGCTCTTTAGTTTAATTAAATCCCATTTGTCAATTTTGGCTTTTGTTGCCATTGCTTTTGGTGTTTTAGACATGAAGTCCTTGCCCATGCCTATGTCCTGAATGGTAATGCCTAGGTCTTCTAGGGTTTTTGTGGTTTTAGGTCTAACGTTTAAGTCTTTAATCCATCTTGAATTAATTTTTATATAAGGTGTAAGGAAGGGATCCAGTTTCAGCTTTCTACATATGGCTAGCCAGTTTTCCCAGCACCATTTATTAAATAGGGAATCCTTTCCCCATTGCTTGTTTTTCTCAGGTTTGTCAAAGATCAGATAGTTGTAGATATGCAGCATTATTTCTGAGGGCTCTGTTCTGTTCCATTGATCTATATCTCTGTTTTGGTACCAGTACCATGCTGTTTTGGTTACTGTAGCCTTGTAGTATAGTTTGAAGTCAGGTAGTGTGATGCCTCCAGCTTTGTTCTTTTGGCTTAGGATTGACTTGGCGATGCGGGCTCTTTTTTGGTTCCATATGAACTTTAAAGTAGTTGTTTCCAATTCTGTGAAGAAAGTCATTGGTAGCTTGATGGGGATGGCATTGAATCTGTAAATTACCTTGGGCAGTATGGCCATTTTCACGATATTGATTCTTCCTACCCATGAGCATGGAATATTCTTCCATTTGTTTGTATCCTCTTTTATTTCATTGAGCAGTGGTTTGTAATTCTCCTTGAAGAGGTCCTTCACATCCCTTGTAAGTTGGATTCCTAGGTATTTCATTCTTTTTGAAGCAATTGTGAATGGGAGTTCACTCATGATTTGGCTCTCTGTTTGTCTGTTATTGGTGTATAAGAATGCTTGTGATTTTTGTACATTGATTTTGTATCCTGAGACTTTGCTGAAGTTGCTTATCAGCTTAAGGAGATTTTGGGCTGAGACGATGGGGTTTTCTAGATATACAATCATTTCATCTGCAAACAGGGACAATTTGACTTCCTCTTTTCCTAACTGAAAACCCTTTATTTCCTTCTCCTGCCTAATTGCCCTGGCCAGAACTTCCAACACTATGTTGAATAGGAGTGGTGAGAGAGGGCATCCCTGTCTTGTGCCAGTTTTCAAAGGGAATGCTTCCAGTTTTTGCCCATTCAGTATGATTTTGACTGTGGGTTTGTCATAGATAGCTCTTATTATTTTGAGATACATCCCATCAATACCTAATTTATTGAGAGTTTTTAGCATGAAGGGTTGTTGAATTTTGTCAAAGGCCTTTTCTGCATCTATTGAGATAATCATGTGGTTTTTGTCTTTGGTTCTGTTTATATGCTGGATTACATTTATTGATTTGCATATATTGAACCAGCCTTGCATCCCAGGGATGAAGCCCACTTGATCATGGTGGATAAGCTTTTTGATGTGCTGCTGGATTCGGTTTGCCAGTATTTTACTGAGGATTTTTGCATCAATATTCATGAAGGATATTGGTCTAAAATTCTCTTTTTTCGTTGTGTCTCTGCCTGGCTTTGGTATCAGGATGATGCTGGCCTCATAAAATGAGTTAGGGAGGATTCCCTCTTTTTCTGTTGATTGGAATAGTTTCACAAGGAATGGTACCAGTTCCTCCTTGTACCTCTGGTATAATTCGGCTGTGAATCCATCTGGTCCTGGACTCCTTTTGGTTGGTAAGCTATTGATTATTGCCACAATTTCATAGCCTGTTATTGGTCTGTTCAGAGATTCAACTTCTTCCTGGTTTAGTCTTGGGAGAGTGTATGTGTCGAGGAATTTATCCATCTCTTCTAGATTTTCTAGTTTATTTGCGTAGAGGTGTTTGTAGTATTCTCTGATGGTAGTTTGTATTTCTGTGGGATTGGTGGTGATATCCCCTTTATCATTTTTTATTGCGTCTATTTGATTCTTCTCTCTTTTCTTCTTTATTAGTCTTGCTAGCGGTCTATCAATTTTGTTGATCCTTTCAAAAATTCAGCTTCTGGAGTCTTTAATTTTTTGAAGGGATTTTTGTGTCTGTATTTCCTTCAGTTCTGCTCTGATTTTAGTTATTTCTTGCCTTCTGCTAGCTTTTGAATGTGTTTGCTCTTGCTTTTCTAGTTCTTTTAATTGTGATGTTAGGGTGTCAATTTTGGATCTTTCCTGCTTTCTCTTGTGGGCACTTAGTGCTATAAATTTCCCTCTACACGCTGCTTTGAATGTGTCCCAGAGATTGTGGTATGTTGTGTCTTTGTTCTCGTTGGTTTCAAAGAACATCTTTATTTCTGCCTTCATTTTGTTATGTACCCAGTAGTCATTCAGGAGCAGGTTGTTCAGTTTCCATGTAGTTGAGCGGTTTTGAGTGAGTTTCTTAATCCTGAGTTCTAGTTTGATTGCACTGTGGTCTGAGAGACAGTTTGTTATAATTTCTGTTCTTTTACATTTGCTGAGGAGCGCTTTATTTCCAACTATGTGGTCAGTTTTGGAATAGGTGTGGTGTGGTGCTGAAAAAAATGTATATTGTGTTGATTTGGGGTGGAGAGTTCTGTAGATGTCTATTAGGTCTGCTTGGTGCAGAGCTGAGTTCAATTCCTGGGTATCCTAGTTAACTTTCTGTCTCGTTGATCTGTCTAATGTTGACAGTGGGGTGTTAAAGTCACCCATTATTATTGTGTGGGAGTCTAAGTCTCTTTGTAGGTCACTCAGGACTTGCTTTATGAATCTGGGTGCTCCTGTATTGGGTGCATATATATTTAGGATAGTTAGCTCTTCTTGTTGAATTGATCCCTTTACCATTATGTAATGGCCTTCTTTGTCTCTTTTGATCTTTGTTGGTTTAAAGTCTGTTTTATCAGAGACTAGGATTGCAACCCCTGCCTTTTTTTGTTTTCCATTTGCTTGGTATATCTTCCTCCATCCTTTTATTTTGAGCCTATGTGTGTCTCTGCACGTGAGATGGTTTTCCCGAATACAGCACGCTGATGGGTCTTGACTCTTTATCCAATTTACCAGTCTGTGTCTTTTAATTGGGGCATTTAGTCCATTTACATTTAAAGTTAATATTGTTATGTGTGAACTTGATCCTGTCATTATGATGTTAGCTGGTTATTTTGCTCGTTAGTTGATGCAGTTTCTTCCTAGCCTCGATGGTCTTTACAATTTGGCATGATTTTGCAGTGGCTGGTACTGATTGTTCCTTTCCTTGTTTAGTGCTTCCTTCAGGAAGTAAGGTAAATTTTCTAGAGTGTGAAAAGTAGAGTAGAACTTTGGAACTGATGGGTTTAGTTACTATGTTATCTAATCACAAGCAAACTTGTTGGTTAATGACACAGGGCAATTTATATGATTAAGGAAGCCCCTATTTAAATTTTAAAAATAGTAAAGTTTATTTGATGGACCAACTCACTGACTTAAGCAATCATCCTAACCATAGACATTAATACTTCACCTGTCTCTGTTATGTTCTTCCTACCCTTATATATACATAAAAGATCATGGAGAAACAGAAATACTTATGTTTGAAAATGTTCAGAGAGTGAAAGGTAAACTTGTACTGGGAGGTGAAATAACAAGTGTTCACCAGATGAAAGTAGACACAGCAAAACTCATTATTTTACAAAAATCTGACTTGGAAGAAAGAGTAGATCTTGTTCAAACATACTGTATTTGTATACTTGGGGAAACTTAAAGATCTCAGAATATGGCTCTCTTGAAAGGTGACAGTCTATTCTAATATAGAAAACCAATACAAGGCAATGACAAAAGAAAGTTATGAGTACAGTGTGAATATGAAGGAAGAAGGGATAGACAGAGGGTAATCAGAAAACACTTCACAGAGGTGATGATACTCAAGTTGAATATAGGAGGTTCAAGATGTAGGCTGGTATGTAAGTAGAAAAGCAAAATATTGCTTTGAAGAACAATAATGAGTATTAATTTGTGAAGCAGTTTAGACTATGTATAATGTACAAAATTTATTATCTAAACTTATGGAAATAAAAAAACTCTGAAATGTTTATGATGAGAGAGTTAGTTGTACTGAACATAGGTTATTGGAATTATCAATTTATACAAAAAATGCCCCTCAATGCCCCAAAATATGGAACATTAATTCATTTTATGTTTTCTTTTATTTTGCTTTTTTCTATGTTTAAATCCTGTGTGTTCTTTTTGCATTAGATATAAATATTTGTGAATTTTATGCAAGTGACTTTATGCATGTGCATTTGGCTGGCTCTGTCTCAAAACCATACTTGATGGGAATATTGACACTCTTTTCCAACACTATTTAATTTTGTCTTTCATCTGAGCGATTTTAAAGTTGGTTTTGTATTTGTTTGTTCAGATAGGCAGAACAAACACACTAATCAGTTTTGAATGTGAATTGAGAATGATGTTCAGTTAACATTGGAGGATTTTCATGGCATTATTTCTGAAGATAGTTGGCCTCAGATGAATTCTTATTTGTTAACTTATTTAGTTCATGTAGGAAGTACAAAAGATGGAAAAGTGAGTGAGTGGCCACTGCAAAGTAGTTGACATAATACAGAGGAAAGCTTTTTATTGAAAAAAAGAGTAAAAACGTCTTTATGAGAGCATTTACTTCACATTGGGAAACCAATTACTCCTAACCTAGAACTCTTATATTTTAGGAAAGAAAGAAAACCAAAGCAAAGCAAACAAACATGAATTTGTTGAAATCATATTATGTGCCAGAAACTAACATAGGGAGTTGCAATATATTTCAGTATTCTAAAACATTTCATTGATTTCCAACTACCTCTCTGAGAAATAGGGAATATCCTTCTCATTTCACATATGAGATACAAAGAAATTTAATAGAAGAAAACCTGCTTGGACAAGTAGTAGAATTTACAAGTCAAGTGGTCAGGCATCAGAATTCATCCACTAGGTAGGGGCTGGTGGACACTAGCAATGTCTGTATAAAGCATCTCTACCTTAATCCCTTTTGGATTTATTTGTAGTGTCAATTATTTCATGTTTGTGAGTCATTTGGAACATTTTTTAGCATGCCATATAATTTTGAATTGCATTCAAATATTGAATCCGAAATTTGGTTGAGATTCTGGAAGATGCTATCTTCCAGCACAGAGGATTGATTTTTAAAGCAGAAAGAGCATAGGCAGGCCATTTCTTTCTGCTGAGGGCTGGCTTTATACCTTTTAAAATTCATAATATCTGTTTTAACCATTAATTCTATGTCATAACTATTACTTCTAAAATGTGGCCCTTCTTGTGTTTCAACTGACAGAGTTGATCAAGACCTCCACCTTTTCAGGCTCTGAATTCAAACTTTGCCTTCTTAGCACCATATGTCTGCTAAAATTTCTGCCCAGCACTGTAACCTTTAAAATGTCACTTTCTGCTGCATTTCTCTCACTGTAGTCCTGCATATTAGCACTTTACAGATCAGTGAAAACCTTGAGAGGAACTTGCACCCAGGTTTTGGGGCACATGTTGCTGAAATTTCCTCTTCTCTGTGATGTTATCTCTCAAATGTCAAACTAGCAGCCCTGCACTCCAATCTCTTTGTCCTTAGCTTACTCAGACTGAAGCTTCTTTTTATAACTAATTTCTCTACATTAAGTATCAAAAACTTTCCTTAGGGAAAAAGCCAGGGTAAATGTAGAGCTCGCCTTCTGAAATTAGAGGGATTGCAGCCTCTCCCACTTATCCTGTGGTGGTTTCTTTCCACTGCTTTCAAATATTTGCTGCTTGTATTTTGTCTTTTCTCTTAAGAGGTTAGTTCAATGTAAGCTACTTACTTATGGTTGGCATTGAAATTCCTTTCTGTAAACTAGTTTATGTACATTTCAATTACTAGAAAAGTAACTACACACAGAAAGGGAATAAGACAAATAATAGCATTTATGAAAATATTAATTTGGGAGATATATGATGTTCTGTTGCTGGGAACTAAATTGAAACTTAGATGTATCTCATTTCTTTTTATTTTTTATTTATTATTTATTTATTCTTATTTCCTTAGGTTTCTTGGGAATAGGTGGTCTTTGGTTACATGAGTAAGTTCTTTAGTGTTGATTTGTGAGATTTTGGTTCATTCATCACCCAAGCAGTATACAATGAACCCAATTTGTAGTTTTTTATTCCTCACCTCCTTCCCATCCTTTGCCCCTGAATTCCCAAAGTCCATTGTATCATTCTTACACTTTTGCATCCTCATAGCTTAGCTCCCACTTATGAGTGATAACATACGATGTTTGATTTTCCATTCCTGAGTTTCTTCACTTGAAAAAATAGTCTCCAGTTCCACCCACGTTCCTGCAAATGCCATTAATTCATTTGTTTTTATGGTTAAGTAGTTTTCCATCATATATATATATATATCACAATTTCTTTATCCACTTATTGATTGATGGGCATTTGGGCTGGTTCCACATTTTTGCGATTGTGAATTGTGCTGCCATAAACATGCATGTGCAAGTAACTTTTTCATATAATGACTTCTTTTCCTCAAGGTAGACGCCCAGTAGTGGGATTGCTGGGTCAAATGGTAGTTCTAGTTTTAGTTCTTTAAGGAATCTCCACACTGTTTTCCATAGCGGTTGTACTAGTATACAATTCTCACCAGCAGTGTAGAAGTGTTCTCTTTTAATGGCATCCATACCAACATCTATTATATTTTGAATATGGCCATTCTTTGGGAGTCAGGTAGTATCACATTCTGGTTTTGATTTGCATTTCCCTGATAGTTAGTGATGTTGAGCATTTTCTCATATGTTTGTTGACCACTTGTATATCTCCTTTTGAGATTGCCTATTTATGTCCTTAGCCAACATTTTGTTGGTATTGTTTCATTTTTCTTGCTAATTTGTTTGAGTTAGTTATAGATTCTGGATATTAATCCTCTGTTGGACGTATAGATTTTCTCCCATTCTGTGGGTTGTCTGTTTATTCTGCCGACTGTTTCTTTTGCTGTGCAAAAGCTCTTCAGTGTAATTAAGTCTCACCTATTTATCTTTATTTTTGTTGCATTTGCTTTTGGGTTCTTGGTCATTAAATCTTTGCCTAAGCCAATGTCTAAAAGCGTTTTTCCGATGTTTGGTTCTAGAATTTTTATAGTTTCAGCTCTTAGATTTGAGTCCAAACAAAAACATAAAGTGGAGAAGGACACCCTATTCAACAAATGGTGCTTGGATAATTGAAGCCACAGGTAGGAGAATGAAACTGGATCCTCATCTCTCACCTTATACAAAAATAATTATTTATTAAATTAAATAATATGTGGTCAGATTCTTAAAATATTAATGTGCTGCATTCAGAAAAGCCCTGGGCTAGGAGCTAAAATAACTTTTTATATACTTAATTCTATTTAATCTGGAGAAAGTTATTAATCCTTAGTTTTCTAATCTATTATTTATGCTTTAGAGTTTTGTCTTTTAGAAACGTGATAATTAATATCAATCTGCTCATTAATTTACTCAATAATACTATCTATTATGTGCCAGTTTTTTTTCTAATTGTGGAGAAAAGAGAGATCAACAAAATGGTAAAGCCCATAATTTCATAAAGCCTACAAAATTGAGTAAAGAAAATAGATAAAACATAAATCCAAATTCACAAATAAAACCATTTATATTTTAAATAAGGTAATCTGGCAGAAAGGGACAGGTCAATGTGGAGAGGAGTGTAATATTAAATACCACATCTTTGCCTATGCTTGACATTTGAACTAAGACCAAAAAAAAAGGTACAAATCAGATAAATTTTCAAAGAAGTATATCCTAGGAAGGGAAAATAGCAATTACTAAGGTTTTGAGAAACTTTTCTAAAAAGAAAAAACAAAATGGTCAGTGTGGCTACAACAGAATAAACTAAGAGAAAAGTGGTAGAAGAAGAAAAAAAAGTGGTAGGTTTGGTGAGAGCTAATAAGATATTGCAGATATAGTTTTGTTTTTATTTAAAGTGTTATGTGATTCATAGTGAGTTTGTATACAGGTGAATGTCATAATGTGATTCCTGTAAAAAAGTTAAGCCACCCTTAAAAATAAATTTATTTTTGTGATAAAAGTTAAGTTGTTATCAACTTAAAATAACATGCTTTAACTGTAAGATGTTTTCTGTAAGCCTCGTGGTAAACACAAAACAAAAAACTATAGTAGATATACACACACAAAGAGCCAGGAATCAAAATATACCACTAAAAAAATTCTTAACCACAAATAAACACAGCAAAAAAATAGCAAAGGATTTACACAACACTAGAAAACGATTTAAAAATGGAAATAAAAAGTCCCTACCTATCAATAACTACCTTGAATGTTAATGGTTACATTCTCCAATCAAAAGACATAAAGTGGCTAAATCGATAATAAAACAAATCCGAAATATATGCTACCTAGAAGATATTCACTGCACCTGTTAAACCACACATATGAAACAAAAGAGATGGAAAAATACATTCCATACAAATGGAAACCAAAAGCAGACAGTGGTAGCTACACTTATATCAAGTAAAATTAATTTTAAGTAAAAAAAAAAAAAAAGATTGAGAATATTGATATATATTGATAATGGGGTCAATTCATTAAGAAATTATAATTGTAAATATACTGTATGTGCCCCTGACTTTGGAGCATTAATGTATGAAAAGCAAATATTTATAGTTTTGAAGGGATAGACTGCAATACAATAATTGTCTGCAATACAATAATAGTAGGATACTTCAACATTGCATTTAATGAAGAAACAGTTCATCCAGACAGAACATCAACAAGGAAACATTGAATTTAAACTATACTCTAGATCAAATGGACCTAGCAGACATATACAAAACATTTCATGCAACAGCTGCTAAATACACATTGTTCTCAACTGCATATGGAATATTCTCCAGGATAGTTTAAATATTAGGCCAAAAAAAAAAGTCTTAACAAATGTTAAAAGGCTAAAATCATATCAACTACCTGTTTAGACCACAATGGTATAAAACTATAAATTAATGACAGGAGAAACTTTAGAAAATTCCCAAATACATAGAAATTAAACTACATGCTCATAAACAATAAGTCAATTAAAAAAATTAAAAGGGTATTAAACATTTTCTTGAGACAAAAATGGAAACACAACATAAACTTATGGGATACAGCTAAAGCATCTTTAAAAGGGAAGTTTATAGCAATAAATGCCTACATCAAAAAAAGCAGAAAGATTTTAAATAAAATAAACTACCCAACTTTGCACCTCAAAAGATTAGAAAAGAAAGAACAAACTAAGCCCAAAATTTGCAGAAGGAAGAAAATAAGAAAAATCAGAGTAGAAATAAAAAGGGAACTTTAAAAAAAAAGAAAATATCAATAAAACAAAGAGTTGATTCTTGGAAAAAGAAATAAAATCAGCAATTCTTTAACTAGACTAGGAAAAAAAGAAGGCTCAAATAAATATAATCAGAAATGAAGGAGGAGACATTACAACTAGTAAAAGAAAAATATAAAGGATTGTAGAAGACTACAATTATTTGCCAGCCAATTGAATAACCTAGAAGAAAGGGATAAATATTTTGACACATACAACCAAACAAGATTGAATTATGAAGAAATGTAGAATCTGAATAGACTAATAACAAGTCAAGAGACTGAATTAGTAATAAAAAATCTCCCATCAAAGAAAAGCTCAGGACCTGATGGCTTCACTACTGAATTTTCTCAATTGGTGAAATAAGAATTAATATCAGTTCTTCTCAAACTCTTCCAAAAAATGCTTTAAAAGAGAATGCTGGCAAACTCATTTTATGAGGCCAACATTATCCTGATACCAAGGTCCTACAAGACACAACAAAAAAATAATACTACACATCATTATCCCTGATGAGCCTAGATGCTAATATCCTCAACAAAATACAAGCAAACTGAATTCATCAGCACATTTAAAAGATCATTCACCATGATCAAGCAGGATTCATCTTAGAGATGCAAGGTTCGTTCAACATATGTAAATAAATTAATGTAATATACCACATTAACAGAATGAATGTCAATAACCATATGATCATTGCCTATGGTTTGAATTTGTCCCCCAAATTTCATGTGTTGAAAACTTAATCCCTGATGTGGCAGTATTGAAAGGTGAGGCCTTTAAGAACTGACTGGATCATGAGGACTCTGACCTCATAAATGGATTCATCCATTCAAGGATTAACGAATTCATGGATTAATGAATTAATGGATTGTCCTGGAAGTGGAATTGGGGGCTTTATAAGAAGAGAGAGATCTGAGAAACTATGTTAGCATTCTTAGCCTCCTCACTGATATGGGAGGGGGACAGGGAAGTGCTAGGTAGAGAGAGGTGGATCCCTGGCTAGGGCTCCACCTGCAGGGACCTAGGAAAAGACAGGCGCTACTGCTTTCACGCCCAAATGTTGCATTTTCCAAGACCATACTGGCTGGCCACTCCCCATCCTGGGCCTATAAAAACATGAGACCCCGCCCAGTGCGGTGGCTCAGACCTGTATTCCCACCACTTTGTGAAGCGGAGGCGGGCAGATCACAAGGTCAGGAGATCAGGATACCATCCTGGCCAACATGGTGAAACCTCGTGTTTACTAAAATACAAAACATTAACCAGGTGTGGCTGCGCCTGCCTGTAATCCCAGGTACTCAGGAGGGTGAGGCAGGAGAATCGCTAGAACCCCGGAGGCCAAGGTTGCAGTGAACCGAGATCATGCCACTGCACTCCAGTCTGGGCAACACAGCAAGACTCCATCTCAAAAAAACAAAAACAAAAACAAAAAAAATCCTGAGACCCTAGCCGGCAGACATACAAGTGGCCAGATGTCTAGAGGAGCACATCAGCGGAAGAAGACACAAGTGGCTGGACAGCGGAAGGACATCGAGGGAGCATGCCAACAGAAGAGCACGCCCGTGGAAGAGCACGCCCGTGGAAGAGCACGCCCGTGGAAGAGCACGCCCACAGACTCCAGAACAGCGGTAGGCCATCCACCTGCCGAGGAGGTAGAGTTTGACTGCAGCAGTCGGAGAAGAGCCGGGGCCACTTAGCGGGCTAACTCCAGGGGAAAACCATCTTCCTTCTGGCTTCCCCATCTGCTGAGAGCTACTTCCACTCAATAAAACTTTGCACTTATTCTCCAAGCCCACTTGTGATCCGATTCTTCTGGTACACCAAGGCAAGAAACCCTGAGATACAGAAAGACCTCTGTGCTTGTGGCAAGTTAGAGGGTATAATTGAGCTGCTTAACACAAGCCGCCTATAGATGGCAAACTAGCAGAACACCTTGTAACACATGCCCACTGGAGCTTCAGGAGCTGTAAACATTCACCCCTAGACACTGCCTGTGGGGTCAGAGCCCCATAGCCTGCCTGTCTGTGTGCTCCCCTAGAGGTTTGAGCATGGGGGCACTGAAGAGGCGAGCCACACCCCCATCGCATGCCCTGCGAGGGGGGACAAGGGAACCTTTCCTGTTTCATTGCCATGTGACACCTTGCACTGGCTCAGGACTCTGTAGAGAGTCCCCACAAACAAGAAGGCTCTTATAAGATGTGGTTCCCTCAACCGTGGACTTCTCAGCCTCTATAACCATATGAAATAAGTTTTTTTTAATTTTTTTATTATTTTTTTGAGACAGAGTCTTGCTCTGTTGCCCAGGCTGGAGTGCAGTAGCACGATCTTGGCTTACTACAACCTCCACCTCCCAGGTTCAAGCAATTCTCCTTCCTCAGCCTCCCGAGTAGCTGGGATTACAGGTGCTTGCCACCACACCCAGCTAATTTTTGTATTTTTAGTAGAGACGGGGTTTCACCATGATGGTCAGGCTGGTCTTGAACTCCTGACCTCCTGATCCACGCGCCTTGGCCTCCCAAAGTGCTGGGATTACAGGTGTGAGCCACCACGCCCAGACAGAAATAAGTTGTGTTTCTTATAACTTACTCAGTTTCAGCTCTTGTTGAAAGCAATAGAAAATGAACTAAGATAGCGTTTGATGAAATTCAACATCCTTTCATTGTGAAACTTTCAACAAATTAGGAGTAGAAGTAATGTACCTGAACATAATAAAGGCCATGTGTTAACAATCCCATAGCTAACATTATACTCAATGAGGAAACGTTGAAAGTTTTCACTGTAATATCCTGAGCAGGACAGCACACATACTGTCTCCACTTCTCTTCAACATAAGTACTGGTTTAAACCAGACAAATTAGACAAGAGGAAGAAATAAAAGGTATCCACATTGGAAAATAAGAAGTTAAATTTTGCCTGTTTGAAGATTACATAACTTATACATAGAAAGCCCTAAGGACTCCATCCAAAAACTATGGAACTGATGGAAGAAAACACAGGAAAAAGCTCCTTGACATTGGTCTAAGCAATTAATTTTTTTAATATGACCCCAAAAGCACAGGCAACAAAAGAGAAAATAGGCAAATGGGTTACATCAAACTGAAAAGTTTCTGCACAACAAAGGAAATACTCTACAGAGTAAAGAGACACTTACAGAGTGGAATAATATATGCAAACTTTACATCTAAGGGGTTAATATATGATACATATTTAAAAACTCAAATTAATAACAGGAAAGCAACCCAATTAGAAAATGGGCAAAATCCTGAATAGACATTTCTTAAAAGAAGACATACCAGTAGCCAGCAGGTATATAAAAAATGTCTAACATCCCTAATCATCAGAAAAATGCAAATAAAAAGCATTGTGAGATAACTACTTCACCCCAATAAAAATGACTATTGTAAAAAAGATAAAATACATCAAGTATTGGTGAGGATGTAGAGAAAAGGGAACTTTCACAAAATGTTGGTGGGAATGTAAATTAGTACAGCTATTATAGAACACAATATGGAGATTCCTAGAAAAAATAGAAATAGGACTACCATATGTTTCAACAATTCCACAACTGAGTATATATCCAAAGGAAATAATATCAGTATGCCAAAGAGACACCTGCACTCTCATGTTTATTGCAGCATTATTCACAATTGCCAAGACATGGACTCAACTGGAGTGTCCATGGATGAATGCATAAAGGAAATGTGATATATATATATATATACACAATAAAATACTATTCAGCTATAAAAAGAATACAATTCTGTCATTTGCAACAATAAAGATTAACTAAAAGGATATAAATATTGTGAAATAGGCTAAGCACAAAGAAACAAATACTACATAATCTCACTCACATGTGGAATCTAAAAAAAAAAATTGTATAGAACTAAAGAGCAAAATAGTGGTTGCCAGAAACTGGAGTATTTTGGGTGGGAAGAGGATGTTGGTCAAAAGATTTGAAAAATCTGTTAGATAGGAGGAGTAAGTTCTAGAAATATATTGTACACCATGGTGATTACAGTTAATCTATTGTGTTCTTGAAAAATGCCAAGACAGTGGATGTAAAGTGCTTTCACCACAAAACTGATAACTATGTCAGGAAATGCACATATTAATTAAATCAATTTAGTCATTCCACAAGGTACCTATACCTTAAAACATCGTGTTGTGCATGATAAAGGACTTAGAAAAGGCCAAGACAACGGTGGTTTCCTACTAACAGAGAGTGTGCTTGCAGTTCTTGCTGGTCTGTCTTCATCAACGCCTGAATCCAGGAACACAGCCATGGACATGTGGGCACAACTGCCACTGAGTACCATGCAGCCATCCTGGAGTACACACCACAAAGGTACTAGAACTGGTAGGAAGGGCATCCAAAGGCTTAAAGGTAAAGCATATTACTCTTTGTCACTTGCAACTTGCTGTTCATGGTGATGAAGAATTGGACTATCTTATCAAGATTACAATTACTAATGGTAGTGTCATTGCATACATCCATAAATCTCTGATTAGAAAGAAAACAGAAAACTGTCTAAAAGATGTCTGGATTCATTATTATCCCAGGACTAGAAAACAAAAGTTGTCTGGTGTTGGTGATTCCAGTGGACTGTATCTCTATGAAAAACAGTTTTGCCTTGTTGTAATTTTATGTGAGCAAGTTGGAAGTTTAATTCATTTTCCAACCAACCATCTTTCTACGTATGGGTCTTAACCATATTTAATTGTTGCTGTGGCTTCAAAGACCTTATTGATTCCTAAGTAGTGGGTTTTGATTGGGTTTACTTTTTAAAAACTGTTTTGATTTTAATTGTGATACAGAAGTTACAGTAACAAACATATGGTGTACAGACTGTATTTCCACTGTGGTGGGTAAGCTCAAATAAAGGTCATATTCTGCCTAACCCTGCAAAAAAAAACCACCAATCAACAAAATAAAATTAAGTCAACCTTGCTGTTGCTATGCTGAGAAGGGCATGGGGTGTTGGCAGTATGAGCAAAAATGAAGTAAACAATATCATTAGGAAAATATAATATTTCTTGTGACATATGATGTTAATTTAAGTTAGGATCAGGGAATTGGAGATGAAAAACTTATTAATAATTAATGATATGTTTTGGAGTTAGAATCATGTTGTAGAAATTAAAGTAAGATAAATCAAGGGTAATTTTTAGGTTTTATTCATAAAATTTTAATACTGCAAAAAATAAGCTCAAAGTGCAGCAATTTAATAAGACATAAGCTTTGATAGAAATTACATTGCAAAAAAATCTTTATACTTGTACCACTGAACTGTAGAGATAAGCTAATACTCTATTTTGTTTACCTTTGTCTTCAAAATTGCTCTCACTAAACACTCTTAATTTAAAAGTACACAAGCATTCCCATTTGAGTAGTTAGCTACTGGACAATATAGTCAAGCAAAATTGATTCAAATGTATAATCTTGAAATAAAAAGCATGAAACCTAAATTACACAAAATCATGTCAAATTAATCATGAAGTTCTGTTTCCAACAGTCCTCCAACGTCATATTTAACTGGTGATAGTTGCATCTGTTGAAGATATCCTTGTTTTTCTTTGACAAAAAAAAAAAATTGTAAAATATTTACACTGTCATCCTTGAATAAATAAGGATTTTTTTTTCTCCTGATTTAAGGTATTTTAAGAAATCTGATAATTTTATTGAGGCCTTGAAATGTTCAGAATGAAGTAAGTAGACTTGATCTAGTTTGAAACTGATCTATGTAAAGAATAGTAATTAAATTACTATGTTTTAAGTTAAATTAGTGATAAATGCATTATTCCCTGTAGGTTTCTCATAAAATTCCTTTCCTCCATAGTTCTCATAAACTCTTTTGATTTTAAATTAATATGAAGATATCACAGATTATATAGGTAATTTAGATATACAATGCTGAAAATATGTTCTGAATAATCTTTTTTATGTAAAACCCATTAGTATTAAAAATTAATTAGAAAAAAAATCAGGACCAAATGAGTATAAAGGATGATTAAGTGCAAAAGCATTGTGCAAGATGTGCTTAATTAGCCCTTTGGTGTAGGCTTGGGCTCCGAGACAGGCTTGTGACTTGCAGGTAAGAATTAAACTGTCCCAATTATGAAGCAAGAAAGGGATTCCAGATAGATTCCATGTTACTGGTCAAGGAACAAATAAAACTGAGGAATAATGTTTAAGAACACAAGTTCAAAACTATATTAATACAAGTCTTAATTGGCAGAAAGTAGATAAAAATGTACTAAATATTGGAAGAATTTTTTAATATTTGCAACCTGTAAATATTAGAACATTTTGTTTCCAGTAACATGCCTAGCTGGATTACTTAAGACATTCTGTATCTGAAAAGTATCCCAAAATTCTGGCTAAAATATTTTATGCAATTTTGACAGGAACATAAAAGAGCTGGCTTGAGAGTCAGTGAAAGCTGGAACACAGGGAGGACAGGACAGGACTGAACACAGTGGTCTGCAGAGTACTAAAGCTGCTGTCGCTCTGATGGTGGTTGTAGAACTTGCTAATCTTGAGCTTTGAGCTCTGATTTAGTAGAACACAGTGTCTAGGCACTGCCTCAGATGTGGAGTTTTATAGGAAGCCATCTTCCATAAAGCTCTGGACTCCAAAAGTCTATACTTTCAATATGATGTCTAACCAGCAATAAACACATTCTCCATCCTTATCTGGAAGGCAATATCTTCAAACTACTAAAGAGACTAAATGGCAAGGTGGAATCCTACACACTGTAAAAATATATTTCAAGAACAAGTGTGTACTAAACACATTTTCAGGTAAAAACATAACATTAAAGAATAAAATCTTCAGACCTCACCAGAGGAATTCTAAAGGGTCTACTTTAGGCAGAGGAGAGTGATCCAAGCAGGAAGGTGTGAAATACAAATGGGAAGACATAAACATGAGATAAACATTTTCACATATCAAAAGGCATATTAACTATATGAAAAATTATTGCTCCGTTGTTGATGGACATAAATATACATTATTTTAAAAGTAAAATTAAAAATAAATAAGATAAAAAAGATAAAGAAACAAAAATAAAAGGATCAAGCAGAGATTAGAGGTAATGAAACAAGAATTATAATTATTCAAGTTTTATACTGTACAGTAGAAGTAATGAAAATCAACATACTTTATATAAGAAAAATTCCATTGGAAAGTGAAATAAAATATACCATATACTATTTACAATAGCATACAAATGTGATATGCTGAAAAAATTAATTACATAACATATAATCATACATTATTATAATACATAATAAATTGAAAAGAAATCAATCAATTAATAGATATACCATGACCAAAGACTGGAAGAACAATAAACAGTAATAATAACAAATAATCACAATAATAACCCCTTCAGGTAGTTTTGTAGACATTGATAATGAGCTTCTAATATCTTTCTTGAATAAAAGTAAGATAGTAGCACTATAGGAATAAAATAGAAAACCTAAAATATACCCAGTCATTATATGAACACATCAGATCAATAGATAGAGAAACAATTTCTCAATAAATATTGTTGAAACAGCTTTGCATCTGTGAGAAAAAAAATGATGCTGGGCACATTACCTCATACTGCAAGTAAGATCAATTTCAGGTGAAGTGAAGACATAATTTATAAAGGAAAACCACCTTTAAAATATTGAAAAATGGTTTGTGTATTCTGGTTAAGAATGTCTTTTAAAAGACACAAAACTACAATAAAGAAAAATTTTAATTTTTGAGAAATTAAGAACTGTTATTAATTGAAAGACACCATTAAAATTAGAAAGACAAGCCACAAATCGAAGAAGATATTTGCTTCCAAAAATGCATAATAAGGGAAGTATAAACGTTGGAAAAGAACTCCTATAAGCCATAATGAAAATATAAAAAGTAAATTGGTATGTTCATACAAAAATACTACACAATAATGTAAATCAACAGACTGTAGCTGCATATGTCAACATGGAAAAATCTAAAATATCGTATTTAGTGAAAAAATCAGGTCACAAACATGTATAAAGAGTGTTTTTAATTGTCTAACATTTTAAAGGGTCACAGTTAAACTATATTGTTTAAAACTGAATCCATAGGTTCTTAACTCTAAACTAAAACAATAGTATAAATATGACAAAAATGGGGATATTGGCTGACTTGGCACTGAAAAAAATGTTATGAGTTGGGCATACAGAGAATCTTCTACAATATTCTCGATAGAGTTGATTTATAATTTTTGAACTGTTTCTTGTGTTTTAATTTAGAACTGTTTTATTTATGGACTATTAATTAAATATCCTTTAAACAAAACGATGAATTAAAATATTTATCTAATTATTATTTTATTTAATTAAATTTTCTGCAATAGAGTCCATGATGTCAGAATAAGTGAATTTTGGCATACCTTTTGTTAAACCAGGAGAAGCAAATATTCACAATTATTTAATATATATTTGAATATATTATAATGAAAGCTATACATATTAAATGTCCTGGTGTGTTAGCTTGGGTTATTGTTTTCCGCTGTTCAATTCCTCCTACCTTGTGGCAGAAGATGCGTAGAATATTTCCTTGCACTATTAATGTTGCTCTTAGCCATGACTTATTTTGGTGAAAGAAATGTAGAAAGAAATATCAGTCTATTAGTTCTGAGCCAAAAACTTAACTACTTACCTGCTTTATGGTCCCATAATCTGCCATGAGAAGAGTGTGTCTCAGATTGCTGTTGACCTGAGGACAGTGTGGGAATAGTTAAGAGGAATTAAATTAGATCCACAGTCTGGAGTTCAGGCAAGCCCATCAGAGTACTAACCAACAGAGTCATGAAGGAAAAATAAATAGAGTTGTCCCTTGGTATCTGCAGGGAATTGGTTCCAACCCTTCCATGCTCAAGAGTCCAAAATCCTCAGATGCTCAAGTCCCTATATAAAAATGGCATAGTATTTGCATATAACATATGCACATTCTGTTAAACACTTTAAATTATCTCTAGATTACTTATAATACCCTTCACAGTGTAAATGCTATGTAAATAGTCATTATAATATATTGTTTTCAAATTTTATATTATTTTTTATTTTTGAAATATATTTTATTTGCAGTTGGCTGAAACCATGGATGTGAAACCTGCAGATACAGAGGGCCAGTAGTACATATTGTTAAAAGCTGTAGTGTGTGGGAGTAATTTGTTTCACAACATCATTGCAAGAATAGCTTACTAAGATATATTGGAACAATCAAATGGAAGAGATTAATTCTGCCATTAGTGGAAAGTGTTAAGCAAGGCATGAAAGAGGTGATGGCATTTCACCTAGACCTTCAAACATAAGTTGACCTTTGGACTAAATTGCTTAGCTCCTTACCTTATATTTATATTTGTCAATTCAATCAGTGTAATGGAGTATGAACATTTATTGATTGGTACCTTAAATTACATTGGTAGCAAGTTTGAAAAAGGCTTTGAGAAAAGACTTCCATAGCAATCATCAGTGTAGTGATGGGTAATACAAAAAAGTGTACTGTCTGTGCTTTTAAAATGAAAACCTGATCTTGCAAAATAGTTCACTTTTATATTTCATATAATGTAGCATTTCCGTAAATCAGTTTACAATTTATGTTGTTACTGTCTGGAATACTATAATTTTATATATTTTAAATGACATTTGTCTGGATAACTCCAGCCTACACACTGTCACCAAGTTGTTTATCACCCTCTGCAATACATCAAAAATGAACAGTGGTTCATTTCTCCTTTATGTCAGCAATCACAAATGTAATAATAAAATGATTTGTATAAATACTTGGTTAATCTTTATTTTATTTTTCCCTAATTGGTTGTAAATAAGGACAGAGACTGTGTCTGTTTGGATCCCTGTTATAGAATTCCTGGACCATGGAGGGTATTCAATAAATATTTATTTAAGAAATTTATCAATAAATTAGAGAGCACAGACTTTAATGTCAGATGAATCTGAGTATGAAAATCTATTATATCTTTCACTAAATTTGGATCCTATATAAATGATTCCCATTCGGTATTCCCATTTTTCTCATATGCAAATCTGATGTGATGAGAATTGGAGAAATAAATGTAAACATCTCACATAAATGGTAGTTATTATTATTTGAATGCTTTGTAGTACAGGTAGACATTTAGGAGAGAGAAAAGGTGCACATCCAGTTTTTCTGGCCAATTCAGTTTACTGTAAAAGTTCAGAGGGCAAACATGTCTTATACAGGAATAAGGACATCTGAATAAACAATGTGTTTACTAGGTCTTCTGCTGCATAAAAAATTGGTTTCTGTGTGATTGTTACAAGTATGGCTCTGGCAGCAGATTTTTATAAGTGACCTATGTGTTCATTGTTTGTATTACCTAAACACCACCTTTCTGTGGTTATTTTGCTTGCTTCAAACATTAACAAAGAACACAAATGAAAATAAAAGAATTCAGAAAGACTTTTCTTTTAATTAAATTCCTCTTACAAAATACGTTTTTGCATTTTATTCTATAATTACAGCACTTAAAGTCTGTCATGAGAATTAGGCGTTTGGTTGCATCTTCCCATCTGTTTTCTAGAAAGCAAGCTTTCCTGGATTTTCACCTCTGCCCTCTTACGATCACCCTTCATTATAGAATATTTTTCTCATTGTCCTCAAGCTGCCTGGCTATTTAGGAAGCAGTAATGAGGAGGCTGGAGTTTGTTAAATTGTTTGTTGAATTATGCAGAAGTGCCTTGCTGTGCTTTAATTTAAACTAATAGCATTTCTTTTAATGCTGCTACACAAATAAAATACTAATAATTTAGCCTTTGTCTACCCCCCACTTGTTTTCCAAATATGAGAACATATACTTGAGGTAAAAAACAGACAGAGATTTACATGCTTCCTTTAGCTAAGTAATATTATGCATATAGGAAATAATCACTATTTCCCCCCCAATATCTTCAGGCTATTTTATATGCAAGAAAACTCTAAACACTATAACATTGTCCTTCCTGTTCATGCGGAATATATCTGGTGGGTTATGTGAGACTTTAAAATAGCTATGCCTTCACTCCTGTAACTAAATGCAATCTGTATTAGTCCAGTCTCACACTGCTATGAAGAAATACCCATACTGGGTAATTCCTAAAGGAAGAGGTTTAATTGACCCACAGTTCTGCATTGCTGGGGAGACCTCAGGAAACTTACAATCATGGCAGAAGGTGAAGAAGAAGCAGGAACCTTCTTCACAGGGCAGGATGGAGTGAGTGCAAGCAGGGGAAATGAGACGCTTATAAAACCCTCAAATCTCATGAGATTCACATCACAAAAACAGCATCAGGGAAACTGCTCCCGTGATTCAATTACCTCCATTTGGTCCCACTATAGACATGTGGAGATTATGGGGATTACAATTCAAGAGGAGATTTTGGATGGGGGCACAGCTAAAACTATCAAATCCAAAGAAAGTATTTTTTTCTAAAAAAAAAAAAAATCACATTTATTTATGTATTTATAACTTATAAACTATGAAATTTACTATTTTTAGAATACAGTTCTTTAAGTCCAGAGAAATGCAGATAAAGCTATGCTACCACCATCAGAAACTTAATGCAGAACTACTGTATACCCCAAATAATCCTGTCATGTTGTCTTTTCTAGTCAACTGCTTACCCTACAACCTCTGAATAACACTGATCTATTCCCCATAATCAGAAGTTAAGAAATACATTTTTTAAAATTATAGGTACTTATTATAAGATATTTTCAGTTTTAACCTGCTTTAATTTTGAGAATTTTTACTCATTTTGCATCTAATGCAAACAGTGAGTTTATGGAATTTTTACTTAATCAGCATTCCCAGACTGATGCTCTGCAGAAAACATTTCTGCAGAATAAAACACTAGGTGTGTTATTTTTAAAGTGTTTCATGTTGTAGTTTGTTTAGTAATATTTGAATTAATCTATCTTTTCAGGTAACCATTCTCTATATTTACAATAAAATATTTGTAGAATGGTTTCTATTGATTGTTCATTTGGATGCAGAGTAAAATAAGAAGTAGTGTGAGATGTTGAGATCAATTCTATTTAGAATGTGAGATATTGAGATCAATTCTAATTAGAACAGTAGACAAAAAACAAGGCAGCTGACACATAATAATTACATTTTTATTTTGTGAATCAAAAATTACTGAAAATCTATATAAATTTAACCAGAAATCCAAACAGCCATATAAAACATAGGAAGATATGAAACAGTCTATATTAACATGTGTAGATGTGAAGATGTTTATATGCCTTTATGATTACAATGAATCAATCCAAAAGGTATGAAAACAATATCTGAAATTCAGACTCCCAACATTTGAAATTGGTAATTCCCTTGAAAATCATTGGCATATCAGCACAATATGTGCATATGCAATTGTCTGCTTTAAATTAAAGCCCAATATGGGGTGGAAAGAATGACAGAGGACAGGCAGTACACTCTGAGCCTGTACTTGATTTTTGATAATTTTGTGTTACTCATCTGGTATAAAAATGTTTTTGACAAAATGATAAATACTTATATAAACTTTAATATTATAGCAATTCAAAGCTGCTTTTAAAACTAAGCACAATGAATCAATAAGTCTAATCTTTTTATGATTTCTTTTTTTTTTTTTTTTTTTTGAGACAGAGTCTCACCCTGTTGCCCAGGCTGGAGTGCAATGGCACGATCTCAGCTCACTGCAACCTCTGCCTCCTAAGTTCAAGCGATTCTCCTGCCTTAGCCTCCCAAGTAGCTGGGATTACAGGAGTGCACCACCACGCTCGGCTAATTTTTGCACCTTTAGTAGAAACAGGGTTTCACCATGTTGGCCAGGCTGGTCTCCAACTCCTGACCTCATGTTCTGCCTGCCTCAGCCTCCCAAAGGGCTGGGATTACAGGTGTGAACCACCACGCCCAGCCCTTTTTATGATTTCTAATTCTCCTAATAGAATATTGACATCTGTTAGTCTTTTCCTCCAGCTGTGTACAATAAGAAACAGGACACATGCAGATGAACAACAGTTTTCAGATATTGAACAACAGGCAGCAGAGGATTTGTTGCCTGATAAAGACGCACAATAAATGAGGTAAGTCCTAGTGATAACAGCAGGAGCCAGAAAAATTCCTAGGAAGATAGGGGTGGGTCTCCAGTGAAACCTGACCTTTGAAACAAAGACAGTCTGAAGTCTGAAAACCAGGCTGCCAGTTCTGGGTAGAATCCATGACCTGGTGTGAGAACTTGCTTGATGCCTTTCAGTCATCAAATGGTGCTTTTTCCAGGCCCATCTATGGATCAATCAGCATGCATGTCCTCCATTCTTGCCCATAAAAACCAAAGACTCAGCCACACTCAGAACTACCTGCCTGCAGGTAGGAGCTACCCATATCAGGTCTCCTTTCCTCTGAACACTGTTCTGTTCCTCAATAAAACTTTTCTCTTTGCTCCCCACTGTTGCTCAGCCCCTCCTGTTGTCCATGTAACCTCATTCTTCCTGGACACAGTACAAGAACTCAGGACTTGCTGAACAGTGGGTATGAAAAGGGCTGTAACATGTTCCTGGCTGGCTTGCCAAGCTGTGGGCAGGATCAAAAAGGCTTGTAACATGTTCCTGGCCTGCTCACCAAGCTGCGGGCAGTGACACACTTCTGTTTGCTGGATGGCAGGAGTGAAGAACGGTGACTCTTCTGGGGTCCCAGACCTCTGGATTCCCTGAGCCCTAGCTGTAACACTACAGCCCTCCCTCCCTCTGCCGGCATCAGGCAGCTGCCCCATATGAGGGAAGTTGCAGTGGAGCTGGGCCAGCCCAGGGGCTGCAGGCTGGGTCGAAAGGGTGGGACTAAATGAGCTCAAACGCACCCACCACCCATTTGCCAAGCTGTGGGCGGCAAGAATGAGAGAGCTGTAGCACACTGCCCTACACCTTGTGCCTCTGCAGTTGCTGGCATCTTCAAGTTTTCACGTGCCACTGTGTTCTCCTTGTCCAGACCCTGGTGCCTGCAGTGAGAGCTGCTTACAGTATGCCCGGTGTAGCCACAGCCTTGCAAGAAGCCAGGGCCTGTGCTGGCTCCTGGAGCTGCCTGCTTTGCTGCAGCAGCCAGGGCACCTAGCTGTGCAAAGTGGCTGGACCCTGGACTCACTCATTCCCACATACCTCACCACTCCCCGCCTGGCTTGCCCTCGGCAGGTGTGGGATTCAGGCTGGTAGCACAATCCAACCGCAGCCTGCCATGCCAAGTAGGCAGAATAAGACCAGCAGGCACAACTAAAACTCAAGCAGAGGCGTTACTGGCCACAGAGGTTTCTGGCTAGCAAACTGACACCCAGAGGATCCTGTGACACTAACAATGTCATTGTTTATTCACTGGGTGTCATTTTCCAGGCTACAGAGCATGGGATAGGGGAAATAAAGATTAGATCGTGGGAAAGTCAGGGCAGAAAGAATTTATAATTCATAATATGGGAGAAGAGAAGTTGCACGTAGAGAGAAAGAGAGTGTACATGTTTGGCTGATTATTGATTTGTGGATGGATGAGAGGAAATTATCTGAAGCTAGTAAAAATAGAATTTGTTTTTCAAGATCTCACAAAGGATGGGAAATGCATCATGATCACTCTACCTGCAACGAAGAGATCTCATATTATAAGTCTCTGGATAGAGTCAAAACGAAGCTTAAACAATAGAGCCACAAAGGATAGAGATGATGGAATTAGTAAATAAGAATCTCAAAACTATATATAAACACACATGTATATATAGGTGATCCTTGTATAACACACTGGGGTTACAAAATACAATAATTGAAATTCCAAAAATGCATGTTATAATAACAAGTAAATTAAACACAGCAAAATAAAAGATCAATGAATTTGAAGGTGTCGTGATAGAAAATGTAAAAACTTCTATTCTTACGACTTCTATCCTACATTATACTAGGAGTCCTAGCCATTGTTTTAAGGGGAGGGAAAAAAACACTCATACACGTTAAAAAAGAAGAAGTAAATGTTCTATATTCACATATATGTTTGCTTATTCAGAATATTCTGAATAATCTTACCAAAAGTTACTAGAAATAAAAAGTGAATTTAGTAAGATCATAAGTAAGCAAACGTCAATTTAATTTTAATATGCTACTAATGAAAAATTAGAAATTCAAATTAACTAAATCCTACTTATGATCATTTTAATACCACATATTTTAGCATCTAAAAGCATAGCACATTTAAGGGAAATTTTAGTGAAACATTGAAGACCTATAAACTGAAAACTAAAATACTCTTGTTGAGAGAAACTAATGGTGATCTAACTGAATGAAGACATATATAACATGTTAATAAATTATAAGATTCAATAATGTTAAGAAGTCAGTTATCTCTTCATAGATTTATAAATTCATTGCAAAAATGAACAAAATTCCATAGGCTTTGTTTTTGTTTTTGTTTTTGTTTTTTGAGGTGGAGTCTCGCTCTGTCGCCCAGGCTGGAGTGCAGTGGCGCATCTCCATTCACTGCAAGCTCTGCCTCCTGGATTCACACCATTCTCCTGCCTCAGCCTCCTGAAGTGCTCTTGGGATCAACCCTGCAGAAGAGAAGGGAAGATAGCAGATTGGGCAAGGGAGGCTTGCACTACCCTGCAAGGAGTTTTGAAGCTAGGATGCCCTTCAGAGTTGTCCTGAGTTTAGACAAAAGGGCTGGGATTATAAAACTTACATTGAGTCATTAGATGTAGTCCACTCCCCAGAAAGATGTGATCACTTCAGCAAAGTCCCCCAAAAGGACTGGCAGTAAAGGCTACTGTCACTGGTTAGTAGTAGCCTGCCAAAGGGGAAATCCTACTGGTATAAAACTGTATACAACACAGTACACCTTGCAGGGCTGGATCCACTTCTTTGTATATGTTGTAGGAGCAGCTCTTCCTGGATTCTCATGAATCAATGTTTCCTTACAAAAAGAAGGCTAGTGGGATAATTTCAGCCCCTGTTTCTTTCCTCCACGACCACCCCAATCCCCCTCACCATCAGTTCACTGCTCTGCTGGTTCCAGAGGCTCATTTGGCCACAGTAGCATTCAGTCATCATGCTTCCTCAGGCTGGTCACTACATTTGTACAAGCACTGTCAGAATTGGGAAGCTAAGTGGTCCCAGGGGTGTCCAAGAGAAACATGTGGTCTCACACCCATTCCAGATGCCTCCACTGGGCTACAGCAGTTTACCTCCTTTGGGGAATCAGGCTGGAAATGACTCTTACTGGCCACTGACCTTTGACATGAAGAGTCCAGGTGCTTATGTGGCAACTGAAGCTTTAATTCAAGGGGCTCCTAATGTGCTCTGGCAGAAGCATCTCCCTCAGGACCAGGACTTCCGAACACTCAAAGCCCAGAGGTAGAAATGTGGGAACCTAGGTCAAGTGGAGCCCAGGTGAGTCCCTTCTGAGGGAGATCATGAGTGGAGACATTCTGCTTCCCCCTTGATTTCTAGATCCAAAAATATACCCACTGGGGACATAGTATTATTGAATGGTCCCTGGTTCTTAGTGTGAATTCCATCCTGTAGTATGGGCATCATAAAAATATTGTCATTAAGTTGATAGGTTACTCTATATTTGACAGCCTGTCCCATGCAGCGTCAGACTGATGGCTTCTGGAAGATGTACATGATACAAGTAGTGGGCTGCAGGTTTCTTGTGCTATGAAGTGGCTCCCTACATCTGACACAGAGCTAGGCAGTGCCAAGGCCTGGGAGACCATGTGTACTATGTTTGCACGTTTTTCTGAATTAAATGTGATATGGACTAGAGTGTTTCTCTCTCTCCCCAAATTTAAATATTGAAGTTCTAATCACTAATGTGATGGTTTTAGGAGATGAGCCCTTTGGGAGGTAGAGTGAGGCCTTATGATGGGATTAGTGCCCATGTAAAATGATGAGGAGACACAAGAACTTTCTCTCCCTCACTTCACCATGTGAGAATACAATGAGAAGGTGAGTGAGGAAGAAGGCCTTCACCAAACACTGAATCTGCTGGCATCTTGATCTTAGACTATCCAGCTTCCAGAACCGTAAGAAATAAATGTTGTTGTTGCCTGCAATCCCATCACTTTGGGAGGCACGAGGTCAGGAGATCCAGACCATCCTGGCTAACCCGGTGAAACCCCATCTCCACTAAACATACAAAAACAAAATGAGCTGGGCGTGGTGGCAGGGTCCTGTAGTCCCAGCTACTCAGGAGGCTGAAGGGGGAGAATGGCGTGAACCCGAGAGGCGGAGCTTGCAGTGAGTGGAGATGGCGCCACTGCACTCCAGCCTGGGCGACAGAGCCAGACTCGCGTCTCCAAAAAAAAAAAACAAAAAAAAAAAAAAGAAAAAGAAAGAAATGTATGTTGTTTAAGGAATCCAGTAATCCAGTCTATGGAATTTTGCTAAAGCAACCCAATCTGCCTAAAACCAAATGTTATTTGTGACATATTTGTTTGTGAACAAAAAGGAATAATATATATTATTTTCATAGAAATAAAACATTTACCATTTGATTATTAAAATTCTCACTTTTATTAAAATAAAGCAAGACACATAATTGACTTTGCCTTCTAAACAAGAAAAATATGATGTATATGTAATAGAGATTAATCATATACTTTCAAATTGTTTGAAAGATACATAAAGGTTACTGATATAGTTTTTAGCAAATTCTCTTTATTTTTTATGTTTTGACTGTATATATTTCACTGAGGGTGTTGTTAGGTATATAAAGGTTATGTGTTTCAGCTTACTAATTCCTTATGCTTTTATCATTAAAATTATTTCTCTTTCTATCGACCTGTGGGTTATGAACCCAGCATATTTCCACTATGTCACTCTGGTAGCTATGCCTGTAGTTAACTATAAAATATTCTTATACAGTTTCAAGTATCTAGAAGGAGGATATTGAATGTTCCCAACACAAAGAAATTGAAAATGATACATTTAAAATGGGTGAATTTTATGGTATGCAAATGATATCTCTTTTAAGGAAGTGAAAAGTAAAATAATAGAAGAGAAGTGCCTGGCTTCCCACTATTAATCCAATTTTATATGGTGTTGATCTATACTTTCACAATTTGCATAATCCATTACCAAAATGTAGAATATAGAATATAAACAGATCACTAAACCAATTAGGAGCCATAAGTATCTGCATTCATATTATTTTTCTTTTCTTTTGAGATGACCTCTGCTATATCTATAGAGTTGTAGTGTTCACATATTCTAGATTATGATTAAAATAGGTAGTAATGTTTCTGTCTTCCCAACTTCTATACTTAATTCCTTTTATTTCCAGTGAATTAGTAAGCCCTTTGAAGCATGTTCAGAATCATCTCATGTGTCTAGATTTAAGCTCTTTGGGCGAGTTTTAGTTAGTTTTTAATTACTTAAAAGCAAAGTCGATGTTCATTGAGATATTTCTCCAAAAATTTGTTAGTCTACTGGTTTAGAAGCAAATATATTTCTTATGTGGGAAACAACCCAACTTATGACAGGATTGTTTATTTAAATAACTTTTTATTTAAATAATTTCTATTTGAGATTTGGGTGTGTCCCTATATCTTCTTCTTCTTCTCCTACTATATTATAATGTTGGTTTTCTTAATTTCCACCAGTTCTAAAATTACCAATACTAGAAAGCAGCAGGGACTATTAAATTTGTTAAAGGTAATTAGAGAGACATGTCTAAGCACGTCACTGCACATTTTGAGTCATACAGAGAATAGCATCTAATTAGCAACTAAGAAATTTTGTAAGTATCAGATATTTAATAGGATATATCAAATTTAAAGTGAATAAACATAAATAATACAAAAGTGACATGCTTAGGTTATCCAGAATCAAACTGGAAGTGACGGATCAATTTTAAAAATAAGGACAATGCTTCCATGAACAGGATGCTTAAAGGTTTACAGGTGTAATACTGAATTAAATTCTTTCTTACTTTAGATTTCAGGTATACTAGGACTCTTTCTACAAAACAAAAAGTTGTATTTTATATTTTTCATATTCCTGTATCCAAACGATGCCAGGTGCTAGTTATAAAACTGCTAGAAATTACTGAAAATTATGTTCATTTTTCCATTTTTGTTCTTTTATATTTGAACTCTCATTTACTAACTTCAAAATATTCAGTCGGAAATAGGTAAAGAATATTGCCTAGAGGGAAAAATAACAGTGTATGTCATACTGTTGTGCAATGAGGAATCCATTTCCATTTTAGTCTCAAAAGACACCTTTTCTCGAAATGGCTTTAATGTACCTTATCATCACTCCAACTCAGAGCAACGATTATGACAGAAAGGACAACAATCTTACAGAAATTACAAGACACAAAAGTGTTCACAGAGCTTCCGTAGAAGCAGAGTATTTACTTTGATACAATCACACCACATGCTATCTCCAGTAAATTACAGCACATAGCTGAGTAGAAGAAAAAATGTTAAAGAATAAGCAGATATGGATAAACTGTTTATTACAAATTACATTTGTGATATATCCTTTAAAATATTACATGTCTTAAGGCAGACTCATTTATTCCTTTAGCAAATATTTTTGAGCCACTACAAATGACTTAAGTACTCTTCTAAGCAATAGAAATAGATCTTTAAATTAAACAAATACCTATTTACACAGTTTCTAAGCCCATAGGAGAAGACAGAGACAGACAAATAGGTCAAGTATAAGTTAAGTGGTGGCTCATGAGTCTCAAGTTTATATATATATATATATATATATACACACACACACACACACACACACACATACACAATGGAATACTATTTATATATGTGTGTGTGTATCTATATTTGTATATATAGATATATACATACACACACAATGGAATACTATATGTATGTACACACATACTGTGTTTTTAAAGCTATTTATCCACTGATGGAATGTTTTACTTCCTTTTAGCTATACTGCAGAATGTGGTAAATATAGTAAATGGTAATGTACTGTACATTTCAAAATTTCTCAGAGGTAAATTTCAAATGTTCTCACAAGAAATGGTGCTTGAAATGATGAATATGTTACTAAAAATTATCTTGATTTAATTATTTCAATTATATTCAGAAATCATAACCTCGCTTTGTAACCCATAAATATATACAACAAAAATTTGTCAATTTACAATTAAAAAACAAAAATAAATAAGGTAAAAGTTAAAAAAAAAGCAGTGAAGTATCTGAGAAGGAATAATAAGGGGTGAAAATAAGAGACAGTGGTGTTAAAAGCCAAGTGCGGAGAGTATATTAAAATAGAAGAAGTGGCCACCTGTGTCAAATGCTACTAATTGATCAGTTGAGATGACTGATGACTGAAAATTGGATTTGTCAGTATCGAGAAGGTAACTGCCAAGAACAGTGCTGTGAAATAAGAGAGAAAGCCTGAGATCATAAGTAGAGGAAGTGGAGACGGTAGGAAAAGATACCTCTTTCAAGGAATTTTCCTGAAAATAAAGAGGAACTAAAGGGCCATGTACGGTAAAATGATTTTTTTCTTCTTTTTAGGATATTGATTCTGAATCCATTTGTGTGCTTATTGGAATAATCCATATGAGAGAAAATTTGATGATAAACGACTGAGAGAGGAGAAACTGTTACAACACAATCACTGAGTGAGAAAAAGGGGATGAGAATCTAGTTTACTCGAGGGAGGTTGGCCTTTGTAGCACATATTTTATTCAAAGTAACAGGAGGTAAGAGAGAGTATTTGGCTATAGATATAAGTGGATAAATGTGGTTGTGGTAGCTTGTGGCTCAATTTTCTCAGCAATAAGTACACAGAAAAAATGTTCTGAGGAAAGAGAAAAGAGGTGGGAAAATATAATAGTTTCTAGAGAGCGTAACAATCAAATTGACTTAGGAATTTTGAATTCAGCAGGAGAGCAACCTTCAGAGTATGCATTTTCTTCAACTGATTCAGGTGTTCAAGTTCAGGTTCAGAGGAATGGATAATTCTATGTAAACACAGCCAGAGTTTTGCCAGAGGAATAAGATGAAAATGAAGAAGAGAATGATGTTGAAAGTGATAGAAAGTGGTGTTTCTAATGATGAAATAAGTCTTCTTTAGGAGATAGCCAAAATTCTGACCAATAGTTTTAGGAAAAAGAAAAAGAAATTGTAGGAGAATGTTAACAGGGAAGAGAGACTGGTTGAGGGGCCTAAAGACATGGAAAAAGATTGAAGAAGAGGATCAGGGAGGGATCTCTAAAAAGACAGATGTCTGATACTCAATTTCATATTTTACCAAGTATAATTTCTAAGGTCAGCCACACACAAATAATCTCATTAAGATTTCTCTCTGAAAACAACCTTTAAAGACACAGAAATCCAGTATGCATAGATGTAGGCTCTAGCATACTGTGCACTCAAAAATAATAGATAATGCTATTAATTTCACCAAGCCCAAATATAAAAATTCTCATCATGTTTTTAGTAATGTAAGCATGAGTTTTTTGTTTTGTTTTGTTTTGTTTTTGGCCAAGGCAATGGTAATTTGACACTTTCATGTCTTCGTTCAAATGTCAACTTTTCACAGACACTTTCTGACAATTCTGTTCTAAATTCAAACCCCTTTCCTCAAGTCACCCACTAACTCTCACCCCACTTACCACTCAAGCACTTACCAATATCTAAATGTTTCAATTTATTTTTCTATCTCATGCTTCTACAAAGTAAGCTACATGAGGACAGGAGCTTTTTTCTTTGTTGTTTACCTCTATATCATAAGCAACTAGAAAAGGTCATACTATTTGTAGTTCTCAAAAATAATTTTTTAAAGTGATCCAATTGATAGCTCTTAATAATGCACTTTGAGAACAGGGTTCTGAATCTTTTATATTTGGGAAAGGGATTGCAGAATGTTAACTCCACTTTCAAACAAAAAAACACTGTTTATTACTGATATAGGAGATGAGAAGAAATAATTTAGGCAGATAGTGAGGGTACAGGAGTCCTTGGAAAGGTTTTCCTTTTTATGAAAAGCAGTCCCCAAATCATTTTCTTTTCTAACAAAGAGAAGCTTGTAAAATGCAGCTGCAGACATAGGCAAGCAAACAGGAAGCTTGCACAGGTGAATGCCAGCAGCTGTGCCAATAGGAAAAGGCTGCCTGGGACTAGGCATGTTCAAAATGGCAACTCCATCTTCCCTTCCCTTTGCCAATCCACATGTAGAGGAAGGAGAGGACAATATGGCGCTGGACACGCAAATACTCTGTTTTCATAATAAGGTTAGGGTGGGAGACCAGCCTTCCCCACGCTATGTAAATGTCACACCTAGTCAGCCAATTTGCTGGCCCTACGTCCATCAGACCGCCTCCTCAAACCTACCTATAATATCTGGCGCAGTCGGCCACGGGCTGGCTTTTCTCTCTGGGGAGCCCCTCTCTCTTGCAAGGGAGAGAGCTTGTAAGAGCTCCTTTCTCTTTCTTTTGCTTAATAAACCTCTGCTCCTAAACTCACTCCTAGTGTGTGTCTGTGTCCTTAATCTCCTTGGTGCCAGATGATGAACCCCGGGTATTTACCCCAGACAATGACGCTGCTTCATTATTCCAGAGAGAGGCCTGCATTCTTTATTTTTAGGGTTCCTACTAAATATCTATTGCATGCCATGTTCTATATAACAACTGTATTGAACAGGTTTTAGTGTGGCAGAGACTGTTAGTACTCTCCAAATATTCATTTGCTTCTTGACATGTCACAGACTCCCTTGCTGGTGGTTTGATGTATGACCAATGAAATAGGAATAGAAACATCAGCATTATTTCATAGCTGAGTCTTACAGGAACTAAAGAACCTCTTCCTTCTCTCACCTTTCTAGGTCTTGGTGACTTTGGAGACCACATGGTACAGATAAAGTAAAAAGGAGGACCAATGGTTCATACAAAATTGACCATTAGCAAGTGATAAATATTTAATGAGCTAAGCCAGCGAAATATCTGTTTTTGCTTTTGTTTTTTATTCATAAAGCAATTTTTTTCCTCTAGGCTAATATAGAACTTGCAATAGAAATTGGGCACTGCTGAAGTTCTTTTGAAATCGAACAATAATAATAATAAATAAGTAAATACATGATAGTTGTTTTGATAGTTATATACATATGACAAAAAGAGAAAATAAAATTTAGAGTCTTAAATCATAATGATTTGTTACATGTGGTGGCAAATTGGTAATATTTAGTAACTTGGAAAGTGGATTATTGGTCTTCTAAACTTTTAGCTCTAGTTGAGATTTCAGCAAAGGTCAGAGCTTTAGTATCTGTTGTCAAGGCATTTCATGATAAAAAGAAAGGAAAAAAAAAAGAAAAGCTCAGAAAGAATTTGCTGTTGCAAGTAGAAATTAAAGATGTCACAGGAAATCAAGGAATTCAGAGTCTGGCACAGATGGGAAAAAACATCTCATTCTAGGCACCAAAGTAAAGGATAGATTTTTAAAATGTTTTGAGCTCCAAGGGCCCCAAATATCTTCACATTTCTATTAAGCACAAAAAAAGAATTATGAATTGAGCATCGTGCCAGTATAATTTCTCAGTTGGATACCATCTCATGGCAAAGACTAATTAAAGGTGTGGTCATCATCACAGGGTTTCAAGTGATCTGAAATTATCACCACTACATTTTTGCCAACTTTGTCTCTCCTCCCCTCCTTGTCTATTTTGGCCCTGGTTGTGTTTCCAGGTCATAGCTTCATATCTTTCGTGTCCGGAGCTTTCTGATCTTTTGGCATCTTGAATGTAAAGCATTTCAATGTTTTATTTTTAAAATGAACTGTCAAAATGCCCTGTTGTGGGCTGCCCTCGAAATCATATTTCTCTCACTGAACAATTTCCATTTCTTTAAAGAAGGAAGGAAATGAGAAGACGGACTCAGAGCCTCATTATTCTATACATTATCTAGGTATTTTGATAAGTCTCCACATGCTTGGCTTATTTTAAATTACTACTTAGAGAAACTTATGCATCTTATATAAATCCTAATATAAACTTTTATTTGAAATGACATTTTGTTTGTGTGCATGATTGCTTTTAATTTTATTACAGTTAAACATTCCTTTCTATTGGTAAAATATTTTAATCAATGTGAGACCAATTTTGCTCACATACTTCTAGACATTCTATTTAAGGCTTTATTACAGGCCTGATGCTCACTTTTGCTCTCCGTAAAGCATCGGATTTTCCAGGTCCAAAGATTTTAGAATATCTCCTGGGCAGTAAAGCCAAATTGATCTCTGGTTACTCCAAAAGGCTCTGATTAGCTGAAACACTGGCCAAACCATTGATTGTTTACACTTCACATATTTCTAGGAACAAAGAGAATAGCATTATACCGTGGAAGAGAGTTATGTATAAACTCAATTACATTGGTACAATATGTCCTTTTATAACTGACATTTTGTACCATCAAGATTTTGCTCCCTTATTATCTAATGCTGGCCTGGAGAATATTATGTCTTGAGACAGTGGGGAATATTAAAGTATTCTGGAATATGGCTATGGGTTTTAGCAGTTATAATTCTCTCTCAGACATTATCATGTTTAGTTCTTCACTAGTTATATGTTTTACCTTTTTTCCTCTAGCATTTCTCCTTTTTAAAGATGTCCTTGATGTTTATTCTAACCTGATTCATAACTGCAAAAGGAGACACACACAATTTTATATCAGCAGGTGATACCTCTTTATATAGTTTGGCTCTGTGTCCCTATCCAAATCTCATATCCAGTTCTAATTTCCAGTGTTGGAGGAGGGACCTGGTGGGAGGTGATTGGATCATGGGGGTGAATTTGTCCTTTGCTGTTCTCATGATAGTGGGTGAGTTCTCACAATATCTGGTTGTTTAAAAGTGTGTAGCACTTCGCCCTCTGCTTGCTCTCTCTCTCCTGCCACCATGTGATGAGATGCTTGCATCCCCTTCACCCTTCTGCCATGATTGTAAGTTTCTTGTGGCCTCTTAGTCATGGTTTCAGTAAAGCCTGTGGAACAGTGAGTCTATTAAGCCTATTTTCTTCATAAATTACCCAGTCTCATGTAGTCCTTTATAGCAGTGTGAGAATGGACTAATACATCTCTGAAATACAGTATGTATATTCCTTAAGCAGGGATTTCTTCTTTCTTCCCCTTGCTATGTACAAATGTGATATACAAGGTAAACATTGCTGTATACCAATAGTAACATTTTTCTATATGTAGTATTAGTTCATACTAATATCTGTTATGGAGGAAATTAGTATGGTGTTTTACACATACTGGCTCTTACGGTATATAATACATGAGGCTAAAAACTATGAAGATACCAATTCTTACCCTGGACATTTAAAATGCTGGGTTTAAGGCATAATGCCTGAAAGAATAAAAGAGCAGGATTAACTTGTTCTCAGGCAAGGGAAGAATCTGTATAATCAGAGGGCGGAGTTGGCACATGGAGATAAACCAAGAGAGTATATGCCTAAGAAAGATTCTTCCAATCGCCCACCACCGTATGATGTTTGAGCTGAATTCCAGGAAGGAGAACAAAAATCTCAGTTAATTTGGTGTGGTAAAATGATTAATGTCCGCCCCAAAGATGTCCGTGTCTTAATCCCTGGTGCTTGTGAATATGTTATTTTACATGGCAAAAGAAGCTTTGTAGATGTAATTAAATTGCAGATATTGAGGTAGTGAGATTGTCCTAGGCTATCTGTAGAGGCCCAATGTAATCACAAGAATCCTTGTAAGAGGGAGGCAGTAGAATAACCATAGTAGGAGATGTGGGGATAGAAGCAAGAAGCTGCAGTTGAAGGAATCGGCCATGAGCCAGGCAATGATTCTCTCCTGAAGCCTTTAGAAGGAACTGAGCCCCTTTAACAGTTTGGTTTTAGATTTCTCACCTCCAGAATTCTAAGGTAATAAATTTTTGTTTTAATCTAATAAATTAGTTAGAATTTGTTACAGCAGCAATAGGCACTAATTCATTTGACAAATACAAGCTATACCCTCACTGCAAGTAGAACCTGATGAGAAGACAAGATCTTAGAATCTCCCAAGACCTGACTTGGGTGACAAAAGTATAGCAGAGAGCTGTAATTATAGAAACACAGTGTTCTGAAATTATGTTTTTTTCTAGCTGGCTACTGGGAGAAATGGATGCTAATAGGAGAAATGAAGATTATGAACAGAGAAGGAATGTTGCATTATCTAACAGAGTTTCATTCCTACTAAATGACTTATTCTTTGGCTTGGTTAGTTTAAGTTTGAATTTAGAGAATATGGATTCTTCAGCTTTGCCTGAGAAAGTACATTGTCAATTTTCTCTCACAGTTAAAACAAGAGAAATATATTGAACCATTGAAACAAAATCAGGCTTTCCTAACAGTGAAATAAAGTTTTGTCTCTCACCAGTGGACTAGGGTAACTTAGTGCATTTTGTTAAACAAGACACTTCAGTTTGCCATTCAATTACCAATTAAAAGGAGAATCCCCATGAGTTCCCTTAAAGTCTTGTTAGGATTAAATCTTCAATGGCTATTTGTATTTGCTCCTTACTGTGTTACGGAAAACATAAGATTGCCCACTATAGTGAAGTGGCAGTTTGTAGACTGACTTAAGCAAAACAGCTAAAGTGAGAAACAATCCTCTTAAATTCAGGACGAGAAGCCAATCAATATATATAAACATTATTATAATTGTTAGTCATCTTTAATTTATTGTAGCTTCTACAAACTCTATATAAAATAATACCTAAGATATTTGTTTGAATTTTTTAATGCCCTTTTCATTCCTCTCAGTAAGAATATAGTATCAGTAAGAAGATAGATATCTTTTATCTATCTATATTATATATATAATCTATATATAATATATCTATATATAATATAGATATCTTCTTACTGAGATGTACACCTGTCAATATTTTTCATATTTTGTGATTTAATTTCCATTTTCTTATAAAATATTTAAGCTCCTATTACATAAAGTTGAGGCATATAAATGAGGCTGGATATTTTTAGAAAAGCAGAAGTGGGAAGAGGAGATTATAGCAAGTCCGACACAACAATGCTTTATTTAGGTGTCCTCACACACAATGACATTGATTGACTCTATTTTTTATATAATTTATTTCCCATACATACAAAAATCTATAGTCTGTTTTCTACAGAAAAGTGGAAATGATCCTTTCAAAACATAAAATCATAAACCCTCCAATGCTTTTCCAGTTAATAAAGTTCTAGATTAACTGCTTCTTGCCTAACAATCTACCTCATCTTGTAGTAATTAATTAATTTCTAAACTGTAGCCACTCTGACATTCTCTTCACTAATTTTAAAATCATGGTTACATTCACTGATTTTTCTGTGTTGAGAATATTAAACTCTTTTTATATATACCAACCTTTTAAATATGTTTGTTTAAAATATTAATTTTAGATAAACATTATGTGTAATTGAATACATTCTTTCTACATTGGAAGAAGAGTTTTGGAGTATTTCAAGTATGCAATTATTTTGTATTTATTGCAGTTAAGTTGCATTTATTCATTTTATTTCACTTAAAATATTATTCTACCTATATCTTAGAATTTCACATTATTCTTGTAGTGAGGGTAGTACCTGTATTATCTTAATAACATAATCAGATTCCTGTGGAAGGGAATTTAAGAATGAGTTTGTTTTTTATGCAGGAATGCATACCCATCATTTGTTTAATAACACAGGCTAGTAACTGACAGAAGTAGAGGCATTTCTTAAGAAATGAAAACTTTCTGCAGATTTTAGACGTAATTATTTTGTCCATATTCATAGTCAATATTCCAGAAAGTATGTTAATGAGATTGTGTCTCATTTGGATAGCTCTCTGCTAAGAAACTTCAAGTAAATTTTTAATTTATAACTTAAGTAAATTTTTTGAATAAACATTTTTCCTCAGATATTTTAATAATTTTATTTGAACTTCAGATTGTGAATATATTCATAAATTAGAAAAAGATACTGCCAAACAGTTCTTTTACTATTTCTTGCTAAATAAATTAGTTTGTAGGGATCTTAATTTGCTTCAATTTTTCACTTGAAGATTTCTTAAGCTGCACAGTCAATAGCAAAATACTTTTGAAAGGTAATATAAAATAGTTTAAACTTTTGAAAGTTTTTGAAGCTTCTTACCAAAAAAAAAAAAATTTAGAGCAGGATCTTGCTATGTTGCCCAAGCTGCTCTCAAACCCTGGCCTCAAATGATCCTTTTATTTCAGCTTCCTGAGTAGTGAAGACTACAGGTACACACCACCATGCCCAAGTTTTAGAAGCTTTAAAAGTCATAAAGATACATGTTGGAGACCGTTGTAAACAGCATCAATATAAATAAATAAATGGTAATCCTTCAATCCTTCAATTTCAGTGAAATTTCTATTCACATACCACAATCCACATGAAAACAGATTCGCAGTTAAGAGTCAAGCTTGTTTTACTGTTCTTTCAAAATATATTTGTATGGTCACTATGACTGATACTTAGTTAGCGCTTAGACAACTCTAAGTATTATCCATGCAACTTCTCTTTTAAAGTAGTTGTTCACTTTAACGAAGCAGTATATGAGACAAAAGAAAAGTATAAGTGGTAGACTAACTTTTCAATGTTTTTCACTAGTGCTTCTTCTTTTTTTGCCTTTATGTAAATTATAAGATTATTGTATATGAAATGTTATGTGAGCCAATACTTTGAAAACAGTAAATAATAATGAAGTTGAGAACAATCTGTTTCAGTGGATTGTATTTGTTCTGTGCCACATATTTAAAGTAATAACCACAACCACCTCGTGTAATGGAATAGATGCTATTAGGAAGGAGAGATGACAAAATAAAAATAAAGTATGTAAATTCCTGAAAACATATTAAAGCATCAGGAAATAAATATATATCACTTCCAAATGTAAAAATTGGTACCTACATGAGTGATATGATAGAATATTTCTCAAATCATTCTTAAAAATCAATAGTAAAAATGATCATGATCTCCATACTTAATGTAATATTTGTTCTATCACATATAGTTTAGTAAAAATGATTTTGAACTATATAACTTAATTGTAAAATAGCAATAGCCCTGGGTACAAATAAAAAAAGCAAAATCTATGTGCAATGTCACAATAGATTCCAGACGGTCTTAAAAGAGAAAAATGTTAACTGAATGAAGGCTAATAACTATAAGAAGAAGCTGTATTCTAATGTCAGATTTAAATTTCTTGTGGAAGTGCTGTCTTCCCTGTGGTTTCCTACTTGGAAGTCACAATTAGTTTATTATTACTTAACAGCAGGAAACCTTCTGAAGTTCAGCTTTATGAAGGTCTGAAACTCTCTTTAATTAACCTCCAGGACTCTAGGACTATTTTATAAAACTTTCGGTTTTAATATTTTTATCTTTATTCAATTTTACAAATTAAACTATATATTAAGTGCACTAAACAAGTTCACAGTTTAAGCAACTCTTCAAAGGATCCTTCGGGAAAATGTGTATTTTCCTGCAGCAATTTAAATGGTTCTGTGGCAAATCTCAGGATATCAATATGTATTAGTTATATTTGCCTCTTATGAAAATATCTTTATATCGGGTAGTCTTTAAAATGGCATACAATCCATAATCAGGGTTTGAATTCCAAATGTTAATGTACTTCTCGTTTCTACACCTAAAATAAAGTGTAATTAATTGGTTTTAACTAAGGTCAAAATATTGCATATAAATCATTAGATCTCTATTTTTTGGGCAATTTTTGTTAGAACTCATGCAGCATACTCCTGTGTGATGGCTAGTATTATTATGTGTCAGCAATTTAATCAAGCTCTAATCTATGTGTTGCTGTGCAGGTATTTTGTAGACATGGTTAACATTTACAATTAGTGACTTCAAGTAAAACTTACACTCCATAATGTGGGTGGACCTCATCAAATCAATGAAGACCTTAAGAACAAAAATTGAGGTTTCCTGGATAAGAAATCCTGCCTGAGCTTTCAGCCAATGTCTGGCACTGCAAATTTTAAACTCAAGGTGGAAAAATCACCTCTGTCTGAGTTTCCAGCTTGCCAGTTCAGCTTGCCCTACAGATTTTGGACTCGGCATTCCTTACAACTGTGTGAGCCAATTCTTCAAAATAAAACTCTCTTCTAATTCTAGCTAGCTAGATACATACATACATACATACATACATACATACATACATACATACACAGATTGATTAGTTGAGTGATTGATCAGTAGATACATAGTTACATAAATCTATAGATAGATAGATAGATAAAGATATAAAGAGAGATACAGATATATCCCATTAGTTCTGTGTCTCCAGACAAATCTATGTATTCTGGAAACTACAAGTTTTTTCCCCATTTCTGTAATTTTATAATTTCAAGAGTGTCATATAAATGGGATTATGCAGTTTGTAACCTTCAGGTCTTGTTTTGTGTTGTTTTTGTGTTTGATTTTGTTTTGTTTACTCAGCATAATTCCCTGGAAATTACTCAGATGTTGCTTCTTTTTATTGCTGAGGACTATTCCATGGTATAGATGTGCCATAGTTTGTTGATCCATTAACCGATTTAGAGACATCAGAATTGTTTCTGGTTTGAGGCAATTATGAATAAAGCAGCTATGGAAATTACATGTATTTGTGTGAACAGAAGTCATCATTTATTTGAGATAAATGCCCAGGAATTGAATTCCTTGCTATTATGAGTTGCATGTTTAGTTAAATGAGAAATTGACTATCTGTTTTTCAGAATAGCTTTCCCATTTTACCTGCCCATGCAGGAGAATGAACCTGGATCCTCATCTCTCACCATATACAAAAATCAACTCAAGATGGATTAAGGACTTAAATCTAAGACCTGAAACTATAAAAACTCTAGAAGGTAACATTGGAAAAACAGTTATAGACACCAGCTTAAGCAAGGATTTCATGACCAAGAACCCAAAAGTCAGTTATTGCAAAAGAAAATGCAATAAAAACCAAGATAAATAGCTGGGGCTTTATTAAACTAAAAAGTTTTGCACTGCAAAAGGAACAGCAGAGTAAACAGACAACTCACATAGTGGAAGAAAATCTTTACAATCTATACATCTGACAAGGACTAATATCCAGAATCCACAACGTACTCAAATTAACAAGAAGAAAAACAATTCTATCAAAAAGTTGACTAAGGACATCCATAGACAATTCTCAAAAGAAGATATACAAGTGGCCAACAAATATATGAAAAAATGCTCAACATCACTAGTGATCAGGGAAATGCAAATCAAAACTACAATGTGATACAACCTTACTCCTGCAAGAATGGCCATAATGAAAAAAATCAAGAAAACAGTACATGTTGGCCTGGATGCAGTGATCAGGGAACACTTCTACACTGCTGGTGGGAATGTAAACTAGTACAGCCACTAGGTTAAATAGTGTGGAGATTCCTTAAAGAACTAAAAGTAGAACTACCATTTGATCCATCAATCCCACTACTGGATATCTACCCAGAGGAAGAGAAATTGTTATATGGAAAAGATACTTGCACATGTATGTTTACAGCAGCACAATTCACAATTCCAAAATCATGGAACCAACACAAATGCCCATTAATCAACAAGTGAATAAAGAAACTGTGGTGTGTGTGTGTGTGTGTGTGTGTGTGTGTGTGTATGTGTATGATGGAATACTACTCAGCCATAAAAAGGAATGAATTAATGGCATTTGCACTGACCTGGGTGACATTGAAGTCTATTATTCTAAGTGAAGTAACTCAGGAATGGAAAACCAAACATCGTATGTTCTCACTGATATGTGGGAGCTAAGCTATGAGAATGCAGAGGTATAAGAATGATACAATGGACTTTTGGGACTTGGAGGGAAGGGTGGGAATGGGATGAGGGATAAAAACCTACAAATAAGGTGCAGTGGATACTGCTTGGGTGATGGATGCAACAAAATCTTACAAATCAACACTAAAGAACTTACTCATGTAGCCTTTTCTGTCTAGCTAAAGGTTTGTAAATGCACCAATCAGCGCTCTGTGTCTAGCTAAAGATTTGTAAACACACCAATGAACAATCTGTAAAAATGGACCAATCAGCGTTCTATAAAATGGACCAATGAGCAGGATGTGGGTGGGGCCAAATAAAAGAATAAAAGCTGGCCACCCGAGCCTGCAGCAGCAACCACCTCACGTCCCCTTACCTGCTGTGGAAGCTTTGTTCTTTTGCTCTTCACAATAAATCTTGCTGCTGCCCCCTCTTTGGTTCCCTACTACCTTTATGAGCTGTAACACTCACGGCGAAGGTCTGCAGCTTCACTCCTGAAGCCAGCGAGACCATGAACCCACCAGGAGGAAGAAACAACTCTGGACGCGCCACCTTTAAGAGCTGCAACATTCACCGCGAAGGTCTGTGGCTTCACTCCTGAAGTCAAGTGAGACCACGAACCCACCGGAAGGAAGAAACTCTGGACACATCTGAACATTGGAAGGAACAAACTCCAGACACACCATCTTTAAGAACTGTAACACTCACTTGAAGTCAGCAAGACCAGGAACCCACTAGAAAGAACCAATTCCAGACACAGTTTCACCATGTTCCCTGGTCTGGTCTCAAACTCCTGAGTTCAGGCAATCCACCCACCTTAGCCTCCCCAAGTGTTGGGGTTACATGTGTGAGCTATAGTGCCCAGCTGTTTCTTTTATCTGTTAGCACAGTACTTAAAATATTTGGTGTGCTGATTAGGATGAGATCCACAAATATGCACCTCATGGCTAAACCCAAAAGTTATTTTAAAAAATAACCTAATAAACTAAACAAATGGATTTATTTTCCAAGCTCCTCTCTTTCAGTGATCTCTAAGATAATTTCTGATTTCTTGCTGCCCCCTTTTCAATCATATGGCCAGAAAGGTGGGTCTTTAGTTATTCCACTCTGTGAAAATATATGGCCTTTCTTTATTCTGGGGCCAGGAGCATGAGAACCAGAGGAAAAATATGACGAACTCACTACCAGCTGTTGTTACTAAAAATTTTTGTCTTCTTCCCCAACTTACTTAGGCTTATTTACTTATCATTTCTAATATTTGCTTCAGTGGTCTATCCAGAATTGTATAGCTATATTCAAGGACTATCTGAATACAGCTGTATTCAGGCTATTTACTCTGGAATAGAAACTGTTGAAAATATAATTCAAGAAACTCGGCCGGGTGTGGTGGCTCACGCCTGTAATCCCAGCACTTTGGGAAGCGGAGGTGGGTGGATCACAAGGTCAAGAGATTGAGACCATCCTGGCTAACACAGTGAAACCCTGTCTCTGCTAAACATACAAAAAAAATTAGCCAGGTGTGGTGGCAGACACCTGTAGTCCCAGCTACTCGGGAGGCTGAGGCAGGAGAATGGCCTGAACCCAGGAGGCAGAGCTTGCAGTGAGCCAAGTCCCACCACTGCACTCCAGCCTGGGCAACAAAGTGAGGCTCCATCATCTCAAAAAAAAAAAAGAAAAAAGAAACTCAATTGAGCAAGAATTATTCCTTCTAAAAAAATAAAGCTGGAAATGCTTTCAAGCTACAGCTTGAAAAGAACAATAATAACTGTATTTAGAAAGCATGGTACTCTCCATGATTATACTTTCTGAAAGGATCACTCAGTCTGTAATATTACATATGCATTATGCTGTTAATATATGAACAAAAAAATACCTGAGACATAATACCTAATAACCTAGAAAAAAATTCTAGTACACTGTATTTTATGAAAAAATTGATTAAAATGAAATGCAAATAAATTATGAGGTGCATCGTATTTTTTTAGGATACATTAAGATATTCTGAGGAAGGAGTCTAGAATATTCCTTTTTGTTCAAGGACAGATAATCACAATAATTTAAACAATGTTGTTAAAATACCAAATTAATCTGTAGGTCATTATTTTAGCTGTGTGGAGTATGCAGTGGAAAAAGCAAGTGTGTGTAAAGGAAATATAAAAGATGTTGCTTGCATATATTTTGCAAATACCTGATGCATAGTTAGTTCTCCATGACTGTTATTTTTACTGTTTCCAGGCAGCATAGTGGATTTTACTTAAGCATCTGCATGAGTAGAATTTTCTCTGAAGTAATGTTTGTAAAAGCTAATTATTTGTCTTTAATGAAATTGCCTTTAAAGACATTTCCCAAACCGATGCGTTTTGCAACACTGAAGCTGTAGGACAAAAATAGGTTTTAAATCAATTAAACAATTCCTGTGGTTAAACATATTTCTAGGTTGGTTTAAACAAAGTTAAGCTGTTTTTTAAAAGCTGGACCACTATGGGATTTTGTATGCTAATGTTTAATATAAATCTTCAAAAAGTACTATTTGGGTATCTTACGGATAATTTTTGGAATCGAGGGTATATGTGCACGTTTGTTACATAGGTATACTGTGTGGTGCTGAAGTTTGGAGTACAAATAAATCTGTCACCCAGTAGTAAAAATAATCCCCAAAATAGGTAGTTTCTTTTCTTTTTTTTTTTCAACCTTTACCCTGCTCCCCGCCTCCCGTCTCTTTCTTGTATTCCGCAGTGTCTATTGTTCCTTCCCCCACCCCACCCCCCACCGCGAGACGGAGTTTTGCTCTTGTTGCCCAGGCTGGAGTGCAATGGCGCAATCTCTGCTCACTGCCACCTCCGCCTCCTAGGTTCAAGCGATTCTCCTGTCTCAGGCTCCCGAATAGCTGGGATTACAGGCACCCACCACCACTCCCAGCTAATTTTTTTTTTTGTATTTTTAGTAGAGACGGGGTTTCATCATGTTGGCAGGCTGGTCTCTTAACTCCTGATCTCAGGTAATCCGCCTGCCTCAGCCTCCCAAAATGCTGGGATTACAGGCGTGAGCCACTGTGCCCAGCCTATTGTTCCCGTTTTTATGACCATATGTACTAAATGTTTAGCTCCCACTTATACGTGAGAATATGTGGTATCTGGTTTTCTGTTTCTACATGAGTTCACTTAGCATAATGGTTTCCAGCTGCATCCGTGTTACTGCAAAGGACACGAGTTCATTCTTTTTATGTCTGCCTAATATTCCATGGTGCATATATGTACCACATTTATTTATCCAATCCATCATTGATAGACACCTGCATTGATTTTATGGAGTATTTTAAAAATTTCTTTGACCATTAACTTCCCCTACCTCTGACTTGTTATAAGATGATCATTCTGAAGAAAACCTGTACGTAGGGAAGTGATGTTTCAGAATTTTAAGTGTTTGCATTTAGCCAGCATTATACATCCTGGTTTGATCTTACAGGGTAAAATTAAGCTATCTAGAATACTGGAAATTTTGATATGAGGTTTATTTGATCTTTATTCAGTTTTGAGGTGATTTTATCACTGTTATCTAGGAGACTTTTTTCTTCAAATAGCTAAATCGACCACAAAGCATTTGTTATTATAATGGTGCACCAGAACACTTCATAAAATATAATGTAACAACTAACTTTCTTGGCTTTAAAAAGCATTCACTGAGACTTCTGTAATTCTTTAAATTTGTTTTACTGCTAAGCAACATTTCTTTCTTTTACAACTGATTCTTTATCTAGGAAATATACTTTTGTCTTCATCATGGAATCCATACTGTTTCATATTTTAAATAGAGAGATAATTATTAATATCAATGAAAATCAAGTATTAGACTAATTCAGTTACTTTTTAAAATTTTTATTCAACTGCATTAGCTATCGTTGTAGAACTTTCTAGTTTAAATAAAGTGGAATAATTAATTAACCCTTTCATAGACACATAACACTCTGAAATCAGGATGTTTTCTTTCTTCCAGTCTCAGGCAGGAAAAAAGTACTAAAGCAGGTGCAAGTGAATTTAGGTATGCCACTGAAGATGTCTGTGTGATCAGTTCTTAATTTTAAATAGTTTCAACAATGACAGGTAATCTCTGTAATGAACTTTTTTTAGAAAGCAGATTTATTTGTTTTATATACTTACATAAATACAAGCTAAATTAAGCAGTAAAACACATTAAGTATCAGGCTCAATGAGTCCTCTATCTTTGCAAAGTAATATTAAAAGTGTTAAAAACAAAATGTGAAACTTTTCATATTTAGCAAAACAAAATGATACAATATATTTTAGTCATATACATAAATAACTAAAATATAAATTAGAAAGTGATAATTGGGCCAGGTGCAGTGCCTCACACCTGTAGTTCCAGCACTTTGGAATGCGGAGTGGGGGCAGATTTCCTTTAGCCGAGGAATTTGAGACCAGCCTGGGCAACCTAGTAAAACTCCATCTCTACAAAAAATATGAAAATTGTCCCTGTGTGGTGGCACACACCTCTAGTCCCAGCTACTAGGGAAACTGAAGTAGGAAGATCCCTTGTGCCCAGGAGGCAAAGGTTGCAGTGAGCAGAGATTGTGCCACTGCACTCCAGCCTGGGTAAAGAGTGAGACCCTTTCTCAAAAAAAATAAAAAAGGTGATAATTATGACAAATGATTTTTAATAAAGTATAAGATAGTTCAAAGGGTGGATAAGTTATTGTTGGCTCAGAAGATCACATAAAACACTGTGAAGAAAATTATGTGTAAGTAGTTAACAATTCAAAAAAAGAAAACAAAATAAAAAATGATTTAGCCTTTTAATTTTTCTCACCACCTGCTTTCCTCTCTACTTACCTAACTAAAGAGTTTCTGTACAGCAAAAGAAATCATCAACAGAGTAAACAGACAGCCTACAAAATGGGAGAAAATATTCACAAACTATCCATCCAACAAAGGTCTAATATCCAGAATCTATAATGAATTTAAACAAATCAACAAGCAAAAAGCAAACAACTCCATTAAAAAGTGGGCAAAAGACATGAACAAAATGTCTCAGAAGAAGACATATAAGCAGCCAAACCACATTAAAAAGGGCTCATCATCACTAATCATCAGAAAAATGCAAGTCAAAACCAAAATGAGATACCATCTCACACCAGTCATAATGGCTATTACTAAAAAGTCAAAAATAACAGATACTGGCTAGGCTATGAAGAAAAGGGAACACTTATACACTGTTGATGAGAATGTAAATTAGTTCAGCCACTGTGAAAAGCAATTTGAAGTTTCTCAAAGAACTTAAAACAGAGCTAACATTCAACCAAGCAATCCCATTACTGGATATATACCCAAAGGAATATAGATCAATATATCAAGCAACACATGCTTGTATGTACATTGCCATGTTATTTACAATAGCGAAGACATGGAATCAACCTACGTTCCCATTGACTAGATAAAGAAAATGTGGTACATAAACACCATGGAATACTATGCAGCCATAAAAAATAATAGAATCATGTTCTTTGCTGCAACATGGATGAAGCTGGAGGACATAATTCTAAGTGAACTAATGAAGGAACAGAAAACCAAGTACCACATCTATTTCTTATAAGTTGGAGCTAAACATTGAGCACACATGGGCATAAACATGGGAATAACCAACATTGAACGCTACTAGAGAGGGAGGGAGAAATGAAGTGTGGGTTTCAAAGTTATCTACAGGGTGCTATGCTCCTTACCTGGGTCCAATAAACCCATGTAATAATCCTATGTATGTACCTCCTGTGTCTAAAATAAAAGCTGAAATTAAAAGTAGAGCGAGAGCTATACTGTCTATATTCTCTAAGTACGTAGTACAAGAGAGTGATATGTTTGTTCCACTCTTAGGCTCAAATTATGTTGTTAAAAAGCTTTAATCACAAACCCAGAGCTGAAGTTTTAGACTCAGATTTGCCTTTATCACTACTACATAGAGGACAAACTTCTTTGAGGTACATTTTTTAAGTGAAAATTATATATTTCTGCAGATAGCATCTATCTTTTGAACTGAGAATTTGAGTCCTTAAGTAGTCTAGAATATACTGTAAGTGCAGATCCATAATATAAAAATAAAATAGTTCAATAATAATATCTCTCACTAAATGACACCAATCCTGAAAACTAAACTTAGGGATAAATTTGATTTAAGAATGGTTCAGTTCTTTTTTATGTGGAAAGAATATCTGCTTTGGTAAAGTGGACATTTTTCAAAAAGCACAAGTAGTGTATTAAAGAAAGAAAAATACAACATAACTCAGCCACTAGACCAAAGAATATAAACTTACTGATTTGCAGAGCTAGATAGTAAAAATTTTATTTCCTACAAGTCTAATTAACAAACTTATACTATGTTAAATACCAAATCTTAAACAATTGGATATTCATCAACTCTTTCCTACATATGAGATTATCAGATCGGAACTAAGGTGAAATGTTAACTTTGTACTATATGTCAAATATCTACTAAAAATGTTAATAGTTTAAATAAGACTGTTGAAGAATTATAACACTGTAACATAGATTTTTGTTTTTAATCTCATGAAAGTGAAGTATTTGGTTAGTTAAAATATTATGATTACTTTATATTAATTCAAATATGCTTACATAATAATTTTTGTAAACTATAATTTATATATTTTAGTAATTCCAATGAATATACTGTACTATTTAATGTATATTTATGTTCTTTCTTTGTGTTAAAGATTGATATGGTAATCTTAAGATTAACTGGGATATATGAATACTTTATGATTTAATATTTCTTGGCTTTTAAAATAATATGTCCACATTTAAAAATGTATTTTATATTTTGTCCTTCATATATTATTTTCATTTACATAAGCTATTAATAGGGGTAAATCTGTTAAGACAGAAAACAAAACTTTCCTTAAAATAATAGCTTAGAAAAACTGTAAAGAAGAAAGTTTGAGAGACTGAATTCCTCAGGAGTAATAAATCTGCCTGACCTAATAAGCAAAAAAGAAAAGCAAGTGATTGCTGGGGATATACTGAGCTCAGTATTATTCTGACTAAGAAAAAGGTTTTGGTTATTAAACCATCTGAGTGTGAATTTGAGTGGTTACTAAGGGATTGAAGAACAAATCTTATTCTGTTATGCATTACTATATATTGTGGAAATGCCTGCCATAAATTCGTAACTCTAGAGAAAATTCATAATTAAAAAACTGATGGCACTAACAATTTCTTTTCTTTTTTTAGTTTAGGAGATAAATTTACTTTTTGGTTAAAGGTATACTAGGAGGACTTCTGAAATAACAATTATAATTCTATAAATTTACTTGAGGCTAGTGTTATGTATATGTGTGTCCATGTGTGTACAAGATATGTACACATGAACTATACATAGGTATGCACTGATATATACATAGATTGTAGTTTGTGTGTTCAACTTACTCTTTATATTTTGGCAATTTTTTAGATACTATAGGTGTAAAAATTATAATTTTAAGTTCACAGATGAAGCATATTTACCTCTTTGAATAAAGCATAATTTTGTAAACTTTATGATTGATAGGATGGATACAGGACTGAAGATTCAGAGACCATGAAAGATTTATGTCAGGTTTAAAAAAAAATCTTTTAAATAAGATGGCCTCGAGACTTCAGCTTGCTTTATATACATAGTTCAACTTTATGGCAAATTCCTTCCTTATATATAGTTTATCTGCTTGAAATTAAATATACAGGGATCCTAGAAAGTTTATTATTATGAAGGAAAAACTGACTTCAGTGTTATTTCCCTGATGTTACAAATGAGCAATTGGATGACAGATGGTTAAATATTTTGATACTTGCAGCTAAAAATAAAATAAAATCCACCCGAAAAGGACCTTTGTTATCACATACCTACAATTATAGTGGTAGTGTGGTCTCCATGATTGTTTGATGTAATAGATCAACAATGTTATCCAGGACCTGGGTTCATGCTTTCTTGCCATTTCGCTATCTTTAGTTCTGGATTCATATCAAGATGGCTACAGCACTTTCAGCAATCATACCATGCTTGACACTAACTAGGGAAGAATAGAGAATGTCTCTTTCTTTGAGTCTCTCTTACATCTTATTGGCCAGAACTTGATTATCTGCCCATCTCTGAACCAATTATTGTCATGACAAATGAAGTATCCTTGGACAATGAAACACATTGCTGAAACTGGGTTAGAACTTCCCCCAAGGCACAAAGATAAAGAGGGGAAGGTGAGATAGCTAAACAAATCTGTTTCTAGTATAAGTGGAAAAGGGGAGAATGGATACTTGGTAGACAAACCATAGTGTCCATTACTAAAAGATACTTGAGGGACAATGTACAGTGAATTAAAGTGATACAATTGCTAATGGGTTGAGTAATTACACATTTTAAGGAAACCACAATAATGTGAGGAGATAGCTGCCAACATCTGTTGAATATGTATCGCCTGGAAATAAGTCAGCACATGAAAATCATAAATAAGTACTATATTTCAGAAAGAACAACATCAGATGGCTAAAAGTCTGAGGTAGTGTTGTACAGATGTTATAAAAAGTAGTTGGTAGCAAATTAATTGTTCTTTGTATCACAGTGTGAAATGATACTTGACATATTATTTCAGTTAGCACACACTCTAAGAGCAAACATTCTATTACCGTAATTTTAGTGTATTATAGACTCTTGAAAGTAGAATCTCTATTACAAACAAGTACAATGATAATAAAACATATGGTCCTAAGTAATGTGAAACTTCTGGAAGGATAAATAAATCTGGAAGAAGGAAAAAAATCAACCATAAATACATGATTTATTTTCTGAAAAATAAATTACTAACATAATTTTCAAACTCTTTACTCACTCTCACTTGTATTCCTTTCTCATGCATGTAATTCATATTTACTATGGATTCAGAGTAGTGGATCCTGTGAGTCAACTCTTCTTGCTTTATTTTCTATCGGGTGTCCTCTAAAAATGGCATATAACGTCTCTTATGAAGATCTAAGGATTTGTACAAATCTTCCCTTATAGGCATAGATTTCAGAGTGGTTTTAATGTTTCCTTGGGGTGGCTGTTTTGAGTTTCTGGGCACATTACAGTTCACTCATGGTGAGATAATCATCACAGTAGACTCCCCTGATGTCTTATCAGCTGCTACCATTAGATAGCAGAGCATAATATATCTGTTGATGTCCAGCTGTTCTTGGTTTGTAGCTGGAACCAATGCAATTATGCAAAGCTTTCTTGTAAAAGAATGAATTTTCTCCATTAACTGTTTCTTTGAATAGCCTTAGTCTAGTAACTTTCAAAACATACACTCCTCCTCACCCAGATTCTCATTTTTTTCTCATTGAAATGCATTTCTCATATGAAATAACCATTCTCCAGCTTCTTCTGCATTTGTGTGCCATCAAAATTGCTTTTTAAACCACATAACAAAATATAGTTAAAAGCAAAACATGTAGTTTATCTTAAGATTTGATACCAACGTAGTATTTTTCTCTACTGACACAAAAATTGTCATTTTTATAAGTTTCTATCCATCATCATTGCAAACAAGGTTCCAGAGATACATATTTTCAGAAAGCAGGCAGAGAAAAATCACATATGACTTTTTGTAAACTCAAAATTTAATTCCAAACAGTAATGTCAAATTCTGTTAAGCTGTATTGTGCCATATAGTAAAATGTATCCTCCCACACATAAAGTAAGCCTGAATATAAAGAGAAAAAGTGAGATATCAGGATAATACTCTCTACTTCCTAATTCTCAAATGTGAATTTAGAGGTTTGATTGGACCCAAGGTCAAAATTATGAGATCCAATGAAGGGAAAGAAAAATGCAGACATTTGGGGGAACAGAAGAGGTAAGGAAAGCCTGAGTGCTGACACTTAAGTGAGAAGAGACAGAAGAAGATGGAAAGAGATTCCTTAGCCCTTTCCCATAAAAGCAAACAGTTAGATCATTTATTAGTTTTTTTTTATTTTCTGGGGATTATGGAAGTCTAATTAAATAATCCAAAGAAAAGAGCAACTACCTGCCTACAACTAAAATCATACTTAATGTTGAAATATTTAATGTGGTCTACCTAAGTTCAACAAAGATGCAAGAAGGATGCCTAGTTTCAATACCTCTATTCACTATTGTACTGAAGGGCCTAGTCATTACAATAAGGTAAAATAAGGATGAAAAGAAGGAAAGAAAAAAGAAACACATAATAATTGAAAAGGAATGAAAAGATTCCCTATTTGCAGATGATTGTTTACACAGAAAATCCCAAGGAATGTAGTCAACTAAAGCAGTAGGACACATGTCAGCATAAAAAAATTATGTGATTTCATGCAACCAGTAATCATTTAAAAAATAATTTTTAAGTTAATTTACAATAACATCAACATTATTACTAAATAATTTTAATATAAATGTATTATGCATACATTTAAGAAAATTGCATCACACCTTTTGTATAGGTTTCATAAGTAAAACCTATATAAATGTATAAGTATACTACTCTTATGAATTTGAGGATTCATATTTGTTTGCACAGACTTATATGTAGTATTAATGCAACACCCACAAAATCCCAAAAACTGACAAACTAAAGTGTTACATTAAAAAAAAAAAAACTTAGAACAAAGAACAAAGAAAATAATTTCCCAAAAGAAGAGCAATGTTGGAAGGCTTGCATAAGCCTGCTTAAAGATTTATTCTAAAGACATATAATCAAGACACTGTAATATTGACCAAAATGTAGATATATAAATTACTCAATAATAGAGAGTCCAGGAATTAAATCTTCACACTTCAGGTTAAATTATTTTTTGGCAAAGATGCAAAATAAAGTCAACTAAGGAAAGGAAACACTTTTCAACAAATGGTCCTGAAACAACTGGATACCCATATTGTGTGGGAAGGGGAACTCACCAGTACATCAAATTATGCTCAAAAATTAACTTTCAATAGATTCTAGCCTAAGTGTAAAAGGGAAAACTATAAAATCATGAGAAATCCTGGGAAAAAACTCTTTAAGAACTTGGGTTAGGAAAAGATGCTAGAAAGCAAACCAAAACCATGAGTTATAAAAGAAAAACTTGATTAATTGATATTGAACATTATCAAAAATTATTCTCCTTATACAACCCACTGCTCAAAGGCGTAAGAGAGGACACAAACAAATGGGAAAACATTCCACTCTTGTGGATAGGAAGAATCAGTATCTTAAAAATGGCCATACTGCCCAAAGTAATTTATAGATTCAATGCTATTCCCATCAAACTACCACTGACTTTCTTCCCAGAACTAGAAAAAACTACTTTAAAATTCATGTAGAACCATAAAAGAGCCCATATAGCCAAGACAATCGTAAGCAAAAAGAACAAAGCTGGAGGCATCACACTACATGACTTCAAACTATACTACAAGGCTACAGTAACCAAAACAGCATGGTACTGGTACCAAAACAGACACACTGACCAATGGAACAGAATAGAAATCTCAGAAATAAGACCACATATCTACAGCCATCTGATCTTCAACAAACCTAACAAAAACAAGCAATGGGGAAAGGATTCTCTATTTAATAAGTGGTGCTGAGAAAACTAGCTAGTCATATGCAGAAAACTGAAACTGGACCCCTTCCTTACACCTTATATAAAAATTAACTCAAGATGGATTAAAGACTTAAATGTAAAACCCAAAACTATAAAAACCCTAGAAGAAAACCTGGGCAATACCACTCAGGACATAGGCATGGGCAGAGATTTTATGATGAAATCACCAAAAACAATGGCAGCACATGCCAAAATTGACAAATGGGATCTAATTAAACTAAAGAGCTTCTGCACAGAAAAAGAAATTATCATCAATGTGAACAGGCAACTTACAGAATGGGAGAAAATTTTTGCAATCTACCCATCTGACAAAGGTCTAATATTCAGAATTTACAAGGAACTTAAAAAATTTGCAAGGGAAAAACAAACAACCTCATCAAAAAATGGGCAAAGGACATGAACAGACACTTCTCAAAAGAAGACATATATGCAGCCAACAAACATGTGAAAAAAAGCTCAACATCACTGATAATTAGAGAAATGCAAATCAAAACCACAATGAGATATCAACTCATGCCAGTCAGAATGGTGATTATTAAAAAGTCAGGAAAGAATAGATGCTGGCAGAGCTGTGGAGAAATAGGAACACTTTTACACTGTTGGTGGGAATGTAAAGTAGTTAAACCATTGTGGAAGACAGTGTAGGGATTCCTCAAATATGTAGAACCAGAAATACCATTTGACCCAGCAATCCCATTATAGTTTATATACCCAAGGAAATATAAATCATTCTATTATAAAGATATATGCATGCATATGTTTATTCCAGCACTATTCACAATAGCAAAGACATGGAATCAACCAAAATGCCCATCAGCAATAGACTAGATAAAGAAAATGTGGTACATATGCACTATGGAATACTATGCAGCCAAAAAAAGGAGCAAGATCATGTCCTTTGCAGGGACATGGATGAATTTGGAAGCCATCATTTTCAGCAAACTAACACAGGAACAGAAAACCAAACACCACCATGTTCTCACTCATTATTGGGAGCTGAACAACAAGAACACATGGACAGAGGGAGGGGAACAACACACACCGGGGCCTGTCAGAGAGGCAATGGGAGGGAGAGCAACTGGATAAATCACTAATGCATGCTGGGCTTAATACCTAGGTGATGGGTTGATATGTGCAGAAACCTCCATGCCACACATTTGCCTATGTAACAAACAGTTAATTTGGAAAAAATATATATGTATATATATATTTGTATACATACACACACATATATATCTTTTACAGTTGTGTGAGTGAATTCCTTATAACAAATAATATATACTTTTTTGTGTAGAAATAGAGCAAATGACTTTACACCCCCCCACACACACCACGTTTATACGTGTGTGTGCATATATAGACACACACATCCCCATATTTTTAAATTATACATACAACAAATTACTCCTGTTGAATTTATGTAAAGAAATCTTACAGCTTACAACTTACATGGGGTGTGTGTGCGTGCGTGTGTGTGTGTGTATAGTCTCCCATTTGCTCTATTTCTCTGAAGTCTTTCTGAAGAACCTAGACTGATGGATTGACAGAGAAGAGCTCAGTGGACAAAAAGAGGAATAAACTAATTAGAAATAGGAAGAATTTTCCGGGGGTTGTAAATACAATTTCTTTTTCTTTTTTTTTTTTTTTTTTTGAGATGGAGTCTCGCTCTGTCGCCCAGGCTGGAGTGCAGTGGCGCGATCTCAGCTCACTGCAAGCTCCACCTCCCCGGTTCACGCCATTCTGCTGCCTCAGCCTCCCGAGTAGCTGGGACTACAGGCGCCCGCTACCACTCCCGGCTAATTTTTTATATTTTGTTTAGTAGAGGCGGGGTTTCACCGTGTTAGCCAGGATGGTCTCTATCTCCTGACCTCGTGATCCGCCTGCCTCAGACTCCCAAAGTGCTGGGATTACAGGCGTGAGCCACCGTGCCCAGCCTTAAATACATCTTTAACTTGAATATGCTGTTAGTTTCACAGATGTATTCAAATATCACGTGTCATTTGTACACTTTAAGTAAAGTGTGCTTATGTAAATTACTCACAATAAAGTTTCTTTTTAAGAAAATAAAAGTGACAACCCATGAATGACATTTTGAACAGTGTTTCTATCATGCCAGCACTAGGGCATAGGCCAAATCCCAGTGCTACACTAATCCATGCTATTAATTTATATCAACCTCAGAAGAAGTAGAAGACAGCTGAGAGAAAAAAGAAATAACCTCTTCCCTACTTAAGACAACATTACTGAAATTAAATAACTATTCTAGAATTTAAATGTATCCCTCTCTACCACAGTGGCACTGATATTGACAAATACAGAACAATATGCTTTGTTTGTTTGTTTGAGGAGTCTCACTCTGTCTCCCAGTCTGGAGTGCAGTGGTGCGATCTCAGCTGACTGCAACCTCAGCCTCCCAGGTTCAAGCCATTCTCCTGCCTCAGCCTCCCGAGTAGCTGGCACTACAGTTGTGCACCACTGTACCTGGATAATTATTGTATTTTCAGTAGAGAAGGGTTTTACCATGTTAGCCTGGCTGATTTTGAACTCCTTACCTCAGGTGATCCACCCGCCTCGGCATCCCAAAGTGCTGGGATTGCAGGCGTGAGCCACCTCACCTGGCAAGAACAATAGCTTTGATAATCAATGAATACTATAAGAAACCAAGAGGAATTAGGTACTTAGCAAAGAATTCTCTATTTTCTATTATCTACACAAATTGCTAGTTTTTTGTTTGATTCATTTTCTTTGAGATTTCTTTCTCACAAAAAGGAGATCTAATCATTTCCCATTCCTTGAGTTCTTTGAGTCAGTGTGTCATACAGCATATATTTAATATTAAATAGTGGCATCCTTTTCATTGTACTAATTTTTCATAATCAATTCCAAAAAAGGAAAAATTCTAGCTTAAATTTTGTTTTTGTTTTTTGTATTTTTAAACTGTATAATTTCTATTTTTATTGACTATTGTATATATTTATGGGGTACAATGTGATTATTTGATGCATGTATACATTGTGGAATGATAGATCAGGATAATTAACATTTTCATCACCTTGCACCCTTATTAGTTTTTGTGGTGAGAACATTTAAAATTTATTCTCTTGGCAATTTTGAAATATACAATACATTACTATATAATCACTGTGAGCACAATGGATCTCAAGATCTCATTCCTCTCACTAACAACCATCTTTTACAAGAAGGACCCCTCTTCACTTTGAGGAAGTAAGAAAATAGCACAGTTGGAACAGAAAATAGGACATGAGCCATTAGTAAATACTAATGATCCTCAAGAAGCATTGGATCTCCATTATTAAAAAGCACAAAGTTGAATCCAGACTACTGATAAGTCTCCTATCATACATGAATATTGGCTGGGCAGAATGTGACTCAGAAACTCTATTTGAGGCTGTTGAATATTATTTTGTTGAACCTATCTCATATAGCTAACATCAGCTGCTCAAAATCTGATGCCACTTTGATATCTCATACTCAGGTTAAATCTTGAATTTTTGTACTTCATTTTCTTAAATCCTAATATTTCACAGAATAAATTAAGGATAATATTAGTACTTTACAATAATGTTTTTGTAAATAGTTCGAGAACACAAGTAAAATGAATGTATTTAAAAAGCATATCTCGAGCTGGGCATGGTGACTCACACCTGTAATCCCAGAATTTTGGGAGGCCAAGGTGGGCAGATTGCTAGAACCCAGAAGTTCAACACCAGCTTAGGCAATATGGCGAGAGCTTGTCTATACTAAAAAAAAAAAAAAAAAAAAAAAAAAAAAAGCCAGGCATGGTGGTGCATGCCTGTGGTCCCAGCTACTCAGGAGGCTGAGGTGGGAGTATTGCTTGAGCCTAGCGGGTGGCAGAGGCTATAGTGAGCAGAGATCATGCCACTGCACTCCAGACTGGGCAAAACAAGACCTTGTCAGAACAAAAAAAGAAAAAAAAGCATAGCTCAGTTATGAAAAGTAGAGGTGTAAGATTGTGAAGATTGTCTTGCACATTGATTATCTTGTAGATCAATTTAGAGAAAATTTTCAAAAAGGAGGGGACTACTTTTGTGAATATATAATTAAAATTCCATATATAAAAGCAATGAAAATAATAACAACTAGAAATTCTTTACTTTGAATGCATACTTTACATATTAGCTTCTCTGAAACTAGAGGAACTCATTTTATCCCTAGTATCTCTCATAAAGCCTGATTCATAGTTCTGTAAGCATTTGTAGAAACAAGAGCAAAAAACAAGCATAGTAATTTTATGGACTGCCAATTTTGAAAGAAGCATGAAGATTCTCATAATTTTTCACCCTCAAGGGAGAATATTCCAAGAAATCTCAATATATCTCTAGGACACTTGAATTATGTTGCTGGAATCTATCCATAATTACTAGATTTATTAGTGCATAAAGTAACAAACAGACCAAAAATGTATATAACTCAGAGATAACTTAGTTGTCTGAATAATACCAAGAAAAGTTTTGGCTTCTATTAATACATATTGGTTCACAAATATGTTTTCTATTACTGTTACTGAAAGTAAAATTTACTGTAAATGAATTATTATGCAAAATTATTGCCGTGTATTTCACAACATGTACTTGCAATGGATGGGCACAAATTCATTTATTGGACATCAGATTTTTCAAGTGAGCTGAATGTGTAATAGCAATCAAGATAATTAGGGTTTGCAACATCCATAAATACACCAAGACATTGGTTTCACGTGATTTGAATTTCATGAACTAGACCATTCATTGGTTTTAAGAAGTTCTTGCTTATTGAGTTATCCATCTACTAAAATTTTCAGATATCTTCATGGATTCCTAATCACTAAATTCATTAATTGAGATTTTCTTCTAACATATCAGTGTAGGTCCTCTATAGTCTAGCCCTTCTACTGATAACTGCTACATACTCAAGAAGAAATATAGGGAAGAACTAGTGGAAAATTCAGAATAGTAAACAAATGCAAGCATATTGTTGGGGGAGTTAAAACTTGAAACTTTCCATTGTTTTTTGGCTTTTTCTTGATGGTGTACCAGGGACTCAAATCAGTAAAGTGTAGATGAATAAATCTGATTAAAACTTGCCATATTTCTGGCTAGAGGAACCAGGAAAAGGAGTCTGTGCAGGTGAAACTACAGAGAGTAAAGAGGAATCCCAGAGAGGAGAGAGGAGAGAAGGGGATTTCTTAATTTTGGGTATGGGCCTTATGTAAATCTCTGGCAGACTGATGAATTACGAATGCATGAGACAGACGCACAGTAGAACAATAAAGACTTAAGAAATTACACTGATATTTAAGCCTGCATCTACTGAAGATGAGAGAGCTCATAGTATAACCAGGTTAACTGCTCGTTCAAAATGAAAATATTAACTTTATTTTTTCTGAGAAATATAATAGAACTCAGGCAAAGGGGGTGAGGACAGGGAGGCTTCCAAATCACTTGAGAAATTGCAGGGATTTGGAGGTTACTTCCCAGGAAGAGGAAACAAAGGCCAGCCAAATTTTTTATTGTACAAAGAGAAAAACAGACAGCACTTTAATAGATGGAGAAACAGTATTTGACAAAATTAATGATAAGAAATCTCCAGTAAACTAGAAATAGAATGAAATGGCATCAGTCTGATAAAGCTGAATCATATACAATAGTAAAAATAAAATCACTTTCCTGATAAGGACAGCCACTCTGACAACTTCTGTTCCACATTATGCTTGAAGATCTAGCTGTTGCAACAAAGAAATGGTAAAATAATAAAAAATTTAACACAAAGTCTTTTTGAAAACTGAATATCCATATGGAAAATTAAAGAATATTATCTTTTTACCATGTATCATACAAAAACCTAACTTAAAAGTATTCTTGTAAAAACAACAGAAAAGCATGGACTGTAACAAATTGGTAATTTGTAATTTATACAATTAAAGTGTTTGTTCTGTGGAAAACATAGCTGAGAAAAAACAAGCCACAGATTGCAGGAATATTTTCATAGCATGTATAGCAGATAGAGAATTTGTATCCAAAATATATAAAGAATTTATAAACTTCAACCATGAGAAAACATTTTAAAAAGGGTAAAAAATTTGAAAACCACTATACTCTTATTAACTATGGTAGTTTAGTAGAAACTAAAATCAAAATATTAGAATGATCAAAATGACAAACATTGACAATACTATGTGTTAATGAGCATTTAGAGAACTGTAATTCTATGTGCTGGTAAGAATGTAAAATTGCACACTATTTTGGGAGAATGTGTGTAGTTTCTTAAATTATTGAATATACACCTGCCATAAGACACAGTGTTTCCACTGTGTTCTGTCCAACGGAAATGATAACATCCATCTACCTAAAGACCTTTTCTAAAAATATTCAGAGCAGCTTTATTCATGATATTCAAAAACTGGACAAAAAAAGGTATCAACTGATGAAGAGACAAAGAAATTTAGTTATATCCATCTACAAGAATACTGTTTACCAAAAAAATAATTACTGATGAGAAGTGTCTGTTCATATCCTTCGCCCAAGATAGAAGACATTTATACAGCCAATAGACACTTGAAAAAATGCTCATCATCACTGGCCATCAGAGAGATGCAAATCAAAACCACAATGAGATACCATCTCACACCAGTTAGAATGGCGAACATTAAAATGTCAGGAAACAATAGGCTCTGGAGAGGATGTGGAGAAATAGGAACACTTTTATACTGTTGGTGGGACTGTAAACTAGTTCAACCATTGTGGAAGACAGTGCGGCAATTCCTCAAGGATCTAGAACTAGAAATACCATTTGACCCAGCCATCCCATTACTGGATATATACCCAAAGGATTATAAATCATGCTGCTATAAAGACACATGCACACGTATGTTTATGCAGCACTATTCACAATAGCAAAGACTTGGAACCAAGCTAAATGTCCAACAATGATAGACTAGATTAAGAAAATGTGGCACATATACACCATGGAATACTATGCAGCCACAAAAAGGATGAGTTCATGTCCTTTTTAGGGACATGGATGAAGCAGGAAACCATCATTCTTAGCAAACTATCACAAGGACAAAAAACCAAACACTGCATGTTCTCACTCATAGGTGGGAATTGAACATTGAGAACACCTGGACACAGGAAGGGGAACATCACACACTGGGGCCTGTCGTGGGGTAGGGGTAGGGGGAGGGATAGCATTAGGAGATATACCTAATGTAAAAGACGAGTTCATGGGTGCAGCACACCAACATGGCACATGTATACATATGTAACAAACCTATACATTGTGCACATGTATCCTAGAACTTAAAGTATAATAAAAATAATTAAATAAATAAATATAAATAAAAATAAAACAAGTTCGATCTGTAAAAAAAAAACTGATGAACACAGCAGCATGATAAATCTGAGTTGCACAGAAAGCAATAACAAAGATATACAAAAAGTCACACTGTACCAATTCATTAATATAAAATTCTAGAAAATGCTAATATATCGGTAGTGACAGAAAGTAGACTATCACCAGTTGCCTGGGTCAGTGTGAAGGGAATGATGGATTAAAAAGGAACAAGAGGAAATTTCTGGCTGAAGGAAATATTCTGTGTATTGATTGTGTATTCTCTTCCTAGATGTATGCATCTGTCACATTTTGGAAATTTTACTTTTTAAATATGTTCAGCATTTTGCACATAAAGTATAACTACCAACAAAATGATTAAAAAGACATTGTATGATTATTTTTAAGTGTTATATTGTCAATTTTCTGAATGTTCATCCTAAATGCTTTTAGCTGTTGCTTTCCATCATGTTGCATTTATTTTTTTTTCTATAATCCTTTTTCCCCCACCAGCCCGATCATCTGCAGATTTTTCATCTTAAGAACATAGGTTGCCAAAGAGTTTGTACCCTGAACTCTTCCCGTCTTTCTGTAGTGTTAACTATGATTTTCATGAAAATATTCTGCATAACTTGGTCTTTGCTGTCCTCTCTTCTAAAGCCATACTGCATTTCCAACTGGCTGATTTAGAGGTCTAGGTGACTTACCAATTGAATTTTAAATTTCAGTTTTCTGAAACTAACAAAAAAGCCTTTTTTTTTTTGCTGTCTTTTGAATGCTTTGTTTTCATCAATAGTAATAACCCATTCCCTATTTGTCAGTTTTAACTTTTTAGTTTCTTCCAAGACTGCTTTATTTGACATCTGTTTTAAGGTATAGGAAATATACCTTAAATGTTTACAGGAAATACCTTTCCTATACCATATTATGTTCTTAGAATATGATCTTTGCCATCAATTGCCACCACAACCACCATGACTTTTAATGACTTCTTGTTTTAATTTAAAAGGATCTGCTCTAGGCAGGGTGCGATGGCTTATGCCTGTAATCCCAGCACTTTGGGATCCCGAGGTGTGCAGATCACCTGTGGTAGGGAGTTTGAGACCAGCCTGACCAAAATGGAGAAACCCCGTCTCTACTAAAAATGCAAAAATTAGCCAGGCATGGTAGCGCATGTCTGTAATCCCAGCTACTTGAGAGGCTGAGGCAGGAGAATTGCTTGAACCCGGGAGGGGTAGGTTGTGGTGAGCCGAGATTGGGCCATTGCACTCCAGCCTGGGCAACAAGAGCAAAACTCCATCTCAAAAAATAATAATAATTAAAAAAAGATCTTCTCTAATTATTATAATTTTTATTCATTCATTAAAATGCTTTATAGTGATGGTTAACAATTCTCTATTCACTGTATGTAGGCCAATATATGTGCTCTTAAGTATTAAAGCAACTTCAAAAAATATATTTATTCTTTACAAAAATAAAGCATAATTTGTAATTTGTCTGAGGTCACACAGAGAGAAAATGCAGGTGCCTATACCTGACCCCAGGCAATCTATTTTTTAATTGAGATTAAATTTAAATAATATAGAATTAATTATTCTAAAGTGTGCTTTAAAATAGATTTTAATGTATTCGCAACATCGAGTTATCATCTCTCTTTAGTTTCAAAAATTTTCATCATCCCTTAAGAGAACCTCATATGTTTTAACTACTCCTCATTCTTCCCTTCTCTGTATAAAGGGGTAACCATGAAGCTTGTTTCTGTCTGTAAGTATCTCCCTAATCTAGATAACCCATATAAAAGAAATCACAATATATGATATTTGTGTCTGGCTTCTTTCACTTATCATAATGTTTCCAGGTTTATCAAAGTTCTGTTAAGTGGCAACATTTAATTCCTTTTTATACTATATAGTATTCTACTGTGTGTATGTACCACAATTTGTTTATCCATTTATTTGTTGATAATCATTTGGACTGTTTCCAACTTCTGGCTATGGTTAATATTGCTGCCATAAATATTTATTTACATGTTTCTGTTTGGGCATATATTTTCGTTTTAGAAAGTCTTTCAATTTTAATAGCTGATGATGGAACAAATTAGTTGAAAATGTATTGAACAGTCATTAAACAATCCACTATGGTTAGATCTTGGAAAAAATTACAGTTACCATGGTTTGCAACTAAGCAGAATTATTTGGACCTCTGGTGTCAGTAAAGCTGAATATGAAACCAGAGGACTCCTAATTTAGAATAATAGAATCTTTGCTCTTTTCATTATATCCATTACTTAGGAATAATATGGTTTCTTTAGGTATGTACAGTCTATTTCTTCTAAAAAGTATATGCAGGCTGGGCATGGTGATTTGCACCTGTAATCCCAGCACTTTGGGAGTTCAAGGCGGGTGGATCACAAGGTCAGGAGTTCGAGACCAGCCTGACCAACATGGTGAAACCCCATCTCTACTAAAAATACAAAAATTAGCTGGGTGTGGTGGCATGTGCCTGTAGTCTCAGCTTCTCAGGAGGCTGAGGCAGGAGAATTGTTTGAACCCAGGAGGCGGAGGTTGCAGTGAGCCAAGATCACGCCACTGAACTCTGGCCTGGGTGACAGAGCAAGACTTCATCTCAAAAAAAAAGTGTATGTAGAGTGCCTCCTACGACCAGGTGCTATGGTAGAAGTTACAGATTTAAAGATACAAATTTATTATTCTTCTTCTCATAAAGTTTGCCTTCCTAAGAAAAGAAAATTTTAAAATATCAAATACATAAAATAATTGTTTAATGGATGTTTCTAAAAACTGCCATGGAAGCATAAGAGAAAATATGACCGAGTTTGCCTAGAGGAGTCAGGAAATTGCTCATGGAGAAATAATGTTTTGCTGAGACATAAACAATAAATATGAATTTACTAAGTAAGTAATGAAATGAAGACTTTTTCTGGTAGAATGAATAACATAAACGCCAGAAGGCAAAAAAACAAAAAGTCTGCATGATGTTACAGAACCTTCACAGTTTAGACCCTTAGTTATACTTCAACATTTATAAACTGCTGATAGTTTCCAAAACGGTGTATTTTTGTTGTTTTTCTTATTTTGTTTTGGGTTTCTTTTTTTTTTTTTTTTTTGCCTTATTGCCTTTATGTTATTCATTCTACCACAGAGTCTTCATTTCATTGCCGAATTTGTAAATTCATATTTATTGCTTATGTCTCAGCAAAATGTTATTTCTCCATGATTCTACATTATGGTGGGTTGTATAATTATTTCATTATATACTACAATGTAATAATAATAGAAATAAAGTGCACAATAAATGTAATGGGGACTGCTAGTATAGGTGACTATTTTAGGGGCCTTCTTAACACAAACAAAATAATTATTTATAAAATAAAATATTATTTATTTTTATGTATAAAGGAGTCAAAAAGCTTCCTATATCAAAATCACAACTTAAAGCATGGATCTGGTTAAAATGTACACAATAATAATTAATAGAATTTAGTAATCAATAATGGAAATAACAAAAAGACTGACATTTAGAAATGAAATTTATGTATAAAAATACCTCATAAAGAAGAAAAACAAGTGAATACCACAGATGTGCAAAGCAAATTGATGTCACCAATAATTTAAATAAATATCATAATAGAAATTAGATGCTTATAAATCTTTGTATACAATGGCACCATTCATTATAACCATATAATAAACTTTAGAAAACATAAATGACCAATGTTAAGAGAGTACTTACAGTATATTCATAAGGAAATATTATTCAGTAATACAGGACATGCATAACAAGTTTTACTGGCAGCAAAATATTTTCAATATATTTTTAAAAGGAAAAAATTAAAACAATATGGACAGCTTGGTTTCAAGTTCTGTATAGGTGGTGGGACTATCAACTTTCTTTTGCATGCTTAAATTTATTTCTAATTTATTTGTACAAGAATATGCATAGCTTTTACTATCAAAATATATTGATATAATTTAAAAAACAAATTAAAAACATGGAACATTTTGTCTATGTAGTAGAAAAGCATCAGGAGAAAAGCAGACACTAAAATAATTGAAGAAAACAAAACTCAGCAATAATTTCAAATACCATTATATCTTACAGGATGATGAGTTTTTATGTGACCATTTTATTTGTCAAATGTAATGGGACTAGAAAAGTTATAGGGGTGATTGGGTCAAAAAGCAGATTGCAATAGATTGTAGTGTTTAAAGGGTAAACATATTAAATCTAGCGGCAGCAACTTTTTCTTATCCACTGATGAAGCATCAGAGCCTAAAACAGGTCTAGAATAAAATAGGCCTAAAACAAACAGTTGTCAAATTAATAAAATGATTGAACAAATAAATTAGCACCTATTTAGAAATTTGCTTGGAAAAAATAACAAATGAGAGTAGCATGAAGTTACTATAAAGTAAATTAAATATATTGTCTTAATTTGAACTCCATGAAAAGCAGACTTTGACACAAAGATTTATATATAGTTAGATTATTGGGAGATATTCCCAAAAAACATGAAAGAAAAAGATGTGCGGAAAATGAGACAAAGAAAAATAAGTAGAGATATTTGAGGGCCCCTTAATCTCTGATCTCCACACCTTACAGTTACATTTTATGTGATCACTTTCCTTGCATGTGTGAACGGTACTTTCAACTTGCTTCTGACCAACAGAATATGGCAAAGGCAGTGAGATGTTACACCATAATTATGTTATATGGTAATGGTGATGGGATATCCCTCTGGGGATTATGTTATGTTTTTAAAGGCTTCATCATGCTAGCAGACTCAAGCAAAAGACTTTCTCCTTTCTTGGTTTTGAAGAAGTGAGCTGCCATATTGGCAGAGTGCCCATGGAGAGGGACATGTGGCAAGGAGCTTCAGGAAGCTTCTAGGAGTCGTGATCATCCCTGGCTGGTAGCCAGCATGAAAACCATGATAAAATCTCAGTCTTAAAACCACAACGAAATGAATTCTGCCAACAACCACGTAAGTGTGAAATAGAACCTTGAACTCCAGAGAGAACGGATTCCAGCTGACATCTTGATTACAGGCATCTGAGACACTGAAAAGAAAACCCAGTTAAATTGTGCCCCAATTTTTATCTTAAAAAACTGTGATATGGAAACATATAACAAATGCATGTTGTTTTAAGACTCTAAACTTTTGGTAATTTTTTTCTGTAGTAATAGAAAACTAATGGGAAGTAGAAGGAGAAAAGCCAATACAGTGTGCATTTGTGACTACATTACCCTTGTAGGCAAGTGGAACTCAGTTCAATGTAGTAGAGGGGTGGGGCTCTTAAAACCCGTAGGAAGCATTCCTCAAAATTATCCCACTGAGGAAAGTAGGAAAAGCAAGACATTTATCTACTGATTCCCATTGCACATTAGTTAAGGATTGCCTCCGGAGTACAGGTTATGCCTGTGTGGAGTTAGTCAACTCACTTGGTCCTGGAGAAGACTCTCAATCAGAGAAGAGAGAAATTGGGTGCACAGGTTGGAAATGTCAACAAACTGGGAACAGTTTACCAAAGTTGCAAGTACATTAATGTGGAAAAAAGCAACAAGCGTGGGCATAAATGAAATCTGCTATGTGCCACTTTTTGCATTGCTAAGATTCTCTCAAGGCCTGCATTGGGTCTACAATTTCTAAAATAAAACTTACAATGGAGGGTTAGTATAGTAATCTACAGTATTCATTGTATCAACTGGTCCTGAGTTCATAATTGATGTTAATCATATGAGTCTATTCCACTGAGTACAATAAGCAATAGTGCTAGAGGTTTATGTGGTTGTGTTTGAAATTCACATATTTGAAGAAGAGTGTTGCCCTGCTTGTAGCACATTTTGTTTTTCTGTCAATGTGCTGACTGTAAGCTCTTTTCAGTGCACATACACACACAAGTCCATGCACATAGACATATATTTTTTCTAAAAATTTCATAAAATTGTAAGAAAGTATTTTATAGCAAAAAGACATTTTATGGGAGGTCAAACATTACAAATGGTGTAACGGTGGCTTCAGGTAATTCTACACCTTACTGCAGAAAACACAAATAGTTACAAAAATCTGAATGTTCATGTTATATAAGTCTAATGCCCTTTGGGTAGCACCTACCTATATGTACCATATATTAATACTGAATTGATAAGAAAATTATCACATATTTTTTAAATTGAATATATTGTGACTATTAGAAATCTACTTTATTTAATGAAAACCATCCACTTAGCTGTTAACTTCTTGAATTTATGCTTAAATACAAATTTAAAAATGTAAATATTCAATTTGTTACAAATACATAGTGCCTGGCCAAAACATAGACCCTAAAATGATTTTCTTTACATTCTCATCAAGGTATACTTAATCAGGTTTTGATAAAGATACCAAGTTAAGATTCACTGTTATCTTTAAAACATTGTTCCCAATTTCATTCTCATACTGTGCTCAAAATTAAATTCCAAGAAAACATGGTCATTGAATGTTCCCATAATTCTGTGATGTATTATTGATTATAAAATGATTCTGGATAGTAAATTACCTAAAATACAGCTACTTTATAATGTATCTTATATACAAAATGTAACCCTGGATTCCAGGGATTATCTTATTTCAAATTATAAGACCCAAAAAAGTATTATTTAGCTATAAAAGAAAGAAATGACATATTTAAGCAAAGCATATTTAAATACTTTGAAAATTGATGGATACGATTTTTTAAAACATGTGTGTGCTTTGTTCAAAATTTGTGCTCTGTATTTATTGTTTTTACTTTGGTGAAAAAGAGAAAAAACTACAAAAACAAAAATTATTTTATAAATGCCATATAAACCTAATTTTACACAACTCCTTAGAAACTCCTCATTTTCCCATAAGTACTTTGATTTATCCCTTTTTTGTATTTATTTTTCTAAGATTCAGTTGATTCTCTAAAAATTAAATATACTAGAATTATACTTTTTCAAAAAGGAAAATTATATAGAGAATAAAATTGTCTAATTCTTATCTAACTGCATTCATGTTTCTATATATTTTACTTATCAATTTCTATTAAATTTCTACTTTCTGAATTGTTTTTCTCATTCAACTAGAGAAAAATCATGATAGATGCCACACGTTCCTGGTTTGTCTCAGCTGATCATTGTTTGTAGTAATGAACTGCAATGGCTTAATGGCAATTCCTGCAAGAATAACAGCCTTTGACTAGCTCTCTAAGACCACAGGTCACAGAGTCTATCACATTTATATTCTAATAGGTCCTACCTAGTAGAATGTCAAAACCATAGGTGCATCAAATATGTCATTAGTGAGCTAATTAATGAGGTTTCTTGTTCTTATCTTCTTTTGTATTTAAAGTTTTAATTTCATATTTTATAGCTTTAAAATAAACTAGTCTTCATCTTCATTCACCTTTTCATTCATTAATCCATCCACCAAACTGTTGTTATATTCATTCATTCATCCATCCACCCAATTGTTTACACTGTGCTAGGAAGGGTAAACTGTGAAAAGGTCTAAAACGAGAGGGCCTAAGTCAATATAAAAATTCAGAGAGCTTTATCCCAAGCTCCATCTTCCAACTCTGATGTTCAACAGGGACATTTTATTCTTCCTGGAAGAGAGATGAATGTTTTTGGAGTCCTCATAACATAAGAGAAATGATACTTCTGGCCTCCTTACAAACAAGCCACCCCACAAAATAATCTCCCATTTTCCTCATTTCAGATTTTCTTTTTTTTGTTTGAGACAGAATTTCGTTTTTGTCACCCAGCCTGGAGTGCAATGGCACAATCTTGGCTCACTACAAACTCTGTCTCTTGGATTCAAGCAATTCTCCTGCCTCAGCCTCCTGAGTCACTGGGATTACAGGCGCCCACCACCAGGCCCAGCTATTTTTTGTATTTTTATTAGAGATGGGGTTTCTCCATGTTGGCCAGGCTGGTCTCAAACTCCTGACCTCAGGTGATCCACCAGCCTCGACCTCCCAAAATGCTGGGGTTACAGATGTGAGCCACTGCACCAAGCCATCTCAGATCTTTTATTGTTCTCTTTTTTTCATGTGGGTCACCAGAGGCAGAAATTTTCCAGACCTGAAAGTGTCAGCAGTTATTTCATAATTACCTCTCTATGAATGACTAAAGGATCTTGTTAAAATTTTTTTTTGTAGGGGTAGGGGAAGGAGTCTCCCTCTGTTGCCAGGCTGGAGTGCAGTGGTGCGATCTTGGCTCACTGCAACCTCCGCCTCCCGGGTTGAAGCGATTCTCCTGCCTCAGCCTCCCAAGTAGCTGGGATTACAGTTGCCTGCCACCACACCCGGCTAATTTTTGTATTTTTAGTAGAGACAGGGTTTCAACATGTTGGCCAGGATGGTCTCAATCTCCTGACCTCATGGTCCACCTGCCTCAACCTCCCAATGTACTGGGATTACAGACATGAGCCACCATGCATGGCCTAAATATTTTTAATCACATAATCAATATTATGTTCTTTCTTTTGGGAGTGATGTTGAAATGCATGGATATAAGGGGTTTTTTTAGTTACACAATGCAGGAATGTGCAATGATAAAATTTAGTTTAGAATAACATAAGCTAATGTAACATATTTTGTTGTTGACCTAAAACATTTCAACATATGGAAGTTTCAATCTCTAGAAATTTGCAGAGAAATTTGATACCTCAGTATCTACCACATATACAGAGGTATGTTAAGTTTGTAATTCCTAAGATGTTACTACTGGTATTGTCTTTTAATTCATGATTTACAAAGAGACAAAACAAATTTATTTTGTTTGTTTGGCTTAGTTCCTCATCAATAGGACACAGAGGAAACTTAGGCCTCCATTTCCAACCCACTTGCATTCAAAACAAAACAAAACATAAATATGGCAAATATACTGTTGAAGAAAAGAGTCAAACTCTGTAAAATATTTAAGAGATTTATCCTAAGCCAAATATGACTCACCAATGGCCTGTGACATGGCCCCAGGAGATCCTGAGAACATGTGCCTAAGTTGGTCAGACTACAGCTTGATTACGTACATTTTCAGGAGACAAAAGACATCCATCAATACACTTAAGATGCATATTGGTTCAGCTGGAAAAGCAGGACAACTCGAAAGAGGGCAGGGGGTCTTCCAGATAATAGGGTGAATTCAAAAGTTTTCTAATTGGCAATTGGTTGAGAGAGTTACTTTATTGTCAAAAGACAACAGAAGGGAATGTCTAAGTTAATATAAGGGCTTGTGGAGACCAAGTTTCCCATTATGCAGATAGAATCAATAGAAGGGAATGTTTCTTATCAATTTAAAGAGTATGTGCTATTAATCTTAAGGCCTCAGTTTTAATGTTAATGCTGTTCAGCTGTGCTTGAATTCCAAGGAAGGAGGGCATAAGGAGGCATGTCCAACCCCCACTTCCCATTATAACCTAAACTAATTTTTAAGTTTAATTTTGGAATGCCCTTGGCCAAGGGGAGGGTCCATCAGTGAGTTGAAAGGCATAGAGTTTTATTTTTGGTTTACAGTACTCTGGCTTTGTTGTTAAAAATTAGTTCTCTTTAGAGATATTCAAGGTCTAATATTTCTTATTTTAAAAGAAGAAAAAAAATAATCTAGCTCCATCATTGGAACCATTGGAACTCTAGACTGATTTTTATGCTGGGGTACAGGTTGGTGGACATTGTGGTCTTGAGTAATCTTATCAGAGCAGTCTAACTGAGGAGTCTGAAAATGCTGAAAAAGGTAGGGCTTTAGTTTGGATAACACAGTATGAAGCACACTAACTAAACTTAGCAAAACTAAGTGTTCATGGGAATTTCCCATGAAATCGTTCTGCTTCAGAAGATAATGGTAGTTGTGAACATTAACCTTGAAGATAGTTCAAATTCCCACTCTTTATAGTAAGATTTCCATGCCCCATGATCCTCCTCTGTGCAATGTAGCAGCAAGGATCAATAATAGTTGCCTCAGAAACTTTAGGGCTTCACAGATTTTTAGAGAAGAAAAAAAATTGAGGCCAGGGAAATTATCATTTTTGGACTAAGGAACACTTCAGAATTTTTAGATTATTTAAATAAGTGGAGATATTTTAAAACCCAAAGAAGTACTTCCTAGTATTTGATCTGTTGGAGGCTCTTTCTAGTCTTAATTTAACTTTAAAAAATATAATGCTATGACAATATTTGTTCAGTAAATATTGACATGCATGAAGTCTTTACTGTAATTTAATTTAATTTCAGACTTTTTAATAAGTCCTTTTAAAAATAATTATAAGAATATACACACACACACTCACATACACCCACACAGACAGAAGCCCATTCTAGGCATTTTCAATATATATTTTTTGAATAATTAAATCTAGATCAATAATAAAGCAACAAATTGAAATATTTCATCTACCTATAAAACCAATGATTTAAGTTGACAAAAACTGTCAAACAACTTTTTCAGAATTCTGGAATCTGAAAAATAAAGAGAGATTTGCAACAACCAAGGAAATTCTCAGTGAAAAAAGAAGCTGCTAAAGTTTGGTGAGAGAGCATGGCAACACTTTCCCACCTATTATCATCCACTCCAAAGCCCAGGGGTGACCTTGGGGAAAGGGATCCACATTCCTCGTGCAGCTTGGTGGTGCCAGAGAGGTAAATATGAACCTTGTTCTTAACATTTTGTGTTTATGTGTTATGACCTTTCTGCTCCATAGAAGACCAGTACAGAGGCTTGGCATGGTTTCATCACCTATCTTTAAACTTTATCAGGGCTGAGGCAGCCTTTTGGGTGAAGTTTCTTGAAAACATCCAAAGGCAAAAATACTGGCCCCACCACCCTGAGACAAGCAGCAGACAGACTGGAGGCCCGGGAAGGAAGAAGCTAAGGAAGGAAATACATAAGTGAAAAAGAATTTCCCATAAAAAAGAATTTCCACAAATTCTAGAAAATCTATAAGGTCATGCACATGCCCACGGTTGGAAATATGCTCAGAGAAAACTCTGTAAACCAAAAGTATCTGAGACACGTCTCAATCAATATAGAAGCTTCGGTAGTCAAAAGAGTTTGATATTGGTATAAGTATAGACATAAATAGATAAATAGAATTAATTAATAGTCTGTAAGTAAACCCATAGATATGTGATATCGATATGTAATCAGTTGGTTTTTGGCAATGGTACCAACACACCAACACCATTGCCTTGTCGGGGGGAAACAATAGTCTCTTTAACAAATGGTGATGGAAAAATTTGATATCTTCATGAAAAAAATTAAGTTAGACTTTTACCTCACACCAAATATAGAACAATTCAAAATCAATCAAAAGCCTAAATATCAAAGCTAAAAGTATAAAACTGATAGAATAAAACATACGGATACATCTTCAGGACTTTAGATTTGGCAATTATTTCTTAGATATGACACACAAAGCACAATCAACAAAAACAAAGTATACAAGTTCGACATTTTTAAAATTTAACATGTTTGTGCATTAAAAAATACCATCAACAGAGTGATAAGACAAACTACCAGAGACAAAATATTCATAAGTTATGTATCTGATAGGAATCTAGTCTCTAAATTATAAATCTTAATAGAAATTTGCCTAGAACTTTATCAAATACCAATGTTTACAAAGGTATTTGGTCATATAATATCCACTTTCTATTTTAGTTATCCTTGGTAAAAGAAGGAAATAGATTATAGGCATATATTTAAACCATTTCTTCCCACAACCATTTAATTTTTTAAAATTATTTGCACCATATGTTTATCTCATATGTGAAAATTGACTCTATTATCTGAAACAACATCATCCTCTCTTCTTTCACTGACATTTGATATGCATGTGTGTTTTAGACATTCTCAGTCAATATTGTAAGCCCCCATAAAATGGGCTATGCGTTATTTGACACAGCCCTGGGTTAGCCTCCCACATTGCCTGGCATGTAGCAATCAATTTATAATGTTTGTGAAATGGCAGAGGAATAAAGGAATTTCATGAGAAACATTGCATAATCAGGATTTATTAAAAGTTTATAAAATTAAAACAGTGCTATATAGTGATCAGATGACAACACCTGAGCAATAGAAAATTAAAAATAGCTTTTCTCTATAAGTTATTTTACTTATATAATATATATAATTATATAATTTATATAATATAAATTAAAGGAAATTTTTGGGCAGTAAGCAACAATTTCTTTTTAATTGAAAATTATATAGAGATGATTATAGATCCACATGTAATAATAAGAAATAACACAGAAATACTCACTGTATCCTATACCCAGTGTTTCCCAAAGGTAACTTCTCGCAAAACTATATTACAAGATCACACCAGGGTTAGACATTTATACCATATACTTATCTTTTTCAGATTTCTCTAGTCTTATCTTTACTGGTTTGTATCTGGCTGTCTGTATTTAGTTCTATCCAATTTTATCATATGTGTAGGTTTTTGTAACTACCACCAGTCAAATACAGAACAGTTCCATCACTTTTAGGATCCCTCCTGAAAAGTAACTACCTTTTCTTTTCTTTTTTTTTTTTTTTTTTTTTTGAGACAGAGTCTCGCTCTGTCGCCCAGGCTGGAGTACGGTGGCATGATCTCGGCTCACTGCAACCTCCGCCTCCCAGGTTCAAGCAATTCTCCTGCGTCAGCCTCCCTAGTAGCTGCGACTACAGGCGCCTGCCACCACGCCCGGCTAATTTTTTGTATTTTTAGTATTTTTAGTAGAGACAGGGTTTCACTGTGTTAACCAGGATGGTCTCGATCTCCTGACCTCATGATCTGCCCACCTCGGCCTCCCGAAGTGCTGGGATTACCGGTGTGAGTCACCGCGACCAGCCAGTAACTACTTTTTAATTAGTGATTGCATGTTACTTTTTCAAACATATTAACTAAAGATGGATTCACCACAATAAGGTGTATGAATAAGCCATTTTTACTTCTAATCACTTATTATATATCTAATTTTTTGCTGACATCAAGTATGTTAAAAAGAGATCACATTACTTAAGAAATTGTATTTTTATGCATGTGTGTGTGCACACACAGATTTACATAATCCTAAAGAGATCATCCTGCAAATTACTTTTTATTTTTTATAATAACTCTAGGATAAGGAATGCAATCAATATCTTGGGGAAAATGGTTGGATAATAAATACAATTTTGACACAAATTATGTACTACTTTCACTTTGATTCCCTGACTGAGAAAATCCACTTAAAATGTGATAAAATAAAATTACCTCCTTTGCTCAGAAGCTGGGCTCATGTAATTTCAACATCAATATCTTTCAGGCCCGGTGTTCCCAGCAATACCTTTCCATAGAATATAACACAATAAAAGCTAAGGGGAGGGCTGAGCTGCCATTCAATTTAAAACGTACCTTAAGAGCAGGCTTCCATAATTATTACTCACATTCTACATGAGACAAGATGCCAGTTCATAAAGTGATTGGGGAAATGAGATTAAAAAGAGCAGAAAGAGTAAATCTGTCAAATACATTCTTTTGTGGTTTGCTGCTCAATTTACCCTCCTAAAAAAAGACAATGTAGAATTGACTTTTTTAACCATACACAGACAATTTTAAAGATAAAAAAGAAAATTAACAGCTGGAGGTTTCTAGTAGAGCTGGCTAAACTTCTTAACCAATGTTATTTCAATAAATAAGGTTGCAAAGAGATACAAGAATGCCATATGTTATGCTTTTTATTGTCAATTAATGATTTTCCAGCTATACTAATACAGAAGATAGATTTATTTGCTCAAAATTAAAATAATACCTCAGATCTTTAGATTTACATTAATTTCTATTACTCAAAAATTTCCTTTCTATACATTAGACAACTAAGAAGTAGCTAAATCATAGCCATGGTCATAGTTAAAGGAAGTTGAGAAATAAATGAAAAAGATTATGAAAAATTATCCACTTAGTAACAGCAGTAGACAGGTTTAGAAGTTCTCGTAACAAAAATATAAAATTATTATTTTTTTATAGATTCAGGTAGTAAATTTTTAGGTTTGTTCACATGGATATATTGCACTGTGGTGGAGTTTGGGTTTTTGGTGTATCCATCACCCAAATAGTGAACATTGTGCCTATAAATAATTTTTCCAACCTCTACTTCCTCTCGCCCTTCTCCCTTTGGGAGTCACCAGTGTCTATTAATTCCCTCTGTGTGACTATGTGTACCCATCGTTTAGCTCCCACTTGCAAGTAAGAACATGCAGTATTTAATTAAAAAGTCTGTCTGCCACATAGTTAAGTGCTTGAAAGAAGTATCCACATTTTTATTACAATGAATTATTTTATTATGCACTAACCAATCATTTGGGAATTTTCCATTAAAAACTAGTTTATATAAATAATTTTCAACAAACAACTTCAATACTACCAATCTATCAACCTTCATAATTACCTAATAAATAATAAAATCTATAGCTGGTATTGGTATGGGACCATCCTGATGTATTTTCTTAGTGATTGTTTTGGTTATACATCATTATGTAATAAACAAGTTCTCAAATGTAGTGGGCTCTGGAGGTTAATTGAGCTCAGTTGTGTAGTTTTTTCTTTGGATTTTCATGAGGTTGTAATTAGATGTCAGCTAGAGACACACTCATTTGAAGGCTTAAAAGGGCTAGCTGTCCAGATGATTCACCTACATAGCTGATAATTGATGTTAGCTGAAGGCTGTGAGCTCAGCCATCGATGATAACCATTTTGCTTGGGCTTCTTCAAGTACAACGGTTGTAACAAGGAATTTCTTGAGAGAGATTTGTATGAGAATGAACATATATGGACTGAATGGGGAAGAAAGCCTAGGATGGAGTTTTGATGAATAGCAATATTTTTCAAATGGGCACAGAAAATGAGTCCAAGAAAAACATAGAGGTAAGCTAGAGGCACAGAAAGAAAATAAAAACATTCTGTCGTGGAAGAAGAATTTGATCAAACAGCAATAAGAGGTCAGGGATATAAGAATTAAATTCTGTGTTTATTGCTTAACAACAGGCAGATTATTGCAGAATTTGGTGAAAGCAGAAGAATCATATTCACAAGAGTGAGGAATAATGGGAAAGTGTGGAAAAGTATTGATGACTTTAAAACAAAAGAAAAAGACAAGGTAGCAGTGGAAGTTGACATATACTAAAGAATTCCTTGGACATTTTCTTTTTGCTGTATTATACCTTTTTTTAAGAAAGGAGTAACATATCTGTAATAGTGATAAAAGGAAATCAATAAACATCAATGTTGAGGACACAAGAGACAAAAAGGAAAACCTATGATTTGAAGTATCTTAAAATCTTCGTATTTTTCATATCATGCTGTGAAAACACTGCTATGATTAGTGACTTGTAATGTAAGGATGCTTTGTTTAGAAACCACACATTATGGTTGAACTCTATACTCATTTTTGTTACAAAAATATATTTCCACTTTAATTTTATATAACTTGCTTCTTTTTTTTAGACTCAATTATAATTTTTCTTATTTTCATTTATAAATAATTTCCATATATATATATCCTAATCTAACTTATATACACATTACCACATACATTTTTCAGAAAAATTTTATTAGATATAAAGAAAACATTTGAGAAAAAGCAGAGGTCTTATGTTACACATTAAATTATATCAAGATAATGCACAAAACTAAATTGTCTGAATGCTATTGTGTGTCAGGAAATATCATTTAGGTTAACAAAATAAGTGTCAAGAGTAGAAGTAAATGTATTTCATGTCAAAGATATAAATAAATTATAAATAATTTATAATATTAAATAGCAGTAATTAGTTTATATGATCTCTCATTTTAAGAATACATATGAACATTAATCAAAGTGACACTTTATTTTTTGTTTTTATTGTTGAAGTAGATGATGACTTTGGATCCTTTCTGTTTATTAGTCTATGGATAGTCATTAATATTTATACAAAACTTTGCTGCCTTTTATTAATAAAATTCGGGCAATAGGTGCATTTCCATGAATAAAAAAGTAAATTATTTTGTGGATTGGGATATTTACTGCCAAATGAGAACATCAGAATCAATAAAATCCTAGTTGGATGTTTTACATAAACCTTTGTTTTATTTCTGAAGCTACTGTCATATTATACATACTTTGCCTATATTATTTGCCTAGATTGAAGGATTATGATCTCAGTGACCTTTATTTCAGGATGAGTTAACAAGATTGATTTAAAGATCTGTCACATAGGAGCTATAAAGTGTTTGTCAAAATGCAATCATGATTATGAATAATTTATTGATATAAACTTTTCACAGCAAAGCAGAAAGTTCACATTTTCTCATTTTAATAATACTTTGCTACAAGATAAGTGATTTGCTAACTATTAGGTAATCTATTTCATAGCATAGATAATTTACATTATTTTAATTGTCCCCAGAAACATTAATACATTTTAAAAAGTAAAACAGCATAAGCTAAAACTAAAAATATCAATTATAATAATGGAATAAATGTGGTAATGCATTTTAATTTTTTTAAATTACATATATTCATGGGGTTCAAGTGCAATTTTGCTACATTGACACATTGCAGAGTGGAGAAGTGACATCTTTCAGGGCATCCATCACTGAAATAATGCACATTGTACCTGACAACAACTGCCATCATTCCACATTTCAGTATCTAAATTCTAATACCACTACAAAATTATAAGACAAAAGACTGTATAAAGAGAATTTTTTCAGATTTATATTTTGTATAAACATAATTTATTGATGTAAAATTTGGATCATGATATCTGATAGATAAATACACATGCAATCTGCAAAATCTTATCTCAAAATAAATATACACACGTGAATATATATTTATATCATGGACTCATAGATTTCTACAAAATCTTATTAATATGGGAAAAACTATTGAGTGAAAGTATTTTATTTTTTTCTAAATGTCTTTCTTGCTTTATGATTTATTGTCACACCTTTTTAATCTTTGAATAATTTTTGTTCATTTTTATTACTTTTTTCATTTCTTTCTTTCTCAAATAGTCCACAAAGTTGTATTTTTTATCCAAAAACTTATAAATACTATCATTCTCCTGAATTCTCTGGTGGAATCACTTTGATGATATATTATGGCAATACATCATCAAGTAGCTATTGTACTACTATTGTATTATTGTAATACATCAAAAAACACTGTCATTCTGATGTTACAGTAATATAATGAATCATAAGAATAATTATAGTAGATCCATTATAATGGCTTTTTTGAAGTAGTAGAGTTAAGTTAAAATATGGACAAAATTAAAATGGACTACATATGCTACTGGTTAAGTAATAATTTATACATTTATCTTCATATCACAATGAAATAGAATTTTCAGTGTGTTTAGTCATGTGTGTTGGGGTGACTGAGCTCTCATAAATTAACTACTGTGACTCTTTATTGGCTTCATTTCTAATTTCTTAAACAATACCACACAACCAAAGGAAACATTGAGGCAAGATCCTGAAAGCTACCATTGTACTAATTAAATTACTCTAGACATTGCAAAATCTCTTCAAGTTTTTTGTGCAGTTTTCCTGATAAATTGTTGTTAAGATCAAATATTGTCTCTATTTGCAGATGACTTGATTGTATATTTAGAAAATCCCATGGTCTCAGCCCCAAAATTCCTTAAGCTGATAAACAACTCAGCAAAGTCTCAGGATACAAAATCAATGTGCAAAAATCACAAGCATTCTATACACCAATAATAGACAAGCAGAGAGCCAAATCATGAGTGAACTCCCATTCAAAATTGCTACAAAGAAAATAAAATACCTACGAATACAACTTACAAGGGATGTGAAGGACCTCTTCAAGGATAACTACAAACCACTACTCAAGGAAATAAGAAAGAACACAAACAAATGGAAAAACATTCCATATTCATGGATAGGAAGAATCAATATCCTGAAAATGGCCATAATGCCCAAAGTAATTTATAGATTCAGTGCTACGCCCATCAAGCTACCATTGGCTTTCTTCACAGAACTAGAAAAAACTACTTTAAATTTCATATGAAACCAAAAAAGAGCCTATATAGTCAAGACAATCCTAAGCAAAAAGAATAAAGCTGGAGGCATCATGCTACCTGACTTCAAACTATACTACAAGGCTACAGTAACCAAAACAGCATGGTTCTGGTATCAAAACAGATATATAGACCAATGGAATGGAACAGAGGCCTCAAAAATAACACCACACAACTAGAACCATCTGATCTCTGACAAACCTGACAAAAAGAAGCAATGGGGAAAGGATTCCCTATTTAATAAACGGTGCTGGGAAAACTGGCTAACCATAAGCAGAAAACTGAAACTGGACCCCTTCCTTACACCTTATACAAAAATTAACTCAGGATGGATTAAAGACTTAAACATAAAACTTAAAACTATAAAAATCCTGGAAGAAAACCTAGGCAATATCATTCAGAACATAGGCATGGGCAAAGACTTCATGACAAAAAACAACAAAACCAATTGCAACAAAAGCCAAAATTCACAAATGGGACCTAATTAACCTAAAGAGCTTCTGCTCAGGAACTTTAAAAATTTACAAGAAAAAAACAAATGACCACATCAAAAAATGGGCAAAGGATATGAACAGATACTTCTCAAAAGAAGACATTTATGCAGCCAACAAATATATGAAAAAAAGCTCATCATCACTGGTCATTAGAAAAATGCAAATTAAAACCACAATGAGATACTATCTCAAGCCAGTTAGAATGGCGATCATTAAAAAGTCTGAAAACAACAGATGCTGGCAAGGATGCAGCAAAATAGGAACTCTTTCACTCTCTTAGTGGGAGTGTAAATTAATTCAACCATTGTGGAAGACAGTGTGGTGATTTCTCACGAACAAGAAATACCATTTGACCCAGCAATCCCATTACTGTATATCCCATATGATTATAAATCATGCTGCTATAAAACACATGCACACGTATGTTTATTGCAGCACTATTTACAATAGCAAAGACTTGGAACCAACCTAAATGCCCATCAAAGATAGACTGGATAAAGAAAATGTGGCACATATACACCATAGAATACTATGCAACCATAAAAAAGAATGAGTTTATGTCCTTTGCAGGGACATGGATGAAGTTGGAAACCATCATCCTCAGTAATTTAACACAGGAACAGAAAATCAAACATGGTATGTTCTCACTCATAAGTGAGAACTGAACAGTGAGAACACATGGAACACAGGGAGGGGAACATTACACACCATGGCCTTTCAGGTGGTGTGGGGAAAGGGGAGGGAGAACATTAGGACAAATATCTAATGCATGTAGAACTTAAAACTTAGATGAAGGGACAGGCGCGGTGGCTCACGCCTGTAATCCCAGCACTTTGGGAGGCCAAGGCGGGAGGATCGCCTGAGGTCAGGAGGTTGAGACCAGCCTGGCCAACATGGTGAAACCCTGTCTCTACTAAAAATACAAAAATTAGCCAGGCGTTTTGGCAGGTACCTGTAATCCCAGCTACTGGGGAGGCTGAGGCAGGAGAATCGCTTGAACCCAGGAGGCAGAGTTGCAGTGAGCTGAGATCATGCTATTGCACTCCAGCCTGAGCCTGAGCGACAAGAGCTAGACTTCATCTCAAAAACAAAAACGAAAACAAAAACAAAGAAATAACAAAACCTAGATGATGGGTTGATAGGTGCAGCAAACCACCACAGCACATGGATGCCTATGTAACAAAACTGCACGTTCAGCACATGTATCCCAGAACTTAAAGTAAAAAAAAAAAAAAAAAAATACAGAAGGGCCCATTTGCTGTCAGAGCATCCTCCATTCCCACACGTTCCATGTGGTCTCAGCTACTTTAATTGCCACTAAATACAACTTTGGCAATATGTTGAATTAACCTAGATGAGGAGAAGCTTAATAAAATGTGAGGGGTTTCTTCAAAAAAATCAAATATTTGTAATTGTATATATAACCTCAGATTAAATATTCATTTACTTAGCTCTTTATTTGGATATTATCTAACAAGATATTATGAAGGATTAAGATAAATGAAAAGTAAATACAGAGTGTCACAATATAAAATATAAAATTTAAATATAAAATGAATATTTTAATCCAGGCAGACAAATTGGACACATGCAACCATACTGTAATGGAGTAGAACAAAAAATGTCCAGTGATTGCATGATAAATTCATTTATTTTATGTAACTTTTGGGAAACATTATGACATTTTTCTAAGAACAACCTGAAAGTTTCTGATAGGGAGAAGTAGAAGTAGTAATTTCATTGATGTTAAAAAATTATTTTCAAAGTTTTCCCTTTGATAAAGTACATTTACATTCTTTTATTCTCTCACAGTAACTACATAAGTAAAAACAAATATCTAACACTAAGAAAGACACAGAAAAACAATTTTATTAAAAGCTTTGGTAGTCATTGTACAGAGTTAAGCAAAGCAATTTTATGTAATTCAGCATCAGTTTAATGAGAAAGAAAAATATAGAGGGAAATAGTAAAAGAAACAGCAACATGGGTAAGCTGATTAACATTAAAAGCCTCTCTCTCTGTTTCTGTGTGTGTGTGTGTGTGTGTATGTGTGTGCTACACATACACATATGAGATATAAATATGTCAGTAAATATGTAGAAAGAGTAAAATATATATGTATATATAACTAATATTACATATATTTAATTATACTATTTAGTGTAAACATTCTTATAAAACTGAGATGCCTAGAAATAATGGAATACATCTTATTTGAAATTTGTATTATAACATATTCAACATGCTTAGTGACATTTTCTTTTAAGTAATGAATTATAGGAGTAAGTACTTGAATAAAACTAGAGTAGCAGATATAGTGAATGTTGACAATGACCTTGAAATAAAATAGTAAAGGACAGGTACTGTAAGTTTCATGGCAATAGCAAAGAAACTTCAGGCATGGAACAATTAATGTACACTCAGATGTTAATTTTAACAAAATGCAAAATAAATTAATTATTTTCAAACACTGAAACTGAGCATGGAAAATATTAATTTGTAGATCATATATAATAAAACTGAATTTATAATTTAAATGCAGACAATTATATCAGAATAGTAATGTGAGACAAAATAGTTTTGGTATGGTTGTACCTATTTGCTGGAAAATATAAAAAAGTAATAATCAAATCATACCAGAAAGGATTTGGTAATGGAAAAACAAAAGAAAGAAAATACATGTATACTGTAGTGCCAAACTACATTCTACCCAATATATTGGCTAAGTATACTTCCTTATCTAACTGCAGATTATAAGATTTGAATGTCAAAACAAAGCAAAATGTTGACTGAGAAATGATAATATTTCAATATACCTTGAGTATGTTGTGTAATACGATAAATTATCTGGTAATTCCTTAAATTATTTTAAAATAAATTTCTCTTTCATTATGCACAGGAGGCTATAAAAATCAATTGCTAATAAATTGTTACAATTGATAGCTAATTATTAGCAATTGAGGGCTAATCATATGCTATATGTACCTTACAATAATTATGTACAAAGCATTAGGTCAACATTACCTCAATTTCACACGAAAGCACTAAGGCTAACAAAAGCTAAATAATTAGGACAATGTCAAAATGGTGATGTTCAGAATTGAAGAAGCAAATCCTGTCACCAAATGCAGTAATTTTCTAACATACAATGAATTAATGGAAATATTTTTCTAGATATAATTCTAAACTTTTAGACTATTTAATGATGCAAAGTCATAAGATCATTAGGGAAAAAAATCACCATGTATCTGTCTTGTTTAATAGAGAATAGCAAATGGGATAGTCAGATTCTATGGTTGGAGAAATAAAATTTGAAAGAAAAGTTAATTACTGTATTAGGTTAATGAATACGTAGAATATGCATTTTGATTTTTAGGTTGATAAGAAATCACCTATAAAAGTAAATAATCCTTGACTGTCTGCCTAATGAGATCAGAAAATCCTCCCACAACTGAAAATACATGATCCTGGAGACACAGGATACAAGACACACATTGTTTCTTTTTGTTTTTTAACAATAAGGAAAATTAGATTCTAAAAGAATGTTTCCCTTGAGTCATTCCAACAGCATATTACAGGAACATAATGTATAACATGGCTCTGCATGACTCCAAATATTCAGTGTATCATGATATCAGGAGAAGCAGAGATGCTGGAACTTGCACCTTAAATAACAACCTAGAAATATGTTTCATTTTGTTATTACTCCGGTGGTGACAGCATTGAGAGAGACACTGAGAAGGGGATTTAGTAATTGAATATGCCGTTATACTGGGACATTTACATTTAGATTTATAGATTTAAGCTTACGTTGTGAACTTAGCCATATTGTTTTGGAGATAGCTAAAAAACAAGTGCAACAATACTATATCATATAATACAGTAGTTTGGAAGTTTAAAAAAAAAAAATCTGTAAGACCCAGCATACTTTTGTACTTCTCTGTTAACGTTTATAGGAATGGAAAATCTGAGTGAAGCAAAACTTATTCATATTCTCTGAAATTGAAGACATAATATACTGGATTGCTCTGCCAAAAAGAGGGACAGTAATATTAATGTGAGTAATAATATACATTTGTGTATAGTGTGTTATTTGATGTGCTGACTTAAGAAGTATGTAGCATGACAATGCAACACAGTAGCAAGAGAGGAAAGACAGGCAGAAGGAAGAAACCAACTGGGAAAAGGAAGGATAAATCATTATTTGAAAGGGACATATTAGATATGAAGTTTTGTTTTAGTCCTAAATGTCATTCTTACTACTATATGTGGATCTCCGCACTAGATTATTATTATTATTATTATTATTATGTGGATCTAGGCACTAGATTAATGACATTGACAAAGTATGCTCTTCAATATCTCTTACACATGAATACATACACATAAAAACCTCACTTATGTAATTCGAATTGATGTCAATTTGTGCATTTCTATCATAACCAGAGATGAGGCCAATTTTAGTTCTTTTTACATTCAATATTAGCCATGTCTCTACTGCACCTCAGTTCAATATTGTGTTTAATGTGCAATTAAATGTTCTTTAATTTCCCAGAATTTTATGGTTATATTGAAACCTCTACATAAATAGACTAATTTATATAGATAATAAAAAGTATCTAATCCTTTAAATAGATAATGCCACCACAGCTGAACCATTTCTCAACTAAGAAAACTAATGTAAAAAATAGGAGGGAAATTGGTCATTTATCATTTATAAGCATATTCCAAGAGCTGAAAATAAATAGAATTCAGCTGACACACTTTAAAAGATTAAAGGCAGGCTATTTCTATGAAAGATTATCTGATTAACTAGGCTGAGCATTCAATAACAAAGTAAGGTTAGAACTGAATTATAACTGATAAATAAAATGAAAAGAAAACTGTCTCCAGGTGGATAGTGAAAATTAAATTAAATTAATTCTAACTGATATTTTTGGGAAAATATATTTCCTTGAGTAAAGTAAAAAATAGTATATAAAAGCAAGAAGGGAATAAGAAAGAAATCCAATCAGATCACATTGGTAATTTTCCATTAGACTGCTACTTTTTCTTGGTAGTTCTATTTATGTCAGAGTCTACTATTATTAGTCTGTTATTGCTTGCCTATTATTATGATGGATATGTTTAGTCATACTAAAAGAGTTTCTATCACATTAAGAAAGACAAATATTGCCAGGTGCAGCGGCTTATGCCTGTAATCCCAGCACTTTGGGAGGCCGAGGCAGGCACTTTTGGGAGGCCGAGGCAGGAGATTGAGACCATCCTGGCCAATATGTTGAAAGCTCGCCTCTACTAAACTCCTAAAAAAAAAAAAAAAAAAAAATTAGCTGGGCGTGGTGGTGCACGCCTGTAGTCCCAGCTAATCGGGAGGCAGGAGGCTGAGGCAGGGGAATCGCTTGAACCTGGGAGGTGGAGGATGCAGTGAGCCAAGATCACACCAATGCACTCCTGGCGACAGACTAACAATCCATCGCGGTGGCTCACGCCTGTAATCCCAGCACTTTGGGAGGCAGAGATGGGCGGATCATGAGGTCAGGAGATCGAGGCCATCCTGGCTACATGGTGAAACCCCGTCTCTATTAAAAATACAAAAAAAAAAAAAAAGAGGGAGGCGCGGTGGCGGGCGCCTGTAGTTCCAGCTCCATGGGAGGCTGAGGTGGGAGAATGGCGTGAATCCGGGAGGCGGAGCTTGCAGTGAGCAGAGATCGCGCCACTGCACTCCAGCCTGGGCGACAGAGCAAGACTTCGTCCCCCCAAAAAAAAAAAAAAAAAAAAAAAAGACAAATATTAATGCTATATCAACTAGATTTTAAATATTAAATTACTTTCATAATGGTTAATAAGGTTATTTTTAAACTAATTCTTCTGAGCTGGAGTCTGATACTTCCAACTTTTTTTTCCTCTATACACAGTCTGCTTCTTTGAGGGCAATTTGCGAACTTTACTTATATTTGATTTCTTAGTACAAGTACATGTGTTTATGATCATGAAAATAACTCTATCATGCACAACCAAGTATTTCCACCCCTCTAGGGTCAATAAATCACATTGGATCAAATATTTTAACTAAAGTCATGAATCAAGACCATGTGAAATATGGAAATTAATGTGCTCTATTTTGATGTACTCAGTGATATATCTGTAATGTACATGTGTTGGAATGTAGTATTTATTACAGAGACATGTTAAGACAATGTTGAGATGTCTCAAATATTGTATAGAGATGTTGAGACATATATTTGAGTGGTGAAGCACTCTTTATAATAAAATATTTCAGTGATGAAAAGAAAATCAGCAGTATGGGTTCCTTGAGTCAACAAAAAAGAGCCTTGAATTTACAATATTTTAAAGGCAAGTATTAGAAACCTTAATAATCAAATACTTATCTCTCATCTTTTTCTCTATTTTTACAATCATTATATTGTACATGGAGTTGGTTTATTTCTATATTTAGTTTTTACCTCTTCAACTTTCCTATGCAGTAAGCCAGTGTCATCACATATTTATCATTAAATATTTTAACTAATCCAGAATGCCATCAAAATTTCATAGCATATAATAAGTTCAATATTTGCTGAGGCATAGAATTCAGTTTTACATACTTAAAAATTGTCAAGGCAGTTTGTCATGTAATGATTGAACTTAGCAAACTACCCAGCATATGCATTGCAATCAGGCTCTGTTAGTCCGCTGCATTTCCAGAATCTCCAGCAAGTCGTAAAAATGTTTGCTTTAGAAACAACATTTTCCTGAAAGGAAATCAACCACTTGTTTGGCTGAAGAAACTGATGATAAGATGAAGTGCAGTGCAAATAACCTTTAGCTTGTAAACTAAGAGTATAATATAAAAGGGTGAATATTATATTAGTAACTGCATGAATATATGATGTGAATAAATGGCTGTGTACTTTCACAGAAAAAAAAACAATAAGGAATTAGAAAACTGTAACACTCAGTGCTCCTGCCAATGCATAGGTGCTTCACGATGTAAAAATAGCATTTGAATGAGAATTAAGAGTTATCAAGAAGTAAACACAAGTATACTCAACTTGTGGAGAAACAATATTATCAAGAGATATATTTTTCTTAACAGAATATTTCCATTGACTAATAGATACTAGAAAAACTGAAATGGTCAATAATCTAAACTTCACAAGAAGCAAATATTGGTTTTAATAGTTTAAAAATATTATTCCCTGTGTACTTGTGAATGAATTGGAGAGAAAGTTGTCTATATCGTTGTAAAGTAGTTGTTCCCCAACTTAAGAAATATGTAGAAAGGATAGATTTTCATCTAATCTTGGAAGAAAAAAAAAACAGAAATGTTTCAAGTTTAAGAAGAAAAGTGATTACCGCATTCACTGAGAGATATATTAGATTTTTTTTGTTAAAGTGTGTTTATTCTATCATTACAAATAATAAATTTAAAAGCCAAATACAACAAATTCTTTTTACATCTTTCCAGCCCAATTAAATTCTACTTCTCAATGCAAGACTTTTATGACTGATTTTATATGTGCTGGAAGTAGATAAATATGCTTCATAATAAGTGCTATGGGCTGAATGGTTATGTCACCTCAGAATTCATATGTTGAAACTTAACCACTAATGTGATGGTGTTAGGAGGTGGGGCTTTTGGGAGGTGAGTCCTCCTCCCAAAGAGCCTCATGAATGGGATTAGTTCCCTTCTAAAAGAGGTCCCAGAGACCTGTCTTGTTCTTTCCACCATGTGAGGACACAGCAAATAGGTGCCAACTATGAGCTAACAAGAGGGCCTTCATCAGACACCAAATCTTCCATTGGCTTGATCTTGAACTTCCCAGCTTCCAGAACTGTGAGAAGTTAATTTCTGTCTACAAGCCACTCAACTTATAGCATTTTGTTGTAGCTCCCCAGACTAAGACAGTACATAACTTATTCAACCATTCACAAAAGCTGCCGCTGTTATAATGATTATTAAGTATGTGTTATTTATTTTCATTAGTCCCATAGAGTTCATTTCCACTGACAAAAATGTTAAGCTATTTTTGAATTTAAACAGAAAGTGCTTTAAAAAATTAATGGCTGAAAATAATGTGAAGAAGCAGACTAAAAGGTTAGTATATAATAATAAAAAAATTAGTTTAGGCTGGGCGCGGTGGCTCACACCTGTAATCCCAGCACTTTGGGAGGCCGAGGCAGGCAGATCACAAGGTCAAGAGATTGAGACCATACTGGCCAACATGGTGAAACCTCATCTCTACTAAAAATGCAAAAATTAGCTGAGCATGGTGGCGGGTGCCTGTAGTCCCAGCTACTCAGGAGGCTGAGGCAGGAAAATCGCTTGAACCTGGGAGGTGGAGGTTGCAGTGGGCTGAAATCAAGCCACTGCACTCCAGCCCAGGTGACAATGCGAGACTCAGTCACACACACAAAAAAAAAATTAGTTAAAAAAATTTCCATGGTAATCTTGGTGAAATTCAGGTAGGCTGAATTTTTATGAATGTAGTGACAAATAATAAAACCAATAATAAACATTGTATTAGCTGATATTTATTAGGTATGTACTATATGCTATACACTGTAGGCATTTAACATGAAGTAGTTCAATGAGTCTCACATCTATATGCATAAAATTTGTCATAACTTGTCAAAACTTTTCAAAACTTTGGTGAATGATGTATTTTCAATGAATTTTAATTCATTGTTTTATATTTATTCTGCTAAGTTTGAATTAAATGAATAAACACTGGTCAAGTAGTACTTATGTATATAACATTATAATTTTAAAAATTTAAAATATGTTAAAGTTTATGTAAAAAAAATTATATGCCTGAAAATTATATCCTTAATATTTTTCTATTTGTTTGCTTTTTCTTTTCCCATAAATATCTAAAATCTCAAAAGATCCTGAGAATATTATCTCATTAATGTCTGAAACTTTATGGTGACCTTATGACAAACATTTTAGCCCCCGTTTCACAGATGGAGAAGCATACCTAGAGAAAGCTTAATTCATCTGTGTAAGTTGACGCGTTATGTCAATTGCTAAGTACTTAGAAGAGTTTAGGATGCTTGCCTTGTTGGTTACTGTATTACTTACTATACCATTTTCACAACATTGAGAGACAAGGTAACAAAATAAAATACCTTATAATTACATGGCTTCAACCACACTGTGATCCTGTGGCTACTTCTCCCCAACATATTCTATGGCTCTTTCTAATATTATTTTACTCCACACACTCTTAGAAGCAACAACAGGACAACAAAAACAACAGCAATAACAACAGAAGAAATGAAGGAAAGGAGGAAGGCATAAGAAAGAAATACTGCCTTAGTTATAGCCTTATTTGGTATAATCTTTTTCTTGGGAGGAAAGAGTCTAAAACGGGAGATCAGGGACTTACAACATTATTATCTGTCTTAAGAAAGGGTAAAAAAATATTGAATATTAATAATTCTATTCTGTTTGGAAATAAGACTGAGTGGATCACAGTGAATAAAATAAAGTACTTCTGCTTCTGTGCATCTTAATTGACCATGGAGAGATCCACATAAACAAACAAAAATATTATTTTTATAAATCTATACTACTTGAAAATGTAGCGAAGAAAAATAAAATTATCTTCCAAGTTCCTAAAGCATTTTGTCCATCTCTCACAAAGAAAAGTAAAATTGAAACTTCCTTTCAATGTTGTCAAATAGGGCCATTGCAAACATATTCATATATGTCTTTTCTTCTGAAAAATCGAAGACCAGTTTATAAAACTTGTCATAAACTCAAATATTAATCCATAATCTAACTGAAATATCAAATAAAAATCAATAATTTCATTATAAAATAGCCAAAATTTATTCTGCTTTGTAAAAACATTTATTCATGTCCTATTAAAAAGACTCATATTGCATAAAATTATTCTGGGAGTCAAGGCTACATATTGGGTAACATATTTACATGTAAATTACTTGTTTGTGTTTAAGTCTTGTTTTCCACATCTTCTACATGAAGTGGAAATAAACATTACATGGATAGGGGACTATCAGATACCCCTTACTCCCTTTAGCACAGCTTCAGTGTTGGAGTGGAAAACAGTGAGCAAAGGAGATCAAGTAGTGTATTTATTCATGACTCCAGGGCCAGGGGAACATGAGAAAGATGCAAGTCAGCTTATATTATATAGGGGTCACTGTCAGTCTAAGCTACGACTTCCTCACTACAATCCAAGGCCCTGTAGATCTCTCGCACATTTTCACTTGTGTATTTACCCTCACTATAATGAAGAGATGCTGAGACGGTCCTTATGTCCCACAAGGAAGATGAGAAATAGAAAACAGCTCTTAGGTGTTAGTTACACGATGCATGAACCAAAATCACCCAAGCCCAGCTTACATAAGCTGACACCCAATCAACTCATAATTATGTAAGCTATAAGGATAAATTTGGTACATTATTTAGAAAAATGAATTGAATCGTACTCTTCCTTGTTCCACATCCCTTTGTAATGAGTTTGCAACTCCTTTTATCAAAAAAATATATTTTCTTACTCCTTAAATGTTTTCTTTGATCAATAATGTGACATGACGGAAGTAAATTGTGCCTGCTGACAGCCCAGATCACTTTTGCTTATCCTCTGAAGGCCCTCCCACATTATGTGACAAACAAAGGGCAGCCTGCTAAAGAATAAAAAATCACTATTGTCCATAGACACTAAGGATGGCTAAATAGTAGAAAACCAACTTTATTGGCGATATCAGTTTGCAAACAAGGAAGAAATAGTCTCTGGCATGGACAGAAGATGCTCTCTCTTCAAAGAGCGGAAGGGCAAGTTGGGTTTTATGCCTCACAGGGCCAGCATAACTCAAGAGAGTCTTACATATTCAGCAGGTTTGGAGGAAAAGCTACACATGTTAATGAAGGAAACTGACAGCATGCACAATAGGTAAACACATATGCAGCATACATTGCATGTTCACTCTGGGGTGAGGTTTTAGCATTAAAATTAGGTGAAATTTGGCTCTTTATATCAAAAGATGAACTATTGGAAACAAAGACAGTTTATGTACAGCCTCTAAAAGCTCGCTGAAACTGGCTAAAATCTGCAGTTACTTATTAGAAAATAATATTTGTAAGGCCATTGTCTGTCCAATTAGTGTCACAGTGGTCTGGGTTGAAAACAAAGTTAGAAGGGGTCTGATAATTTGCCTGACAGCTCCTGTTTTGAGGGAGTTAAAAAAAGGGTGTGGTTTTTCTTGTAGGCGTAGGAATTTAGAAATTTGCCTTTTCAGCTGGATCCTGGACCCTCAAACTGTAGACAACCTTTGTTTCCTTAACCTTGGGGGTTCCTCTTTACTTGATAAAAGGTTATCTATTTTGGTCTCTCACATTGCATCAGGTGGTTCTGAATATATTGCATTCCAACTGAAGCCTTGAAAAGTAGGAGAGCGCAAGGAAGATCATGACATTCATCTAACAATTCAAATGTAGACACATGGGAAAGCCCAGATGATGCCAGAAGAACTACCAAGTAAAAAATAGCCTAGATCTCTGACCTGCAAACTCATGACTTATGATTATAAGACACCAAGTTTAGGAATGGTTTGTTATGCTGTAATTGCTGTCTCATATAATAAATAATTATTTAAGTTGCCTGAGTTTTAGGGTAGTTCATTTAGATTCAATGATAGCTAGTATCACATGTTTGTTAACAACCTTTTATAGTGTTTTAATACAGAGAAAAATTCTATTGATTCATAGCAAAATTATGGTGAAATGATAAAAGAAAATTATATTTATAAAATACAAAGAAAGAATACCTCAAAAGAATTTCTCTAATGGGACCCAGAAGAAAATTTTAAGAAATAATGGCATCCTCAGTGGAACACAGGAAAGCATAGCTTATGGTAAACAGGCTTAAAAAGGATGTATGTGTGTGTGTGTGTGTGTGTGTGTGTGTGTGTGTGTAACATGTATATGTGTATGTGTATATAAACATACACACATATATGCATATATACACACATACATGTACACACATGTATATAATATATACATATATAAAATGGAGAAATTAAAAAATAAAATGACAAAAAAATAAGATTAAAAGGGGAGATGACTATTTGCAGTCAAGATAATCAAAGTAATGCTACCATGTAAACAACATTGTTATCTTATTGTCTAATAAAAAGAAAGTTTTATTTTCTCTACTCAGTACAAGTTCATTGTATGCCAGTATGAGAGGAGGCATCTTTTGTATATTTCCACTCCCAGTATCCACCATACAGAGCAAAAATCAGAACAATGACATGGGCAGGAAATTGGGGCAAATTATGCACTCTCTATTTTTGTGGTGTCAGTGTTTAGTTTGGTATCAGGGTAATAATGGAGTCATATAATTAGTTGGGAAATAATCCCCCCTATTCTGTTTTTTGGAAGAGCGTATGAGGGATTGGTATTACTTGCTGAAATGTTTAGTAGAATTCAACAGTGAAGCAGTCTGAGTGATTTGCCACTCTGTTTGTATACCTTGTAATTTCTTCCTGAAATCTCGATGTTTAAAATGGTTCTATGTGTCCATTTTGAAATCAGATCCATTCTCCTCCCCTATTATTGTTGTTTGTTTTCTGAATTTGCTGATCTAATTATATAAGGTCTATATTATTTCTCTAATGTGGCCAATGAAGTCTCTCCTCAGTTAGCTTAATATTTAGATAATGATCAGACAGAGATTTCTTTAATCGACTGGAGCCAATAAACTTCCCAGTCTTTGCTAAGGTCCTCTGTGTACATGCTGGGGACATGCCTTCGTCACTCAAATTGACAGTTGACAACTCTGCCTTAGCCTTCAGTTCCTGCTTGCACAGAACCTCAAGGTCTGCTAGAGGTTAGATCTTAGGCCCTTCTCAGGTCTTTTGTGAATATGTGTGCAACTCATAGGTTTCTGAACATGTTTACAAACCTATATGTGTGTGCAGTCTTCCAGAATCCCAGGAATATGTAGGGCTTTACCAAGACCCTATGTATATCTAATTCCTCACCTTTTCTTTTAAGCTTTTTGTTTAGACTACTGATTGTCCCAACTGCACTGCTCAGGCAGCCACAAAGAAACAATTTCCTACAGTTGTTTTCAACAAATTCCTCTGTAGAAAAGACTTTTTGCCCTGGGTGAGCTCCAAACCGGTCAAATACAGACGGGTTGGAAAATGGGGTATTCCAGGTAACCAACAGAGAGGTCAAGTAATGTCAGTTTTCTGAACTATGGCTTTAAAGAAGCTATGACCTTGTTTTGCTCTCTCTAGTGCTTGTCAGGCTGTTGTTTTTTCAGTGTGATTGGAGGCTGCTAATTTTTAAGGCTACTGAAGAGCTGGATTGTGGGGGATGGGACCAGGGCAATTTAGGACACAATAAAGCTCACTGTTTGTACCAATATACAACTATCTTCAGATTCCTGCAAGCCTTTGGTAAATGTCCAGAGTTCTAAATAGTCTGATTTTTGGGGGAGTGTGGGAGAGTCAGATTACTTGCTTAACAGAAAAGAGAATTTTTAGAGTCTGTATGCTGCTATTTCCACTATTTTGGACTGTCTCTAAAATCTTAAACTCACCTTGGTTAAAGTAAGTCTTAGAACAGTAAACTTTAATGGATGCAAGGATGTTCAATATTATCAGGCCTAGAAGGAGAGAAAAAATGGGAATATTTACAAATAATTTTAATTACTATTACAGTTCTTTTTCATATCAATAAAGATTAAGTTATTCTTCACAAAAACAAAATACACTTACCCTCTTACTGAGAGAGCTAATTCAAAGCACCACACATCATAGCATTAGACTTCAAGGCCAGACTTTCTGAGTGGTGTTCAGAATTCTCTGGTTTACACCATATATGAACACTACTAATGCAGTGAATTTGCAATAAAGTGACAAACTACCGATGCTTTGCATACTAATACCTAATGGTTGAAGAGGAAAAATCTAAGTAACACCGTCCCACTCCTACCCTATTCAGAAAGAGTAACATGGAAGTCATACTGCATTCATTATTTGTAGAAATTCTGGGATCTTGCTGGACAGTTTTTATAAGGGACTTCTGCAAGGGATTAAGGAATATTGTTTGGCTATACCCAATTTTTATTCCTAGAAGGGACTCCCCAGGCTATCCTTTTTAGTTGTTCTTGGCTCTACTTTACCTTTTACCTCCACTCCCATCATTCCCCTTAGCCTTACAAAAATGAGCACTGTTGTGTATGTTCTTCTGAGAACCACTAGAAAGCCAACACAGTGTAAAATGAGTGCTCGAAGGCAAAGAACTAACAAGGCAGTAAAAACTTATGAGACCACAATGAGGAACACAATAGAAACTCACAAATATTAGATCAAATTGTTGGGTCACTTCTTCCCCAGAAGAAAGTAGAGTGGAAGAGAAGTTAGATGAAGCTTCTGACAGCTTCCTTGAGAATCAAAGACCCACCACTGACAGAGACTCTCTTCATGAAACTTTAGTCAAGCTTCTCTGAGCCCTCTTCTTGACTAGGCTTCAACTTTGGTAAATAAACAACAACAAAAAAAGATAAGAGAACATTATGTAAAAATTATAAATAGGCAATTCAGAGAAGATTAATCAAAATAGATATATTATTCCATAAAAAGCTCAAAATGATGATTTAAAAAGTTATAAATTAGAAGTTGAATGTGGTAACAATTCACTTGTATAAGACTATCTGAGCCCTCTTCTTGACTAGGCTTCAACTTTGGTAAATAAACAACAACAAAAAAAGATAAGAGAACATTATGTAAAAATTATAAATAGGCAATTCAGAGAAGATTAATCAAAATAGATATATTATTCCATAAAAAGCTCAAAATGATGATTTAAAAAGTTATAAATTAGAAGTTGAATGTGGTAACAATTCACTTGTATAAGACTATCAGTGGTTTTAAAGGCTGACAATACAAAGTATTTATGAATATGTAGAGCAAGAAGATGTTTGTGTGTTGCTGATAGAAGAAATTAGAACCAACATTTTGGATATAGTTTTGCTAATATTGAACAAATGTAAACATGTACAATTTATACTGCCCAGCAATTTTATTGCAAAAAAAAAAAAATCTGACAATCTTTCACACATGCATTAGGAAACATGTATACCATTACTTGCTACAGGATACAATTAAAATCTACCTTGATGCTCATCAATAGGGTAATAAATAAACAAAATTTAATCTCATTATAATTAAATACTATCCACCAATAAAAATAAAATAAATTAATATATATTACTTATGGAAGATTGATAATAATTATTTTAATTCAATATTTAGATAAAGTTACTTTTTTATTTTAGCAATGGTAGAAGAAATATTTAATGAGTGGTTACCCATTACCATGCACTATCCATTTGGCATAGTGCCTTAAAAGGTTCCATTAAGTAAGTACAATTATCATCATTAGAAACTGAGGTTAAGAAAGTTTAAAAATAATTGAGGGTAAGAGACTTTAAACAGTTTTCTAAAGTAACATCATATAGCAAATGGCAGATTTTGACTAGAATATGAAATCTAACTAACCCCTAGACCTATGCTTCTGATCATTTTGTTGTAGTGCTTACAAGATAAAATATTGTGCTTTCTCTTATTATTTTGAATAAATTATATACTCAGAATGATAACCTTTTGTCAGTTATATTGTTGAGATTCTTTTTTCACTATTTGTATGATGTGTATGTATTTTGTGCTAGGAATTATATACATATGTATGCATATGTGTATAATATACATATATGCATTTTCATATTTGTATTATATAGATATAGTTAGAGAGAGAGAAAAGAGAGAGAAGGAAAGAGAGACAGTTAATAAAAATGCTGACTGCATTCTGGCATCTGAATTTTACTTTTTTGCCTTTAAAACATCATTAATTACCACATTAATCACTACCATGTATACAAGCTGCATACTCAAATGGAGGAATGTAAGAAAATGTGGAGGTTAGGGTCAGGGACGATACGGTGGGTAAAAATATTAAGGTTTAATATTTTCTAAAGTTGAGATATTAGAGAAAATTGGATAGAGTTGAAAGCAATCAGAGAGTAGGATGCTTGAAACTAAGATTGTGGAAACATTAACCTATATAATAATAGCAAATTTGAGTATCTGACCACAAGTAAGGGGCCTCAGGTAAAGTGGAAAACACAATCATTGGAGAAGAGGAGGTCTGGAACTGAGAGGCTGGATTCTGAAAGGATTATATTTTATGGGTGTTGAATCACAACATATGATAACAGAAATAATGTGGAAGAGAGCAGCAGTGTTCTAATAACTAGAGTGACGAAAGGTGGAGGGTTGTTCTAAGGAGAGGCAAATGACTGTAAAATTAATATGAGGTGATACAATTTGGTAATATAAGATATAAGCTGAGTTATTTAAGGGAGGAGAAATGGAACATGGAATAGATGCAGCAATGAAGACAGGTAGGACATATTGACCGCTCTGTGCTAGTGGAATGCATATTGTGGCAGAAACAAAATGGCCTTAATAGTCTACAAGGAGCATTTAATGTCATTAGTGTAGATACTGTTAGGTTGGAGGAAGAAAGTAAACAATACTAGTAGAAGGATTTGAGATATAAGCACTTTATTGAGGAGGACTAAAATCTTAATTCTGAACGCAAAGTAGGAAAGTTTAAGGCTCACTGTGACAAAAATAAATGTTAAAAAAAAAAGTATGAAGATTAGAGTTGGGTGGAATATGCCTTGGAAGTTCTGAGAGATTCTTATAAGTGAGCATAAATGGAGGGCATAGATTAAAACTGATGATCCTTGATATGGTTTGGCTGTGTCCCCACCCAAATCTCATCTTGAGTTGTAGTTCCCATAATCCCCATGTATCCTGGGAGTGACCCAGTTGGAGGTAATTCAATCATGGCAGCAGTTACCCTCATGCTGTTTTCATGATAGTGAGTGAGCTATCACAAGATCTAATGGTTTTAAAAGGGCCTTTCCCCCATTTTGCTCAGTACTTCTCCTTATTACCACTATGTGAAGAAGGATGTGTTTACTTCACCTTCTGTCATAATTGTATATTTCCTGAGGCCTCCCCAGCCATGCTGAACTGTGAGTCAATTAAACCTCTTTCTTTTATAAATTACTCAGTCTCTCTTGTATGTCTTTGTTAGCAACATGAGAAGGGACTCAGCCCATGAAACAATTTCCCCACTAGGCCTCTGGGTCTGTGATGGGAGGGGCTGCCACAAAGTTCTCCAATATGCCCTGGAGACATTTTCCCCATTGTCTTGGTGATTAACATTCAGCTCCTTGTTACATAAACAAATGTCTGCAGCCAGCTTGAATTTCTCCCCAGAAAAAAATGGGTTTTACTTTTCCATTGCTTGGTCGAGGTGCAAATTTTTCAAATTTTATGCTCTGCTTCCTCTTGAATGCTTTACTACTTAGACATTTCTTCCACCAGGTACCTTAAATCATATTTCTGAAGTTCAAAGTCCCACAGATCTCTAGGGCAGGAGCAAAATGCTGCCAGTCTCTTTGCTAAAGCATAACCAATAGTCACCTTTGCTCATGTTCCCAACAAGTTCTTCATTTCCATCTGAGATGACCTCAGCCTGGACTTTATTGTCCATATCACTATAAGCATTTTGGTCACGGCCATTCAACAAGTCTCTAGGAAGTTTCAAACTTTCCCACATGTCTCTGTCTTCTTCTGAGCCCTCTAAACTGTTCCAATCTCTACTTGTTACACAGTTCCAAAGTTGCTTCCACATTTTCAGGTGTTATAATAGCAGTGCCCCACTCCCAGTATCAATTTACTGTATTAATCTGTTGTCACAAGGCTAATAAAGACATACCCAAGACTGTGTAATTTATAAAAGAAAGAGGTTTAATAGACTCACAGTTCAACATGGCTGGGGAGGCCTCTGGAAACTTACCTCATAATGGAAAGGGAAGCAAACACATCTTTCACATGACAGCAACAAGATGTGCCAAGGAAAAGGGGAAAAAGCCCTTTATAAAACCATCAGATGTCAAGAGGACTCACTCACCATCACGAGAACAGCATGAGGGTAAGCACACCCATGATTGAATTACCTCCCACGGGGGTCCCTCCCATGACATGTGGGGATTATGGGAACTACAATTCAAGGTGAGATTTGGGTGGGGACTTAGCCAAACCATATCATTCCTCAAGGCAGATATTGTTAGAAAGTCTGAGGACTGACATAGGAGAAGATAGAAGAGTCTTACCGGGAACACACACGATTGTGGATTTCAACTTGATTCTCACTAATAGAAAGATGGTGCCTGTAGTCCCAGCTACTCGGGAGGCTGAGGCAGGAGAATGGCGTGAACCCGGGAGGTGGAGCTTGCAGTGAGCCTAGATTGCGCCACTGCACTCCAGCCTGGGCGACAGGGCGAGACTCCATCTCAAACAAAACAAAACAAAAACAAACAAACAAACAAACAAAAAAGATAGATAGGTTTCTTCTTGCCCTACACTTTCTACTATTCTAAAATAATTTTGAAGACATATTGTGTCTCACATGATGTTAGGTGCTTGGTAGAGACTGGTAAAAAAAAAACAGTTTTGGTATTTTCCTGCATAAGGGGTAAAAGCAATAAAAATAATGTGAAGATTAGGAATAACAAAGCCTTTAAGAAACTATTACTGAGTTAGTTTTTCTCATATTAGGTTTTTTTTTTTTTTTAACGTAATTCAAAGTAGGTAAAGGATATTTCGGGCTTAAATGCTAGGTTCAAAATTTCCAGCTTCATCTTTTAGGTAGTGTGAAAGTTGTTTTTCTTTCTTTATTTTTTTCTTTCTTTCTTTTTTTAGACAGCTCTCCCTCTGTTGCCCAGGCTGGAGTGCAGCGGCATGATCACAGCTCACTACAACCTCCACATCCTGGGTTCAACCAATTCTTCCACCTCAGCCTCCCGAGTAGCTGAGACTACTAGCGCATGCCAACTGTACCTGGCTAACCTTTGTTAATTTTTGTAGAGGAGGTTTCTTCATGTTCCCCAGGCTGGTCTCAAACTCTTGGTCTCAAGCAATCCAACCATCTCAGCCTCCCAAAGTGCTGGGATTACTGGCGTAAACCACTGTGCCTGGCCTGTTTAAGTTTTAAATTGAGAAGTGATGTGACAAAGATACATAAATCAGGAAGTTTAAACTGGCAGTTATATAGATAATGGATTGAAAGGGGAAGAGACTAGTGACAGGGTGGGGATTATTATGTAGCCTGTAAATGAAGTAAATTAAGTGGTTGCAGTGGGAATGAAAGAGAAAACAGTAGAAAAACATTGTGAAGAACTGATGGTACACAGTGAGAATAATTGCATATACACATAAAACAATGAAAGCTCTGAAGCTACAATGTTTTATAATTTTAAAAGTCTTTTGGAATATAGTTGTTTAACAATAATGGGATATTTACATGCCTATTCAAAAGGGATTAAATTATGATTTTTAATTGACCTTTAAACTTTGTTTAAATTTTTAAAAAACTTGGGAAACACTTGTTTTATTAGAAATAAAAGTTGCAGTAAGATTTGCTAAGACATTAGGTGGTTTTTGTGAAGTACATTATTATTGCTGCCATTTAGCAGTCTGTTACATGATGCTTCTCCAAATAAAAATTCAGGTTTGACATACATTACTCAGTCCTAAAGGACACTTTGCTGGGAAAAATGTGGTGTTGTGTTGTTCAAACAGAACTTTGTAATGAGCTGATTTTTTTTTATTTTACTTTTGTTTTATAGCTATGGAAAGCATTTATTTTATGGGGGTTTCAAAATTTTTATTCCTGCTGCTGCATTATAAATAGAAATTGCATTAGTCTGAGTCACAGAGCTAACTGTTAAATTGGTTAATTGTGATCTAGAGTGCACAGCTTGAATGTGAAAATAATTATAATTTGCATATATATGTTATAAAAAGATAAACCCAACAATTCATAGGAAAGTATATTTATTATAGTACATCTATGCAAGATTTACTCTAACATGGACATTAGTAATCCCATATACACAATGTTTAACTCAATTTTGTACATGAACTATGGACATGATAAACGTAGTCATAAAGTAGTACTGGCTAAGCAAAATCTGAAATTTTAAGTCAACCTGGAGGAAACTTGAAATCATTTTGAAATTAGGACTATCTCAGCTAATCATTGGATATATTTATAGTACAGCAGAAAATATTTTGAGAAAGGGTGACTGTACAAGTAAATTAAATTTTTGGTTCCACCACTTCCTAATTAGGCCTTTGCCAAATTTTTTTTATTACAGGGTATTCATTTGTAAAACAAAAATATATTACATGTCCTACATGGTTGTTTGAAAACTTCACAGTGACCTTTATAAAATAGAGATCATAGAATCTGGAATGTAAGTGATTGATAATAATATTAATGGTGCAGTTGATAATATTTATTCTGTCTATTATGTGTCAATAACACAAAAAGTGTCTTACACAGTTTTTAGGTCAAAATTATTTCAAACAACTCTATGTGGAAAGTACTATTTTAATTTTTATTTTACGGATGAGGAGATGGATCTTTAAAGAAATTGTGTAGTCAGTTTAAAGTTATACTGACTCAAAAAAAGTAAAGCCAGGATACAAAATCATGCCTGAATCAATCTGAGACTTAATAAGATTGACAAGTTGCCATATCTATAAAATGTATTATTTCTATCCTCCATCTTTCTGAATTATACATTTTAATTTTGGATAGAACATCCATTCCACTAACCACTATTTAGACATAAATATATTCTGAAAGCCACATACTGAAAAGTGGCAGAGTTGGGATCTTTCTCCAAGTCGTTTTAAATGTTAAATGCTAGGTTGACTATTGAATTATTCAATTGATTTTGTTCGTACTTTTAACTAATGCTCTTGTTCCACAGTTTTCAGTATTTGAGCTCCTGCCTTCTAAATTGTCTTCCCTTTTTGCTTTTGACATTTTCTTCAATTAAAATCTGCAGTTCTTTGTGTAAGACAAATACCTACATACACTAGTGTCTACCCCAAATATTGAATATTGTAACTATGATAGTCAAAATAAATATCAATTTATTTAATATGCTTGTTGCTTTATGCTTCTATATCTATATATAATTAACTCACCACTTAAACACTTATTAAATACTTTTTGAATGAACTAAAAGAATAAAATGTAAAAGGTATACAAAATTCTAACAATTCTCAATCTCCCCTTTCGTATCTTATTCTTATTTAATACTTCTCCATAAAATGTATTATCAACTAACATACTGCATACTTACGTATTCATTTTGCACGTTATCTAAGTTCCACTATTAGAATATTAAGGGCTAGAATTTTATTTGTTTGTTTTTATATCCTCAATGCCTAGAACAGAGTCAGAGACATGAGACACTCAATAATATTTGTTGAATGAATGTGTTTGCTTATTCTTTTTACTGAAGATTAAATTATTAGCAATTCCCCAGGTTATTTTAATCTCTTTCTAAACATAATGTGTAATACTCAGATTCTTCTGGTTGCAATTAGCAGAAATGTAACTACTCTAGGTAAAAACAAATGAATTTGCTTAATTTTCTTGGAAAGGCAGAACTGTAGTTTGGCCATCCATAGCCAGACTCTCTAAACCACTAATTATATTTACATCTTTCTGTAAGTTGACTATAAATTTTGCCATTGACAGTTTATCTCAAAATGACAGAAGCAGGGCTAGTGTCATGTGCATGAGAACTTTGCAGTTGTACAGGCCTCTGTGCTCATAAGGATCCTTCATTTGGCTTGATAGTCTCCTGTTGCCCTCTGGAAATTTAAGCATTGAGCCCTCTTTTGTCCTAGGTACTCAGCACCATGTCGCTGGCCCTGAGTAGAGGACATGTTTCAGTAAGCTTTGAAATCTTTATTTACACAATTTATCTACCCTCTACCAAAAAAAAAAAAAAAAAAAGAGTTTTCTTATTCCTCTTTTTGCCTGCCACTAATGGCAGTTCAACATGTATTGAGAATCTATTGGTTCACATTGACACCATTTCCATTGCTCTACAAAAGGAAAGGGAAAGCCATTTAAGTAGATGAGAGCTTCTCCTGGAAAAAGGGAGATCCCAGAAACAGATAATGGTATCCACAAGAAGGAAATCAAGAAAGTTTTATTAATCAAATTAAAGCAATAGATGCACATTACTTTACAAAATGTTGGAATTGGGGGATGTATCACAATTTTCCTATTTCTCTCTCATTTAGATATTTAATTTGCCCTCATTTTTTAACATCATTAACGTCACCTTTATGAAGTCTTATTACATAAATCTTTACCCATACTTCTGATTATTTTCATAGGGTGTTCTAGAAATTAAATTTCCAGATTATAAGATATGAATAAAAGTAACCTTTTTATTCACATTTTCAATTTTACTCCCAGAAAGGGAATGTCAAATTATAATCTCACCAGTCAATTACGAAGGAGTCACACAGCATATTTACCAACATTTAGTATTACCTTAAATATAGCTTACTAATTTGACAGGGAAAACATAGGTTAGAATTTCAGATAATCACAGTGAATTAAACTTGAGCAAACTGATAGAGGAAGAAACCACAGAGAAGCAAGCTCCAAAACAGCCTTCAGATTCCTCTGGAGTCATTAGTTGTCTCCTAACTTGTTCACACATATGCTCAGTGAGACTATAAGACACCCAACGAAAACCAGCAGTCATGAACAGAAATAAGATCCACTATATTCATATTCAGCATTTCTTTATTTAACATCCTAGCTGATTCAAGAAAGAGGAGTAGCACAAAAAGTGGAATAGGCGGTGATTTGGTTTGTCTGTGTCTGCACCCAAAGCTCATCTTAAATTCCCAAATGTTGTGGGAAGGACCCCGTGGGAGGTAATTGAATCATGGGGGCAAGTCTATCCCACGCTGTTCTCCTGATAGTGACTAAGTCTCACGAGATCTGATGGTTTTTCAAAGGGGAGTTTCAGGCTGGGTGCAATGGTTCATGCCTGTAATTTCAGCACTTTGGGAGGCCGAAGCGAGTGGATCACCTGAGGTCAGGAGTTCAAGATCGGCCTGAACAACATGGTGAAACCTCATCTCTACTGAAAAAAAAAAATATATATATATATATATTTATATTTATATATATTTATATATTTATATATATATATATATATATATATATATATATATATATAATTAGCCAGGTATGGAGATGCATGCCTGTATTATCAGCTACTTGGGAGGCTGAGGCAGAAGAATCGCTTGAACCTGGGAGGCGGGGGTTCCAGCAAGCTGAGATTGCACCATTGCACTCCAGCCTGGGCAACAAGAGTAAACTCCGTCTCAATAAATAAATAAATAAATAAAATAAGAAGAAGAAGTTCCCTGCACAAGCTCTCTTCTCTTGCCTGCTGCCATGTGAGACGTGCCATTCACCTTCCACTGTAATTATGAGGCCTCCCCAGCCACGTGTAACTGTAGTTCCATTAAACCTCTTTCTTTTTTAACTTGCCCAGTCTTGGGTATATCTTTATCAGCAGGGTGGAAATGGACTAATACAATAAATTGGCACCAGTATAGTTTGATGTTGCTGAAAAGATATCTGAAAATTTGGAAGCAACTTTGGAACTTTGTAACAAGCAGAGGTTGGAACAGTTCGGAGGGCTCAGAAGAAAACAGGAAAATGTAGAAAATTTTGGAAGTTTCTAGAGACTTGAATGGCTTTGCCCAAAATGCTGATAGTGATACGGAAAATAAAGTCCAGGCTGAGGTCTCAGATGGAAATGAGGAAATTATCGGGAACTGGAGCAAAAGTGACTCTTACTATATTTTAGCACAGACTGGAGGCACTTTGCCCCTGCCCTAGAGATTTGTGGAACTCTGAACTTGAGAAAGGTGATTTAGGCTACGTGGCAGAAGAAATCTCTTAGCAGCAAAGCATTCAAGAGGTGACTTTGGTGCTGTTAAAGGCATTCAGTTTTATAAGGGAATCAGAGAATAAATGTTCAGAAAGTTCGCAACCCTACGATATGATAGAAAAGAAAATCCCATTTTCAGAGGAAAAATTCAAGCTGTCTGCAGAAATCTGAATAAGGAATAAGGAGCCAAATGTTACTCCCCAAGACAATGAGGAAAATGTCTCCAGGGCATGTCAGAGGTCTTCACTTAGTGCCATCACAGGCCTGGAGGCCTAGGAGGAAAAAATGCTTTTGTGGGCCAGGACCTGGGTTCCCATGCTGTGTGCAGCCTAGGGACTTGGTTCCCTGTGTCCCAGCTGCTCCAGCCATGACTGAAAGGGGCCAAGTTAAAGCTTGGGCTGCGACTTCAGAGGGTACAAGCCCCAAGTCTTGGCAGCTTCCATATAGTGTTGAGCCTGCAGGTGCACAGAGGTCAATAATTTAGGATTGGAAACCTCCACCTAGATTTCAGAACACGTATGGAAATGCCTGGATATCTAGGCAGAAGTTTGCTGCCAGGATGGGGCTCTCATGGAGAACCTCTGCTAGGGCAGTGTGGAAGGGAAATGTGAGATTGGAGACCCCACACAGAGTCCCTACTGGGGCACCGCCTAGTGGAGCTGTGAGAAGAGGTCCACCGTCCTTTAGACCCAGGAATGGTCGATCCACCAATAGCTTGCACCATGTGCCTGAAAAAGCTGTAGACACTTAACACCAGCCTGTGAAAGCAGTTGGGAGGGAGGCTCCACCTTGCAAAGCCAGAGGGGCAGAGCTGTCCAAGACCATGGGAACCCACCTTTTCCATCAGCATGACCTGGATGTGATACATGAGTCAAAAGACATCATTATGGAACTTTAAGATTTGACTGCCCTGCTGGGTTTTGGACTTGCATGGGGCCTGCAGCCCCTTCATTCTGGCCAATTTCCCCCATTTGGAATGGCTATATTTATCCAATGCCTGTACCCTCATTGTATCAAGGAAATAATTAACCTGCTTTTGGTTTTACAGGCTCACAGGTGGAAGGGACTTGCCTTGTCTCAAATGAGATTTTGGACTGTGTTCTTTGAGTTAATGCTGAAATGAGTTAAGACTTCGCCGAACTGTTGGGAAGGCCTGGTTGGTTTTGAAATTTGAGGACATGAGATTTGGGAGGGGTCAGGGGCCGAATGATATGGTTTGGCCATGCCCCCACCAAAATATGATCTTGAATTCCCACGTGTTGTGGGAGGGGCCCATTGGGAGGTAATTGAACCATGGGGGCAAGTTTTTCCCCTGCTGTTTTCCTGGTAGTGAATAAGTCTCATGAGATCTGATGATTTTAAAAAGGGGAATTTCCCGGCACAAGCTCTCTTCTCTTGCCTGCTGTCATGTGAGCCATGCCTTTCACCTTTCACCATGATTGTGAGGCCTTCCTAGCCACATAGAACTGTAAGTCTATTAAACCTCTTCTTTTGTAAATTGCCCTGTCTCAGGTATGTCTTTATTAGCAACATGAAAACAAACTAATACAGGTGGAATAAGATTAGAGAAGAAGAAATATGTGATTATTGTTTGCAGACAATGATTGTGTAGCTAGAAATACTAAGGTTATAAATTATTAGAATAGGTGACTTTAGCAAGGTTGTTAAAATCAATGTACAAAAGTCAATTGTATATTGTATACACTATCAACAACAAAATAAACTTCAGAGAAATACAAATTAAAATTCACTGAGAAAGAAATACTCACCAGGATATTTAAAATTAAGAAGAATTTTAAATCCAATTGTTAGTGACGATTTAGAGCAAGTGGAATTCTCTTACAATTCTACTGAAAGTGCAAAATAGTATAATTGCTTTGAAATATTGGTGGACTTTACTTACTAAAGTTGAGCCTATGTATAACTCAGCAATTTCTTACCTGGATCAGAAATGAATGCTTATATTCACTCCCAAAATTCAAAAATATTAATAATGGCCTCATTTGTGATAGTGACAATTCAGAAACAACTGCCCATAATAAAATAGGTAAAAATATTGTGATATATTTGTACATTGCATTATTACAGAACCATGGAATAGAAATAATTATTGTATGCAACATAGATGAATATCACATACAACTTTTATGGAAACAATTTATAAATGAATTTTTAATTTGTAATTTCCATTATACTAAGCTCAAATACAGGCTAATGTAACCTATGGGGAAGTCAGAAGAAACATTATTCTTGTGGGATTTACTGTTTGGGAACCTTTTGTTGCCAGAAATGTTCTATATCTTCACTGAAGTAGTAGTTGCACATAGATATATACAAATGTAAAAACTTTCAACCGTGCACTTAATGTTTGTAAACTTTATTGTTTGTAACTTATCACACAATAAAAATAATTAGTATTCCAATAACGCATTTGTGATTTTTTTTTATTTTATCCTTACACAGAAATATATATTGGCTTACACTCTCATTCTGGGCTAACATCCAGGGCGACAGAATGCTGTTATTATTTCACTATAGTCCCATATTTCTTTTATCAAGGATATGAAGAAAAGTAGTTGTTTATCTAAACTAACAAATGAATATGACACATTTACTGGAAAAATCTCATTGGAATCATTGAACTTCAGCCAACTCATAGGTATTTGAAAGTTTTCAATATAGAAGTGACTCTCTGGACTCCTCAGCTTTGGGCCTCAAGGAAATGTCATTTTGACCCTCTATCTTTCCAAAGATTTGATCATCCTGAATCTTTTCCCAAGATCCTCCTAGGGGACAAGAGAGTTATTTTGTAAATATCAAATTATGAATACAAACAGCTCATTTTGCTTCTTTTTTTTCAAAAAGTAGTGAAGGAATATATCTACATAATTTTTCTTTAACTCTGAAAAGATTGTTGTAGTTTTATAGTTCCCCAGAGATTTTAACTGAAATATATGACTGTTTAACTAAATAAAATGTATGCATACTAAAAAAGAAAGAATATGTATGATTTGTGTTACATGACTTTATTTTAGAAAGCATGAATACAGTGTTAGTGAAAGATGAACAAAGGTGATTAAAAAAACACATGAAATTATTAATGTTCTTATTTGTCGGCTAAAAAGGTGCCCTGTGTATCTTTGAATTTTTTTCATTTTTATTTTAGATTTTCTTAGTAATTTCTCTTCTCTCTCTCCCATAGTTTTTGTTTGTTTGTTTGTTTGTTTTGTTTTTGTTTTTGCTTTATCAGACAGGGCCCCACTCTGTCACCCAGGCTGGAGTGCAGTGGTATAAACATGGCTCACTGTAGCCTCGACCTTGTTGATTCAAGAGATCCTCCTGGCTCAGCCTCCCAAAGTGCTAGGTTTATAGACACGAACCATTGTTCCCAGTGCCACATTTCTTAATAAACAAAATATTTATTTTTGTCATGATTTATCCTGGGTTGATGGTGTAGTCTATGTCTACGGCAAAGAACAATTGACTAGGACTCCAACGATTTGTAACTTAACCTAATTATCCCTGCGCTATCACTCGCCAAAGAACTCACAGCCAACAAAATGATATGGAATTCTCCTAAAAGATATTCATAATATAATTTCTTACTATTGGGAAAGTAGAACTCTCAATTGTTAGAGATAGAAGTTAGTATAAGGAGAAAATATTCATTTGATTGAGAAAGAAATTGAGAATCCTATAGATTAAGTAGGTAAAAGAGAAACTAAAAGTATTGGTGAGATTATAGAATAAATATCTGCCTAAATTAAGATTAGTCTAAAATGTTTTCTTGGAGAGAAAAGAGACTTAAGTGGAATCCTGAAGGCTACCAATAATAGATTTGTTTGTAATATTCAAGGAGAACATTTCAAGCAGCAGCAAAGTCATATACTATAATTGATGATTAAGGAGAAAATAAATTCACATTTACTGACTAATTCCTATAGGAGAAGTGTGATATGGTTTGGATATTTTATCTCCTCCAAATCCTATGTTGAAATGTTACCTCCAATGTTAGAGATGGACCTAGTAAGAGGTGTTTGGGTCATGGGAGCAGATCTCTCATGAAGGGCTTCGTGCTGTCCTCATGGTAATAAGTGAGTTCTTAATCTATTGGTTTATGTGAGAGCTGGTTGTTTAAAGAAGTCTGACACCATCTTCTCTCTCTCTTGCTTCCTTTATTGCCATGTGATATGCCAGCTCTTCCTTTGACTTCACCATGGTTATAAGCTAAAGCCAAGCAGATACTGGTGCCATGCTTGTACAACCTCCAGAACCATGGAAAAATTAAACCTCTTTTCTTCCTAAATTACCCAGATTTCTTTATAGAAATACAAATAAAAAGTCTAATAAAGACATTAAGTAAAGGGAAAAGAGTATTGTATACAAAAATTGGCAAAACTCTTTACTCATTGGAATAAAATATATAAGCCTCTAATATCAAGAGGTTTATATTGAATACATAGTATTACCTTCCTTGATGGAATAATTTATTTACTAATGAATTGACAGTATTTATATCACTCACAGCACAAGTGAATTACTTTTCTTTTGAAAGAATAACTCTTACCATGTTATTACCTTATTTTTATTTTTTAAAAAATACATTTAACCTGAAAATTTGAATCCAAAATAGTAAAGCATCTAAGTCAAATAAGTAATGCTCAAAGATGCAGTCGAAGTTTTCTGCATTTAAAAATTAACATAGTCCATAACTGAAAGGTGAGTTACATTTCAAGTAATAAGAATTCAATAATAATTGTGATAAGTAATGATTGAGAGCAGTTTATGAGCTCAGATAGTGTATGTACTTAGCATGCATTATTTATTCTTTACAAGAATTATTTGAGGGAAATACTTGTCACAGAAGTGTTTCCCAGGATATTAGCATGTAGGAAGTATAGTAGAGAGTGCTCTTGGGAAAACAACTTGTAAGAGGACAGAAAGGAGGCAGGATTGAATAAGGAGAGAAATTGAACCAGGGTGCTCAATATTTTCTGTAGGGAGCTTAATGATGTGATAACATTTCATAATTGTCTCCCTGGGGCGAGTAGTGGGACATACATAAGCCCACAGCACAGAGAAAAGTAACTGAAAGTCTCTGAAGGAGGCATGACCTTGAGTAAGAAAGTTCTCTTCACCCCCCAAAAAAATTCAGTAACAGAAGGAATTTAAAGAGACAAGGCGGACACTGAGTTAATACAGGCTCTCTAACTTTTGAATATTTCCTGAGTGTGTCACAGGATGTAGAGCCCAAACTGAGCACTGAGTGAAAAAGGCAACAAGATGGGTCTACTGAAGTAACTGAAATTTGCAGAGCAGCATTCTTGAAAGGAGGGAGCTATTCAGAAGAGGGTCCCAGAAGTCTCTGTGTGTATGGTGGGGTTCCAAGGGCTTATTTGGCTAAGAGTTGAACAACACATGTGCAAGTTAGGTTCCTATTGACTTCTAAAAAGATAAAAGTGGGAAGAACTACTGAATTTCTCTGAGTGCTGAAATTCTGGCCTAACCAGAGTGGATAGACTTCATTAATTCCAACAAAACTCAGAGGAGACACCAGAGATACCTCATCTTAGGAATTGGGATAATGTAAGAATATAGGAATAGTGATACTATAAAGTATGCAGACTCTATGCCTGCATAACAGACTTAGCCTCTGGACCTACCCACCCAGGGTGACCCAAGTAGTCCCAGGTTTCTGACAAGGTCCCTCTGTGAGGCCAGTCCCCACAGAATAAGGCTTCAGGATGTTCCCAATAGCCCTGGGGTGAGTAGCGGGGTCTTTATAAAACCACAGGGATAAGTATATTTCCACTTCCAGCACCTGGCTGGCCTCCACAGCCCCAGACTTCAGGCTCACCCCAGCACTAGCCAAGCTCATACAGACCTAGTCATCAAATCCAGAATCTGTGAAACATCCTTTAGGCAAGCCGGCAAGTGGAGGTGACACCTGCAGCTAGCTGACACATGCAAATACAAGTTCCAGGCCTGCACTATGCCAGGCTGTTTCCTATGCCCTTAAAATCCAGCAGACCCAGAGTCCAGGCCTGTTCCAGTACACCCCATTGCTGGACTGGCCCCATGGACCCAGGTTCCAGACTAGCAACCATGGCCCCCAGACACAGGGCAGCACTTGCAGACCCAGTCTCCAGGCCAGCAACTGCATATTCAAGTGCTAGGCTTGTACCCACAGCCCTGGGCTCCAGGTAACCCTCTGTGGCTCTGAGTACCAGGCCAGCACCTGCAATCTCAGGCTGTAGACCAGCTCCTGTGAATACAAGTTTTATGCCTGCCTCAGCACTAAGCTTGCTCCAGGATCCAATCAGTCCTTGTGGTTATAGTCTCCAGAGGACACAGAGTCCAACTATGTGCTAATAGAGCCAAGGTCTGTGTTCACCAAGTGAATCAAGTGGTCCCAGGTTGGCCCTGAGGGGCTGAGTAGTTATGATAACCCCTGCAAATTCAGGCTTCAGGCCTGCTCCCATGAATTCAGGCTCTGGGCCCATCCCAGTGCCAGGCCATCTTCTGTGGACTCAAGTTCATGCCCTACTCCAGCACCAGTTCAGACACTGTAGGTCCAGGCATCAGGCTGTTCCTCTTCTCCTCACACAACACAGATTTCAGTCCTGTAGTTGAAAACCCAGACTCCAACTGATATTCATAGGCTCAATCAATAGGCCCAAGCAGGTGGATACAGTTTCCAGCACAAGCCCTGAGGATCCAGGTTCTACCTGCTGTCTGTGGCACCAGGACAACCTGACAGACAGCTTCAGCAGCAAACCTTCCCCCAAACTACAACTGAGAACCTGCCCAAAATCTGTGGATGAATTGAATGCTGAAAGGCTTTCTCGGACAACCCAGTTCACAAGTACTGGAATAAGTCTCAAATTCAAATGCACAAACATCAACATAAAGCAAAAAAATAAATAAATAAAACAAAGACGTAATTCAACTAAAATAATAATCTTTCAGTAGGTGATCCCCAAAAACTGAAAATATATGAAATGATTGAGAAGAGTTCAAAATAGTTGCTTTAAGGAAACTCAGCAAACTTCAAGAACATCCCCCCAAAAAAATACAGTTAGGAAAATAATAAGTGACAAAATGAGAAATTTAACAGAGAATTCTCTAATTTAAAGAGACAAAGGTAATCTTAAAAGCAGCAAGGAGAATAGAAGCAAATAATATATAAGAGTGCTTCAGTAACACTGGCAACAGATTTCTCAGCAGAAGTCATAAAGGCTGACAGAGAGGATGATATCTGCAAAACACTGAAAGTAAAACTCCTAACAACCAAGAATATTGCACCCAGCAAATCTACCCTTCAAAAATGACAAAGAGAAAAATTTAAAACATACAAACAAAGCTAAGGGAGTTCATCACCAGGAATCCTTTCTTATAAGAAATGCTAAAGGAATTTAAGCTGAGAGAAAAAGCTGAGGGAGCTCATCACTAGGAGTCCTGTCTTACAAGAAATGCTAAAGGAAATTAAGCTGAGAGGAAAAGATGCTAATTAGTAACACAAAAACATAAGAAAGTACAACTCACTGGTAGAAATAAGTACATAGTCAAATTCATAATACTTTAGAACTGTAATGGTGGTATATAAATTACTCATATTATTAGTATGAAAGTTAAATGGTAAAATTCTTCAAAATCACAATAGTTATGATAATTTGTAAAGGGATGAACAATATAAAAATATGTAAATCATGACATCAAAAATTTAAAACGAGGGTGTATAGAAAAGTGTAATGTTGTTTTATCTGATTATAGTTAAGTTGTTATCAGCTTAAAATAGTCTGTTATAAGATATTTTATAATAACCATAAACAAAAAATCCACAGTAGATATGCAAAAGATAAGAAGGAATCAAGATATACTGCTAGAGAGAAACACCTAATCAAAAAGGAAAACAATAAAAAAGGAAGAAAGAAACAAAGAACCTATAAAACAACTAGAAAACAACAAAATGGCAGTGGTAAGTCCTTATCTATCAACAATTACTTGGAATGTAAATGCCATAAATTATTTAACTGAAAGGCATAGAGTGGTAGAATGGATTAAAAATAAAAGACTCAACTATATGCTGCCTACAAGAGATTTACTTCACCTTTAAGAATACATATAGACTGAGAGCGAGGGATAGAAAATGATATTTCATGCAAATGAAAACCAAAAGAGAGCAGGAGTACCTATATTTAAAGTAGGCTTCAAGCCAAAAACTATAAAACAAGAAGGACATTATACAGATACTCCTCAACTTATAGTGGGATTATGTTCTGATTAAATCCATTGTAAGTCCATTTTTAACTTATGATATTTTCATCTTATGATGAGTTTATCCAGGTGTAATCTCATCATAAGTCAAGGGATGTACTTTATGCATATCACTTTCACACCATGATAAAGTCAATAAACTAACTGTAAGTCAAGTCTCTGTAAGTCAGGGACAATCTGAATGAAGTTAAAGCCATTGTACCCCAGAATTTAACGCATAAAAAAGCCGTCAATTTAACAAGAAGGTATAACAATTTTAATATATATGCATCCAGCATTACAGCATCTAAATATATACAGCAAGTATTAATAAATCAGAAGGGAGAAATAGACTGTAATGTAATAATTGTGAATTTTAGTACCCCACATTCAGCAACGGGCAGATCACCTAGACAAGTAATAGGAAAACATTGAGCATAAACTACACTTTAAACCAAGTGGACCTGAGAGGCATATGCAGACCATTACATACAATAGCATCAGAAAACCCAGCTTCTCCAGTGTACAGGGAACATTTTCACAGATAGATCATATGTTGGCTGAAAAAATAAGTTGATACATTTTAAAAGATTGAAATTATATCAAGTATCTTTTCTGACTACAATTGCATAAAATTAGAAATCAATAACAGGAAGCACTTTAAAAATTTTAAGGCATGTAGAAATTAAACAACATGCTCCTGAATAAACAGTGAGTCAATTCATAAATTAAAAGAAAAATTTAGAAATATCTAGATACAAATGAAAATGGCAACACATCACACAAAAACGTATGGAATACAGCAAAAGCAGTTCTGAAACAAAATATATAGCGAGTGACTGAGAAATTCCTAGAGGTATGCAACCGACCAAGACTAAATAATGAAGGAATAGAAAATATGAACAGACCAGAGATGATTAAGGACATTGAATCAGTAGTAAAAAGTAATAAAAAGCTCAGGTTCTTATGGCTTCACCACTGAATTCAAACAAACATTTAAAGAATAACTATCAATCCTTCTCAAACTCTTTTAAAAAATTGAAGAGGAAGGAACAATTCCAAACTCATGTTATAAGGCCAGCAGTACCTTGATATCAAAGCCAGACTAGAACATTATGAGAAAAGAAAATTACAGACCAATATCCAGATGAACATATAGGCACAAATCCTCAACAAAATTCTAACAAACTGAATTCAACAGTTCATCAAAATGATTATTCACTATGATAAAATATGATTTCTCCCCAGAATAAGAGAGTAGTTTATCACACACAAATCTCTAAATGTGATACACCGCATTAAAAAAAAGGACAAAAACTATATTATCATTTCAATAGATGCAGAAAATTCAACATCCTTTCATCGTAAAAACTGACAAATTTGGTATAGAAAGAATGTGTCTCAACACAATAAAGGCTTTATATGAAAAAAAAAGCCCACAGCTAACATGATAGTCCATAGCAAAAATGGAAAGTTTTTCCTCCAAAATCAAGATGCCCATTCTTACCATTTCTTTTCAATATAGTACTGGAAATCCTAGCCACAGCTATTAGAAAAGAGAAAAAAATAAAAAGCATTGTAATTAGAAAAAAAGTTAAATTGTCTCTGTTTGCAGATGGCATAATATTATATGTAAAAAACCCTAAAAACGTCATCAAAAATACTAGAATTAATAAACCAATTCGGCAAATTTTCAAGAAACAAAATCAACATACAAAAATCACTAGTATATCTATACAATAACAACACACTATCTGAAGAAGATATCAATAAAGCAGTTCCATTTGTAATAGCAACAAAAATAGAAAAAGAAATAAGTTTAACTAAGGAGATAAACAATGTCCACTCTGAAAACTATAAAAATAGTGAAAGAAATTGAAGATAACAGAAATAAATAGATACACTGTGATCATGGACTGAAATAATTAATATTATTAAAATTTCCACACTACCCAAATTGATCTACAAATTCAGGGCAATCTCTATCAAAATTCAAATGACACCTTTCACAAAAATAGAAACAAAAATTCTAAAGTTCATGGGGAACCACAAAAGACCACAAATAGTCAAAACAATCATCAGCAAAAATAAGAAAGCCGAAATCATCAAATTATTTGACTTCAAAATACACTATAGTAACTAAAACAGCATGTTATGGGTATAGAAACAGATACATAGACCAGTGGAACAGAATAGGGAACCCAGAAATAAATCCATGCATTTATGGTCAATTGATTTTCTACAAATGTGTCAAGAACATACAATGGAATAAGGACAGTCTCTTCAAAAATAGTTGGGAAAACTAAATATTCACATGCAGAAAATGAAATTAGACCCTTATCTCACATCAAATACAAAAGTCAACTACGCCTGGTTTAAAGACTTAAATATAAGACTTAAAACTATAGAACTATGGGGAGAAACATATGGAAAACTCCATAACATTTGTCTGGACAATGATTTTTTGGACACAACCTCAAAAGCATAGGCAATGAAAAAAAGAATAGACAAATGGGATTTCCTCAAACAAAAAAGCTTCTGCACAGCAAAGGAAATAATCAACAGAGTGAAGAGAAAATCTACATATAATTGCAAACTGGCATATCTAATGAGGTGTTAATAGCAAAGGAAATAATTAACAGAGTGAAGAGACAATCTACAGGTATTTGCAAACCAAACATCTAATAAGTTGTTAATATCTAAAATATAAAAATAATTCAACTCAATTAGAAAAAAAAACTGATTAAAAGTGGGACAAAGGACCCGAAGAGACATTTGTCAAAGAATGACATAAAAGTGGCCAACTGGTATGTTAAAACATGCTCAACATCTTTAAGTCACCAGAGAAATGCTCATTAAAACCACAATTAAATACCACCTCATACTTGTTAGAATGGCTGTTATGAAAAAGATGAATGATAACAAGTGTTGAAGAGGTTGTGGAGAAAAGGGAATGCTCCATAGTGATGGTGGGTATGTAAACTAGTACAGCCATTATGGAAAACAGTATGACAGTTTCCCAAAATATTAAAAATAGAACCACTATACAACGCAGAAATCCCAATAGTGGGTGTATGTCCAAAGGAAATGAAATCAGTATGTCAAAGAGACATCTGTCTTCCCATGTTCATTGCAACATTATTCACAATAGCCAATATATGGAATCAACTCAACCTAAATGTCTATCAATGGATGAATGGTGGTTTATTTGTACAATAAAATACTATTCAGCTTTAAAAGTGAAGGAAATCCTGTTAAGTGCAACAACACAGATGAACCTGGAGGACCTTATATTAAGAGAGATAAATAAAGCACAGAAAGACAAATAATACATGATATCATTTGTATGTAGAATCTAAAACAATTGAATTCATAGAAGAGAGTGTAAAATGAGGGTTACAAGGGCTGGGGGGTGTGGGTTTGGGACAAGCTGGTTAAAGGACATACAACTTCAGTTAGATAGGAGGAATGAGTTCAATAGGTCTATTGAACATGGTGACTATAGTTAATAACTGTTTATTATATTCTTAAAAATTGCTAAGGGAGATTTTCAGTGCTCTTATCACAAAAAGATACATATGTGAGGTAATGCATATATGTAAATGAACTCAACTTACCCATTCCACAATGTATACATATTTTAAAACATCATCTTGCATGTGAGAAATATATATTTTTGTCAACTAAAAATATATAAATAAAAATGTCATAAAATAATTCAATATAAAATGCAGTACAACTATTTCATAAACCTTTAGGCAGTTTCTTATCACTTCTAACACAGAGCTACCTCAAGACCTACAATTCTCCTCCTATGCATATGTCCAAGGTAATGGAATACATATATCAACAAAGTGATACAAACAAGAATATTCAAAGCATATTTATTTATAAGAGCCTTAGAATCAAAATATCTGAATGTTGTTAATAAACATTCTGATATCATTATATAATGGCTAGTACAAAGCAATAAATTCAAAGAATGAGCTACAGATAAACACATCAACATAGATGGGTTTTAGAGAAATATATTGAACAAAAGAAGTGAGGAACAAAAGAATACTTAACTGCGTGATTTCATTTATATGAACTTGAGTGATGAACAGATGTAATAATCTCTGGTGTTAAAATAAGAAGAATTATTTTTGCTAGGCAGGGAGTGTTTACTAATTAGAAAGCAGCATGAGGAACATTCTGGTGTTATAGGGGTGGTGGCATATACATAACACTTTTAGGATAAATTTTCTTATCAAATTGTAGATGTTTTATTTTAATTATTAATATTTAGTATTGTTAAATTTTTCTCTGTCATAGGAGTTGTTTACATTTATTTTCCAACCTGACGTTTGTTCTGTTTCACTGTTTTTTCACAGACAGAAATAATACATTGCTATTAAATCAAACCTACTTATATTTCCTGTTATTTATAAACTATATAATATTTTATGTACACATTTGTTATATAATACTTTCTAAGTCTTTTCAACTTTTCTATTTAGATTTTTAATCTCTGTAAATTAAAAAATGTTATTAAGTCACAACGTGATGTTCATGATTTTTCTATTTACTAGTTTAGTGGCTTACTTTCTGGATTGCCATTCTGTAATGAGATTACTGGCCTTATGTGCAGTGATCAATATTGTATTGCCAGTACTATATGTAGTCAATATTATTCTAAATGAAAAAAAGAAACTGATAATTTATTCTGAGTTCATGTGAATATCTTCATTAATCTTAGAGAAAAATTACACATTTCCAAGTAACTATGAATCAAAACATTGAAGAATGATGTCTTTATTTAGACAATGAATATATGTATAACTGCATATATTTTTCTCTACCTGCAATAACTAAGTTGAACATGACAGACACGAGGAATTGTTTTTAGATGAGATATTTACCATCAAATAACTAGAAAATATTAACAGGCCCTTGTAATTTTCTAGTCTTAGAATTGTTGTTTCTCAATGGTGGAAACTTCCTGCTGTGGTTATTTGACCCTCTGCAGAGTTCCTGTGATAGTTATATTGTTGTATTCACTATGAAGAACAGGGAGATGCAGTTATGGAGAAACCATTTCCAAGTTAATCACTTGTTTTTCAATAAAACAACAGTTGGGCTCTAAAGTACTGTAATGCAGTTTTAGAAAATTGAATTGTCCTGAAATAAATTTTTAAGAATGATGCAGCATGCTTTTCCTTAATATTACTCCAAAACTGCATTTTTAAAGATTCATGGTATTGAAGTTTAGAACCCACCATGAGGTAACCATCAGTATCATGGCGTGATACCAATGGCAGTGTGCTGTGAGCATTTGTTGATTAAATTCCGTTAACATGCACTTAACCCAGCAGCACTGATGTTGGTTTATAAACATAAGTACCCTATATTACTGGAACTTAATTCTATTACGTATTTATATAAAACTTTATAAATAGGTGTCATCAAATGGAGATTTTTTTTCCTAATTATCTAAGACAAAATATGGGGAACCACTCCCATAATAAAGCAAGAATAAGAAAATATGCATGACAAAACTAGAAAATATGTTCTGTGTCTGTAGGTAATATGTGAATATAAATCTTTTTTTCTCTATCTTTACATTTTCTGTGAAATATTTTGGAAATATGACAGAGCTCTGAAGAGTAGAATTAAAAGTTTGAGGAATCAGAAAGGACCAAAGTTAAATATTTAATTAAATTAACTTTAGGCAAGATAAACCTGCACAGTATACCATCAACATTCATGTTTGTAGCACAAGATAAAATGTTAAGACATAAACTTGCTCAGAAATATGAAAAATATAATTGGAGCAAAAACTTATTAGAATAAAATGTTTAATTCATCCTTAAAGATATCAAAGTGTATTAAAAAATCCTTTATATTTGAAATAAATTATCAACCTCAAAAAAATCAATTCTTCTTATTAATTTTGTTATCCCAATTAAATATTATTTTTAATCTTGAAGTCACACAATTTGATTCTAAGTTTCATATGAAAAATTTAATATTACCAAAGAATCAGAAAAAACACAAAATAACAATTGAGATGATCCATACCACACTAAATAATTAGTAAAGACATATACATATTTATAACTTTAATAATAATACAATAACCATAAAAAATAACATCAATAAAAATAATAATTCTAACAATAATCAAATAGCACAATACTGTTTTTTCTGACTAAAAACCAATGTTTTCCAACAAAAATTATGCATAGATGAAATTACTACAGTTATTTCTGAGATCTAAATTATTTGACCAGAAAACCCAACAAAAGTAATACCTCAGAACACAAAACAAAATTTTTAAGCTAAACCAAAGGTATTCTAAACAGCAGATAAAAAATGTATTATGAAATGAATAAATGTAATTACTAGACTAAGAGCTTTTATACTATTATTTAACAACAAATGGCAAACTTGACATTGCCAGTGATCTCGTGAATATTTCACCCATGATCTTAAGTGGTAATTAGTTTCTAATTAAATGTATCTAGATTCTAAATAGATAAAATTAATTTTAAAAGGATATATAAATAATACTTTCAATGTATGCTGATCCCAAAGTAGTAGTGCATAGATATATTTTACCTCTTTATACAGCACATAAATACAAAAGTTTCACTAAATACTCTTACCACTTGGGTATATTATCTTTTATTTCCTTTCTCTTCTACTTAATTTTCTTAACTTGATTATAATGCATTACATTTATTTCTAAATTCATTGGTAGATAACTGCTAATAACATGAAAAGAACACTATAATACATCAAACAATAAATACTTTAAACATGTGCTGTATGCACAAATTTTGTTCAGTCTTCCATTTCAATTTCTTTAAATTATAAAGCATAGTCAAGCTGGAAAAAATGTTGGATACAGAATAACCATAAACTTCAATGAGGTTTGGAAAAAGTTTTTTTTGTTGTTTTTTGTTTTTTTGAGACAGAGTCTCTCTCTGTTGCCCAGGCTGGAGTGCAGTGGGGTCATCTCGGCTCACTGCAAGCTCCGCCTCCCGGGTTCATGCCATTCTCCTGCCTCAGCCTCCCAAGTAGCTGGGACTACAGGCACCCACCACCACACCTGGCTAATTTTTTGTATTTTTAGTAGAGACAAGGTTTCACCGTGTTAGTCAGGATGGTCTCGATCTCCTGACCTCGTGATCCACCAGCCTCGGCCTCCCAAAGTGCTGGGATTACAGACGTAAGCCACCGTGCCTGGCTCAAAAAGATATTCTTTAAAATCCACCAAACTGGAAGATTTTCAACAATGAGAAATAGCTGGGTAAAGAAAAGGCTGCAACATCACAGAGGCAAAAACAAGCCTAATGTCCAATCATCACTATGACTTTTTTCAAGCAACTGCATTGAGTACCCTGAAAAGCTAATGTCAATGTCAGAAATGGAGAAAAGCTGTGCAAAATACAGCCATAGCTTGGAACCAAATGCTTCACATGAAAATACTCTTGATCTCTTTATTTTATCCTCATTTTCTCCCTACTTACACCACCCCCTCCTTAACTTCTATAAAAATAAACTACATAAAAAAGAGTAAGTATCACAAATGAATTCTCAGCATCCCAAGGGGAGGGGAGGAGTATTGAGATGAGAGGGGCAGACCTTGGTTGATCTCAGAAAAGGAGGCATAGAGGTTGAAAATGGAGTAAAAAGTCCAAGATATAAAAACATGTGATTAAACTCAATAATAAAATGCAGGTGAATGAGGAACAGTGTCAAAGAGGGCACCAAATCTAATAATGTGTACTGAGGAGGTCTTTCTGTAGCGATAGCTTGTAATGAAAGGAAAAATGTATGTTTTGGAAATTTCTTTCACAATCAAGAAAAGTAACAGGCCTAACGTTTAATATAGTTTGTGAAAAATGAACTGCTTTCAACTGTGTAAGAAGAGGTATCTTTAAAAAGAGATGAGCTTTATTTAAAACTGAGAAGTTAACACATTTTTCATGAAAGAGATTCAGACATAAAGCAGACTACTGATGGTGGTTGTTGGGAAGTTCCAGATGATAGCACACCGCAGTTTGAGAGGCATGGTGTGTGTGGGAACATCATGACAGAGGAAGCAAGGGAAATTGCATGGAAAGCAGAATTGAACACAACATATAACCAGAGGCATATACATTTTGAGAAAATATATTGAAAAACATAATGATAGGGAAGGTGATTTTATTCCAACCATCACTTGGAGAATAGTGTGAACTTGATGCTTCATAATACAATGTGTGATCTGGGAGAAAGTATCTAGTGTGAGATAATACCCCTTTTACTACTTTTTCTTTAGGGATTGGAAGGCCGGATGAAGGTGAAAACTATGAGAATATAAGTCTAATGGTCCAGCAGGTGTGGTGGTGGCTTGAGGTAGAGAGGAAAGAAGAGTGGTGAGCTCCATAAAAACAAACAGGACTGAGGGGTGGATGAGGAAGAGATCCTATTATTAGATTGGAGATAGCCCAGGACATTAGATACCGTGGGAGGAATATTATATTAGAACTATAAGAAACCTTTAGAAAAGCCTTAGGAAAGCTTTAGTAAAAGCTTTGGTATCCAGCAAAGCCTAGGATATAATTGAAATCTTTCAGAATATCTCAAAGAATGAAAACCTCAACCAATCACATACATAATTCCTTAAATTGTTATTTTTAAAATGATTGACATAGTGAAACCAGAAACACATGGAGATAATTAAGTACTTCAGGAAAATAACATTTATTTGGGCTGTCGATATTTTATACATTCGATTAATTTTTTACAATTAGAACTCTGTATACAGTCAGACACACGTTTTCTTTTTCACATTTACCTATTTTTCTCCCAGTTAATCTTCACTAGCATTTCATCCTGCATTTTTCCATTAGGGGCACCAGTCTCTGAAAATTCTAAGTACCAGTGCTTATATCATTCAAATAGGGTTAGTCCAGCATCAAATATCAAGCTAATGAGAGTCTAATTACGGGAATATTATGAAGACACTTCCTTGCTAATTGGTCCATGTTGATGCTAATTTATGTACCCTACTAGGATATTCTGTTGTGGCCTGATTGTCATCTTATCACACATTCTATCTTTCTTGTGGAATCTGAGACATTTTCTACCTTTTCCTGAGAGCAGTTAGATAGAAACACAATGGGCTCTCTCCCTAAGCTTCACCAATACTAGGAGCACCATTTGGAGTCTCAGTCTTTTTATCCCTGAAAGTGCAGAGTTTCTTTTGCAAACTGATGTTCCTCACATCGGTGAAGAATTCTATGTAACATTTGTTAAGCAGTGGAAGCCTTCATTGAATTTCAATATTTTTTATCAGATTTTCCTCCCCTCCGGACATACTCGTCCCATGAAGATAACTGATGACTGCACAACTCTATATGAAACATGAAGAGGAAACTTTATGTTTTCTGTATAATACAAGATCAGTTCAAAGTCAATCTAAGTATCTCATGTCATGTATTTTAAGCAATTACTTTAACAAGCACATTTTTACTAAGTTAAAATTATAATGTGCATGGCTTTGTTAACTGCTTACTTCTCTGCATTTGTTACTTGTTAATTGAAAGAAAAAATATTTTAAAATCACATTCATGTTACCATATCACCTACAAACAGTCTATGGATGTTTATTTTATTTTGCATTTGGCAACAATAAGATTTTTTTGTTCATTTTTTTAAATGTGCTAAATTAAAAACAAATTGTATTTCACTGTTTACAAGTAGAAAGTCACCATCAATTGGAGTGACTTTGAAAAGAAACATAAAGTTAAAGAGCAAAAACAGGCATAGAAATAAATGTCTACTGTTATTTTATTCTTTCTAGTTTCTGTGTAATTGGTTTTGCTTTCAATAGAAGATTGTGCTTTTCTAATGTCCCATGGTTATGATATATTTTGATCTGTAAAAGTCAAGAAAATTATCTATTAATATTATGACTAATATATACTTTTCAGTGAAAATATGATAATGTGTGTACTTCTTTAAAATAATCATCAAAAGTTTATCAGCTGATATGTTTTGTATCAAAATGAATTCTACCACAATCTCAGCATATCGTAGGCACTGCAGTTTATTATGATTGTGCAATACAATTCACAAGGTACAAATTTTGTTAAGATAGCAGATTATAAAACTCTAATGCTGCTATTCCTAATTTCTTTCTCATGCATTAATTTTTAAATTTATTCTAATATGATTATTCCCCAAACTGGATCTTACAAATTCACTAACTAATATTAAATATCTATTTTAAAAGAACACTGAGAGCCAAAGCTACATACGTTTTCTCAGTAATTAATTTTGCAGTGATATATATTTCTTCTTTTTTTTGAGACAGAGTCTCGCTCTCTGGCCAGGCTGGAGTAGAGTGGTGAGATCACAGCTCTCTGTAACCTCCACCTCCTGGGTTCAAGCGATTCTCCTGCCTCAGCCTCCTGAGTAGCTGGGATTACAGGCACACACCATCACGCCCAGCTAATTTTTGTATATTTTAGTAGAGACGAGGTTTCACCATATTGGCTAGGCTGATCTCGAACTCCTGACCTCAGGTGATCCACCCACCTGGGCCTCTCAAAGTGCTGGGATTATAGGCGTGAGCCACCGCGCTCAGCCTGGAAACTCTTTAATTAAGTGTATTCACAGTTAGAATCCTGACTTATTGATGAATTGATACTTTCAACATTATGTAATATTGCTCTTTGTTTCTTGTCTTGTAGTCACTGTTGGATAATTTCTATTGCATGATGTACCATTTTTACATCAAATCAGCAAAGTATGTATTTATCTTAGAATATTATATTTAAAATTTGTCTCTTTTTAAATTATATTTAAGTTTCGTGGGTACATATTAGGTGTACATATTTATGAGTTTCATGAGATACTTTGATATAGACATACAATGTAATAATCACTTCAGGGTAAATGGGATATCCATTACCACAAGCAGTTATACTCTGTTACAATCTAATTATACTCTTTTACTTATTTTAAAATACATAATTCAAGTATTATTGACTATAGTCACCCTGTCCTGCTATCAAATACTACATCTTATTCATTCTTTCTATTTTTTGTACCCCAATTTCCTCCCCACGTCAGCCCCTACACTACTCTTCCTAGGCCCTGGTAACCATCCTTCTACTCTTTATCTCCATGAATTCAATCGTTTTAATTTTTAGCAGAGAACATGCAAAGTTTGCCTTTCTGTGCCTGGCTTATTTCACTTAACATAACAACCTTCAGTTCCATACCTGTTGTTGCAAATGACAGCATCTCATTCTTTTTATGGCTGAAGTGTACTCCAATGTGCAAATGTACAACATTTTCCTTGTGCATTCATCTGTTGGAAAAATCAATATTATTAGAATGTCCATACTACCCAAAGTTTGTTTCTTGCAGACAACATATGGTTAGGTGTTTCTTTTTTTAATATAGCATGACAGTTTTGTCAGTTTGAGCCTTTATCAGAGTAGTCAATTAATGTATTTTAATCTCTTTATTTTGAGATAGTTATAGATTTACATGTGGTTGTAAAAACTAAAACAGAAAATTTCATCCATCATTCCCCAAGTTTTCCCCAATGGTAACACCTTGCATAATTATATCACAACCAGAAAATTGACATGAATAAGAGCCTTTGATCTTAATCATATTTCAATAGTTTTCATACATTTGTGTGTGTGTGTGTGTGTGTGTGTGTGTGTGTGTGTGTTTGTATTTAGTTCTTCTTTTTTTTTTTTTTTTTTTTGAGACAGAGTCTCGCTCTGTCGCCCAGGCTGGAGTGCAGTGGTGCAATCTCGGCTCACTGCAAGCTCCGCCTCCTGGGTTCACGCCATTCTCCTGCCTCAGCCCCCCGAGTAGCTGGGACTACAGGCGCCCGCCACCACGCCCGGCTAATTTTTTGCATCTTTAGTAGAGACAGGGTTTCACTGTGTTAGCCAGGATGGTCTCGATCTCCTGACCTTGTGATCTGCCTGCCTCTGCCTCCCAAAGTGCTGGGATTACAGGCGTAAGCCACCGTGCCCGGCCTGTATTTAGTTCTTCTATGGAAGTTTATCACATGTGTAGATTCATGTGACTACCACCATAGTCAAGATACAGAACAGTTCCATCACAAAGATCCCTCATGTGACCACTTTATAGTAACAGCCACCATCTTTCTTCCCTATAATACCTGGAAACCCATAATCTGTTCTTTGTCTATGTACTTTTGTAATTTCAAGAACTGTATACAAATGGAAACATACAATATGTAACCATCCTGTGAATGACTTTTTCATTCACACAATATCCTTGAAATACATCCAAGTTGTTGCATATATCAAGACTTTGTCCCTTTTTATTGGTGAGTAGTATTCTGTGGTTTGGATGTTTCATTCTTTGCTTTTTTAGTTTACTTTTATTTTATTATAATTTATTTTATCTTCCGCGGAACATGTGCAGGATGTGCGGGTTTGTTACGTAGGTAAACGTGTGCCATTGTGGTTTGCTGCATGCCATTCTTTGTTTAACCTTTTGACCATCTAAGGATATTTGATTTGTTTCCAGTTTGGGTCTATTATAAGTAAAGGACATACCTGTACATATTTTGTGTGAAAATAATTTTTATATCTCAAGGATAAAAGTCCAGGAAAGCAATTTTAAAGGCATATTTAGTTTTACAAAATAACTGTATATTTTACTTTCCCACCAATAATATATGAGAGAACCAGCTTCAATGAAATCTCATGAGCGTTTTGCATTATCACTGTTTTTAATTATTTATTTTTTATTATACTTTAAGTTCTAGGGTGCATGTGCACAACATGCAGGTTTGTTACATATGTATTCATGTGCCATATTGGTGTGCTGCACCCATGAACTCATCATTTACGTTAGGTATATTTCGTGATGCTATCCCTCCCCCCTCCCTCCACCCTATGACAGGCTGCGGGGTGTGGTGTTCCCCACCCTGTGTCCAAGTGTTCTCATTGTTCAATTCCCACCAATGTGTGAGAACATGTGGTGTTTTGTTTTCTGTCCTTGCGATAGTTTACTCGGAATGATGGTTTCCAGCTTCATCCATGTCCCTACAAAAGACATGAACTTATCCTTTTTTATGCCTGCATCGTATTCCATGGTGTATATGTGCCACATTTTCTTAATCCAGTCTATCATTGATGGACATTTGGGTTGGTTCCAAGTCTTTACTATTGTGAATAGTGCCACAATAAACATACGTGTGCATGTGTCTTTATAGTAGCATGATTTATAATCCTTTGGATATATACCCAGTAATGGGATGGCTGGGTCAAATGGTATTTCTAGTTCTAGAACCTTGAGGAATTGCCACACTGACTTCCACAATGGTTGAACTAGTTTACAGTCCCACCAATAGTGTAAAAGTGTTCCGATTTCTCCACATCCTCTCCAGCACTTGTTGTTTCCTGACTTTTTAATGATTGCCATTCTAACTGGTGTGAGATTTCTCATTGTAGTTTTGATTTGCATTTCTCTGATGGCCAGTGATGATGAGCATTTTTTCATGTGTCTGTTGGCTGCATAAATGTCTTCTTTTGAGAAGTGTCAGTTCATATCCTTTGCCCACTTTTTGATGGGGTTGTTTTTTTCTTGTAAATTTGTTTAAGTTCTTTGTAGATTCTGGACATTAGCCCTTTGTCAGATGGGTAGATTGCAAACATTTTCTCCCATTCTGTAGGTTGCCTATTCACTCTGATGGTAGTTTCTTTTGCTATGCAGAAACTCTTCAGTTTATGCATAAACTGACACTAGATCCCATTTGTCAATTTTGGCTTCTGTTGCCATTGCTTTTGGTGTTTTAGACATGAAGTCCTTGCCCATGCCTATGTCCTGAATGGTATTGCCTAGGTTTTCTTCTACAGTTTTTATGGTTTTAGGTCTGACATTTAAGTCTTTAATCCATATTCAATTAATTTTTGTATAAGGTGTAAGGAAGGGATCCAGTTTCAGCTTTCTGCATATGGCTAGCCAGTTTTCCCAGTACCATTTATTAAATAGGGAATCCTTTCCCCATTTCTTGTTTTTGTCAGGTTTGTCAAAGATCAGATAGTTGTAGATGTATGGTATTATTTCTGAGGGCCCTGTTCTGTTCCATTGATCTATATCTCTGTTTTGGTACCAGTACCATGCTGTTTTGGTTACTGTATTCTTGTAGTACAGTTTGAAGTCAGGTAGCGTGATGCCTCCAGCTTTGTTCTTTTGGCCTAGGATTGTCTTGGCAATGTGGGCTCTTTTTTGGTTCCATATGAACATTAAAGTGGTTTTTTCCAATTCTGTGAAGAAAGTCTTTGGTAGCTTGATGGGGATGGCATTGAATCTATAAATTACCTTGGTCAGTATGGCCATTTTCACGATATTGATTCTTCCTATCCATGAGCATGGAATGTTATTCCATTTGTTTGTGTCCTCTTTTATTTCCTTGAGCAGTGTTTCGTAGTTCTCCTTGAAGAGGTCCTTCACATCTCTTGTAAGTTGGACTCCTAGGGATTTTATTTTCTTTGAAGCAATTGTGAATGGGAGTTCACTCATGATTTGGCTCTCTGTCTGTTATTGGTGTATAGGAATGCTTATGATTTTTGCACATTGATTTTGTATCCTGAGACTTTGCAGAAGTTGCTTATCAGCTTAAGGGGATTTTGGGCTGAGACGATGGGGTTTTCTAAATATACAATCATGTCATCTGCAAACAGGGACAATTTGACTTCCTCTTTTCCTAATTTAATATCCTTTATTTCTTTCTCCTGCCTGATTGCCCTGGCCAGAACTTCCAACACTATGTTGAGTAGGAGTGAAAACTGTCTTGTGCCAGTTTTCAAAGGGAATGCTTCCAGTTTTTGCCCATTCAGTATGATATTGGCTGTGGATTTGTCATAAATTGCTTTTATCATTTTGAGATACGTCCCATCAATACTTATTTATAATTGTTTGTGGGGATATTTTATTGTAATTTCACTTTCACCTTTCTCATAGTTTATGTCATTAAACTTCTTTTTATTTGCTTGTTTGGCAGCTATATGTCCTCTTAGTGAAATATCTATTCATGTATTTCTCCCATTTTCTAAGTGGATAGTTTGCAATATATCGTTAACTTTTGAGTTTTTTTTTAAGATCTGAAAATACATCATTTGTCAGATGTGTGGATTGCAAATAATTTCTCCCAGTTATATAGCTTGTCTTTGCATCCTCTTCACAAGGTCTTCTGTGGAGTTTATAATTTTGCTAGTCCAATTTATCAATTTTGCCTTTTTCTGGATGATAAATTTTGTACCAATCCTAAATGCCAGTTGCCTAACCTTTTGCCCAAAAGGTTTCTTCCCATTTTTTTCCAAAAGTTTTACGGTTTTTAAAACTTTATGCTTTTGTTCATAATCTTTTTTGAGTTAAATTTTATAAGATGTGAGTTTCAGTTTGTGGTTTGTATTTTTGCTTATATACATCCAAATGTTCCAGCATCATTTGTTGAACAGACTTTCTATCATCTGTTATATTTCTTTTGCATGTTTGTCAAAAGTCAGTTTTGGGTCAGACACAGTAGCTCACACCTGTAATCCTAACACTTTGGGAGGCCAAGATGGGAGTATCGCTTAAGGCCAGGAGTTCAAGTCCAGCCTGGAAAACATAGCAAGACCCCATTTCTACAGAAAATTATCTTTTAAAATTAGCCTGGCTAGGACTAAAAATAGTCCTAGCTACTCTGGAGGCTGAGGCAGGAGGATCATTTAGCCCAGGAGTGAGGTTACAGTGAGCTATGATCATGCCACTCTACTCCAGGCTGGGTGACATAGCGAGAGTCTGTCTCTAAAACATTTTTTTAATAATAAAAAGTTAATTTTTTGGTATATTTCTTGGGCCAATGGTTTGTTCTACTTATCTATGTGTTTAACCCTCTGCCAGTACCACACTGCCTTGACTGCTGTAACTCTTTAGTAAGCTCGTTAAGTCTTTTTAATTACTTGAGTAGGATGACTCCATCCACTTTATTTCATTTTTTTCTAAAATTGTTTACCTATTCCAAATCCTCTACTTTTTCATAAAAATTTTTAGAATAAGCTTATATAATATATGGGAAAAATTAACCAAAATTTTAAACATTGCTAAGGTGTTTATACAATTACATTAAACCTGTAGATCAATTTGAAGACATTGGACATCTTTACTATATTGAGCATTCTCATCAATAAACGTGGTGTGTTTCTGCATGCATTTAGGTCTTCTTTTTAAAATCTGTATTTATAACATACAATAATTGTACATATTTATGGGATATAATATGATGTTCCAATGCATACATATATAGTGTAAGAATATCTAGGTAATTACCATGTCTATCACTTTAAACATTTATTATTTATTTGTAGTGAAAACATTCAAAATCATCTAGCTATCTTAAAACATACATTGCATTGCTATTTGCTATCATCACCCTACTTTGTAATAGAATACCAAAACTTACTCTTCCTGTCTAACTGTAACTTGGAACCCATTAACCCACCTCTCCTGGTCTCCTTGTCAATCCTCTATGATTCCTGGCCTCTGGTAACAACTATTCTGCACACTACTTCTATGAAATCAACTTTTTTAGATTCGACATATGATTGAGATCGAGTAGTGTTTTTCTTTCTGTGCCTGCCTCTTTCACTTAACCTAAAGACTTCCAGGTTCATTCATGTTCCCACAAATGACAGGATTTCATATTTTATAGCTGAATAGTGTACATGTATATGTGTGTGTGAATATATATATATATAAATATGTGTAAATATATTGCATTTTCTATGTCTATTCAACTGTAAATGAGCATTTAATTTGATTCCATAGCTTGGATATTGTAAATAGCACCAGAACAAACATGGGTATGCAGATGAGATGTCTCTTCAACATACTGATTTCATTTCCTGTAAACAAATACTCAATAATGTGATTGGTTAGTATTTAGGGCTTCTTTATTTTATCAACAACTTGAAACTTTGAACATACAAGTCTTATACATATTTTATTCAGTGTATAATTTTAATTTTCTTTGAAGTGACTATTAAGGTTTCCTTAGAACTTTTTCTTTTATTTTTGGTTGGGGGGGTTCATGTGAAGTTTGTTACACAGATAAACACATGTCACAGGGGTTTGTTGTACACATTATTTCATCATCCACGTATTAAGCCCAATACCCAATGTTATCTTCCTGCTCCTGTCCCGCCTCCCACCCTATCCCCTGAAGCAGAGCCAGTGTCTGTTGTTTCCTTCTTTGTGTTCATAAGTTTTTATCATTTAGGTCCCACTTATTTAGTGACCAAGTGAGAACATGTTCTTCAAAACAATTATTGAGACAGCCAGGTGAGGGGAGTCCTTGGGTGGAGAAACTCCAACCACCTGCCCACTGAGGTGGAGCCTCAGGAATCTCACTCCCTTTGCAGCAGGAAGGGGCCTGGCCCCCTTTTTCCTGTGTATGTAACCTGGGATTCCAAAGGCCTGGCGGGAAACAGTCTAGCGGAGGCACTCTGACCTTGCAAGAGTCCCAGTTTCCCACTTTTATTCCCTTTCACCCAATAAAACGCTGCTTTACTCACCCTTTAGACCATCTGCGAGCCTAAATTTTCATGGCCGTGGGATGGACAAGAATTCCATCTTTAGCTGAACTAAGCAAAAGTCCTGCAACATTATCCTTTAAAGAATTTGAAAAATGAGACTTATTTATTAGATTCACCCATATATTATATGTATATATATCCTGTCTTCAAATTTGTCCTTCTGTCTTACATCATTATCTTTAAGCCTGAGAAATTTTCATTAACATTTTTTCCCTTTAACATTTTTAAATTGCAAATCTTTTGTTTATTTCTCTTAACCTGTGTATATCTGAAAATGTCTTTATTTTCTCTTAATTTTGAAAGGTATTTTAATAGCTAAACTATTTCAAAAATAATTACCTTTTTCTCCTTCTCTTCCTCCTCTTGTGGTCTTTTTTCACCATTTGAATGGTATTCATTTGGGCTTTCATTGCTTTTGAAAAAAATCTGTGGTAATTCGTATGATTGTTCCTACATGTACAATGTTATTATTTTTTTCTCTCTGGATTTTTTTGGGAATTCTTCTTTACATTTATTTTCATCAATTTGACCATAATGTGCTCTGGAGTATTTACTTTGTGTTTATCCTGTTTGGGGTTCATTGAGCTTCTTATATTTCTGAATTACTATTTTTCATAATATTTGGAAAGCTTTATGTCAATATTTGTTTGTGGTTTATGCCTCATTCTGATTTAGTTCTCCCTCTAGGATCATAATTACATCTAATTTTCATTAAATATTACTACATGTACCACTGATTATTTGTTTTTTGTTATATATATTCCCTCTGTACCTCACAATGAAAAAGTAGAAGAGAACTAGGAAACATTAAATTAATTGTATCATTACTAAACTAGAAAATTAATATAGGTCAACTAAAATAGTTAAAGATTATGCAAGTTCTATTTATAAAAACAAAAAATTATAATTATGAAAAATAGATAAAAAAAGAATCACAAAAATGAACTAAAAGTGGAATACTGACCCCAAATAACCCATGAAGCAGTAAGTGTAACATAAAACGTTAAGAGAAAATTAAGATTAAACATATTTGTCGTATTAAAAACAGCAACATTCAATATTAAAGGAAACATGGGTATAATAAAAGAGCTATAGGAAGATTAAGACACTGGTGTTGGGCTATACCTGGGTATTTGAATCTGAGGTCTTGTCAATATTTTGTAAGAAAATGCAGATATACAAACTAAATTCAAGTGCTTCTATCTTTTTCTCAACTGAAGATTAAGTAAATATTTCTTAGCATGATTGACATTTGACTCTCAACAATTTGGTTAGAATAGTTTACATTATTTTTCCTACTCTATGGTTGGAAGCAAGGAATTATCTTTAAATCACTGGGTTCTGTTAGAAGCATTTCCTAAGATATCTGATGTAAAAATGGTCATTAAATTATTAAATACTATACCCACATTATTTAGTGGTTTTCAATAAAATAAGTATCCCTTCCACATTTATCTTCCCTACTTACATAGCTTTGCATGATCTGAATGAAAGAAAAGATGATTCTACAAATATAGTCAGATATTAGAATGGATAATTAGGAAAAGATTCAGAATATTTAGCAATGGCGATTTTTATAAGTGGCAGAAAAAGTCTAACTCAATTACATACTTTGAACTACAGCACTTTTATATTTAGAAGTAATAGGATTGTATTTTTGAATAAGGGATTGTTTTTTAAGACTATGATTTTCTCTACTAAAGAATACTTTGCTGAATATTATTCACCAAGAATTTTGACTGATCTAATTAAAGCTATAATAATTCAGTCATACTTCTCAAATAGTGCCCCTCATTAGCCTTTTAGGTAGTTTCCTTTGCAATATAGCAAGCCATGGCCAGGTCTGGGTTAAGGAAAATTGGATTCATTATGACAGTGATGACAAATTATCTTCTGCAAGAATTATTTAACACAATGGGTCAAAAGAGAAGAAACTAAACAAAAGAAAGGAATAGCATGAGAATGAATAAAGAATGAAATTGCATATTTAATAATGAAAGCAATAGAAGAAACTTTAAAAATGAAATAAAAAGGTAATGCAAAACTGGAGGCAAAATGAGCTTTTCTCGTCATTAGAGGTTATTACATTCTAATTTCTTTTAGGCTCATATGTGGCAGATCCCATTCTTTAAGAACTCTCAAAGCATTTAGCCAAAGCAATGTATGCAGACTTACAGGAAACTCTTAGCTTTGAAATAAGGGATTTTAGTCAATAATGAATCACTAATATTCTTTGGCAAAACTTGACAGCAGATAGTATAGGCTAAAAGTTCAGTCTGATCCGGTATTTGATTTGTTCAAAGTTGAATTTTATTATGTATTACATAAACACTTTCCTATCTTCCCATGATATACTTTGCCAATATCAAAAACTGGAAAAGGATTTTAATAGCTTTTTTTACATTTCTGAATTATTTATGCACTAATAATTGTGTTAAGTCTAGCTTAGGATAAAACTATCCCAGGCATACTTAACATGAAATGGAGTTGAACTTATATTTGGAGTCAATACAAATTAATATTATAGTGTTAGGTAGAATTGTTCAAATGGTTAATTTAACACATTGTGTAGTGTCTTTAAGCTGACTTGTAAAATGGCCACATCCAATGCTGTTAATTTTACTGCCAAATTGTCTGTGAATCTTCTAAATTTGACTTGACTTTTGTAAAAATACTGTAATGTAGACAGTACAGATGTCATTATACCTAGAGTAGATATAAGGATACTAAATCTTTGAAAAGGTGAAACAAATTTCTGAGGTGCTGTAATTATTTCATAATTTAGCAAGAATTTAGGCTACTTAATATGAATAAAAGTTCTATAGTTTTGCCTGACTATTGAATATATAGTACATATTAATATATAAGATATGTATACATGTAGGATACAATGTGGAATATAAAACACATTAAAGAAGAGAAACACATTTGCTCTTCTACACAGTTATTAGATATTAGAAAAAATGCAAAAATAGCAACATCTTTGCTTTGTATTATTCATAACATTTAAGCTAAATATCACAGGTCAAGTTTTTTTTAATGTCAATTTGAGCCTCAGTAAGCTCATCTTCAGCAGACCCAAGCATTATAATGTTTCTTATTTTTAAAGAAATAATACTTTTAAATGACAATTTTATTATTTATTGAACAAATATTATTGTGAGCATTGCATTAAAAAGTTGTAAGGAGATACACAGATGAAGAACATGATGATATGGGAATATGAAGTTCTTAGAAGAGTAAGAAAGATAAAATATGTATCTTTATATATTAAAATCAAGCTCCATTTTGTGTGCTTTGAGCATTTCAGATAAAGTAACTGTATATAAATTGCAAGTATAAAATTGTTATAATAAAAGGCTTTGTGGAATATATAGATTTGCAAGCATTGGAAGGTTGGATGGCTTTTGAATATACAGAAAGAAGAGAAAGAAGGATTTCTGTCTGAGAAATTAGGATGGGCAAAAAGCAAGATATAGAAAATGAAAATTTGGGGTCATGCATATAGACAGAAGAATCTGAAATAGAAGGTATTATGCAAAGATAGTATTGGAGAGATGGAATATTTCTAGATTATGGATGGTATTAACTGGTGGATAAATGGTATGGGCTTTACATACTGAAGATTTTTTATGTATGAGAACTGCACAGAGAAAGCTTTTCCTCTGGAGGGATGATCTGGCTTTTTTTTTTTTTTTTAATTTGATAGGAAGTGAGACAAACTGAAACTGTTATATGGAATCCATTCAGCGACAATAGAACAGATGAAAGGCAATGCTGACCGCAAAAGGAAAATCTTGTGGCCCCCAAATTATTAAGCTAAAGGGAAAAGTCAAGCTGGGGACTGCTCAGGTCAAACCTGTTTCCCATTCTATTCAAGGTCATCCCTCTGCTCATTGAGACAGATGCATTATTTGATTGCTTCCTTTGGAAAGTTGTATCAGAAACTCAAAAGAATGCAACCCTTTGTCTCTCACCTACCTGTGTCCTGGAAGCCCCCTGCCTGCTTTGAGTTGTCCCTGCCTTTCTGGACAGAACCAATGTACTTCTTACATATAATGTTGTCTTATGTCTCCTTAAAACGTTTTAAAGGAGACAAGCTGTGCCCTGACCACCTTGGACACATGTCATCAGGACCTCCTGAGGCTGTGTCACTGGTGTGCATCCCCAACCTTGGCAAAATAAACTTTCTAAATAAACTGAGACCATCTCAGATATTTGGGGTTCACATGACCCAACTTGGGTTCATGTTAGTGGAAATGTGGAAGTTGGAATAAATTAAACATAAGGCTCGTGAAAGTGTCATTAGGAATTAGCAGATTATTTGAAAGAAGAGAAACATCAAAGAAAATTAAGGAATCAAGGACACATACAAGCTTATATTTTAAGCCTGAATGGCTAACCTGCTGGCAGCAATGGCAATAAAGATTGGCATTAATATTTATATAGTGAGAATTGATTGGACTTCTTATTCTATTTCAAGCTTGAGCTAAGTGTTGGGATAACAGCCACATTGATCCTATTTTCACAGAATTCACAAAGCAGCAATATTAAATAGTAAGCACTTTCTAATTGTTTACTATGTGGCTGTCACTGACCGAAGTACCTTACGCAAGTTATTTCATTTAATCCTGAAAAAATCCCATATAAACAAACAACAACAACAACAAAACTAAAAAATGAAATAAACTGTAATGACCACATTTTTTTAAGTGAGAGAAATGTACCATAAAATATTTGTGAATCTTGCCCCAGGTTAAATAGCTTGTAAATTGCTGAGGTGGAGATCAAAAAGTAAAGAGTAAGACTCCAAAGACCATAATCAAACAGTGACTTTTATTTTTATAGCAGAGGAGGCACAATATGCTTTGGGGATAAGGAGAAAGGTAACCAGAATATGGAAACCCACAAGTAGATTGTAGAAATACCAGAATATATCATGTATTTGAGAAATGAAAGACACTAAGTGTAGTCTGAGAGTGGGCCTCCAGGTCATTTTACAAAGATAATCATTTAAATACAACTAGATAATTTAGATACTTTTAAGACATGTAAAAAAGTTGGGCCTTTATCTAAACACAGGGAGAAGTTTTTTGTTGTTATTGTGGTTGTTTGTTTGTTTATTTTTACAGGTTTTAAATGAAGAAATAATGACTGATTTGGAGTTTTGGAAAAGATAATGGTAAGCCTCGCTCTAGACATACTGATTTTAAGATGCTGGCAGATCACTGAAGTAGAAATAGCTGTCGGGCATTTAGAAACAGATGATCTTCCTCAAAAGAAAAACAAAGAACAAAGTCTTTGTATGTGGATTTTGCTTTTTTGGTGGATTTTTCAAAATACTTTCCATGTGGTTTAGGTGGCCCTTACTGGCCTTTGAAGTGGATCATGTTGCCAAGGGCTGGCCATCAGGTCTATAGCATTCTATTCAGCATTGTTGCAAGGATAGACATATGACCAAAGCCACACCAGCCAAACTCAATACCTTCAACCATTTGCTGGATACATTTTGAATATGGTCTGCTTTTTCACTGTTTTGTTTTTTTTTTTTTTTTTAAGTCTTACAATGTAAACCTGGTTGTACTGGTGACTTTATTTGATAATACATTGGTAGACACTATTAAAATGAAATACAAAGCAGAGCTTAGAGAGGAGAAGAATAAACTCTTGATTAAACCACCTAGATCCAATCATGGCTGAAGCCATAAATGTACCAACATTATTTTATATGGGCTCATCATTTTCTTTTACATTTAAGCCATTTGAATTGTGTTACCACAACTTGTATTTGACAAGCTACTGGCAAATATAGAAACCATCCGCATAATGTTACTTTTAGAAGCCATCAAATTTTCAAAAACGGGGAGGGTTCTACTTTTGGTCAAGTCATCAATAAAAGCGTGAAGTACTAGAAGATCACTGAATAAAGTCTTAATAATGACAATAAATTTAAAATTGCAAAAATGTATAGTATGGCTCATTATAAAGTCAAGGTAGTAATCTTTCATTTTTTAAATAGGGAAAAATACTTGCTATAGACGCTAGAGGCCAATTAGATGGAGAGTTAATAAAGCTTACTGAAAACAAAAGAACAACAAAAGAATATTTTTTTGACAATGGACAATTTTGAACATATTTATAATCTACTGAAAATAATCTATTGCATAGAAAGAGAATGAAGATGCCATACAGAGAATAATTCTATAACTAGATAGGAAGTGTGAGTTCAAAGGGAAAATATGATATATAAATTCATTTTTTGTTGCATACTCTAAATTATTTATCAAATCTTGTTTTATTGTACTATTTTTCCATAAAAATGTAAGCTCACTGACAGAAGTTGGTGACATATTTGCATTCCATGTCATACTTTTTAATAATAAATCTATAAGGCTAAAATATTAGTTAATTGGCTACATCTAATGACAATTATATTTAATAATTTTTTGAATAGTGCTTTTAAAAGCAACGGATGAGATTTAAAGCTTTCTAAAAAGTAAAATTTGTGTTTCTAAAAGATGGACATTATTGTTGCTTCTATAAAATTAATATATATTCTCATTAAATATTATTATTTCTCATAATTAACCTAAAAAAATTATATAAATGTTGCGGTAAACTTGATCTATGATAATTTTTTATTACATTGATTGATGTATATACAGATAAGTATCATGATAAGATGATTTATTTCAAAAATTCACACATTTTTTAAAGTAAGCTACAAAACTGAGCAAAAATTGTTTTCACCTATTGGTTTCTTCCTGAGTGATCCAAATGTTTGTCTTCTCTCTTTTATTTTATGTTTAGATTTTCTGTGGTTTGGAATTTTGGTGCTTAATGGTATTCATCAGTGCTTTTGGATTTTACACATTCGAGGTTATCCAGATTGTTATTTTATTCATTTCCATCTGGTCAAGTGATTACAACCATTTCTCTCCAATGTAGACTCCATAAAAGCTGTTTCTCTCATCCTTAGGAGTCATTAATATAAACACATACATCAAAAAAAGAGCCTAAAGATTATTTGAAAGTTTAAGTAGTAATGTAATGTGGTAGCTTGAAATAAATCAAATAATTCTTAATATGGAAAAATTGGCTATATTATTTTGCAGATTAGAAAACTTTGTAGTCATCACTTTGTTTTTTGGGTTCTATTCAGACTGGCAGATAATTTGGTATTTGGCCTATATATGTGATGTCTAGGGGGAAGAAACAAGAATAATAATTCTGTAGGAGAAAGAATATAACCCTAGGAATTATCACTGGATTTCAAAGAAAGAACGAGCAAGGGGATCTTCTCACAATCACTAGCAATATACTCTCTTCACTTGATATAGTCTTCATTGTTGGTTCAATAACATTTAATTCTAACTCAAATCCTTAGGTACACTATGCTAGAAAATAAATTCCTACTTTGCCCATTGCTTATCCTGTTGAAAAGAAACAATATGTTGTAGTATACAAGAACTTCAGGTTTCCTACTTTGTTTTTAGTCCTAAGAGCTGTACGTGTTTGTCACTGGTTCCATCAATACAAAGTGCATTGTTTTGTGCAGATGGGCAGCAAATGTATTTGAAGCTCAGTACTCAGGAACTTTCCCAATGGCCTCCCTTAAAGTAGTTTTAGCTTGCCAAGTGCTAACGATATGCACACACCTCCACACCATTCAATTTGCCCATATAAGCTACCACCTTGGGTCCTGTAATTCACTCTTAAGCATACCGCTAAAGTCCACCCAATCTTATCTGTCTAATGACATTCTTATACTTTAGGTGCCTTAAATCTGAGGGTCACATATTTCTGTAAGACTCTCAGTCTTTCAAAAGTGATAACTGTGTGCGTGTGTATTCAAATTTTCAATTTTATTTATATTCTGGATGAAAATATAATACATTATTTGGGAAGTTATTTTCAAATTTATACACCCATTTGATAACATACCCATTTGTATGTATACATATATACACATATGCTTTTGAAAATGTGTAGGTTATTAATGTACTTAACATTTAGAATTAAATATCCTATGTTCTTGTGTTCAGGAGTTCTACAGTTGCACACTAGATCGCTAACAATAATCAGTGACATCTCAATTGGCAAAGTGAAGTGGAATTGTGAGCAATTATCTGTAAAATCTATTATATATGTGTATACACACACACATACACACACACACACACACACACACACACAACCACCATGAAAATTTTAGGTTAAAATAGTTAGTTTTCCCCCATGTAGCGGTGTTTTCTCTTTCTATATAATTTCCATACTACCTATGTAAGACATATTCGGATAATTTCGGGGTTTTTTGTTTTACATTGCCTCTGTGGACCGCAAAAACATCAATGCTTGCAAGAAATTTAGTGTATAAATTCACCAGTATTCTGCTTCTATACAGAGCACACATTCTCTGACTGCTTGTTAGGGATGGTATATAAACGTGTTTATTTGTGAGTATTGATTCAGCTTGGGTTTTTAATAAAGTAGCTACTTAAATATGCTTAAAAAAATCTTGTGACATTTCAGAAAATTAGAGAAAAAAATGTATTCATTCACTTTCAACACAGCCATTTATAATAAATATTGCCATGTATTTCCTCTTACATTTGCTTTCACAAATGCCTAATTTACAATTAACTTGATAAAATATTGTTCCATGGTGATTGTGTATTTCCAAATTTTACATTTTTTACTTAATAATCTAACAACCAGCATTATTGAAATTAAGTGGTAAATTATCAAATATTTATTTGTATCCAACCACAATATAGTTAAAATCATCGAATATGGGCAAGGTTTTTTTGTATTTTTTTAAGTCATATATATGTACATATAAATCCGTTAAATTCTTCATTTGGGCTAGCTTTATCAGTTTTTAGAAGTATAGGTTAAGGGTAAAGAATAGAAGGAAATATGAGAAATATGCTTCTAAAAGTAACAAAAATATACAGGAGTAATAACAATTTGATATTCATAATCTCATGATTCTGAATTAATTTATAAGTAGATATAATTTTCTACATATATATGACTTTTTACAAAATTGTGATTATCATATATATGAAAAATATATAATTGATTTGCGTTCTGATTTTAGCAAGTACAAGTATATCAAAATTTCTTTGTTTCTAAGGATATTTGATAATTATTAAAAAGATATGAGAACATTTATTTACATATTACCATAAAATTTATTAATTTTTTATAATGCTACTGGAGTTCCAAAATTTTTGGATCATTTACTATGTCAAGAAACATTAACATTATTTTGTTTCTTGCTACGTACTATAAAGTAGACTTCTGTAAGAACAAAGCAAATAATAATGAATACACCAATTTTGTTAAATTTTTAAAAATCTTGTGGGGCTTTTGATTGGAATTGTTTTCTACTATAAAAAGAGAAGAATTTATTTTATAAGAATGTTTAATTCTCCATTATATATCTTTCACATGTATTATAACATTTGTTATTAAATTAATAATTTTTGATTGACCATTGATATTTTTTGGTGCGATTGTAATTTACACAATGCTATTTAATACTTAAATTTGTTTAAACTTAATTTTATTAAGGAAATGTCAAATACCTGATACATGCAAATATAAATTTCTTAAATTAATTAGTAACTACATATTTCTTAAGATAATGAGACATATAATAGTTAATGGTTTATTTTAAATCGTGATTTATTTAATATTAAAGTCACAATTTCTCATTTCTTTTTCTAAAGGCTGATTAATATATGAATGCACATCTTCTTGTATGTATACCTTAATAAACTTTTTTTTTATTACACTTTAAGTTTTAGGGTACATGTGCACAACTTGCAGGTTTGTTACATATGTATACATGTGCCATGTTGGTGTGCTGCACCCATTAACTCGTCATTTAGCATTAGGTATAACTCCTAATGCTATCCCTCCCCCCTCCCCCCACCCCACAACAGGCCCCGGTGTGTGATGTTCCCTTCCCTGTGTCCATGTGTTCTCATTGTTCAACTCCCACTTAGGATTGAGAACATGTGGTGTTTGGGGTTTTCTGTTCCTGTGTTAGTTTGCTGAGAATGATGGTTTCCAGCTTCATCCATGTCCCTGCAAAGGACATGAACTCATCCTTTTTTATGGCTGCATAGTATTCCATGGTGTATATGTGCCACATTTTCTTTATCAAGTCTATCACTGATGGGCATTTGGGCTGGTTCCTAGTCTCTGCTATTGTGAACAGTGCTGCAATAAACACACATGTGCACGTGTCTTTATAGTAGAAAAATTTATAATCCTTTTGGTATATACCCTGTAATGGGATTTCTGGGTCACATAGTATTTCTGGTTCTAGATCCTTGAGGAATTGCCATACTGTCTTCCACAATGGCTGAACTAATTTACACTCCCACCAACAGTGTAAAAGTATTCCTATTTTTCCACATCCTCTTCAGCATCTGTTGTTTCCTGACTTTTTAATGATCGCCATGAGATGGTATCTCATTGTGGTTTTGATTTTCATTTCTCTAATGACCAGTGATGATAAGCTTTTTTTCATATGTTTGTTGGCCACATAAATGTCTTCTTTTGAGAAGTGCCTGTTCATATCCTTTGCCCACTTTTTGATGGAGTTTTTTTTTTTTTCCTGTATATTTGTTTAAGTTCTTTGTAGATTCTGGATATTAGCTCTTTGTCAGATAGATAGATTGCAAAAATTTTCTTCCATTCTGTAGGTTGTCTGTTCACTCTGATGATAGTTTCTTTTGCTGTGCAGAAGCTCTTTAGTTTAATTAGATACTATTTGTCAATTCTGGCTTTTGTTGCCATTGCTTTTGATGTTTTAGTCATGAAGTCTTTGCCCATGTCTATGGTACTGCCTAGGTTTTCTTCTAGGGTTTTTATTGTTTTAGTCTTTAATCCATCTTGAGTTAATTTTTGTATAAGGTGTAAGGAAGGGGTCCAGTTTCAGTTTTCTGCATATGGCTAGCCAGTTTTCCCAACACCATTTATTGAATAGGGAATCCTTTCCTCATTGCTTGTTTTTGTCAGGTTTGTCAAAAATTAGATGGATTTTCAGAGGAATCAGTGGAGATATATTCCAAGAAGTATATTTTCACCATAAGAAACTATGTATATTAAGGAGATTAAAAATTTGTGATCAAACACATTTGCAAATTGGTGGAAAATGTAAATTTTTCAATCCCAGTATTTAAACAAGCTGTGTCTTCATTATTATTTTCATTTATCCAATTATATTAGTAAGTGCTTATTGATTATCTATGTTGTTCAGGTATTAGGTGAGGTATTTGTGATACTAACATTAAAAAGACAACAGTTCCTATTCTTAAGCTTCTTACAAGGCTTTTGGGTTTCTTAGTTGGGTCATTGGTGTCCCAATTAATCCACACTCATCATCAAGACTCTACCTTCTTTCTTTGTTGTACTTTTTCATACAAATTTTGTAATACAATTTTCATTTAACTTTCCTTCTAAAATGATGTTATTTTCAATTAGAATCTCATCAAGTCTTTATTTTAATTGGATCACAGTAAAAGGAATGCTCATTTTAATCTGTAGGTGTCCACCATCAGTCTTGAAAAATGGAATTCTAAATGGTATTCAACAGATTTCATAATGTGATCACTGATTAAATTTTGCAGGTGATCATTCTGATTTTGATAAATTTTATGATTTAATTAAATGGAAAGCTGTGAGATCAAGATTAATATTCATTGTAAACACTTTCCTAATTGGAATTTTAAAAATTGTATTTGAAAACACTTCCACTTCCTTTTTTTTTGTTTCTCATTCTTTCTCTTTTACCTTCAATCACTTGGTAATTCTCCAAATCAGCTTAAAGAAAACCAAAGAAAGGTAAATATTACATTAATCATCCTCTCTTTTCTCTTATTTGACTTCATCATTATCACTCTACTACCTGGAAAAATAAAGGAAATTTCCAACCTAAATCTTAATATTTCCACATTTTATACTCTTAAATATATATTAAAATAGAAAGGGGCTATCTGGATATTTTATTAAAAAATAAACTGTAACATACTATAAATCAAGCTTAGTTAAATATGTGTCTTTATAGGAACTACTTCCCACTTTCCCTATTAACATCATTTTTACTGTTGTCTATTTCTTTTGGAAAATCAGATTTGTAAATATTTTTGACAAGTATGTTACTCTCTATACCTCAATAACCACATTGGCTAATTTTTAATGCATCTATCCCTTTCTTTTTCTTTCTTTTATTACTTTTATATATTTTATGATTTTCATTCTCTCGACAATAACTGAAGTATTGTAGGTAGATCTACTGTCATTATTTTTACAACAAATCCACATATTTATGTCATAGTATCATTCAATGTTATTTGACCATATTATAACATATAATATCTTTGAGACCTAGTATGGAAACCATATCATGTGCTGCTTAAAATCCAAGGTGTTTTGCATATAAATACGAATATTTTATTAGTCCCTATAACTTGTCAGAATGGCAGTATGATGAAATGTAAACAACAGAATTGGAGATTTTAAAATCTTATATTTATGTCATCCTTTTTCTTTATTTTACAACCAGATTCATACTTGAGCATAGGAAATTTCTTATCTGTGAATTTGAGATAATCTCAAGCCTAAAACATCAAAAATGTGTGTATACACATTTTTTCATTTTCATATACATTAGTCCATTGCTTTTATATTGCAAATTCTAACAAATATTTCAATCTCATTTCTTATTCCATCCCAGACCATCTTCTGTGTTCCAGCCAACTAAATGTTTATGTCACCCACCACACATCATTTATTGAGTTAGTGTGTGAAAAATCTATAAAAATTATAAAGATGTACTTCAAAGTATTTTTGCTGTCACAATGGCTATGTTTTTGCTGTTGTGTGTGAAACATGGCAGATACTTTTCCTGATCTTTAAAAATCATGGCTCCTCAGTTTGAATGCCTCTCAATTCAAAACTCAACCTCACCCAAATAATTATATATGTAGCTTTAATTTATATTTATATGTACATTGGTAGATGAGTATATAAAAGACTTGCCTTTGCTAAAAATATAAGGAAAAATGCTAATAATGAAAGGGAATACAAATTACCAGAATTTGAAATGTTTTTACTGAAAGCTTGATGCATTTGCAAGTGTCATGGGACAAGTAAGTAAATCTGATCAATCATAATAACAATGTGGCTTTATTAGTTTCATTTAATGCATATAATCACGTTACTAAAAACCCCATAAAGTACATAAGAAAACTCATAAGGATTTGTTTTAGTACTAGTGGAAAACATAGGAATTTTAGAAAGTCTCAGTATATATCTCTTGCAGATGCCGAAGACTTACTACTCTGTTGAAACCTAAACTCATAATCAAGTGAATTAATTTATATTCTTACATTTTTTATTATATGTGCTTTTATACGGAATTATAATATATGCCAATTGACATTAAATCTCACAGTATTTTTTCTTATTTATGTAACCATGGTTATTGAGTATGTCTAATAAGTATTGATTGCATAATTTACTAATTATATAAACCACTATGTTTCCAGTGGAGAGATTATATGTGATGTACACAGAAGAAAATAAAAGATACCAATTGATATTACATAAGGATGATTATTGAACAAAACATTTCAAACCAATATCCAAATTGCTGAATTTACAATGTCAAAACAGATTCAGAATATTATGAAACTTACAAATCTTTCATTACAGAGATATGCACTAGCAGTTTTCTTTTACATTATTTAAGTAATTAAGGTTATTTTTGCCCCAAAACATTAAAAAAATTATCTTTTAGTGGTAGAATTATTCTTTTAGGGATTTAATCATTCATTCTATAAATACACTTTGTATCTGTACAGTATTCTGAATGATGTATTCTAATATGTAAATAAATAAATAAAGTAAACTTTAAAAATCTCATATTTTTGAAATATTTTTGTTCTTTCATAACGTTTTTCTTTAGCTAGCATGCTGGGTATATTTTTAGAAAGGTATGTGTTTAGAATTCTTTGGAAGCTACTCTAAATTAAAGTCACATTATTTCCATGGTGTTAAATTATGCTGTTTGGAAAGTACATTTACTGTGTATTTTTTAAACTAATGAGCTACAAAGAAATACAATGAATAATTCATATAACTGAAATATTTTAATTATAAGCAAAAAAAACTTATGATCTTAAAGAGTTAATGAAGCCCCAATGATCCTGTCCATTGTAGGCACTGGCCTAGAGTTAATATTCATTACAGATAGCTTCTTTTACCTAATCTATTTTGCATTATTTCCTAGCTAAATTTGCCTATATGACTTTACCAACTCCTACTTAATGTTTATAGAGAGCTTTGAATTTGGAAAGTGCTATAGCAGAATCCATTCTTACTTATTATCACGTATAATGAGAATTCAGCAACATAGATTAAATCTCACTTTGCAAATGACATTTCTTAGTGTAGCCAATGTGAATGTGGCTTCCTTATTTTAAGCCTCGCATACTTGTCTATTTAGCAGTAATTAATTTGATATTCTTTGATATTTTCAAAGGTAAAAATTATTTTTCCATCTTTTAAAGTACCATTTGATCGTGGAAAAGGCATTTATAAGTTACAGATGTTCTAATCATTCCAAATAAAAATTAACCAGACATGAAAATGTCTAAGAGTATAAGCAATATTTTCTATATAAATATTTTGTTTTTCTGAACTTAAGTAATTTTACAAGTTTCTATTTCACTGTAGGACAGAGAATGCTTGACAAAGATGGCTAGTCCCAAAAGTTGCCTTGGGTTTGCACCACTTCAGGTAAATCTGCATTTGTTTATTTCCCAGGCAACCTAAGGTTATCCAATCTAAAAAATTATTTACTTATATGATAAAGAGTTGCTTCTCCAGCAAAGCCTTAGGCAATCTAGTAACTATAATGAATTTCCTTGTCTTCTAATTTTAAAAAATTAATCAAATTCCTGCCTGTTTACTTATTTTCCTCCCTATGTGTTGACTCCATTTGGTAGGAGTGTCCTTTTGGTACTTGTCTATTTGTTTGACTTCTGATACACTTCACGTGGCATGACTTAGTCTGCAGCTCTGCTTTTTCTGTTTTTAGTTTTCTGCTTTTCAGTTTTTCTAATCTTCCTGTGCTTAACTTCCAACCCTCAGTCAGATAAGAATAATTCATTCTGCCCCATAGTTTCCATCATACCCACTGCTGACAGCCATCCACAATCATGTTGATGATAGTTACGTTTTCCCAATTAGGCGTTTTGGTACATTTAACTAACTATGTTAGCTGCATAAGCTTTTTTCCTCTGAAACTGCATTTTGATGGATGATAACTTAGAAGCCAATGAAAAAGAGCATTCAATTATTCAATTGATATCACATTAATTTTTTAAATACCACTTCCAGCATATTGCTAACTTACTGAAAATCAACCTATACCTTTCCACTTCTTAAAGGATGGCAATCTGCTTTATCAGCCAGAGCAATCAAGGCCCTCCATAACTTGACCAGTCCATCTTAACTCACATTACTTGAGAGTAGATAGTTCTCTGTTTCCTTAGTGATAATGTGAATTTCAAACTCGGCATGTGTGCTACTTCCATTTTCCTCATTAGAAATGGTTTTCTTCTTTATTACATTTCCAATTTTTGTTTCCTTCAATGTCCAACTTCGATTTCATTAAGACTTTTTGAATACCAAAATAATTAAAAACTTTGATTATTTACATTGTTTAACACAAAAATAATTTTTGAAGTTTTGGTTGTCTTATGTGTTTATGGTTTTACATCATTTTAAAAACACTGTAACCTATTTGAAAAACAGGAGCACAGTGCAGTATTCTTATAAGGCCAAATCAGTCTTAAGTAGGTTCTCAATTCACATGATTTATTACTTTATTGAGAAATGGCTGTGTTATATATTTGAACTCACAGGCACTATTACTTAAAATATTAATATTACTACAGAATTTCTTCTTTGGTTAAAAACTCTTCAGTTATGTGTTCCATTTTAGAGATATTCTTTGTTGTGTAACGAAATTTGTGTATTTGTTATTGCTTAAAAGTTGTGATTTTAAGAAATTGATGATAGAGGGCTAGGTTATGTATTTAGAAACAGACAGAAGGATTGCTAATTTACAACATATAAAATGGAAGACCATGGTAAAAATTTAAATGTGATTGCATAAAACCAAAATTGTCACTGTAGTTTCACCCTCAAACCTGTCCCTAAGGATCATGATGGTTCATTGTTTCTGTTTCTTTTAGAAAAACCTATACAGATATAAGAACATATTTTGCATATGCATATGGATAGCTGTTGGCATGTACACGTAGGTATATATATAGATATATTTGACATATAAATGCATATACATATATATACTTTTACTTGATCATTCATCTACATCTATGTCTACCTATCTATATATGAGACAGTGAGAGAAAATAATAATACATTTTATACTATTCATATTTATGTTTTAATTTGCTTTTCTCAAAATGATATAGTTCTATGACAGTAAATATATTTTCAACTTACATTAGTAGCAGCTGCAGAGTATTTCATAATGTTTGTATAGCATAGTTATGCGATTAAACACGATGTTTTTAGAAGCTACAAAAAACCATCCTTTAATTATGATCTCCACCAATATTTATTATGTGATTTTTTAACATAGAAGGAAAAGATGACTTAATCAAGAGGAACACATTAATCAAGACTTGAACTGACTTCATTTCTTAGTGTTCCTTACGTTTCTACAACAGAGAGGTGACATGCTCTTTCCTCTACCTGGAATGCTTTTTTCCATATCCATTTGGTACTTCCTACTCATTTCCTAAACTTCAGCTTAATGCCAGTATGTCAAGGAAAGCCTCACTGGCCCTAAACCAAAGTATTTTACTGTATCTTATCACTTCAGTGCTTGACATTTAAAAATCTTATGACAATTATAATTACAAATTATTTGTGAATTTTTTGACTAATGTCTGTCTGCTTTTACCAGACTAAATTTCATGAGGTTATCAGCTATGCTTACCACTGTCTGTGGTACACAATAGGTCCTCAAAAAGTATCTGACAGTTAATAGAAAATATCTGACAGTTAATTAACAAGATCTTGAAAAATTACAAGCTTTAGCATTATCAGCCGGTGCGACCTAGAGGTAGCTGCCTTGTATAAAGCCCAACACTGTGCTAAGCACTTCGTAGGATTTATCCTCTTAATCTTTACTACAACTTTTAGGTAGCTTTTACTATTAGAGGAACTTCAGATCTAGTGTATATTGATTGCAAGTTCTAACCAGAATTATAAGAAAAATTTAGTTTTCTCTGAACTTTTATATTGGGGGGCAAGTGTTCAATCACAAGAGTGATATACAATAGACACCAATTTGTGTCATTCAGTGACACTGTGTTCCTGCCACAAGGTCAGCTCTGTGCTAACCTAACCTCTTTATTATATCTTCTGTTAATTGACGTATCATTTTGCTTTTTTCCAAGTCTTACAAATCTGCCTAGAGCTTTCAACTTGGCTACATTGCAATATATATTATTTATTTGCAAATTTATAATTTCCAAAAAGAAGTAGTATATTGAATTCTGTATAACGATGCAATTCATGTTATCTATATTATATACCTGCTTTCACTATTTTAAATTGTAAATATTTTTTCCTTTTAAAATTATTAACAGAATTATTGGTTTATAATTAATATACAATACATGAATATATGTATATATTTATAAATCTATATTATATATGTGTATATATAGTTTTACAACCATCAATATAATTTCATGTTAGTAAATTCACCCCAAAAAAGAAACCCTTTACCCATTTCTTAGTCATGATAGTCACTGCCCCAAACCCCTTTTTGTCAGCTCCACAGAAACCATGAAATTACTTTTTGTCTCTACATATATTTATCCATTCTGTGCACTTCACATAAATGAATAATACAATACAGATTACTTTGTAATTGGTTTATTTCATTTACCATAATGTTTCAAGTATTATCCATGTTGTGCCATGTATCAGTACTTCCTTTTATAGCCATATATTCTATTGTATAAATGTAACACATCTTATTTATGCTATTGTTTTTCAGTTGATGGACATTTTGGTTGTTTCTGGTTTGGGCTATTATGAATAATAAATATTTTATGAATATTCATATACAAGATTTTACACACATGTATGCGCAGACATATATATTTATTTCTCTTAGGTATACAGTAGGAGCGGGATGGCTTGGTCCTGTGTTATGTATATGTTTAATATTTTAAGTGACCATTAAACTGTTTCCAAAGCAGCTGTATTACATTCCCACCAGCAAAGTGTGGTATGATAAATGAAATATATAAATTCTCCACATTCTTGCCGACACTTGTTATTATCTATCTTTTTTGTTATAGATATGTAGCAGACATGAAGTAGTATCTTTTCATGATTTTAATTTGCATTTCCCTAATGACTATTGACATGGTGAATCTTACTATATTTTTATTGGATATTTGTACATTTTTGGAATAAATATTTAAATCCATTGCCCAATTTAATTGAGTTATATTTTTTCTTTTCCTTTTTTTTTCTTTAATTTTACTTTAATTTCTGGGACACATGGCACTTATTCTAAAGTCAACCACATAATTGGAAGTAAAATACTCCTCAGCAAATGCAAAAGAATGGATATCGTACCAAACAATCTCTCATATCACAGTGCAATCAAATTAGAACTCAGGATTAAGGAACTCACTCAAATCATACAACTACATGGAAATTGAACAACCTCCTCCTGAATGACTACTGGGTAAACAATAAAATTAAGGCAGAAATCAAGAAGTTCTTTGAAACCAATGAGAACAAAAAGACAATGTACCAGAATCTCTGGGCCACAGCTAAAGCAGTGTTAAGAGGGAAATGTATAGCACTAAATGCCCACATCTGAAAGCTGGAAAGATCTCAAGTCGACAGCCTAACATCACCACTAAAAGAGCTAGAGAAGCAAGGGCAAACAAATCCAAAAGCTAGCAGAAGACAAGAAATCACTAAGATCAGAGAAGAACTGAAGGAGATAGAGACACAAAAACCCTTCAAAAATATTCAGTGAATCCCGGAGCTGTTTTTTTTTTTTAAATCTAACAAAATAGATAGACCACTAGCTGGACAAATAAAGAAGAAAAGAGAGAAGAATCAAATAGACACAATAAAAAATGATAAAGGAGATGCCACCACTGACCCCGCACAAATATAGACTACCATCAGAGAATATTATAAACACGTCTACACAAATAAGCTACACAAATCTAGAAGAAATGGATATATTCCTGGATACATACACATTCCCAAGACTAAGTCAAGAATAAGTTGAATCCCTGAATAGATCAATTACAAGTTCTAAAATTGAGGAAGTAATTAACAGCCTACCAACCAAAAAGAGCCCAGGACCAGACGGATTCACAGCCAAATTCTACCAGAGATACAAGGAGGAACTGGTACCATTCCTTCTGAAATTATTCCAAACAAATGAAAAGGAGGGACTCCTTCCTAACTTATTTTATGTGGCCAGTATCATCCTGATGCCCAAACCTGGGAGAAACAGAACAAAAAAGAAAACTTCAGGCCAATATCCCTAATAAACATCGATGCGAAAATCCTCAATAAAATACTGGCAAATCAAATCCAGCAGCACATCAAAAAGCTTACCTACCATGATCAAGTCGATTTCATCCCTGAGATGAAGACTGGTTTAACATATTCAAATCAATAATCATAATCTATCACATAAGCAGAACCAACGACAAAAACCACATGATCATCTCAATAATTGCAGAAAAGGCCTTTGATAAAATTTATGTTAAAAACTCTCAATAAATGAGGTATTCATGGAACATATCTCAAAATAATAAGAGCTATTTATGACAAACCCACAGCCAATCATACTGAATGGGCAAAAGCTGGAAGCATTCCCTTTGAAAACTGGCACAAGACAAGGATGCCCTTGATTACCACTCTTATTCAACATAGAAGTTCTGGCCAGGGTAATCAGGCCAGAGAAAGAAATAAAGCATATTCAAATAGGAAGAGAAAATGTCAAATTGTCTCTGTTTGCAGATGACATGATTGTGTATTTACAAAACCCTGTGGTCTCAGCCCAAAAACTCCTTAAGCTGGTAAGCTACTTCAGCAAAATGTCAGGATACAAAATCAATGTGCAAAAATCACAAGTATTCCTATACACCAACAATGGACAAGCAGAGAGCCAAATCATGAATGAGTTATTTGTTTTTATTATTGAGTTGCAACAATTATTTATTGATTCTGGGAAACAATTCAGTGTCAAACATATGAGTCACAAATATTTTCTCATTCTGCACGTTGTCTTTTTACTTTTTTTCTCTTTCTTTTTTTTTTTTTTTTTTTTTTTTTGAGACAGTGTCTTCCTTCTGTCGCTAAGGCTGGAGTGCAGAGGTGCGGTACAATCATAACTCACTGCAGCCTCGACCTCCTGGGCTCATGAAATCCTTCTACTTTAGCCTCCCGAGTAGCTGGGTCTCCAGGGCTACAGGCATGTATCATGATGTCTAGCTAATTTCATTTGTATTTGTGTGTTTGTGGCAACAATATTTTGCTGTGTCCTTGGCTGGTCCTGAATTACTGGTTTCAAGGGATCCTCCCTCCTCAGCCTCCCAAATTGCTGTGACTACAGGCATGAGTCACTGCACCCAGGCTCACTTTCTTAATTGTATTGTTTGGATTACATTGGTGCAAAAGTAATTGCTGTTTTTGCCAAGGTAATGGCAAAAAACCACAATCATTTTCTTGCACCAACCTAATAGCACCAAATGTATGTTTGTATGTGTCTGTCCTGTACCTAAGAAAGCATTGCCTAATCTAAGGTCGTGGATATGTACTGCTATGTTTTCTTCAAAAAGTTTTAGTTTTACCTTCTAAACTTATTTTAAAACATTCAAGTCATAGTTTTCATCATGTACAATAAAAATTTGTTTATGTTTCCTCGTTAATCTATCCATGAATGAGAATGATTACCTACTTCCTTGAATCTGCAAGTGCAGAGTATAATTCTGTCACAGTTTGGAGTTAACTAAAAACATCAATTCAACCTAAACAATGTTGTCAGATGGAAACATTTGTTGTATTTCTTTTCCTTTCTTTCTTTCTTTCTCTCTCTTTTTCTTTCTTTCTTTCTTCTTTCTTTCTTTCTCTTCCTTTCCTTCTTTCTTTCTTTTTCTTCCTTTCTCTTTCTCTCTTTTTCTCTTTCTCTCTTTCCTTTTTTAAATTATTATTGTACTTTAAGTTTTAGGGTACATGTGCACAACGTGCAGGTTTGCTACATATGTACACATCTGCCATGTTGGTGTGCTGCACCCATTAATTCATCATTTACATTAGGTATATCTCCTAATGCTATCCCTCCACACTCCCCCCACCCCACAACAGTCCCCAGTGTGTGATGTTCCCCTTCCTGTGTCCATGTGTTCTCATTGTTCAATTCCCACCTATGAGTGAGAACATGCGGTGTTTGGTTTTTTGTCCTTGCAATAGTTTGCTTTTTTTTTTTTATTGAGTGAGACAGAGTCTCACTCTATCTCCCAGGCTGGAGTGCAGTGGCTCCATCTCTGCTCACTGCAACCTCCACCTCCCAGGCTCAAGCAATTCTCCTGCCTCAGCCTCCCAAGTACCTGGAATTACAGGCGCCTACCACCACACCCAGCTAATTTTTGTATTTTTAGTAGACAGGGTTTCACCATGTTAGCCAGGCTGGTCTCCAACTCCTGATCTCAGGTGGTCTGCCCACCTTGGCCTCCCAAAGTGTTGGGATTACAGCTGTGAGCCACCACACCTGGCCAATTTATTATATTTCTAAAGCGTGGTTTACTCAACCATATGTTTAACCTCCAGGATTTCTAAATGTGAACTCCAATCTCAATAATGGTTATTTTTTTAATTTGTATTTTTATTTATTATTTTGTATTTGGGCATCCTTAAAATGGACAAACTGACTGTTTAAGCTTTCCTCTAATTTGCTCACAGTAATGACCTATCAGCCATTTATTAACATAGAAATTATGGCTCTATAGTCTTCTATAATGAATTCATTCTCCTTTGTTATATATTACAGTGAGCACACTGTTAGAATAATGCCATTCTGGAATATTTAGAACCTTCAAGAAAAGTAGCTTTATACTATTTAATATAACTTTTGTTTTTAAATGTAACTTTTATGTAAGCTATGGTTTAATCATGTAAATCTCATTCCAAGTGGATTTTGATATATTGACATAAACTAAAGATTAGTCTACACCATCATAACATTCAGTCAACATATTGACTTTAGAGGAAGCTTTATATTTCACCTTTCTTATGTCTGTCAGAGCCAGTGAGTACACGGTACTAAGTGCTCTGTTTCATCCACATTTTCAATCCTATATTAGGTTTCTTACTGTCAAAGAAGATCTAATGAGCCATTTATAATTTATCTTTTTATAGATTTCAAAGAGCCCTGTTAGAATTTTAAATATGAGGGAGAATGTGAATAGAAGCCTCAGGGAAAACTACTAAATTTAGTAAGATACACAATATTTTAAAAATGTTAAGCAACATATACCTACTTAGAGAGATATTTTAAATTTTAATTAATGCATATAAAGTGCCTTCATCATATAAATGTAGATAGATAGCAATACTGACAAAATAATAAGCAGTTAAACTCATGTACCTACAAATATTGTAAATGTCCCAACAATGATAAAATTAATCGATACATGCTATTTATAAGGAAATCTAAAATTGTATAGGTTAATTTAAAGTGCTTCTATGAGTCAGAATAATAAGCAGAAATAATGTGATTTTAAAGAAATTCTGTCAACTGTATCACAATATATTGCCTAATATTTTCAAGTGTCAAACAAGCCCAATTTAAAATGGATAATGTAGAAATACAGTGAATATCCTATGAACATATATCAAGTGCTTATTATAAAAAATGTGGTGTGCAGAGGGAGAGAGTAAGTCTAAGCATAATCCTCACTCTCTCAAATATTTTAATAGATTCAGACAGGCAGAAAAGTGCTAAGTTATCTCCAGACCAACTACAATATATCATTAAAAACATAAACAGATAATTGTGAAATAAGAGGATGGAAGTGTTATTTTAAGTTGTTTTTTTAAGGAAGTATCCATTGTTTCTCACTTATACCTATTAAGACGGCTAGTCTATTTTTTAAAAGAAGAAGAAATAGCAAGTGCTGATGGGGATGTGGAGAAATTGGAATCTTTGTGTATTGCTGGTGGGGACGGATGTAAAATGTGCAGCTGCTGTGAAAAACAGTATGATGGTTTTTCAAAAAATTATAGAGTTACCCTATGATCTAAAATTCCCACTTTTAGGTAAGTACTTAAAATTGAAAATAGAAACTTGAACAGTGATTTGTACATCAGTATTTCATGGCAGCATTACTCACAATAGCTGCAATGTGGAAATAACTCAATTGTCAATCAACAGATGAATGGATAAACAAAATTTGGTGTATATGCACAATAGAATATTGCTCAGCCTTAAAAAGGAATCAAATTCTGATATATGCTACAGCAGATGTGAACCTTGAAAACATGTTAAGTGATATGCTAGATGCAAAAAGGATAAATAACATGTGATTTCATTTATATGAGGTACCCAGAACAATTTCATTCATAGAGACAGAAAGTATAATAGTGGCTACATGGGGATGGTAGAAGAGATAACAGAGTGATTGTCTAATGGGTACAGAGTTTCAGTTGTGGATAATAAAAAAGATAGTGGTGATGGTGATTGCACAAGAATGTCAGTACACTTAATGCCACTGAATTGTACACTTAAAAATGGTCAAAATGGGCTGGGCACAGTGGCTGATGCCTGTAATCCCAGCAGTTTGGGAGGCTGAGGCCGGCAGATCACAAGGTCAGGAGATCGAGATCGGCCTAACCAACATGGTGAAACCCCGTCTCTACTAAAAATACAAAAATTATCTGGGCGTAGTGGCGTGTGCTTATAATCCCAGCTACTCGGGAGGCTGAGGCAGGAGAATTGCTTGAACCCAGGAGGTGGAGCTTGCAGTGGGCAGAGATCACGCTGCTGCACTTCAGCCTGGGTGACAGAGAAAGACTCTATCTCAAAAAGAAAAAAAAAAAAGGTTAAAATGGCAAATTCCATGTTATGTATATTTAAACAAAATGAAAATAATTTTACAAAAAGAAAATAAGGATCGATGCAGGATATCTGATTTCTGATAGTGTGGGATCTGAGCTAGCACTGAAGAAGAGATGAATGGAAAAAAGAATAATGAGAGGAAAGAAAAGAGCTGAGCAAAAGTGCAGATTTATTAAGTTGAACAACAATAAAATTGTCACTGTGGCTAGAGCATCAGATCTATACATGGATGTGGACTGAACTCAAGAAGAAATGTGGGAGGTCAGAAATGGATAATAATAAATGTTAATCTAAAGCTTTGGGCATTAGGTATTTCCTACTAAATAGTGAGTGGTAATTTTGTAGATACTATCCCTGCAAAAATCTTAGTAAAGGCAGAGTCCGCTGACAAGAGAAAAGTATAACAGGATATATATAATGTCTGAAGCCATGACTGCCTGTATGTGTATGTGTTTAAAGAAACTTACAGAATTAAGACATTGTTTATTGCTCAGATACATGGGAGCAATGATAGAGGAAACTTGAGATTGAATCCTGGGATAAATCCTGCAAAGAATTACCAATAGGTTTAAAAGTTCTGCTCCTTAGTACTAATTAACCAATTGAATTAAATTCAAATACATTTATTCTATGCACTACTTGTCACATAAAATGCGCTCTATATGAATATAAATATTTAAGTATATGATAGTGAACAAGACAATTTGATTCACTTTGTTCACTGAGCATATTCTTGTGCAGAGTCTCCAAAGGGAGATATCTACCTTGGAGAGTGTATAGTAATCTATTAGCATGTAAAAAGTATATTGGAACACTTGCTTATATTGATTTTATTTCCTTCTTTATAATTCATATTTTCCTGAACGAGTTAGATAAATACTATATTAATAGTCATACATATTTGTGAATAAATGTACATGTTATGAGGTTATATATTGAAGCCAAGTAAGTTGATAAAAATTTTGCAGACACCTGTCTTACCAGTTTCTCTAAAATGTACTAAGCTTTATTCTTGAGACAGAAGCCAAAAATAGATAAATATGGGAGAATTAAAGTGGTACAGCATTTTTTTCCTTTCAATCTTCTTCCAAGGCTGAACAAATGCATATATTTTACATAAGGAAAATATTTTCTACCCTAAGGATATGAAGGACAATGTTTTAAAATCTTTTAGAATTTCATGTCACAGGACATATCCTCTTCTGCAGTACACAAGTTTTTTTACATATATATATATAATATAGTACATATAAAAATAAATATATATTAAAATATAAATAATAAATATAAATATGAATAAATATATAATAAACAAATATATATTTAGCTTTTTAACTTCTATATATTATATATAGTTATACATATTTTTAAGTTAAAAAGTTAAATATTTTAAGTTAAAAAAATATATATATGCAGAGAGAGAGAGAGCATGGTTTTCCTCAAGGAATGCTTTTTTTTAAGAAAATATGGGTGTATTTGGTATTTATTGAATTCGTAAAAAGATAAAAGTAGATGGTAATCATATTAATATTTGTAGTGCTAAAATTAAACATGCAGTTTTACCAAGCAACATTTGAAAGAATTCTTGAATATTTTATCTCTATATTCACATGCTTTATTTTTTCACTCAATGCAAATTCCTTTTACTATAAAAATCTAGTGCATAAACTTTTCAAACAATGGGAAAAACATAATTATAAACTACAAAAATATACCATATTTTAAATTTGAAAAATATTTAAATGACTATGTTATCTCAAAAGGGTAATTTGAGAAAATCTTATGAGTAGGCTTCAACTGTCTTTAATAACTTTAACTTAAATTACAGTATCCTCAGCACCACAATTTAGATATTCTCCATTTGACTCTGGGTATACCCATACCTAGCTAAAAATGGGCCTCTCTTCATACCTATCAAATTCAACTCCTTAGCCTCCATCAAAACATCTTACTGCTATGTCCCATTCACTTAGTGACTACTAGTGGATGTTTGTAGGTGATGGGTGATTAATAATTAATCTATTTATAGGTGATTTTTTATTTAAATGTATATATTCTTTGCAAATTACTTTTATTATAAAAAGCACCAAATCCAGACCTTTACTCAACTTCCAAAAATTACAATTTGTGAAAATATTACTCAGTCTTTTTAGGAAATGCAATCAATTCTTCTGAAATCACAACCTTGAGAAAACTATCTTCTAAATCACCGTATTTCTACATTTTAGAGAATTAGGCCTCAGCACTCAGGTGATATTTTTTCCCACATTTAACATTGTATATCACTGTATCACTTTTAAGTGTTTTTTCTAGTTTAATGACCTTCTCTAATTTAATCTAAGACATAGTTTCATCTTAATATATGATGCTATAAAAATAAGGCTTAACTTTAAAATTTCAGATTATATTAGTGAGATTCTAGAGATTTTACAGAAACCAGTTATTTGGATCTCTAAGTAAAGCATGAATTTGCCAGGTTCTAGGTTTTTATCTGTTAATTCTAAGCAGTTTCTACTTATTTGTCTTATTTAGATAAATGTTAAATGGGCTTCCTGAAAAGGAATAAGAATAGAAAATTGTTTCAAAGAAATGCGTTACCCATAAAATACGAAGAACAAAAAAGTTATGGTTAATAGTTTAATTTAATTTTACTTATCCGCTTTCAACACAAACTCTCCCAAATGTTATATATATATATATTTGAAAAATTGCAAGTTAAAATTATACATATTCATTTTAAATATATATTCAACAAATATTACAGCACAGATCTTTTGGCTTTTTTTAATTTTTATTTTAAGTTCAGGGATACATGTGAAGGTTTGCTATATATGCAAACTCATGTCATGAAGGTTTGTTATACAGATTATTTCATCCTCCAAATATATTTGGTGACTATATATGTGTGTGTGTGTGTGTATGTGTGTGTTGATGGCTGATGTGATACTTCAGTTCTTGTCTTCTTAATTGAAAAGAATTTAAACAAGAGAAACACTGCAAAGGAGATGCAGCATAGAGTATTTTATTGCAAAAGAAAAAGGATATTTTGAAAGTGAGGTGCAGAATAGACAGCACACCCCAAGAGAGAGATTCCAGGGCAGGCTGCTTGTAAAAGTGAGGCAGCAAAGACCGGCACTAGGGAGACTCCCTCTCTGGGAGTCTTACAAAATTGTTCATAAGGAGGTGGAAAGTGGCATTGCTAGTAAGCATGTTCTAGGTGGTCCTCTGGGTGCACTTGTACAGTAGCTGTACATGCTTGTTTATACATAGCATGTTTCATTAGCATCTTAAATCTCCACCCAGGAGTGGGTTTTTTACTATTTGATGAGCAAAGGGTCAGTTTGAGGACAGGTGAAATCAAAGTGTTCCTGCCCTGTAGAGGTGAAAGTCCCTACTGAAGATAGCTTTGCTTGAATAAGCTCAATTAAAATGCGAATGTTGAGGCTTATTGTGTTGATCGTAAGGTCACCACGGTAGCTGTGTCCTGAGAACATGGTCACTTCTTTGACTACCTATCCTGCCCCAGTCTCCCCCTAAGAGATCTTAGGGATTATGATTATACGGGAAGTTGAGGGGCTAGGTAATGTCGTCTGAAGCTGCCTCCTCCTGAGTGGGGCACCGACCCTGCCCACCCTAGGCCCTAAAGTCTCTTCCTGCCTGATCTAATGGAATATAAACCATGTTGTCTATGGGACTAGTGGGTAAAATACTGGCAGCCAGAGGTTGAAAGCCCTTGCAAAACCATCATGCAGGAGTGGAGTTGCTGTAAGCGAGAGAGCAAGAAATGGTTAACATTGTAAACAAAGTTGGACCAAAAGTTAAAGCTAAAAGTATGGTATTGACTAATACCACTAAAGGGAGCAAGGCAGGCAATAACCATTGCTTCCAAGTTCCCATAGACCTTCCTAAAGACTCAATTTTGTCCGCATAGGTAATGACATTTTTCACATTTTCTTGGACAAAACCAGACTGATTGATAGAAAAACAGCATTCTTCTTTTAGATACAAACATGGTACTCCTTGCCCGTCTCTGAGAAGACCTAAGGCTCTTTGGTTCTGTAGGACTGCAGTGGCCAGGGAGTCTAGCAGTTGTTTGAAGTCCAGTGAGATCCTTAGCTACTTTTTGGAGGGCCACTGTGGTCTTCTGAGACTGTTTTATTTCTGCAAGATGCTTATGCTCTGCCTCCCATGGCTGACTGGGTTAGTCCCAGAGGAGAAGATAGTACTTACCCCAAAGGAACAAATGGTCCTGCTCAGAGGTGGATCTTGTGATATTAGTACATGGGGCAAGGGAGAGATGCTTTAATACATGTGAAAGTTAAATAAGGAGAAATGTAAGCAATGGAGCATCTCCCCTTGCATGGTAGAGGAAGTTGTAGATATGCCAAAGATCTCACAAACCCCCAAAAATTCCATGTGATGCTGAAATTTGTGCTGCAAAAGTATTTCGCATTAAGATAGTAAAAGTAATAGAAGTTTGGTGGCCATGGGTTTATCAGAGGGTAGTAGAGTTGGGTGGTGGTGTTAATAAGTATTTTTTTAACAATAATATCCCCCTTTTAGGGTCTCATCATAAGGTGTATAGATGACTCACTGACAAATATTTGGTTACACTGACTGTCGCTTGGAGTTTTTCTATAAAGGTAGTGGAACTGGCATTGTTGCTATAAAAACAGAAGGGGAATTGCTGCAGATAAAAGGTAAGGTAAGAAAGCAATATTCCCTTTGGCAGAGTGGAGCTATTATGAAGAGTTAAAAGTGGAAAGTTGAACTGGCTATAGCCAGTTCCAAGAAAGTCTCTTTGTATTGCTCGTTTAATCAGATATTCCCATATTATGGGCCAATGGGTTTGTACCAAGAGGTGTATAGAAGTTTTGGCCCAGTTTTCTTGAGGCACAGATTTGGTATATTTTCAACTTTCAGTAGTCATGCAAAGCCAGCAAGTATGGATTAATTTTAATAAGCTAGCCAAGAATACCTAAAATGCAATGAGTGAGTAAATAAGAGAAAAATAAGAACATTACTTATCTTTTAAGGTGGTCTCACTGCAAGTTGTTTTCTGGAATAGAAGCTGGTGCTTAGGCAATAGTAATTGTTTGATGTTTGGAGTGCTGGCTGTTTCTTGAACAGGAGCTCTAGATCCTCCAGAGCTTCACAGGAATAGCTTGGAGTCTGTGTTGTGGGTTTCTGTGATAACTAAAAAGGAATAACTTTGTATTTTTGTTAAGAGCACCCAAGACCCCACACCCCTAGGTTTTACTGCAGCTGAAGTTGGTCAGCTGTGGGGTAGAGTGAAAATCCTAGTTTGGGGTGTGCTATTAACACCGATGACAGTGCAGTGTTTGGCAGGCAGAGGTCCAGGGCAGAAAGTGAAGGCTGATAGGCCAGCCTCTATGTTTAAATGAAAAATAATATTTTTGTCATATCCAAGAGCAACCAAGGCTCTGTTGCTGTGACTGGGACTAATTGCCGCATGGCAGTCATTGTCTGCCTTGGGCCTCTTTAGGATTTAGCCAGAGACAATAAGGAATTAGGAGTCCCGTCCTCTCTTTAGAGCTGAGGACAGTCCTTCTTTCAGTGCCCTTCTTTGTCTCATCGATGATAGGCTCCAGAAAGTTTGCAAGCTTAAAGGCCTTTGTGAGTTATTTGGTGGCAGTGTCCCAGCTTTTTATAAATGTGGCAATAGCTCTTTAGGTTCTGCCCAGGATGACCTGGAAGTGGGAGTTTTTGCGTAATGAGAGCCAACAACAGGATCTGTCTTTTGCCTCTCTTTTCCTCTTTCATCTGTGTGTTTTTTCATTCTATCTTGGTTAATGAAGACTCCAAAAGCTGTTTTTAGTAGTTCATTTATTGGAGTTTTGGCACCTTTGGCTAGTTTTTGTGACTTTTTTTCTAATACCTGAGGCAGGCTGACTAATGAGTAGGTTTCTATGATTGAATCTGTCTCTATAATTTTTATCCTCCCAAGAGAGCAGTGTTGTTGTTGTTGTTGTTGTTGTTGCTATTGTTGTTTTGGCGGATAATAGGATACTCTGCTACGAGTTGTTCCAACAGGACTGAGATCTTCAGGGAGTGTTTGGTGAACAAGCTGATGTGGAAGATGTACAGGAGACTGTGCATCAAGTGACAAAGGACTACTAGAAAGAGTAGAAGCTTGAGAGGTTTAAAAAGCAACCCTGGACTAGATTTTAATAAAATAAAGTTGTTGGTGGGAGGCAAATTTCTTAATATAGAGTGATTGATTATGTTACGTTCTCCTGAACTTTTTTGAATAACATGGGCATTATATATTTGGTATTGGCCTTTAAGAGACTTGTCAGTATAGAGATGTTTGGTTAGAGGAAGGAATAATGTCAGGTTCCCCTGGGCCCTTGGGGAGCTTCTGATCATCCTTCTTTGTTTTTATAAAAGGCCTGATAGAAAAACAGCATTGTTTGGGACCCTGCTATGTTGAATAAGCCTAATTATGGAGCATTTATTTATCTTTTTTTAAGGTTAGTAATGGCCAACCTTACATATGTGGCATTCATGTTTTAATTTTGGTCTTAAAATAACAGCTTAGGAGGAATAAGTAGCTATGTCCATTAGGCTTTCTAGATTCCATGTAGGGAATTTGGCAGAAAATGTGTTTTACCCAGCAATTACAGTTTTCTTCTGTGTAAAGACAAAATTCCCTCTGCCCTAGTCAAAGGCAGAAGAGTCCCGACACACACAGCAGAAAGAACCTTTAGGACAACTCTTTATAGCCTTATGGGTGAGAGATAAAAAGAAAGCAGATGAAAATCTATGAATACCGATGGATCAAAAAGCAAGATAAATTTTCATGAAGGACAGGACTCAAAGGGGTGAAATGCAATAAACTCCGAACAACAGGATGGTTATTACTAGGGAAAAATGAAGGTCTCTAGACATTGCATGGCCTGGGCTTAAGCCCTGCCACCCTCACATGCCTCCTCTCAGGGAAGGCGACAGTGACCTAGATCTACTTTGTGTGGACTTCAAAGTCCTCCCTCCTCCGTTAATCACCCATCAAGATGAACTGAGAAATCAGCAGGAGGGAGTAAAGTCACGATGGTTGAGGGGGATTGTTCTGGAGATTTATAAGTAAGTGAAAGAATGAGAGGAAAGGGAAAGACTCAGGGATGGAAAATAAAACCCCAAGCCTTAAAGTGGTGAGGATGGTATCAAGAGTTTTATTCTTTGGCCACATTTTAATTATCTTTTAATTTATATGGCTTAAAAATATTCCAGTTTTTGATATACACCCTAGAAGTGTTTCAGTGAGAGTAGAGAGGTGGCTCCTAGATGCTAAAGAATCCTTCAAAGTCAGAAACATATACTGAAATCCAGCAGACCATGGGCATACCCATGAGCCAAGCTGAACCACGAAGCGGTCCAGGGCGTCCCTTTGAAACTCCATTAAACCAAGGCCCTAGGGGGTCATGGGTGTTTGCCATGCATCGTCCTGGGTCTCTCAGTGCTGGCCATCTCCAGGCCCAACTGAGATGGCCTCTGCCCCCGGCTGGGGGTCCCTGATGACTCGTCAATAAGCCTTCCCTTACTTCACCGATCTGCCATTTTTGACGCCCAATTATAATGCTTTGAATGCATGGGTGTAGTCACCATGACTGTGCATCTATGTGGACATGCATCCGATGCTCAACATGGATGGCCTCTTGCAAAGTCTCCCAAAGGAGTCTCAGAACACATAGAGCCTGGAGGGACACAGGGCACTGTTAGCAAAATTAGATTTAAAGTGTCAAGGTGATCAAAAATCTTTGAAGAGATTACTTGTTTAACAAACAAGTTACAGTGGCCAATTATTACTGGTCAGGCATGGTCCTGAGAGGGACAGCAAAACAAACAGTGAGATAAAAACAGCAAAAGAATCCAAAGGCTTAATAATCAGGACATTTCATCTGAATAAGGTAATTATTAACATTGCCAAAGTAGCAGCAAAATGGAAAGCAATCACAATTACTTGCACGGAGAATGTGAGTTATTTAAAAGGTCCTCCTCAGAAACCTAAATGAAATAAAGCTAGGAAAAGCAGTGATAGTCAACCAGGTAGCCTGGTACTGCCATAGTACCCATCACGGGTGAAGGGAGACTGAAATCAATGAAGCAGATGAACCTCTATCTGGGTCGCAGCACTAGAAATGCTGATGTGATACCTCGGTTCTTGTTTTCTTAGTTTAAAAGAATTTAAACAAGAGATACACGGCAAAGGAGATGCAGCATAGAGTATTTTATTGTGAAAGAAAGAGAATATTTTGAAAGTGAGGTGCAAAATAGACAGTACAATCTGAGAGAGGGAATTCAGGGCAGGCTGCTCATAAGGTCAAGACAGCAAAGACTGGAAGTAGGAAGACTTTCTTTATGGGAGTCTTACATGATTATTCGTAAGGAGGTGGAAAGTGGCATTGGTCATAAACATGTTCTAGGTGGTCCTATGGGTGCACATGCACAGTAGCTGTACATGCTTGTTCATACATGGCATGTCTAGCTAGCATATTAAATCTCCACCCAGAAGTGGGTTTTTTACTATGATATTGAGTAAAGGGTCAGTTTGAGGACAGGTAAAATCAAAGTGCTCATGCTGTCTAGCAGGGAAAGTCTACTGAAGATAGCTTTGCTTGAATGAGCTCAATTACAATGCTAATGGTGAGGCTTGTTGTGTTGATTGTGTTGATGGTCAACACAGTTGCTGCATCCTGAGAACATGGTCACTTGCTTGACTACCTATCCTGCCTATTGTGTATATGTATATATACATTCATATATTTGGTGACAACAGATAATATATGTATATATATTGAGTGACTATGTATTATTTATTTCGTAGAGTAAGGTTTGGCTAATGCTAAATCTGCTATTTTATTTGTGATTCTATGATGCATAAAAAGGTATATAAATAAATATGTGGAAAGGTGTCTAGATGCAACTGTTTACTGTTCAACATCTGTCATTAAAATGTCAATTAAAGGTGTTCAGTATATGCTATGAAAATGTCAATTATTTTACTATATTGACTGAGATTTTCATTACCCTCTTTATGTTATTTTTCAAGGAAACTTAATATGTAAGGAGCCTTGAAAGTCTGTAAATCTAGCTCTTATTTTGCATCAGAATCAACTGATGTCTGAATAACATCAAAATATATGTAGCTATTAAGTATGAAAATAAACACTAAAATTTTCAGAGTTTTAAAATTTCCTATAATCCTGAGTATTGTGTTTGCTATTATGCAATAAATATATCATAAATATAATTAGCTTACTTCTAAAAGTTACATCATGTTGCATCTAATATTTAAGAAGCCGGAATCATCTTCTGCCTTCCACTCAACCCGTGCTTCTTCACTGAATTCTTATTGCTCGAATAATTACTCTATGACTAGAAATATTTATGGGTACTAGTATATGGATCTCACTAAAACTCCTAAGTAATTGCAAGTTCATTTTATTTTTCAAGCTATAAAGTTACATAACATACTAATAAAAATTAAGCCTCTTTACTATGATGTCTTATTGAAGTAGCAGGTTGCAAATTAGATTACATATTTTTGTAAGGTTGCAAATTAGATTATATATTTTTGTAATAAAAATCTATTAATATTTTGATATATTCTTGTAATGACAGTAAAGAAACTTAACTGACAATTGTTGAATGAACAAAATAAGGAAGACCTTCTTTATGTTATACCTCAAACTAATATTTTACCTACATGATATAAAATTCTATTAGTAGCCATATTATTCCATATCATTTACTTTTTATCTGGCTTTACTGTTTTCTAGCAGAAATCAAATTAAACTGGTGCTTACGCACCGGTTTAATAACTATCCCAGCAATCTGACAGTACATAAGGGAACCACAAATGAAGAGATCACTTGAAGGCGACATTCTGGATCATATATTCTTTGAGCCCTAAACAAATATAATTATGCAATTCAAACACTCCAAACATTATATGAACAAACGAAATATTGCAATGGCTAATGACTTTTCTGTGTTTGTATTAGAAAACATATTATAGCACAAATCTTCCGGGTTTTTATTTAACTTTTATTTTAGGTTCGTGGGTACATAGGATGGTTTGTTACATAGCTAAACTCGTATTGTGCGGATTTGTTACACAGATTCCTTCATCACCCGGGTACTAAGCCTAGAACCCAATAGTTATTCTTTTCTGCTCCTCTCCCTCCTCTCCCTCTCCACCCTCAAGGAGACCCCAGTATCTGTTGCTCCCTTCTTTGTGTTCATTAGTTCTCATCATTCAGCTTTCACTTAAAAGTGAGAACATGCAGTATTTGGTTTTCTGTTCCTGCATTCATTTGATAAGGATAATAGTCTCTAGTTCCAGCCATGTTCCCACACAAGACATGACCTCATTTTTTATGGCTGCATAGTATTCCATTGTGTATATGTACCACATTTTACTTATTCAAACTGTCACTGGTGGACATAGTGTTCCAATGTGTATATGTACCACATTTTACTTACTCAAACTGTCATATAGTGCTGCAGTGGACATTCACATGCATGTATCTTTATAGTAGAATGATTTATATTCCTCTGCATATACCATGTGTGTGACAGATTATATTTTCAAAATTTAGCCACCATCACAGTATCTCCCAACTAATACACTCTTCCACTCTGTTCCCTTCATCAAAATCCTTTCTTGTTGAATCTGAGCAGGGCTTATAACTTCTTGTAATCAATAGAATATGATCAAATGATAATGCATTATTTTGGAAGTTAGGTGAGAATAAGGCATCCAGCTTTCACCTAGCTCTAAGGATAATACCTCTCATAGTATATCCATTCAGATACTGATGTCATATTGTGATAAGCCCCAGTCACATGAAGAGGTCACCTCTAGATGCTCTGTGGACAATCCCAACTAATCCAAAACCTCAGCCGACACATCCAGAGGTCAGCATGTCACCGAAGAAGATATCTGGGAAGTAAATCTTTCATATCTAATTGTTCAACTTTCAATCATTCAGGTCTTCAAGGGCAAATCCTGAAAGTTGTGGAGCAGAGAAAAGCCACCACCACTGAGACTTTTCTGAATTTTTTTTCCAAAAGAATCTGCAGTACTACCAAAATTCTTGTCCCACATCCAGGAAGAATGAGGTATGCAGAAAACTGAAGGGCTAGGAAGGTGAAGAAGTGCTTTATTGAGCAACAGTACAACTCTAGGAGACCTGAAGTGGGTAGCTCCTATCCACAGGCAGTCGTCCTGTCAAGTCTGCAGCCCTCAACAAGGAGGAGATTTGGAGTGAGTAGCTCCTATAAGCAGGCACATCATCCTGGAGATCCGGAGTAGGTAGCTCCTTTAGGCAGGCAGGTCTTCCTGACATCTGTAGCCTTCAGTGGAGAGAAGCACCACAGTGGTAGCTCCTATCTGCAGGCAGGTAATCTGTGTGAGTCTGGCTGAGTCCAGGATTTTTATGGCTTCAGAAGGAAGGAAGTGCATGCTGATTGGTTCATGGGTGGCCATGGGCAGGCCTGGAAAAAGCACTGTAAGTTCTCACTACAGGCGGCCTACGGCCTGGCCCCCAGTCTTCCCTGTCCCTGGTTTGAAGGTGGGGCCTCACCAAGGACTCACCCCTTTCTGCCTAGGAAAGTGTCTGCCTCCTGCCTCCATCAATATGTCATCTGTGGTACGAAGGCTATTCATGCCAATGGTCGCCTGCAAGCCTACACTGCACCAGCTTCAGCCCCCCCTCAGCCTCTGTCCCTTGATCGTCTGTGCCCAAAGTCCCACGGGGACTGAGGTGTGGGAGTGGAGGCTGGCATGTCAGCGTCTCCTCCAGCACACACATTCGGCTGGGTTGCCACAACGCCCAGGCTCAGCTACAACTTTGCTTTACAGTGGTGTGGGTGCCCGAGCCGGAACAGGCCAGGGAGTGGGAGCAGGCCCTTCCGAGCCTACAGTGCCATAGGGCGTATAGGTCTGGAGTCACCCTTGCAGTTGCATCTGGAGGGAGGGGCTCTTGCCCCGCGACTTGATAGGGGCGGGGGGCCTGCCTGTTCCCGGCCTCACCAGCTCCACAGAGGCACAGCCCCACCACGCCTCCCTTGCTGCAGACGACGTCTTCCCAACCGCGGCTCCAGACGGGCGGTTGCTGCCATCACTAGGATGTATCACTGCAAATGCCTTTTGAAGAATGCATTCAGTCACATGGAAAAACATAATTACAGACACAGTAACATACAGACAGTGCTTACTTACAAAAAAAAAAAAAGACACGAATTCATATCAAGAATCTCATATCAAGAATCCCTTCTTTATCTCTCCTTAGACAGATATTCAATTATATCTAATATTTGTGTATTCCTTACGTGTCAGATATTTTCCTAAGTGCTTTAAAATTCTTTAATACTCATAATAACTCTATGCAGTATCTTTTTATTATCACGTTTTAAAAAATGAGGCTGCGAGAGTTTACTAACAAACTCACATAGATGAACGTTGCAAATTGAGATATGAAGAAAAATAATTTTTATATAACAATTACTGTTTATTTTTATAATAACTGCTAAGGAAAATATCATTAATTTAGGCTGTATTGTAGAAACTTTAATACAATATCTAAATAATAAAACATATTTTGCATGTTCAATAAATACATATTATTTCTATATGCATGTCACTGGAACCTATTACCAATACATATATTTAATGTAAAAATAAAGTATATTTTCTATGGAACCTTTAGTTTCTGTACTGACCATAAGTTCATTTTGCATCAAGCACTATCTCATAATACATGATGTAGATAATATAATGTTATATTAAAATTGATCTTGTACAATTTGCCACAAACTGGCTTTATTCCCCTGTTGGTAGAACCAGTATTACAGAGTATTTTCTTCCTACCCTGTGTTTAACAATTGATTACAACATACTCCTTGACCTTTTTATTTTCTTGCCTGTGTATACCGCCTGCCTGTCCTGTTTTAAGCCGTATTTCTCTTAAACATCACATTTCTTATTGGTTGCTATCTATCTTTGTTCTTTATCTTATCTTATCCCCTTCAATAAAATTGCACATGACTAATTGAGTTATTGTAGCTTCTAGTTTGATGAACTAAAAGTTTAATGCCTCTCTCTTTCCCTTTCTTGCTGCATCCGTTTTTTGCTTCAGCCATTTCCTCCTCCTGTTCTCTTCTCACTTCTCTTTTTTCTCTTGTCTCTCATTTCCTTTTTCTTTCTCTCCCTGCCTTTTTCTCTTCCACCCTAATCCCAAACTGTATCATCCAGCATCCTATTGAGAACTATGTTTTACAAAGAAAATGATATGTTATACAAAGCTGTAGATGATGAGTAGAGAAAAATAAATGCTGCAATTAGATGATAAAGGAAACAGGGAGGGAAATATAATCCTTAGTCTTTCATAATTAAAATCTTCATAGATCTAAGTGAACTCACTGGAATTCAAACTCAAGTATTTGTAATAGCTGAAGTCATGTTGTTTTAGTATAAGCCTGGAAAGCAACTCATTTTTGTTGCTGTTATTCTTTTTGGTTGTTTGCTTTTTCCTAGAATCAGCAGACTTGTGAAACACTGTGGCATAACATCCCCTCATGCACTGACTGCAGAGGAAGCAAAAAAAACAGTCTCATGCTTTCTACCCAAAGGCCCCTGCTGAAATGCAACATCAGGTCTGGTTTCACTAATTTTCCATTTTTCAATTGTTTTTCTTATGTTGGAAAGAAAAATCTCAAAATAATTTGATAAGGAATTTAGCTAACATAAAATTAAGTCATGGTCCATGCCATATGCAAATTCCTGTAGTTTCCTGAGAGATTATTGCACTTTCTAGTTATGTAACAATATATGTTGTAGCTTGAAATATCTTTAAGACTTGGCTGAGTTTCCAACAAAGGCTCAATTACATATGAGGTTTAACAAAGGCAATGAAGAGATTCAATGCCCTAGGCTTTCAGAGACACAAAATAAAAATAGAAACACACATACCCATGGAATTATTCTAATAGTTACTTGGTATTACTAGGAGAGTCAGTTGAATATACCTTTTCACACATGGATCAGCAAAATATTGATTTGAACTAAGTATCTTAACCACATTTAAACTTCTGTGGACTGCAGTAAGTGAAGTGAAGCACTCTTCTACACATTTGAGCAGATTTTCAAATTCTCTAACACTACAATACTTCCAACTAACAATTTGGCAATAGGCCAAGATTTGTTTTTAAACTTTAATTCTTTAAATAAAATGTTTACTTTCACCTATATATAACTAATAATTTACTTCTGTGGATCTAAATTACTTGGATTTTGTATTTTTTTTTTGTTGCTATAATTCATTACTCTGTTCAATAGACACATGTAGTTCAAGATATTTGTACATTTTATGGCATTGTAGGTATATTGAGAATATATTAGGTGCTTTTATTGCTTTTATTTTTCAAGTAAATCAATATACTTAACACACACAAAATATTAGTTTCCATGTATACTATTTAAAGTGAAAGTAAGGTTAATATTTTGAGAAAGTAAGATACATAATGAACTGTTTCTGAATAAGGGAGTGAATAATGGAGGAAAGAAAAAATAAATGAAAGCAGTGAAAATGCTCATTTTTATTAAAACTGAAACAATTGAAAACGTAATTGAAATAAACTAACAAACATCATTTATTTATTCAGTTGTATGACAAATGTCCATGGCAAGCTACCATGTACCACGCCAATAAGGAATAAAACATATTTGTCTTTATGTATTCTATTCTAGTTGTATAGCCAGAAAATAAACATTTACTTTATATTTGTAAGAATTCCATTTACAAGATATTCTTGAAAAGACAAAATTATAGTGATGGAGAACAGATCAGTAATTGTCAGGGTATAGAGTTGATGTAGTGTGGTTGGTTATATGTGGCTATATGTGTGCTAAAATTTATGGAAATTCACATCCAAAATCATAGTCAATTTTACTATATATTAAAATAAAATAAACCCAAAAAAGATAACCTTTAGACTAAATTAAATAAACTGACATGATATAATGTTTTCTGGAACATGTGGACCATTCATTCACTGCCAGTGGACTACATTTATTCAAGAAAGCTTGGAAAACTCTTTGGCATATCTACCATATATGCATACCTTATAACCCAACAATTTCTATTTTATAAATATACCCAACAAAAAAGGCATACGTAAGTCACTAAAATTATGTAATGTATTTTGAACAGCATTCTTTCTAATTGATTTTTTTTGTATAATGTATTCCAGGACAATAAGAACCTCAAGGTAATTTTTTAAAGTTAACTAATAATTTTAATTTAGTTTAAAATTCTGAAGCATTTCCAATACCATTTTGGCATTTAAAAACCTACAGTATAGAACAGAATGTTTATGATTTTTAGAATTTGGGATTTTAAGGATAAAATAAAATATATTAAAATATAATAAGTAAAACCACAGCCTTCCTAAATATAATTTGGAAATAAGAGTAGCAACTTAAGATGCATTGTTTAAGAAAAAAATGTATTTTTTAAACAACGGATTTCTGATTTTGACTTACCTGTCTAGGGAAACAATGAAAAATACAGTATCTCAATGTTGAAATTAAACTTACTCTTTATCTCATAAAATATACTTCTTTTTATTAACATAATTATTATTTTTAGTGACTACAAGTAAAATCTCTGTTGCATTTCTTGAATCATCTTTATATTCTCCCTTCATAAGCTATATATTTCAGTAAACCTAACAACCTACCATACCTAGAAAGATGCCATATATATGTTGTGTCAAATAAATACTAGTTGAATGATAGTATTGGTGGTGATTTAAAATAACAACTTACATTCTAACATCATCATTATAAGAAAGTGTGATGTCTTTGAATGTACAGGATACTCCATTGTAACTTCAAAGAGAGAAAATTATTGTCCACTTTGTAAGTAGCCGATAAAAATCACTGCCTATTGAAAAAAGGTGAAAGGCAGTATTTTCTAAGGAAACTTTATTCCTAAATATTATAAGAAAGAAGAAAGAAATGTATTATCTACTTGAGATATGAATAATGTATTTTAGCATAAACTAATGTGAAAATTTAAAAGTTGTAATATGTTATGAACTGAATGTTTGTGTCCTCCCAAAATTCATACGTTGAAATTCTACCCCTTAACAAGATGGTAACAGGTGGGGAATTTAGGTGACAATTAGGTCATGAGAGTAGAGCCCTCATGAACAGGATTATTACCTTGATAAAAGGGACCACAGGAGCTCTCTTGTCCTCTTTCCTCCATTTGAAGATACAAGGAGGTCTGCAGTCTGTGACCTCGACAGTGCTGGCACCCTGATCTCAGACGTCCAGACTCTAGAACTGTAAGAAATAAATGTTGTTCAAGCCACCTAGTCTAAGGTACTTTGTTACAGCAGCTGGGACTAACACATGAAGTTATTAAGATATATTGTAAATTTATTTGTGTTTTATTTTCTAAATATAAATTACTAATTATTTGTATCTAAAGAGCAATATATAATTAAAAAATATCACACAATTACTTTTATCAACATTGATCATTTCTTATGCTAAGGACAACTCACTCAGAAAGCACTACAATTTAATCTTATTCCATATATAATATAGAATCATGTGTATTTTAAAAGAAGCTTTTTTCTTCTTCTCTAAAGATTGAATTTTATTCTATGCCATATGTTTTTATTATATTAATACTCATCATTGAAACATTTCAGTAGAACATTCAATAAAATATTTGTCTTATTGGTGAGGGGAGCTTTTATTTTCTGGCTCTATTTTTCTATGTGGGGGAGTTTTTCTGAGTGGTACTGTTGGTCTCCTTCAGCATTCCACAGTTATTTCTCACTATTAAGGGAGGATTGGCTTAACTGAGAGTGTGGTTATAAGGAGAAGATGATTACACTTAGCTCAGCCCCACCTTCCTTCATTCCCTTTATTTCTGCCAACTTGCACAAAGGATCTATTCTCATTCTTTCTTGGTCATTTATTAGATTTAGTAGGATGGATTTCCATCACAGAGCCTTTGCATTCTAGTATTTTCTGTGTCTAGGTGGAGCTAATTATTCAGGAGTATAACATAAATAATCAATTATCTTATTAAATCTTTAGCCATGTATTCAAACCTAGATTTTGTCAGTATGCATTTTATTTATTTATTTTTACAAATTTAAATAGCTTTTTGTGTATAAGTGGCTTTTTGTTACATAAATGAATTATATAGTGGTGAATTCTTTGATTTTGGTGCACCCATCACCCAAGTAGTACATATTTCACCCAATAGATAGTTCTTCATTCCTCATCTCCTCCCACCCTCCACATTCTGAGTCTCTAAAGTCTATTATATCATTCACTCTCTATGCCTTTACATAGTCATAGCTTAGCTTCCACTTATAAGTGAGGACATACTGTTTTTGCATTTCCACTCCTGTATTACTTCACTTAGAATAATGGCCTCCAGCTCCATCCATGTTGCTGCTGACATTATTTTGTTCCTTTCAATGGCTGAGTAGTATTCCATGGTGTATATTTATCGTATTTTCCTTATCTGCTCATTAGTTCATAGGCACTTAGGTTAGTTTCATGTCTTTGCAGTTATGAATTTTGCTCCTATAAACATATGTGTGCAAGTATCCCTTCATATAATTACTTCTTTTTTTGTGGGGGTAGATACCCAGTAATGGGATTGCTGGATCAAATGGTAGTTCTACTTTTAGTACTTTAAGGAATCTCCATGCTGTTTCCCATACAGGTTGTACTAATTTTCATTGCCCTCTGCAGTGTATAAGTGTTCCCTTTTCCCCACATCCACACCAACATCTATTGTTTTGTGATTTTTAAATAATTGCCATTCTTGCAAAAGTAAGGTGGTATCTCATCGTGGTTTAATTTGCATTTCCTTGATGATTGGTGATGTTAAGCATTTTTTCACGTTTCCTGGCCATATATCTTCTTGATATATGGGTGAGAGATAAAAAGAAAGCAGATGAAAATCTATGAATACCGATGGATCAAAAAGCAAGATAAATTTTCATGAAGGACAGGACTCAAAGGGGTGAAATGCAATAAACTCCGAACAACAGGATGGAAGGGTCCTCTTCTCCAAGACCCTTCATGCACACCAGGAGTTTCTGAGTGTTGGGATAGAGCAGAAAGCTTCCTCTGCTGAGCCCAGCACTTTCAACTGTGCCACTGCTGAAAGAAGCTTTCCACCAGCAGAAGGATCTGGAGCTCAAGGCCTGCCATCCAAATTATTTTGTTCCACAGGGTGTTCCCTTGATGTGGTGTGCTCCTCCTTCCCCTAGGAGTGGGAGTCCCTGGGTGTCAGTGTATAATTATTAAAAAATTATTTTTATTCTACCTGCTTGAACTCTGTGACCTTCTATAAAGGCTTCTTATGGACTCAATGAGTTCCACCAAAATTCATATGTTGAAATCTTAACCCTCAATGTGATGGTATTAGGAGGCTAAGTCTTTGGGAGATAATTAGGTCATGAGGATGGAAGAATGGGATTAGGACCCTTATAAAAGAGACCTCGTAGGCTGGATGCAGTGACTCACACCTGTAATCCCAGCATTTTGGGAGGCTGAGGCGGGCGGATCATGAAGTCGGGAGTTCGAGACCAGCCTGGCTAACATAGTGAAACACCATCTCTACTAAAAATACAAAAATTAGCCGGACATGGTGACACGTGCCTGTAGCCCCAGCTACTTGGGAGGCTGAGGCAGGAGAATCACTTGAACCTGAGAGGCAGAGGTTGCAGTGAGCCGAGATCGTGCCACTGGACTCCAGCCTGGGCAACAGAGTGAAACTCCGTCTCAAGAAAACAAAACAAAACAAAACAAAAAAAACAAACTCCATTGAGCTCTTTTGCCTTTTTTTTTTCCCCTAGCCTGTGAGGATACAGTGAGAAGACAGCTGTCTATGAATCAGTAAGTGGGATCTCAGCAGAACTCAACCATGCTGGCACTCTGACCTCAGATCCAACCTCCAAAACTGTGAGAAATAAATTTCTGTGGTTTCTATCACCCAGTCTGGTATTCTGCAATAGCAGCCTGAACTAAGACAAGGCTTAACACAGATTAGGAGAAAAAAAAATTCCTGTTTTAGCCCTAGATTTTGTTGCATTTATCTCTGAATTTACAGGCACAGACACAGAATGGTAGAATGGTATTAGGAAGTGAAACACACAGGCAATATAAGGAAATTCATGACTTTAAGATTTAGTGGGACTTAGTTAGGCTCAATTCATGCAGGATTCATAGTGAATTATGTTGTACCATGAGGACACTTTTATAAATTTGTGTGGTTGAATTTTACACTGTGTCTTTGGCAGGCGGCTTTTATAGTAAGAAGTATTGCAACTTGATGGTGAACTAGAGTGCTCCCTCTCTTGCAACTCAGCACTGGGGTAACCAAAACTTGGAACTTGGAAAATAAGAATTTTTGAATATTCTTGAAGAGAAGGTATCTCAACTAAGTGCTAACTTTCTCGAAGGGTCATAAATGCCACCCACCAAAAAATACAGTATAGAGAGTATGTCTAGGTGAAATTTTATCTGTATCTAGTAAGCAATATGACATAAATATACTATTTATGGGCATTTTCTCATATTTAAAATTACATTTCAATGCCCTGGTGGTCAAGCCCAAGACACAGATTGACAGATATCCTGGTAAAACTGAAGCCAAAAGGCTTTTCCCAATGGCTCTGTTTCTAAGTTACCATTAAGATAGCCAGGGTAGACCAGGCATGGTGGCTAATGCCTGTATTCCCAACATTTTGGGAGGCTGAGGCAGGTGGATAGTTTGAGTCCAGGAGTTTGAGACCAGCTTGGGCAACATGAACAGGTGAAACCCTGCCTCTGCTAAAAATACAAAAATTAGCTGGGCATGGTGGCATATGCCTGTAGTCCCAGCTATGCAGAAAGCTGAGGCACGAAAATCTCTTGAACCCAGGAGGTGGAGGCTGCAGTGAGTTGAGATCACACCACTGCACTCCAGCCTAGAATACAGAGCAAGATTCTGACTCAAAAACAAACAAACAAATCAATCAAACAAACAAACAACAACAACCAAAAGACTGCCAGGGTAGTTGCCAATGCTAGGTCCTGGGTTATTCGAATATAGTTTGTCCAGGAATAGTTTTATCACAAGAACTAATAATACTAGATCAGGATAAGCCTATCCTTTCTTATTTGCTTGCTTGGTGTTTTGACAGACACAGTGAACACTTATGGATAACACAAAGATGTTGAAGAGACTTAAATACTTTCCAGATATACTATGTAAGCTATAGTCCTTGAGCTAGGTATTCAGCATGCTTCAGGATTAAAATGAGTGCAGTTTGTTTTTTTGTTTTTTAATGAAAGAGATGGTTTTGTCCTTTAATACTTTTGTAATCAAATGTTTTATTTTTTAATTCATGTTAAAAATATTATTTAAGTTTGGATTTTATTTAATCAAGAATTTTTAACTTACCTCAACGGCATAAAGGTATCTAAAGTCCCTTTTGTACTTTAATGCTTGATCCATAATCAATTTCTCCTTACCAGTGCTAATGGTAGGTATTGAAATTAGAGGACATCTCCTCATGGTTGGGATTTTATTTTTGTAGCATCTGTATTTTATCATTTAGTCTCATTGTAAAACCTTGTATAGTATATGGCATGAACATTTGGATTTTTTTGAGGTTCAGAGTAGCATTAGAATCAATTTTACCACCTTATGACTATTTTTAAACTATACCATTCTGTGAAAAAATAAAATAACCTTCCCTTCAGTGATCTTCAGATCATCAGCAAATGATTGGGGCACGTGACGTCACAAACAGAATGACTTAATTTCAATCTTTCGTTTGAGGCATCATGCACACAGAAAGTTCAAATATTTGCTAATTCTCTGTGTGTGTGTGTGTGTGTGTGTGTGTGTTCTCTATGTACTTGTAGATTGTATTATTGTAAAAATATGCATTGCTCTCTTATCAGGCTTTTAGTTTTTGGAACACTCCATAGCAGGTTCTTTTCTACAGTACATCTCCGTTATGTAAGATTATACCACTGTTCCCCAGACTAAGCCAAGTGATTAGATTTAGACATATACTTCTCAACCTGAAAACATTTCGTCCCCCAGGGAATATTTGATAATGTTGCAGACATTTTTGTTCGTTACAACTGTGGGGCTGTTACTGGCATCTAGTGGGTAAAAAAAAAAAAAAAAAAAAAAAAAAGATGCTGCTAAATAATAATGCACAAGATAGCTCTTCCAACCCCATCACAAAGAATTATCTGGTCTCCAAATTTAGTAATATTGTGTTTGAAAGTGCTTTAAACAATGAAATGTGTGTGATGTGACATGAACCATTTCTGAGCAGAAATCGTAAGAATCATAGTATGATTCTGCCATTATTTTTTTTCTCTACCATGAGATGGGTGTAGGGGCTCAGATGTGACTGCCTCTGTAACCTAGACCCAAAAATGAAGAAGATTGGAGCAGTGCTCCAGCCAAACCACAATAGACGTATAATATAATCGAGAAATAAAGACATGTAATATGATCAAGAAACAAACCTTTCTTGTTGTAAGCTACTAAAATTTAAAGGTCCTTTGTTACTGTAGCATAATGTACTTAACATAAGCTGATTGATAAATTACTTAGTGAATTTCAATAATAAGATTAACATTTTTATGTCCATGAGGATGACTCCTGAATCTGACTCTTAATTGGCTCTGAATTCAGTTGATAAAGAAGGATTTTATTTATTGCTTTGCATAAAAATTAAAATATATACTAAGATAAGGTTGCTAATTCGAGGAAATGTGAACATTTCTATTTGAAGGGTTTTTAATCTCCAAATGATGCCAGACATTTTAAAATATGCTAAAAAATCACCTTCTTTTGAAAGGTTAAAGCATGTCAGTGACCAGCCTAACTGAGTAAATTATCTTAAATGTAATGTAGTTTTAAATATGGTCTTGTCCAGATAATTTGTAATTTGTTAAACAGTTCATGGATGCTGGTTCTCAAAAGACTTGGAAAAATGAAGATTTGAAAATCATTTTGTGTGGGGTCCTAGTAGATAGTACCATCATACCTTTCTTCCATGAAAACAATTATGGGAGTGACTGGTAAGTTCAGTTTACTCTTAAAATGACTATAATAAATTTATAGAAACAGTAAATTCCTGCTCTGTAGTCAATGATTCTCCCAATAAGGTAGTCAAAAAAAATCTTGAACATTTACAGCCAAGTGTGAGAAGAAAGTGCCAGGCTCTCTTAGTTTAAAGATAGTCTGCTACTCTTTCTGTCCTCATACTTTTCTTACAAAGTGTCAAAATATGTGGTGAATAGATACACACAAAAAGACAAAGCACATGTGTTTGTGTTATAGTATGTGTGCTTTCCATCAGTCTTCAATTCCTTTTTGAAGGGAGTTTTCCCTTATGAATGTCTAATTAAGAGTATTTGGCACATAAAAAGGCTAAGTGAAGATTGAATTAATGAATACTTATAAATGAATAGATATTTTAATTTATGCTTATTTTCACAAAATAATCTAATAAAAATTTATGAAAATTAGATATTTAGAACCAATCTAATGTTTCAGTTTATATAAAGTTTTTTTTCCAATTCTACAAGAAAGAAAAATGAAGTGTTTCATTGTAATCCTGTTTTTTAGTCTGGAATTGATCTTCATTTTCAAAAGATTAAAGAGTGGATGGCTTGTGGCTACTAAATTTCTCAAAATAGACTTCAAGACATATCTGAGGGTAGAGAAGGTGAGCAGATATTGGAAAATACAGTTATCCTACATCAAACATCTTTAAAATTAAAAAGCCTGGGCTTGTAACCCATCTTGTCCTCATAAAAAAGTTACACCATGCTGATGTTCAAAGTTTTGGACAAGGTGTTTTGCTATATTATGATTGTGATATACCTGTTTGAAGCTGTGAGTTAGATCCTTTGGTTTCAGCTGAAGGACTTTATCTATAGTATATTTTTGTATTCTAATATAAGAGAATTGGATGTTACTCTAATAAAATTCTGTAAGGAAATAATTCCTTATAGATGCTTGAACTTCATAAACAATTTAGAAAAGGTAGAATGGTTTCGGACCTCAAATTTCTTTACATTTAGCATAATATTATTTTAACTTAAAGCCTGTATAACCCAGAGAGAATTTAATTTTCCAAAACCTTGTTATCTAAATGAAAGTCTGTGGCCTGGACACCCACACTGTCCCTCTGCTGGTATTATCTTATTTTGCGTCTTAGATTGCTGTTTTCTGAGATTAGAAAAGTTTCCCCTGACTTCATTAAAAAAATAGACTCTGCTTTTTGATGCTCATTAATTTTGTATAATGTTTTTCTTCAGCCATCCAATTTATCTGTGTGAAGCAGTCCACATTTGTTTAGTTGCAAGCCTAAAGATTTTATTCCTAACATTAAGTTAACTGTATTTTATTTGTTATTTGAGTTTAAAGTAGGTAAAATATACATAACTATGAGCTATAAGTCTTTCTTTTCATTAAGCATGGTATTCTTCTTGGCTACTATTGTACTCTAGATCACTATTTTGTCCAACATTTTCTAAATATGTAAAAAATCTTTAGTTTATTTGATTTAGCTTTAAAATAATTTCAAACAATCTTCATATAGATTGAAGAACTTCATTTAAAGTAATTTTATTTTGTAAAATATTTCAAAAATGTTGTAAAAATTAAATATTTACTTCCAAATCTTGAAATGAATTCTATGAATAGTGTTTAGTTCTAAAATATATATTTTTTAGACAAAACTTTTATCAATTAGAATATTTTAAAATATACACAAGTTATTCCTTGAATCATTTAAAATAAACATCATAATCTCCCTTTATGAAGTATTTCTATGTAGCTGTTATTAATATTTAGACACATACATGCATATATTACCATCTAAACATTTTATGAACCTGAATTAAATATATTAAAAAGTTACAGTTCAGAAGATAAATGAAAGATCAAGATATAAAACAAACCATTTTTTTACAAAAGCATTAATTTATTAAAAGAGGCATTAGTTAGAATGTTAAGACTGACCGAATCCTCAGAATAAAAATTGGATCCAGTGCCACGAAAGCCTGTCCACCATCTCAGGAGAAAGGCTGTCTCAAATAGTTATCTGGCAAGATCTCATGCTATCCAAATGGAATATGATCTTTATTTGATCAACTCGGGTGAGGAAAATAACCCCCAGATGTTGCAATGAGTTCACACATTTTTTTCATCGCTTTATTGTTGTATTATTGTTATTTGTGTATTAGTTTTCTTTTCTGCAATTGACTTAGCTCCTCTCTGGGTCAGTTGGCTTCTCTATTTTAGTGTCATAGTCAACACCTGCAAGAGCAATCATATGTATTTTTCTTACAGCCTATGGCTGTCAGGAAAATATATACAATGCAGCATATGTGTATATATATGTACTAAGGCATAGATATTTGTCTTATGCAACTTTATGGACAATCTACTTAAAGCTACCTTGGCTCCTGATTGTGTGTGCACAAGAAGTGGGCTTTCTTTCTTTCCCCACATAGCTGTAGGTCAAATGATGGATGAGCTTTTGACATTCTCTGAACTCCCAGAAATGTTCTTCTTTTGTAGTTTTATAGTAATTTCAAGTTATTTAGCCTCTCAGTAAGGGTTTTGAAGTCCAGGGTAAATAATTATTGTATAACATACGTGAGACTTATTCTATCTTGCATTTGTTCATTTGATGCAGTACCTGCTATGAGTCAGGCATTATGATGATTACAGAAGATAAAAAGAAAACAGGATGGCTGCCTTCCAAGGTTTAATGACAAAAAAAAGCCAAATAAATTAATATGCAATTTCAATAATTTCTTTTTTTTTTTTTTTTTGGAGACAGAGTCTTGCTCTGTCACCCAGGCTGGAGTGCAGTGGCACGATCTCAGCTCACTGCAACCTCTGCTTCCCGGGTTCAAGCAATTCTCCTGCCGCAGCCTCCCAAGTAGCTGGGACTACAGGTGCATGCCACCATGCCCGGCTAATGTTTTTTGTATTTTAGTAGAGACGGGGTTTCACCATGTTGCCCAGGCTGGCCGCGAACTCCTGAGCTCAGGCAATCTGCCTGCCTCATCCTCCCAAACTGCTGGGATTACAGGCTTGAGCCACCGTGCCCAGCCAATTTTAATAATTTCTAAAGCAAGGTAAACTATTAATGAATTCAATTATTTGGCATAAATATAGTTTTTAAATATTGTATAAATATGTAAATCAACTAAAATTAGAATCTTAGCAAACAGAGGCAACTAGAGTTTCAATCTCAATCACATTTTTCCATGACTTTCTACGTACAAGGTTAGTCAAAGGAGATGATAGATAGGGGAGGTCTCACTGGTTGTGGGAATATTTTGGCTTTGGATGAGATACCCGTTATGTTAGCTCCCATGGTGCTCCCTTGTCCACAGGATCTGCTGCTATAGGCCATGCTAGGAGCAGGGCCAATTGGGCATGTTTGTAAGGGCCCATGGCCTAGGGTGAAATTCACTCACCCTAGGAGGTGCTAGGCCTGAGATTCATTCTCCCTATGTGTGCCTCAGTCACTTTCTCATTGGCGTTGCTGCTTCCCAAGGGTGCTGCTGCTTCTAATCACATAGTTGTCCCCCCTGGATCTCCTCCACACCTCTCTCCCTTCAGTCTACAAGAATCCAGTTTTAAAAAAGATAGGTTTTAGAAAAACAAAATAAAATGCCAAGAAGAAAAGTAAATTCAGCCAGCTTTATCTTTAGGGGAGAATCATAAGCCATTCTGGGGCAATTTAGGACAGGAATGCCCACCTCTTCATGGAAGTGGAAGTGGGGAAATAGATAATTTGAAAATAAAAAATTATTTCATGTATCAAATTTTTAAACACATCTAATAAATGTAAGCCAAAGATTTTAATGTCATGCAAAATACTATGATAGAAAAATCACTAGCTACCAGGCAAGTAGAAGATACCTGTAACTCCTAACCATGAAAAAATCAGGAAACAGGTGTCTCACTTGGAGCCAGAAATCCGCTAAAGATCTAAAGTTTTCTAAAGTTTTTGGAGGGAAGGACTCCAGATGGATTTTAGACACAGCTGAGTTCTTAAAGACAATGTTAAGTTAATCAGGAGGCTGAAAGTGATGGAGTTTACTCTAAGCAGAAAACACCGGTACTACTAGCATAAATTCTGATCTACTTAAGGACTCACACACAAATTAGAACACATTGTACAGTACGTGGACAGTGGTAGAGAGAAGGTCCAAGACATAGCAGCCAGACCATAAATGTCCTTGTCTACCCTAGAGATTTTATTTTTACAACAGAGAATAAGCTGCTCATGCACTGTTTCTTTCTGGATCCTTTATTTGTATTTATTGCTTTAATTATTACACTTGCCTTCAAGTGCTCATATACCTAAACTAAAATTGTGAAATCTCTACGTAAAGAGAACATGTCTTATAACTATTTCCTATGCATATTAATACAATGTCATTTAAATAGTATTTTGCAGTAGTTTGATAACATTTGAATTTTGTTATTTATATCATGCCTTTTGTCATTGTAAAGAGTATATTTGCTTATTTTACTTAAGCTCTAATTTTCATTTTTGAGTCAATTTTACTAATAAGTAAGTAATAAATAAGCCAAATTTTACTTGTTGAGATCATGTCAAATTTTAATTTTGTTTCCCAACATTCTATTTAACCTATATTTTTTTGTTTACAATTAAATCAATAACTGCATTAAAGATAAACATAATACATATTAGTTTTCCTTTGGAAAACTGAGAACATTTTATCACAGAACTAATTTTTAGAAAGTGTTATGATTCCTTTTAGTAGAGATGTTTTTAAAAGTAAAATAAAAAAAACAGAAAAAAAGGTACTTTCTCTAACTAGATACATGCTGAGTCAATTTTAGTCTTGGAAATAATAATTATATTTAGCATTTGCTTATGAGAGTCATACTAACTCCAAATGTTTGTTGGTTTTTTTTGTATGCAAATTAACATAATAATATCTTCATATTTAAATAGGAAATAGACAAAATCGTTTGCTTATTTAGCGTAGCAGAAAATAATGAACTTATTCATGACAGTAGACTACACTGAAAAATAAAGGAAAAAATTACGATCTTATGTGATAATTTGTTATTTTTTGTGGTGCACAGATTTGGTCCATGGAAACTGTGGAGATGTTTATTTTCTTCCAATATACAAATTTCTCCATTGTATGTGTGTGTATGTGTGCGTGTAGTTAATTTAAATCAATGATTAATAAGAAAGATATTAATAGGTTATTAATATATCTATTCTCTCCTTTTCCTATTACTTCTCTTTCCACCTTTTATCTGGGTTCAGGTTGGGGCTAAAAACATGAGAAAGGACATGGGCCTCTCCTGAATGCAGAACCCCCTATAACTGCCAGAATCTCTACTGTCACCAGCTACACAAGCTTCAGAATCAAGAAGCAGAGACTAAGTACCATAGTCATTTCATAACCATGCACATTGATTTTTGTAATTTTTCTAAAATGGATGTTTTGTACTATCTCTCTCTGTCTCAATGTAATTTGGTTCTGAATCAAAATCTTGAAAGGATGAATCTAAATTATGTCCCTAAACTTGCAAGGTAGTCTTGGAAATGTAGTTCTTAAGTTAGTTACCTCTGTATGCTATAAGGGGTCTACAGTATCTTTCAACAGATACTTTATAAAGATATTGAAGTCAAGTCTGTAAATGAAATCAGACCTGTCCCACATTGTTCTTAGATACTTTTTCTAACTAACCTACTATTCTGGTCAACTGTGCTGGCCAAATTAAGGTTAAATTCTGTTTTTTATGCATGTGACTGGACCCTTAGAAAATACAAATGGGGAAAAAAGGTTAAATAGTGAAAAAAGGTAGTAAAATGTGAAACCATCTAGATTTTTGAAGCACTTTAAACATATTTGTCCTGAACCCACACAATTTGTACACAAACATTCCTCTTGAGCACGTCTTGTTTGACTGCTTTGATAATATGGTAGCTAAATGGTTTAATTTATCTCTTAAATGATGCTGGAAATTGTATAAAGCAGTGGTCCCTAAACATTTTGGCAACAGAGACCAGTTTGTGGAAGACAGTTTTTCCACAGAAGGCAAGGAGGGATGGTTTCGGGATGATTCAAGTGCATTACATTTATTGTGTACTTTATATATATTATCATTATATTGTAAAATATGATGAAATAATTATATAACTCAACATAATGTTGAATCAGTGGGAGCCCTGAGGTTTTTTTTTTTTTTTTTTTTGGCAGCTAGTTGGTCCCATCTAGGGGTGATGGGAGACAGTGACACTGAAGTGTGTTGCTTGTGTTCAGTTTACTCTGCAATCTCATTATGGTTGCTGTCACTGCAGGGAAGCCTGCTTCACAAAGATAGGATGTTGGAAATGCAAGCATGCTTTTCAGTGCTTTTATGGCAATCTCAAGATATTCTGCCTCGCCTTTAATCCAGAATGTATGGATATTTGATGTCTTCTCAAACATACTTTTAAAGGCACCATCTTTTGTGATGTCAAGCAGTTGATTCTCTTCTAGTATGGGTGAGTCAACTTATGTGACTTATTCGCAAATGGTTCATGGATCCATTCCTTCCCAGTTCAGGGAAGTAGTGTAGTTGGGAAGTAATGCTCAAACTCTTATGGAAGCTGAGATAGGTGATCATGCACCAGCTAGGAGAAAGAAAGCCCTGGCTCATTCTCTTTCAAAATCTCTGCTAGTGTTTGAAACATCAGAAATCCCAATGTTCACTTGTTGCCCTCACAATTCCAGTTTGGCTTTGAATGCAGCCATTTTAACTGCTGACTTGAACACAGTTGTCAGTCTCCTCTGAAGTGACAGATTGAGTTCATTGAGCCAGTTAAATATGTCACACAAATAAGCAAGTTTTGCAACCCATTCTGGGTCACTGAAATGTGCTCTTAGTGGTAATTGTTCTTCTAAAGGAAATCTTTGGAGCAACTCTCACAACTCAAAAACTCTTGCCAGTGATCTACCTTTAGAAGGCCATATCACTTACATGTTGAAGATGTGTGTGTCCTGCGTCCATCTCCTCACAGATCTGTGCTGCGAACAGACATGAATTAAGGGCATGTACTTTCATGTGATTGATAATTTTAATCACATCCTGCAAACTATTGTTAAGTTCAGGTAACGTTTTTGGGCTAGCTAGTATTTCTTTATGGATGACACAGGGTGTAGACTCATTTAGAAGCGACCTCTTTGACTCCAATAGTGAAAGCAGAAAGCCATCCAGTCATGGTAGTCACTCTGTCCATGCATATACTGACACAAAATGACTAATTCGGTTTTCCAGATATGTAATCATTTTAAAACTTGAAGAGTTCTGCAGTTGTGTTGTTGGTTGGCAACAAAAGTGTACATAACGCATCCTTGTGAACATCCTCCTGAAAAATATATCATACAAAACCAAGCATTGTTGCCTTCTTGTCAACATCGGTAGACTCATCAACCTGGATAGTGCACCACAGTGACTCATTAATCCTATATAACCATTGTGCCTATATATCCTCTGCTATTTCATCAGTTTGTCTAGTTATAATGCTAGCCAAAAGAGAAACACGTGCCACTTTTTGAACTGCATCCTCTCCTAAAATTTCACAACAAATGTCCTTAGCAGCAAGCAGGATTAGCTCTTTGCCAGCAGTAAAGACCTTCTTAGCTTTAGCAATGCAGTTAGCCCCTAAGAATGATGCTCTCAGTACAGACACATTTGATGAAGTGGTGGCCTTCATTGCTTCTGTTCTTCATGTTCACAACTTTTTTTTTCTTTTGAAAAACTCCTAAGTCTTGTCTTTTAATAGAGGGTGCTTGGTTTCCATGTGGTGAAGAAGTTTTGAGAGTTTAATGGCTTCATTAAATAACTGCTCATCACATATTATACAAAGCAGGTTTACAGAATATGAATCACCTTTTTCAATGAATCCACAATTTAAGTAGGACACTTGGTATTTTCTTTTAAATTCAGCTGTATTTTTGTTGTCAGCCGTAGAGTTTTCTGCTGTCTCATCATTGTGTCTTTTCCTCTTTTCAAAGAAACTCTCCAGTGACATTTGCTTTTACTCATTTTGGCTAGGGTTAGCTTGTGGGCTTACCCAAACTGTGGCTGAGACAAGTGCACAGTAAAGGAAAGAGGCATGAACAGAAGTGGTAAATAAAATAATGGGCAACCCATGCATGGACTAGAATAAGTGTCAGATTCTGACTTAAAGCCTGCCACCAGATGCAGCTGTACAATTGAAGTACATCAACTCAAGTGCCACTATAAAGCCAGCCACCAGATGCAGCTTAATTGTCATTTGCCATTCACTGATAGGGTTTTGATATGAATCTGCAAGCATTTGATTTGTATGTTCTCTGTGCAGTCAAACATCTCTGCTAATGTTAATCTGTATTTGTAGTCTCTCCCCAGTGCTAGCATTACGTCCTCAGCTCCACTTCACATCATCAGGCATTAGATTCTCATAAAGAGCATGCAACCCAGATCCCTCACATGTGCAGTCCACAATAGGATTTGCAGGCCTATGAGAATCTAATGACACAGCTGATCTGATAGGAGGCCGAACTCAGGTGGTAATGGTTGTGATGGGGAGTGGTTTTAAATACAGATGAAGCTTTGTTCGCATGCTGGCTACTTGCCTTCTACTGTGAGGCCCGTTTCCCAACAGGCTATGGACCAGTACTTGTCTGTGGCCGGGGGTTAGGGACCCCTGAAATACAGTATTTGACAAACTTACTGACTTAATAACATGACTTAAGTAAACAGTCTTCTACCTTGTTTAATGTATAAATATCTTCCAAGTATAAAAGCATGTGAGAAAATGCCTATTATTTAAATAGACAAGCAAAGGATAGCAACTATTTTGATAATGCCATGAATCTAATTTTTCTTCGAATGACTTCTCATCACAGACAATCCATTAAAATAGAAAGATAACAAAATTTAGAAACATATCTATGTCTTGCTCTGCACATACAAAGAACATCTGGCCATAGACCAGACAATTTAGCACTTTGACTTAGTGGTTAATTTTGATTCACTCTAAGGCCAGTCTTTACTAAATTTAAATAACAAAGTACATAAATAAATGCAAATGCAGTATTAAGCTATTCTTCATTAAAGAGAAAAGATACATGATCTATTACAAAACAACAATATGTAGATTACATTCAGAGTCTGCAGAGAACTGATCCCTCTAGATGTTCAGCATTTCCATAGCTTGTCAGAAGCCACGGATACTTTCATATAGACTCTGGTACCGTCTCTTAGAGCCCATTACTTTTTGAGAAAAGAAACTCTAACACTGAATTCTGTTTTTCAGTTTTCTCCTCTAAAGCCATCTCTTTTCTATAACTACGCCAGGGTCCTGCTGTTTCTCCTCAGCCTATACATGAAGTTGTCAATCATTCTGTTCCAACATATTACAATCTTTGAAGCTGTAGGTCAGGAATTTAAGATGAGAAAGAGCAGCTATTTGTTGGAGCCCTCAAAGCCGCTGCCAAATGTTTCTCTGTTCCTGTGTTTCTGAATTGAATTCCATTAATAGGTGTTGTTCTGCTTTATTTTCTTGGATATGTGTTGAACCCCACGAGGGGAATAAATTAGGGAAAAAAAGCATAATTTCAGGAGAAAAAAATTGCGCACTATGTCATTTATATCAATCAAATTAGGAAGTGTATAATAAAGCATCCATTTCTGGTTCTTGAGAGTTTGCCTCTCATTATGGTTAATTTTATTTGTCAACTTGACTGGGTCAGAGTTTCCAGATATTTGGTCAAACATTATTTTAGATAATTTCATGTTTTATGAAATGGGGATGGGTAGACTTCGAATAAAATAGTTTACCTTTCATAAGCAGTCTCATCTGATCAGTTGACAGCCTAGAAAAAAATGGACCTCCCTGAAAGAAAAGGGGTTTCTGCCAGCTGATTGCCTTTGAAATGCATGTCTTTTCTGGGTCTCCATCCTACTAGCCTACTCTACAGATTTTGGACTTGCCAAGCATCCACAATCACATAAGCCAACTTCTTAAAATCAATCTCTTTCTCTCTCTCTCTCTCTCTCTCTCTTTCTCTTGTGTGTGTATGTATGTGAGACAGAGACATTGATTGATTTTGAGAGATAGATTGATGTATATGTAGATACACTTCAGATGTATATACATTTTTAGAATTTCCTAAGTAATAACAGTGTCTTTTTTTTTGATGATGGAGTCCTCATTATGCTAATTAGGTGTTTATGATGAGACCCTAGATAGCTTATACTAATCATATGACTCAGGACATGTGCCAATCATGCCACAAAGACCAATAACATAATTAGAGAGCTAAGGCTTTGAGCCACCTGATATTAGCCAGACCTCTAGCTGAAGACTGGGTCATATGAGCAATGGTTCAATCAATGGTGCCTATAATATACAACCTAATAATAACTCCGAACACCTATGACCTCAGTTGAGGTTCCACAGTTGGTTATTAGCGTCAGGAGAGAAATGTTTCCTGAAGTTGCTGCAAATTCCATGCCTGGAATCCTTCCATGTTTTGCCTTATGCATCTCTCTCTGTTTTTTAATTGGTTCTCCTTTTTATCTTTTAGCCATAGCACAACTGCAGTAGTGAGTAAAGTACTTGAAGTGACTTATGTGTAACTTTCTAGCAAATTATAGAACCTTACCATGACTGTAGGAACCCTCACATTTGTAGTCAGTGGTTTGAAGTGAGAGTTATCTTGGGACCACTGAACTTGTGGATGATGTCTAAAGTCTAAAGTGAGGGCAGTTTTGCGGGAAACTCTTCCATTAACTTTGATTTTGGCAAACTCATTGCAGGAAGAGATATGCCACACTTAAAGTAAAGCATGTTCCTATTTGAATTTCTGAATTATAAAGATTGCATTATGCTTCAGACTTCAGGGATTTATGCCCAGGGATATGAGTTGAATAAAAATCTCTGAAACTCCTGACTGTAGCATGTCTATAGAATGATTTTTCTTCAGCTTTCACTTTAACTTGAAAACCTGTCTCCTTCTCTGTATCCTAGCTATCTGACCTTGCCTAAATCATTTAACTTATTGAATGATCAATTTTTTTAGCTATAAGATGAAAACATAACATTTACTTCATTTAATTACTATGATTAAATTAGATGATGTATGTAAAGTTAATGGATTATTTGGCCCATAATAATCTCCTGAGCACTGTTACAAATTCTGAACATCATGTGATCAGTTTAATGATAAATAATGTTATAACATGCAATTAAATACTAAGGTCATACTAATATAGTCTTTTTATAAGAAAATCTACATAAGAATGAAGAAACAATACTTGGTGTTAAAGAAAATAAAGGAAGTTAAATAGTATGAATTTTCAAAGATACGAAGATATGTCTGATTAATACATTTAATTTGCAAAAATGATCTTGGTCAGTGGATGATAATATGCTCCACTCTTTTGGACAGTACAAGAATAAACAGTCTCCAAATTGCCATGCTTACTTTACATGTTCATTGTTCATCAATGTTGCCCCGACAATAGAATAATATTTAAATATGTTAACACAATCTATCTAATTTAAATTGAGTCAGACAAATTGGAAGCTATTTTATCTCCTTACAAAGACTTTGCATGTCTTTCCTCATTTTGATTTTTTTTATTTTGTAATTTACTAACATGAGAAAAATGAACTTTTTATTTTCTGACATTCTCAAGGATTATAGGTTTTAATGGTTCTGAATACACTAGTTATGTTTGAAAATGGAGAAAGTATTTGAAGACAAAATACTTGGTGGTTTTCAACATTATTTATTTGTATGTATCTCCTACAAAAATGATAAGAGAAAGATAGAAAGAATTTCATCTTTTTCTTATTCATTATAGTTTCCCTAGTGACTATGAACATATATTATTTCCTAATTAAAAATACAAAGCAAACGTAAAGTGAAAAAAACAAAAACAAACAGTTTATACAACCAGAGTGCATATATTCTGTTCTCTCTTCTACTTGGAAAAATTACTTGGACATCCTAAGCATTTGTTGTATTATTTGTAAAAGTGGGGCAATAATACTATATACATAATATGATAACCTTGGAAGAAGAAACCAAAACAAAAATCAAAATCCAAAAAGTATAAAAGGGACCAGGCGTGGTGGTTCACATCTGTGAATGCACTTTGGAAGGCCAAGGTGGGCAAATCACTTGAGCTCAGGAGTTTGAGACCAGCCTGGGCAACATGGCGAAACCCCATCTCTACAAAAAATACAAAAATTAGCCAAGTGTTGTGAATGTACCTGTGGTCCCAGCTACTTGGGAGGCTGAGGTGGGAGGATCACCTGAGTCCACGGGGTGGAGGTTGCAGTGAGCCAAGATAGTGGCACTGCACTCCAATCTGGGCGACAGCAACATCCTGTGTCCAAAAAAGTATAAAGGGTCAAATTGTAAAAATTGTCCCTCCCACCCCTATTCCCAGCCTCTCAGTTCTTTTTCTTTATCTTTCCAGAGATGTTTTATGTAAATACAATCAAATATACACATGCATACTGATGTTATCCCCCTTGTTAACACAAATTTTAGTTTTCTTTATTATTTCTTTTAATAGAGATGGGGTTTTGCTATGTTGGCTAGGTTGGTCTTGAACTCCTGGCCTCAAGCAATCCTCCTGCCTAGGTCTCCCAAAGTGCTAGGTCCATGAGCATGAGCCACCAGACCTGGCTAAATTCTAGCTTTCTTTACACACTATTCTGCATCTTGACTTTTTACATATACCAATAGATTTTGAAGATTCTTTCATACAAGTGCATAAAGAGCTTCCTTTGTTTTGTTTTAGCTGCATAGTACTCAGATTATTGATGTACCCCCTTTTTTTAAGTAGAGATAGGGGCTTGCTATGTTTCCCAGGCTGGTTTCAGTGATCCACCTGCCTTGGCCTCCCAAAGTGCTGGGATAATAAGGTGAGCCACAATACATAGTCCCATAATTTGTTTAACTAATCCCCTATTGATGGATATTAAGGCTATGATATAGTTTGGATGTTTGACTCCTCCAAACTCTTGTTGAAATATGATTCCCAATGTTGGAGGTGGGCCCTGGTGGGAGGTGATTGGATCATGGGGACAAATCCCTTGTGAATGGTTTAGCACCATCCCCGTGATGATAACTGAGTTCTTGCTCAGTAAGTTCATTCAAGGCCTGGTTGTTTAAAAGCTTGGGACCTCCTCCACCTCACTTTCTTTTTCCTATTCTCACATGTGACATGCTGTATCCCTGTCACCTTTGGCCGTGATTGTAAGTTTCCTGAGGCCTCACCTGAAGCACATGTCAGCACCACATTTCCTGTAAAGCCTGCAGAACTGTGAGCCCATTAAACTCTTTAAAAATGATAAAAAAGAAACTCTATATTATATAAATACAAAATACTGGTAATAGATTACTCTAGGAAAGATGCCAACTGATCCACATCTCTAATCTCCAGATTAGATCAATCAGATCCTCTCATTAAGGTATTTGGAGTTAATACTCAATACATGGTACCTCTTAAATAACAGGGCCACTTGTAATAAAAATTACTGATTCAAGGCCATACCAGTAACATTGCAAGTCCAAGCTGTCCATAGAAGCCATGATTAAAGGCAGGAAGTCTATTGCAAAAAAAAAAAATGTGAAAATAAAATGCCTTCATAAGAAAGAGGAAAAAATTACACCTTTTGGCCTTAAAAAGAGGTAAAACAATTAACTCGATTTTTGAAATGTTGCAGTTTTGGTTGTTTTGTAGTCTAAAAATGTATTGTCATCTACTATGGTTTGAATGTTTGTCTCCTTCAAAACTCATGTTGGAATTTAATTGCCATTATGACAGTATTAGGAGGTGGGACTTTTAAGAGGTGTTAAAGTCATGAAGGCTAAGACCTCATAATGGACTAATGCCTTTATTATAATAGTGGGTTTGTTATCCCAAGAGTGGGTTTCACCCTTTTTTCTAGCTCTGTCTGGACTACTTTTTGCCCTTCCACCATGCTATGATGCAGCAAGAAGGCCCTTGCTAAATGCCAGCACTTTGATATTGGACTTCCCAACCTCCAGAACTGTGAGCCAATAAAACTTTTTATTGTAAGTTACTCAGTCTATTATATTCTGTTATAGCAGCACAAAATTAAGACATTATCCTTTTCTCTTACTTCATTCCTTTTGTTTGATACTCCTTGTATTTCCATTATACTGGTAGCTGAAGTGAAAATGAAAAACATTGACTGTAATATAAATATGAAATAATACAATTTAAGTAAATTGTGTTACTCTAAATGCATTATTTTCTCCTCACTCCAGTTGATACTATATATGGTTGGTCTCTCATGTCGACGAGTTCAACATCTGAAGTTTAAACCAACCTCAAATCAAAAATATTTTAAAAAATAAACAATACAACAAAAATACAATTTTAAAAAATATAGGATAGCAATGCTTTTCATAGCATTTAGATTGTATTAGATGTTATAAGTAATCTAGAGATGATTTAAAGTATATGGGAGGCTGTGAGTAAGTTGTATGCAAATAGCACACCATTTTATATGAGAGATTTGAGCATGCTTGGATTTCAGTATTAGTGAGCAGTCCTAAAACCCATCCTCCATGGACACCCAGGGCTGACAAGACAAACTTCCTTGATGTTCTGCATATCCAAGGTTTATGGAATCCCATCCACATCAAACTTCTTGCATATAGATCCCACATGAAGTGACTTTCCATACATAATATAAATTCCGGCAATTTTGACACTTTCATGTGATATATAGTTGATTTCTCAAATTATAGTAAAACTTTCATCATCATATGAAAAAAACTAAATGTAGAGTATAAACGTGGAGCATTTCTGTAAGTGATATTACTCAGATTACTTAACCAAGTAAACATACATTCAAAGTAAAATTTGTGAATGAAAACTTGAGGAATTCAAGGTAAAAAGTTGAGTAAAAACATTAAAAATTTGTCTAAAATTACATTGAATCTGCAAGTTTAATAAGATTTTCTTTAATAACTTTAAATAAACTAGTGCTATCTTTATATACTATGCTAATATACGTATTTATTCATTTTAAGTAAATATTAAAAGTCAATAAAATATTCTGAATACTTAAGGAAAGAAGATATATGGATAAAATACTTTAATAACTAGTGTCTCAGAAAATTAATAAGCACAATTTTCTCTAAGAAATTTTAAAAGAAACGAATCGATCAAGCTCCAGTCACCAAAAGGTGAAAAATGTACATAATGCCTATTTTATTATCATATGGTAATTTAGACTCAGTATTGCTCAGAGAACAAAATCGCAGATATACTCAGAAAGAATGTACATTTTTATTGGTAGTGAGAATGGCATGAAGCACTACAAATAGCTGTGGTCTCAAATCCAGAAATCCAATGTAATATATTTAACTCAATATTTTTTTCTAGTTAAAAAAGTTCATTGTTTTTACTTCTATCATTTAGATAAATCAGTTTATCATTCATCACATACTATTCTTAAAAACTCATACTGAAATATTCATAAAATTTACAGTTTCTATGAAACAATATGATAAATCTATTAAGGCAAATACAATTTTTTAAAAATAATTTTGAAATGTCAAATTATATTTATGAATTAGTTGACCAGTTTTAGAATAATCTTAATTTGGTAATTTCAACAGATAACAAGAAACTTCAATTTTGAATATTCCTACTGGTTAAAGTGGCAATGTCCAAATTACTGAAATAGGCATATTAAAACAAAGAAAAATAAGTGCTCTGGGTATTTTAAAATACCATTGAATACTTTGAAATTCAGTGTCAAAGACATAAAACAAATCTTGTTAGGTTTTAAGTGAATTTAAATATTGGATTTACTAAACATAAACAATCTTAAGATAATATGGCTGTTTTATTTTTGCTCGAAGTTTTTCTTTAAAAATATAGGTTTCTAAATTTTGAGATATCTACAGGAAACTACTAACCAAAAGTAAATAATCAATAGGCATAACATAATCCTGACCTCCAGTGGCCATTCCGGCTTATTGCAGAGGGATTTTTTTTTTAGATTACTCAAAGCAGTGTTGGTAAAATGTTTGTAATTGTTATTTAATTTGATGTTATTTATATGAAGAGCACTTTCCTTATTGATCACAATATAAGTAACAAATACAAAGCTACAAACTTCAAGCTATTAGTAATATATTTTTATTTAATAACTCCCAGAATTCTTAACAATCTCCCAGAATAATAAACAAACAACAAAGAATGTAAAATATTTAAACTTTTCATATTTTACTTCAGTATCTATATCTGTATAATTGCTGACACTTAACTTTTGATAAGCCATCTGATGGATAGGTTTTGATTTTCAATTTGCTTTAATAGACTGTTTTTTACATGCTCCTTTGAATATATTTCCATTTGTAGCTGAAACACAGCATGTTTCAGCCAGGATAGGCATGGTTATACAGTTATAAATATCAACACACATTTATATCTTATTCAAATTACTTGTCCATTGCTGGTTAGCAGAGAAATTGTGCTCACTGGAGTTACTCATGGATCCAGGCAGTTATAATGAGTAACTGGCATCATTAAGGTGCTATTTCTTGGGGAGAAGGAAAGAGAGAGAGAATCTTAGAGTACCATATGCCAACAAAATGCTACAGTTCACAAATAGGCACAAGGCTGCTTTGATAAAACCAGCCACCCAGCATCACCCAACAGAATGGCCCAGGAAGTAATTTCTACCATGTGTCCGGTAGAGGAGGAAATGGTTGATATCAGCATCCATGGAATTAACACTCCTCTGTTTTTGTTTCTTTGCCTTCTTTTACTAGTGCTTCTTCAACATTCTTATAAACATTTCAGGGCCTAATGTTTTAATCCAAACTTTAAATTACATTTATGCTGATGATTTTCAAGTTTATATTTTTTAGTGTATAATTTCTTCAACACTCCAGATCATACAGCTAACATTGTACTTAATATAGCACTTGATGCTATCAAACCTCTAAAACTCAAAATGGTTATAATAGATAATATGGTAACATTCTAAAAATTTTTTTCTTTTGAAGTTTCCTACATTTTAAAAGGAATGGCCCATTTAGTTAAACTTGCTAAAAATCTACTCATTATCCTTGAAAATCCTAGACTATCATTGATGTAGGAGGCTTGCTTTTTTCACCCTAATGATATTTCCCTGTTCATAGTAAGGGGTTCAAGGCTAGGTTCATAAAACAAGCTAAATTAAACAATTCAGATCCCACATGTAATGTCAGAATAACCATCATTAATAACTCTTGTTGGGTTTTAACCTCTGATACTAAAAACAGAATTTACAACCATCAAACTTCCACATGGTTAAGAAAATAAGTAAACACATTGAGGTAAAGAAAGTCAAGTCAACAGATATATTGAATCCAAATCATGTATCTCTTTCAACAGTTAATATGGCTGTACTTGAATATATAACTGTAGTCCTGGTTTTCATTTATAAGAGTCAGTAACTTTATTTTATTTAAGACAATTTTTTCAGGTTTCCTGTCACACGCACCCAAACAAGTTCTAAATGAAATATTTTATCCTCACATACACACAGACACATCTACTAATAGTAGTATTATAATGTTTAAATAACTTTTATAATGTAGTTCTATATACTCCATAAATTTAATGCTATTGAAAAACAGTACATATATATTGAAATATTTACAAACTTTTTATAAAGTATATATGTAGGCTGTATATAAACACGTGTGTGTGTGTATATATATGTGTGTGTGTGTGTGTGTGTGTATTTTACAATAGTTGAGATCTTTCAATTTTATGCAAAAAGCCTGAATATTTATTAAATATCTGCATAATTTGTAACATAAAACAAATTATGAGTACATATATTATTGAGGGCTTTAATTTTGAGTCTGTGGCTCTAACTTACATGTTACAAATTAGGTTTAGGTACACAGTGACTCTTATCTGTATGTTTCTTTACACTTAGAATGTTTTTAAAGTTACATATATTTTAAGTATATACTCATTTTAATTTAACTGTGCATGCTATTACTATTTTCTTATACATGTGATTTGAGGCAGGTCTCAGGTTTAAGTTGCCTAGTAGACAACCATTTTTTCATCACTTGGGTAAACCAAAACTACAAGGAAACCGTGTTCAAATTTCTGAACTGAAGGCCAATATTTTCTTATATATTCTTGTTTATCAATGTTTCTTTCTCAACCCCATTCATATCATATTGGTAATGGGTTGCTGAAAAATAATTGAACTAAGGAGAACACTTTAAAATGATACACTGGAAAAGGTTTAATAAGAATTTATTCAAATATTGGTTAAGGTTTTCATCATTTAACCAAGCTTAAGGAACAGTGTTCCTCTCCTAATGTGATGTTTTGGCATCGCAGGTAAAATAAAAACCCACAGCTCATACAAGTCAGATAAATTTTGTCAGTTTGAATTTTGAAGTTACCGAAGGGCCTCAAATTCCTGGTACCTGTAACAATATCTTTCTATCTTAGGTCAGGATTTCTAAAATTGTGCTCCACAGGCTATGGGTCTCTGAATCAGATTCTCTGTGTGTTCAGGTATCTGTATTGTAAGAAACATATCCAGTGATACATAAGTGCCCCCAAATTCAAAATCGAATGCTTCAACCCAGGAACTTAAAAACTGCAAAAGAAAAAAAAAAGATCTACCTTTTTACCATAATTAAGGTTAACCATATTATTCCTTGAAATTTGGGGATGCTGAAAAATAAATTTTATTTCTGCGCCTCTTATTATTTATTTATACCATAAGTGAAATTCCAGCAAACTACAGCTGGCACTGATGACATGAAAGAACCCGAAAAATAAATAGATCAACTTGGGTAGAATATTCTACCTTACATTTACAGGAAAATGAATAGGAGAAAAACTAGAGAAGGACTTAAAGGATAGAACATAGTTAAGACTATTGGAAGTGCTGACAACCAAAGAAAGAACCTTTTTTATCCAGGTGAAAATCACATGAATAAATAACTTTGGGAGAAATTTTGCCTGCAGAATTTCCTGGTATTGTTTTCTTGAGATTTTTAGCAAAACAAAATTTTGTCAATTAGCCAGTTCATATGAACTAGTAGGCCAATGTGATCTAACCACTTGTTCAAAATGCCTATTGTAAAATTGATTACCTCTAGGAGTTAAGCTAGAGGCCTTGTATCAATTAGTAATTGTAATTGAAGCTGAGTGTAATTAATTATATAATTTTGGGATGTTAATGGTAAATCCCATTCTAATTACATGATGAAACTGAATCATTATGAAGAATTTACTCAGGTATGAATAAAACCTCTGAAGGGATTTGTTGGACATTTTTATTAAGAACAACAATAAAATTATTTTCACCTTATAGGATACATGTTAGACTGCAGGCAGTTATTAATTACAATGAATAATATCTGTGTCTCTCTTCTCATTTCACACGCTCCTCTCTGTTTCCTAAATCTTCATAAATATAGTTGTCTGATTCAGTAAAATGAAATTCTTTCACTATCATTCTATAGTGAGTTTCTAAAAAGTTTTTAAATTTTAGTTCATATAGACATTAAAAAAATAACTGCATATACTACATAGACTAGGTTGGGTAAAGATGACACAAGACAAATATATATATATTCACCAAATATACAACAGATATAAAACACCTTACCCATAATTGATATTATAATTTTAAAAAGGAAACCCCACTATGGGTGGAATTGAAATAATTTTTTCATGATGAGCTCCAAGTGTTTATTGAAAATAGATTGAACTAAGCAAATAAGATGAAAACTATCTGCCAATTCATCAGTAGCTTATTAGCTATTGATATAAAAGAATTTTCCATTAATTTTTGTATTCTCAATGCCCAGTACATTGGACCCTATATTAATTTTCCAGGAAGATATGATGAGAGCTGGGGACCCATTTCTGTATCATATGTCTTCTGTGTACTCATAACAGAACTGATAATCACGGAAAGGATAAAACCTTTGCATGAACACAACAGCTTCAAATACAGATTTAACACATAACTTTTGCCCAATTTTCATTGAACTTCTGCAACTGTTCCTTTTCATTTATATCCTTCACTTTCCCATTTAAAAGTGCTAGATCTTTGGGTAAAAACACAGTTGATTTGAAATAATGGTGGCTATCTGAATTTTTATTCTAGCTTGAGGCATTTGTGTTTTTTTTTCAAAATAATAAAATAGCTGAACACCTCAGTCGTGGATTCATTATACATAGAAATTAATATTTTTCATATTTAAAACTGCTTTAAGATAAAAACAAAAATTAAATGTGATAGGTGACAGTTTTAATTTTGTGACTAGTTAAGATTACTTCAATTTTGAAGTTTTATTGTGTATTTAGTAGAATATATTTTGAAGTGCACTAGTTACAGTATAATTTTATAACATCTTCTTACTAATATATAAAACAAACTATTTTAGAATAAAAATAGGCTTTGGTTCATTATCTGTGTCTCTGTTGCCTGAGTCTTGTAAATGAATATTACTTATTTATAAAAAATTTTAATTGCATATTGTCTGTGACTGCTGTATGCCAACAAGGTAATAAAAAGGTTATAACTGAGATAACTTTGCTGACTATGAAAACAGATGTCCCTTCCTTGTCTATTTTTTTACTATGCTTTAAATTTCTTCATTTTATAATCTCACATAATATTGTATAGTATTATGGGTTTATTTGTGTTTTTCCCTCATTAGAATATAAGTTTTAAGAAAGAGGCTATTTTCTCTGCTGTATCCACAATGGGAAATATAATAAATGCTCCATAAATATTTATTTAATAAATATGTACTTAAATCTGCAAAATACAGTTTTAATTTAAAACTAACTTAATTGTATTGCAGTTTTTTGGTGATATGTAAGAAATCAATATGATAAGATTCTACAAAATGTCTACTTTTGTAGACTAAGTTCAATTAGATAGACTAAGTTCAATTAGATAGACTAAGTTCAATTAGATAGCGGTATTTATTAAGTAAAATTACCTAGTTTCTTGTATAAAACGAGAAAAAATTCAATTTTAAGATTACAATATTGATGTCAAATTTAAATACCAATGGAGGCCAAGCTTATTTTCTCCTTAAATGTTTTGAAAAATATATGGACAATCATTTTTATTTTCCATTTTCCTACACTCAAAATATATGTAAAATAAAGTAGATATTATACTTGGCATGTAATGAGACAAACCCAGTCCAACATGCTAAAAGAATTTCTTTAAAATGTATTATCTTAGTAGGTAGTATTTGATGTAGCTAACATTACTAGAAGGTTGTTTTATAGTTGACAACTCCATTTAAGCAGAAGAGTTTGGATATTCAGCAACATGGTCCAAGGTTTATTTTCACCTCAGGTTAATAGGATTGTTTTTACGGAGTAGTGTTAACATGCCCTTTTCTTGTTTTGTTATCACCTTGTGTTTCTTTCTCAGTACGGTTTTCATATCTCTGGTTAAAACCTCCCGGGAGAAAAGCTTTAACACTAGAAAGGTACATTTTCCCCTAGGTTGCTCTGCCACTGCTTGCTTAGAAATTGCTGTGTATTATGGGACAGGAAAAGGAAGAAAAACAAATAATAGCTGAGGCTTTCTATTTATTAATCCCAGCTGAAGCGAGTAACACTAGCAAATTTCTGAGTGCATCTTTCTGTAGCAACCAAAACTAAGGCTATCAAGTGACGAAGCTTATTTCAAGTGGGAAGGAAAGTCATATGAAGTTTTCAAAATTAAAATATTATGATCTTTCTTTGTTGTGTCTATTCCTACAAAATGCCAAGAGATTAGTTGAAATAACTGAATTCTGCTCAACAGTTTTGTTGACATTTACAGATACTGTGGTAGGAAGAAAAATAGCCCACAAGAGATGCCCATGGTCTAATTCCTGGAAACTGTGAATATGTTATGTTATGCTGTAGGAGGGAATTAAGGTTGCAAATATAATTAAAGTTAGTAATCAGCTGACCTTGAGATCAGAAGAGTATTCTGAGTTATCTGGGATTTAATGTAATCACTGGAGTAATAATAAATGGGAGAAGGTCGCAGGAGAGTCAGTTACAGTATGTAAATTGAGAAATAACTATTCTTTGCTTTTTTTTTTTTCTTCTTCTTAAGACGGAATTTTGCTCTTGTTGCCCAGGCTGGAGTGCAATGAGGTGATCACGGCTCACTGCAACCTCTGCCTCCCGGGTTCAAGCGATTTACTGCCTCAGCCTCCTGAGTTTGCTGGGATTACAGGTGCCTACCACCACGCCCGGCTAATTTTTTTGTATTTTTAATACACAGAGGGTTTCAACATGTTGGCCAGGCTGGTCTCAAACTCCTGACCTCAGGTGATCTACCTGCCTAGGCCTCCCAAAGTATTGGGATTACAGGTATGAGCCACCGCGCTCGGCCCCATTCTTTGCTTTAAAGATGGAAGACGGATATGATCCAAAGAATGTGAGCAATCTATAGAAGCCAAAATTGGCAAGAAAAACAAAAATTCTTTAGAGACTACAGAAAAGGACGCATCCCTACCAACTTTTGGCCTTTTGGTCTTTAAAAGTGTATGGTGATAAATATGTGTCTTTCTAAGTAACTAAATTTATGGTAATTTGTACCATAATAGGGATGTTACAACACAGTATAGCAATAGGAAACTCACAGAGATACTTGATTGAATTAGCAGATTTTCCTGTGCCAAAGTAAACAGCAGTCAAAAACATGGAGCTGTAATGACTCTGAGGTAACAGTTAATGTTTCTGCAAATAAGACTATGTAAACAAATTTCAAAAAATTGCAAAAAAAATCCCGGAATCTAAGGCTAGGTGAAAAGTTTCTAGAGTTGACACCAAAAGCATTATCCATGAAAGAAATATGAGAAATTGAACCTCATCAAAATTTTTTTAAATTCCTTTTTTGAAATACTTACTAAATGGATAAAAAGACAAGCTATAGAATAGGAGAAAATATTTGCAAATCACATATCCAACAAAGGACTAGTATTTAGAATATAAAGAGAACTCTCACAGCTGGATAGAAAACAATCCAAACAGAAAATGAACATATGCTATTGTTAAACAATTCATCCCAGTATATGAGCATAATGAAATTTAAAATTACTATTTTATCACATTTGAAAGCTGGGGCTATGTATTGATCCATGATTCTTGGTTTACCATATTTTTACTTTCAAAAACCTAAAATAAAACTACTACATCTGTATTCTTTGTAGAAAAACACTTTTATTATTTTGGACAAATCTGTAATAGTTGCTAAAATTTGAAGATTTTGTGGGCCTCAACTGCTCACAAAATGGAATGCTAAACAAGGTTTCTTTTAAACTGGCTTCATATCAAAGACATCCTTATGTGTTCCTAGACAGGTGAAGTAGTATATACTTTCTCTTCTCCTAGAAGTAACCAGGTTCCTTTCACCTTTCAATCTTTCTCCTCTCCAAGACAGTAACAATCACAGTTTAGTTTCCCTTTAGTTCCAACATTCTTTCAGATTTCCACTCCTCTGTGAAAATTTCTGTTCAAAAATTGTATTAAAAATGAGCTTCTGATTTAAATGAGCTAAGTAAAAGGAAAAGAAAGTACAAAAAGCTAACAAATGCCTCCCTGTGCTGACCCAAGCTACTCATGTCCTAATCCCCGGAACCTGTGAATATGTTACTGTGTCTAGTAAAAAGGACTTTGCAGATGGGATTAAAATTAAGGATATTAAGTTAAAGAAGTTATCCTGAATTATCCACATGGGCCCAATGTAATCACAAGGGTCCTTATAAGAGGAAAAGAAGGAGATTTAATTATAGAAGAAGAGCGTCAGTATAATGTAATATGACAATAAAACTCAACCAGTGATTGTAACTTGGAAGATAAACTAAGTGGCCAGGGGCCAAGTAATCCAGGTGAACTCTGGAAGTTTAAAAATATTTGCAAGCTATGCATCAGACAAAAGTCTATTCTAACCAGATCTATAAGGAACTTAATCAATTCAACAAGCAAAAAAACAAACAACCCCCTTAAAAAGAGGGCAAAGTACATGAACAAACAATTCTCAAAAGAAGACATCTAAGCAGCCAACAACCATATGAAAAAATGCTCACCATCACTATACATCAGAGAAATGCAAATCAAAACTACAATGAGATACCATCTCACGCCAGTTAGAATGTTGAGAAATTACCAGAGTTGGTGGGGCTGTGGAGAACAGGGGACATTTACATACTTTTGGTGGTAATGTAAATTAGTTCAGCCACAGTGGGAAGCAATTTGGAGATTTCTCTAAGAACTTAAAATAAAACTACCAGTCCACCCAGCAATCCCATTACAGAGTATATACCCAAAGGTATTAATCCTACAGAAATTATTCCAAAAAATTGAGGAACTGGGACTCCTCTCTAATTCATTCTATAAGGCCAGAATCATTCTGATACCAAAACATGGCAGATACATAATGAAAAAAGAAAGTTTCAGGCCAATATCCCTGATGAACGTAGACACAGAAATGCTCAACTAAATACTAGCAAATTGAAACCAGCAAGTGCATTCAAAAGCTAATTCACAATGACCAAGTAGGCTTTACTCTGAAAATGCAAGTTTGGCTCAACATACACAAATCAATAAATATGATTAATCACATACATAGAACTAAAAAGAAAACCACATGATCATCTCAATAGATGCAGAAAATGTTTTCAATAAAATTCAACATTGCTTCATCTTAAAAACCCTCAACAAGCTAGGCATTGAATGATCATACTTCGAAATAATGAGCCTCTATGACAAACTCACAGCTAACACCATACTGAATAGACAAAAGCTGGAAGCATTCCCCTTGAGAAACAGAACAAGTCAAATATGCCTATCCTCATCACTCCTGTTCAACATAGCACTGGAAGTCCTAGCCAGAGAAATCAAGCAAGAGAAAGAAACAAAAGTAAAAGACATGCAAATAGAAAGGGAGGGAGTCAGACTATCTCACTTCGCAGATGATATCATTCTATACCTAGAAAACACCATAGTTTCTCCCAAAAAGGCTTATAGAACAGATAAGCAACTTCAGTAAAGTTTTGGGATCAAAATCAATGGGCACAATTCAGCAGAATTCTTTCTTTCCTTCCTTCCTTCCTTCCTTCCTTCCTTCCTTCCTTCCTTCCTTTTCTTTTCCTTTCTTTCATCGGAGTTTCGCTCTTATTGCCCCAGCTAGAGTGCAATGGCACAATCTCAGCACACTGCAACCTCTACTTGGGATTACAGGCGTGAGCCACCGTGCCCAGACTAATTCAGTAGCTTTTCTATTCAACAGTATCATTCAGGCTGACAGCAAAATCAAGAATGAAATCCCATTCTTAATAGCCACAAAAAGAATAAAATACCTAGAAATACAAGTAACCAAGCAGGTAAAAGAAATCTACAATGAGAATTACAAAACCCTTTGAAAAGAAATCAGAGATTACACAAACAAAAGGAAAAAGCATTTCATGCTCATGCATAGGAAGAATCAATATTGTTAAAATGGTCATACCGCCCAAAGTAATTTACAGGTGCAATGTTGTTTCTATCAACCTACCAACATCATTTTTTTTTTTACAGAATTAGATAAAACTATCCTAAAATTTATATGGAAACAAAAAAGAAGACTGAATAGCAAAAGAAATGCAAAGCAAAAATAACAAAGCTGTAGGCACCACATTACCTAATTCAAACTATACTACAAGGCTACGGTAACCCAAATAGCCTGGTACTGGAAAAAGAAATAGACCAATGGAACCAGTTAGAGAACCCAGAAATAAAGCCACACCACACACCCACAACTATCTGATTGTTGACAAAGCCGACAATAATAAGCACTGAAGAAAGCACCCCCTATTCAATAAATGGTGCTGGAATAGCTGGCTAGCCATATGCAGAAGATTGAAACTTGACCCTTTCCTTTCACCATATACAAAAGTCAACTCAAGATGGATTAAAGACCTAAATGTAAGTCCTAAAAGTATAAAACATCTAGAAGAAAACCTAGGAAATACCCTTCTCAACATTGGCCCTGGCAAAGAATTCTTGGCTAAGTCCCCAAAAGCAATTGCAACAAAAACAAAAATTGACCAGTGGGACCTAATTAAACTAAAGGGCTTCTCTACAGCAAAAGAAACTGTTAACAGAGTACCAGACAACCTAGAGAATGGGAGAAAATATTTGCAAGCTATGTATCTGACAAAGGTGTAATGTCTGGAATTTTTAAGCGATTTAAACAAATCAGTAAGCAAAAACCAGTAACTCCATTAAAGATGGGCAAAGGATATGAATAAACACTCCTCAAGAAAACACTCATGGGGCCAACAAGAATATGAAAAAATGGTCAATATCACTAATTATTAAACAAATGCAAATTGAAACTACAATGAGATACCATCTCACACCAGTTCAGAATGACTATCATTAAAACGTCAAAAAAATCAGATGCTAGTGAGATTGCAGAGAAAAAGGAACACTTATACACTGCTGGTGGGATGTAAGTTAGTTCAGGCACAGTGGAAAGCAGTTTGGAGATTTCCCAAGTAACTTAAACTAGAACTACCATTCGAACCAGGAATCTCATTAGTGATATAAACCAAAAGGAAAATATTAATAAGTTGCCCTACCAAAAGGACACAAGCACTCGTATATTCACTGCTGCAATATTCACAGTAGCAACTACATGCTCATCAACAGTGGACTGAATAAAGAAAATGTGGTACACATATATGACGGAATACTACACAGGTATAAAAAGGAATGGAATTACATCCTTTGCAGCAATATGGATGCACCTGTAGACCATTATCCTAAGCAAATAAATGCAGGAACAGCGAACCAAATACTGCATGTTCTCACTTAAAAGTGGTAACTAAACATTGAATACACATGGACACAAAGAATGGAACAATAGGTGCAGGGGTGTGCTTGAAGGTGGTGGGTAGGAGTAGGGTGAGAGTCAAAAACTACCAATTGGGCACTATGCTCGTTACCTGGGTGATGAAATTATTTGAACACCAAACCCCAGTTACATGTAGTTTACCCAAGTAACAAACCTGCACATGTACCGCCTGAACCTACAGGTTGAATAAGAAAATTAAATATATGATTAGATATACTACAGGAGAGTCATATGACAGAACATTTTAAATGGTGTAATATAACCATGTTCTACTGCTCCATATTAAACACGCTTTACTTGAAAAAATAAAATAAATAAATCTACTTTTGATTGATAGGTATTTTTTTTCCTAGTTTAGAGTTATTGCACATAATGTTGCTCTGAACTTTCTTTTGCATACCTTTTGGAATAATCTTGCTCATTTCTATAAGTTATATTACTAAGAATGGAATTGCTTTGTTGTAAAATAGAGTATGCTTATAATCAGTTTAGGTAGTCAATCAGTTTTGGTGGATCAGCAGTACATGAAATTTCCAGTTTTTTGATATTATAGCTAAACTTGATTTGACATTTTCTGCAAATTTAACTATTCTATTTGATTGGTATTATATTTGTTGGAAGACAATTTTTTCATAGATTTGTGGAGGTACTACACATCCAGGTATTAAACAGCCTTCATGCTTTGAGACTGTCTTTTCTGGAATCTGTATGCAGCCCTGGAAACAGAGACAGAAAATCTCTCTGAGGCCAATTTGTTTTATTTTTTGGACAGTAAAGATAAAGACAGTAATTCTCTCTAAAATATTGAGAGATATTTCTCCCAGAAAAAACTCTTGCTTACTTTTTTGGGTAATCAAGTTAGGGGTGCCTTCCCCCACTCCCTAGAAATATTTGCTTATATTCCAGGGTAAAGAAATTGACATTTGTCTCTGGAATAGAGGGTGAATGAGCAAGTTTACTAGCAGCTACTACATAAGATCAGAGTGTCCCAAATTTGTATTTTTCATCCTGTAACGTCTTGTCACTACATGTAAAGTTATCAGCTAGAACTCACCACTTTTCCCTATGGGAATTGGGGCTGTAGGAAACAGTGTAATTTTAACTTGGTTTCTGCTTTTGCTGTGAGTGATAAACTGTCTTTGTTTTTAACCCAGATATCAATCTCTCTTTCTCTCTCTGTCGTTCTCTCTCTTCTACGTGTGTGTGTTTGTATGTTTATTTTTCTGTGTGTCAGACTTCCCCATTAGCTTGCAAATTGGGTAAAATAACACTTCACAGTTACTAACTTAAAAATGTTGTAATTTAAATTTGCATTTCTTTGTTCATGAGGTGAAATTCTTATCTTATGATTAATGATAATTTGAATATTCTCTATTATAAAGTACATATTCAGATCATTTTTTTCTAATTATTTCAAGCGGCATTTATTTGTACTTTAAAATATCTCTTCATTTAACCTTTTTTAAAATAAGTAATGCAAGTTTATCTCTTACACTATGATTTTAATTTTTAACGCTATTCATGGTTGCTTTTGATAACAAGAGCTCTTAATTTTAATAAAGACCATTTTACCAAATGTTTATTTTTATTATACTTTAAGTTCTGGGATACATGTGCAGAACGTGCAGGTTTGTTACATAGGTATACATGTACCATGGTGGTTTGCTGTACCCATCAACCCATCATCTACATTTTACCAAATATTTTTATAGCCACTTCTGTCTTTTATTCTGATTATTATTACTATCCCATGGTCATAAAACATTCTCTTTACATTTTTCCCTAGCTAGATGCTTTATTGGTTTGTCTTTCACATCTTTCTCTAAGATGCTTTTGCATGTAATATTTATTATTATTATATGACTTAGATAACAAGGCTTGTTTATTTTTATGTATCAATTTTCATTTACCATAACACTGTTCCTTCGAAGCACTATCTTTCTACACAGCTTTGTAGGAACAAAGTTACTATAAACTATTTTACTAGCATGGTTGGGTCAGTACTGACCACTAAATTCTTTTTCATCATTATAGTTTTCTATCTTTATGCAAATATTTTATTTTGTTTTTTGCTTTGTAATAATTTTTCATCTGGTTTTGTAAAAAAAACACTTTTCTTACTTTTTTGTAAGATTTGTGTTAACTATTTTTTATGATTATCTTTGCTATCATCAACTTTCTCCACAAATACTTTAGAACCAAAGTGTCAAATTTAACAGAAAAACTTTATAATTGTTGGCTTTTGGTTTATTGAAATAAAATTTATTTTTACACATTTACTTATTATAGTAACTTTTATAATTTCACTTAGTAATAGTATATGTAATGTCACCTGAACATAATGTCACTTATACATAATAGCATTCTATTTCTTCCTTTCCAGTTTGCATCCTTTGTCTTTTTCCTTATTAGAGTAGCTGAAACTTGTAGTAATACCTTAGGTAGATGTGGAGATAGGGGATATTTTTATCTTCTCCCTGAGTTAAAGGAAATTGTAATATTTTATCATTGAATAAAATATTTTCCCTAGAATCTATACAGATTTGTTTTATAGTTTTTACAGTTTTTATAGTATTTGTCACATAAATGTTTCTGAGATTTTGTTTTCTGTGCAGTTTTGGTGTTACAGAAAGTGAAATTTATTTCCTCATTTACTCTAACTCAAAAAGTTATAATGATTCAATTTAAAATAATAAACACTGAAGTAAATATGTTAAAATTTGTCATAACATATTTTTAAATATAGATCTGACTTAAATTTGCTAATATTTTGCATTTATGATGATAAGAGTGATTGGCTTCTTATTTTCTTGTCCTGTAATATCTTAATTGAGGTTTTAAACTTAAGGTGATGTCACTAACTTAGAAGAGTTGGGAAGTTTTCTCATATATTGTCTTTTCTGAATGAGTTTGTGTAGTATTTGTTTTCATTATTCAATAAAATTTTATTGTTGCAATCATTTGTGTCTACATATTTATTTTCTGTTTTGTCATCAATTATTGTACTAGGTATAGACATTTCCTGATTTCTATTTTATTATTCTGTCAGTTTTGATAAGTTGTGCCTTTTAAGCAGTATGTACTTGTTTATTAAAATGCCAAATTTATTGACAAAATGTGTTCAAAATACACTATTTCATCTTTTATTTTAAGTGTCTGTAATTCTGTTCTATCCTTCGTTGCTGTTATTTCATTTGTCCTAAAACAGGTAATAGTATAATGTATGGACTTAAACATACTTGATTCATCATTGTGGCATCTGCTATGGTTTGGATATTTGATCCCTCTAAAGTTCATGTTAAAATTTGTCCCTCAATTTTGGAGATGGGGCAAAATATTAGGTGTTTGGGTCATAAGGGTAGATCTCTCTTGAATGTCTTGGTGTTGTCCTTAGGGTAGACAGTGAATTCTTGCTCTGTTAGTTACTGTGACAGCTGGTTGTTTAAAAGAGGCTGGCACCTCCCCTTATGCTGTCTGCCTTCCTCTCTTGCCATGTCATATCTACACATACTGGCTTGCCTCTATCTTCCTCCAGGAGAGGAAGCAGCCTGAAGAAGTGGAAGCAGATGGACAGCCAGTAATCTTTCTCCTTATACTTTGTCATTCACTTAGGGAATTTTTTCTTGCACCTCCATGGCACTGGGCTCAGTGGCTTTTGAGGTCCCAGTAACTAATAATTCTGTCAGGTAATACGTCATCTGAAATGAAATTTGAGAATACCACTTGCCCATGTTTGGAAATCAGGGGATATTGTTAGTATTGCTAATATTACTGGTTAATGGGAAAATTCTCAGGACTGCTAAGGAGTCGGATTTTGAGGGAATTAAATTTAGGATGCCAGCACTTGGTAAGCTTCTCTAATCCACCATGTTCCTGGTGGAGAGTATGAGAAAGAGAAATGGGCAGCCCAAGTAGGAAGCTTTCATTATCAACATAGGCTTTGTGACTGGTCAACGGAAGACTAAAGTAACTATGATTTGGGTTAATTCATTTTGTCTTTTCCTAAATTTGCACAATGTTTTCTCCTACCTGAAATGAAGGCAATGTTGTATGCTAACATTTAAAGTTCTAGATGAGAGTTTAGTTTCCGAAGGTTCCCAAAACAAAGTACTATACACTGGGTGGCTTACAACATATATTTGTTCTCTCATAGTTTGGGAAGCTAGAAGCCTGAAATCAAGATGTTGATTAGGGCCATGTGTCCTTTAAAACCTTAGGGGAGGATATTTCTTTGCCTCCTCCAGTTTCTGGTAGCTCGGAATAATCCTTGGCTTGTGATGTCATACGTCCAATGTCTTATTCTGTCTTGTAAGAACAAATACAAACTAAAAATAAGAGGCTTCATTGTCCCTGTTAAAATTAAGGAAAGAGATTCTCTTCCCTCCTTTTTCTTAGAGCATCTACTTTAGAAAACATAAAATTGCAAGTACTTTCTCCTCTCTTTGAAATGTAATGAGATCTTTTTGTAAACTAAATAGACCTTTTATCATCTTTATGATTCAAGAACATCTTTCTCAAAAACTTGGGAGTCATCTCTTTGAAATGTCAACAAGAAGGGAGATACTAGCCCTATCTCCCAGTTTGTGTGGGAGGCTAGGAGCCTAACTTCAGTGGGTGCCATTCTTCAAGTTGCAAACCTAGCTCATGTCATAAAAACATAAGAAGTTTGTTTTTCTTTTGGATATAGCCAGTTTGCTAACAACAGGCCACCTTAATAACCAGGTAAAGTTAGGATGAATTATGTGTAAGAGGAACTTCTTACCTGAGAACTACATATTGTTTATCTACAGAACATGTATGAAACATGGATTCTGCTTAACTACAGAAAAGGTTGGAATTTTATTTCTGTCCTTGAATCTCTTAGTGGATTGTCTGTGATATATATCAAGTTTTGATTTAATGTTTATTGGGTAAGAAAAATATTTTGGCAGGGCATGGTGGCTCCCAACTGTAATTCTGGTGCTTTCAGAGGCCAGCACAGGTGAATCTTTTGATCCCAGGAGGTCAGGACCAGCCTGGACAACATGGCAAAACCCTGTCTCTACAAAAAAAAAAAAAAAAGCCAGGCATGGTGGTACAAGCCTGTAGTTCCAGTTATTTGTGAGGCTAAGATGGGAGGTTCACCTGAGCCCAGAGAGGCTGAGGCTGCAATGAGCCATGATCAGGCCATTGCACCCTAGCCTGAGTGACAGACTGAGAAAAAGAGAGAAAGAAAGAAAGAAACAAAGAAAGAAAGAAACACAGAAAGAAACAAAGAAACAAAGAAAGAAGGGAGGAAGGGTGGGAGGGAAGGAAGGAAGGAAGGAAAGAAGGAAAGAAAGAAGGAAAGAAAGAAAGGAAGGAAGGAAAGAAGGAGCAAGGAAGGAAGGGAGGGAAGGAAGGAAGGAAGGAAAGAAGGAAGGAAGGAGAGAGAAAAGAAAGAAAGGAAGAAAGAAAGAAAATAAAAGAAGGAAGGAAGGGAGGGAGGGGAAAGAGAAAGAAAGAAGGAGAGAAGGAAGGAAGGAAGGAAGGAAGGAAAGAAAGAAAGAAAGAAAGAAAGAAAGAAAGAAAGAAAGAAAGAAAGAAAGAAAGGGAAAGAAGGAAAAATATATTTTTCCCCTACTACCTCTGTGAGGAGGATTTCTAAGATGTTAGAAGATTTTATTTTTAATCCTCTTTCCCTGTGTGTCATCACCTGGAATTATCTGTGTGTTTGTCTGTCTGTGTCCAAATTCTTTTCTTCTTAAAAGGATGTGAGTCATATTGGATTAGGGATCTAATGACCTAATTTTAACTTTATCATATCCATCATAACCCTATTTTCAAATAAAGTCGCATTCACAGGTAACATGGATTAGAAATTCAACATAATTTTGGGTGTAGGGTCACAATTCAGCTCATCAGAGAAGTGTTCCTGGATTCATATCACTGAACTATAAGGTAGATGATAGGACTTTGTCTCCAGGATTTGGAGAAAAAGTTCCTTTTTCTGGAAGTAAAAACAAGAGTGAATGCTATGAGAGAAATGAGTAGACTATGTTGGGTATCCTTTTAGTTTTTCCAGATCCATTTTCTGCCCAGCTCTCTGTACTTGACATTTGATTACTATGTACTGCATTACCTGGGAATTTCATGACATCTTTCCTATGCTTGGTTCAAAAAACAGCCTCAATTTTTTTTAACCAAGTTTATAAATACCACCTAGTGGTCATGTTCTGCAGGTATAGTTTCTGCTTAATTCTAACAGCTCATTCTGCATGTCCTTTTAATTCCAAGGGTGATAGTAGTTTCCCATTGCTGCTAGACCCAGATTTCTTTATCATAGTTTCATAGTTTTACCTTCATTCTATCCACATTTGTAATCCTCCCTCCTTTAAACACTGAAATCACTCCTTATTATAACATTATTTCTTAACACGACCCTCATAATTATACCTACTCTAATTTGTAAGTCTACTTCTACTAAAGCTTAAGGGTAAGTTATTTCTTTCTTTTATGTCTTAATGTGAAAATATTCTTTCCCTCCTTTCATAGAGAGACCAAAGAAGGGAAAAAAAAGTCTGTCAGCAATGTTTCTAAATCAGGGAGCCCAACTGTTACTTGCATGAGCTTGCAAAGTATCTTCTAGAAATTCTTGATGAGAGGTTGCAACTGAGCACAGTGAGCTGTAGTACACTGTCCATGTATATGAAAGAGACTATGCAAGCTGAGTAAGCCATTGGCTCCTGATCTGTTCCCACTCTTGTAGACAATAATGCTTTGTAAGCATTATAAAAACAGATGCCCTAGGCCTGTCCTAAACCATGCATGACCACCCTACATTTATTATAAATTAGATATTGGTTTCTATTAAAATAAGATAATTCTTTCCATATTTACTTATTTGTACTCTTCATGCTTCTTGGTTATACCAACCTGCACAAGCAATTTTAAATTGTTTATAAACATATTCTTCCCTAGATAACAAGCAATGTCTCAATTTGTTTACTATGCTAGGGGATAAAGTGTTCTTACATTTTTTAAAACAACTTATTCTTCTCTTCCTTTTTTCTTCTTAATTTTATGATAGTATAAAATTAAAAATATTTTATTATACATTTCTTATCTTTTTGTGTGAGTTTTTCATATTATCATACTCACATTTATTGGCCATAAGATTAAACAAGCAAAACTATTTTTGAAAATTTTCTCTTTTCCCTCTATGTTCTTATCTAATTGCCTTTTTCTTCCCATCAATTCACTTGCTATATCTTTCTTTCTACTACTTACAGAGAATACAGAGGTCAAATAAATATCAGTTACTTATAATTTTGAGCTCCTCATCTACCACTTATTAATTTTTTAATTAAATGTTTCTTGTTTTCTATTTTGTATATTATGCTTTAATAGCTCTGAAAATGTATATGTAAGTTTTTTATTTATCTCATCTAATTCACATAAGTAAATTTTAATTTGCATACAAAATTTTTTGATAATGAGATTTTCTTATATCCACATTGCTTTCCCCATAAGAACTGCAATATCTTACAATTATATTTAATTAATTCTGAAGTAATATAATAAATTCATAACAACTTTCTTTTTATTCAAATGTATCAAAAAACAGAAATGAATGGGTCTTTCTCTATTTATACAGTATAATTAAGAAAGGATTTTAATCAATATTTTACCAAAAATATGAGTACTGACTTCAATTTCTTCTGGACTACATTTTATGTAACAGATATAAGGGATTGTTTAACAGCTCATAAACTTAGAATTGTGACTGTCTCTGAACACTATCATTCAATAAAAGACAGTATTTGAAGTGGTCTTGCAAGTAAATGATTTACTTCAAAATAATATCGCCCTCACCTGGCAGAGAAAAACACTACAGCTAAAAATAAATGAGAAAGATGTCATCAAGATAGCTGACTCAATGCACACAACACTCACCTCCTCCAAAAAGAGAGATGAAGACAGTGATCAGATAACCACACATTGAGCAGAGCTTCTAAGGGAGACCACTGGAATTCAGCATGGCAATGACAAAGACCCTCTGAGACATGGAGACTCAGGATAGCAGAATAGTGTGGGGAGCAAAGCAGCCAGCCAGACACCAGTTATAAACCAAAAGGAGTTCTCCGTTTCAGGGAAAAGATAATCAGAAGATCCCCAGCAGTCCACATTTTCATCACAGATGCCAAGAATCCTAGTTATCAGGGAGCCTCTCAGTGTTAACAGGCCCTGAGCTTAGTGTATTAGTTCATTTTCACACTGCTGATAAAGACATAATCAAGACTAGCCAATTAAAAAAAAAAAGAAAGAGGTTTATTGGATTTACAGTATCACGTGTCTGGGGAGGCTTCACGATCATGGTGGAAGGTGAAAGGCACATCCCACTTGGCAGCAGGCAATAGAAGAGAGCTTGTGCAGGGAACCTCCCTTTTTTTTTTTTTTTTTTTTTTTTTTTTTGAGACAGAGTCTCGCTCTGTCGCCCAGGCCGGACTGCGGACTGCAGTGGCGCAATCTCGGCTCACTGCAAGCTCCGCTTCCCGGGTTCACGCCATTCTCCTGCCTCAGCCTCCCGAGTAGCTGGGACTACAGGCGCCCGCCACCGCACCCGGCTAATTTTTTGTATTTTTAGTAGAGACGGGGTTTCACCTTGTTAGCCAGGATGGTCTCGATCTCCTGACCTCATGATCCACCCGCCTCGGCCTCCCAAAGTGCTGGGATTACAGGCGTGAGCCACCGCGCCCGGCCGAACCTCCCCTTTTTAAAGCCATCAGAGCTCATGAGACTTATTCACTGCCAGGAGAACAGCACAGGAAAGACCTAACCCCATGATTCAGTTACCTCCCACTAAGACCCTCCCACAACAAGTAGGAATTCCAGATGAGATTTGGGTGAGGACACAGCCAAACCATATCATTATGCCCCTGGCCCCTCCCAAATCTCATATCCTCACATTTCAAAACCAATCATCCCTTCCCAACAGTTCCCCAAAGTCTTAACTCATTTCAGCATTAACTCAAAAGTCCACAATCAAAATGTCATCTGAGACAAGGCAAGTCCCTTCTGCCTCTGAGCCTGTAAAATCAAAAGCAAGTTAGTTACTTCCTAGATACAACAGGGGTACAGGCATTGGATAAATACAGCCATTCTAAGTGGGAGAAACTGGCCAAAACAAAGGAGCTACAGGTGGCATGCAAGTCCAAAATCCAGGAGGGCAGTCAAATCTAAAAGCTCCAAAATGATCTTCTTTGACTCCATGTCTCATATCCAGGTCATGCTGATGCAAGAGGTTGGTTCCCATGGTCTTGGTCAGGTCCGCCCCTGTGGCTTTGCAGGATACAGCCTCCCTCTCGGCTACCTTTACAGGCTGGAATTGAGTGCATGTGGCTTTTCCAGGTGCATGGTGCAAGCTGTCAGTGGATCTACCATTCTGGTGTCATGAGGATGACAGCCTTCTTCCCATAGCTCCACGAGGCAGTGCCCCAGAACCCTGTGTGGGGGCTCTGACCCCACATTTCCCTTCTCCACTGCCCTAGCAGAGGTTATCGATGAGGGCCTCACCCTTGCAGCAAACTTCTGCCTGGGCATCCAGGCATTTCCATACATCTTCTGAAATCTAGGCAGATGTTCCCAAACCTCAATTCTTGAATTCTGTTCACTCGTAGACTCAACACCACATGGAAACTGCCAAGGTTTGGGGCTTGCAACTTCTGAAGCCATGGCCCGAGCTCTGCATTGCCTCTTTTCAGCCATGGCTGGAGCAGCTGAGACGCAGGGCACCAAGTCCCTAGGCTGCACACAATATGAGGACCCTGGGCCTGGCCCATGAAACCACTTTTTTCCTCCTAAATCTACTGGCCTGTGATGGGAGAGGCTGCAGTGAAGACATCTGACATGCCCTGAAGACATTTTCCCCATTGTCTTGGGGACTGACATTTGGATCCTTGTTACTTATGCAAATTTCTGCAGCAGGCTTGAATTTTTCCTCAGAAAATGGGATTTTCTTTTCTATCACATTATCAGGATGCAAATTTTCTAAACTTTTATGCTCTGCTTCCCATATAAAACTGAATGCCTTTAACAGCACTTAAGTCACCTCTTGAATGCTTTGCTGGTTAGGAATTTCTTCTACCAGATTCCCTAAATCATCTCTACCAATGAGGTTATTTGGATTTTCTCTCTTCTTTTCTTGGTTAATCTTGTTAATGGACTGTCAATTTTATTTAGCTTTTCAAAGTACCAGTTTTTTGTTTCATTTATGTTTTGTATTTTTGTTGTTGTTGTTTTAATTTCATTTAGTTCTCCTCTGATCTTGATTATTTCCTTTCTTCTGCTGGGTTCAGGTTTGGTTTGTTCTTGTTTCCCTGGTTCCTTAAGGTGTGACCTTAGAATGTCAGTTTGTGCTCTTTCAGTCTTTTTGATGTAGGCATTTACAGTTATGAACTTTACTCTTAGCACCACCTTTACTGTATCCCAGAGGTTTGATAGGTTGTGTCATTCATTGTCATTCAGTTTGAAGAATTTTTTAATTTGCATCTTGATTTAGTTTTTGATGCAATGTTCATTCAAGAGCAGGTTATTTAATTTCCATGTATTTGCATGGTTTTGAAGATTCCTTTTGGAGTTGATTTCCAGTTTTATTCTACTGCAGTCTGAGAGAGTGCTTGATATATTTCAATTTTCTTAAATTTATTGAGGCTTGTTTTATGCCTATCATATGGTCTATCTTGGAGAAAGTTTCATGTGCTGTTAAATGGAATGTATATTCTGTGGTTGTTGGATGGAATATTCTGTATATATACATATATGTTAAGTCCATTTTTCCAATGTATAATTTAAATCCATTGTTTCTTTGTTGACTTTCTGTCTTGATGACCTGTCTAATGCTGTCAGTGGAGTATTGAAGTGTCCTACTATTTTAGTGTTGAATATTGCCAAAAGCAATCTCCAAATTCAATGCAATCCCTGCCAAAACACCAGAATTAGAAAAAATAAAATAAAATTCCTGTGGAACCAAAAAAAAAAAAAAAAAAAAAAAAGAGCCTGCATAGCCAAAGCAAGACTAAGCAGAAAGAACAAATCTGGAGACATAATCACACTACCTGAATTTAAACTATACTTTAAAGCCATAGTCACCATAACAGCATGGTATTGGTATAACAATAGGCAAGCAGACCAATGGAACAGAATATTGAACCCAGAAATAAACCCAAATACTTAGAGCCAACTGATCTTTAACAAAGGAAACAAAAACATAAAGTGGGGAAAGAACACCGTTTTCAACAAATGGTGCTGGGATAATTGGCAAGCCACATGTAGGAGAATGAAACTGGATCCTCATCTCTCACCTTATACAAAAATTAACTCAAGATGGATTAAGGACTTAAATCTAAGACCTGAAACAATAAAAATTCTAGAAGATAACATTGAAAAAATCTTTCTAGATGTTGACTTAGGCAAGGATTTCATGACCAAGAACCCAAAAGCTAATGCAATAAAAAAAAGATAAATAGTTGGGACTTAATTAAACTAAAGAGCTTTTGCATGTCAAAAGTAACAATCAGCAGAGTAAACAGACAACCCACAGAGTAGAAGAAAATCTTCACAATCTATACATCTGACAACAGACTAATATCCAGAATCTACAACAAACTCAAACAAATCAGCAAGAGAAAATCAAACAATCCCATCAAAAAGTGGGCTAAGGACATGAATAGATAATTCTCAAAAGAAGATATACAAATGGCCAACAAAGCATATGAAAAAATGCTCAACATCACTAATGATCAGGAAAATACAAATCTGAACCACAATGCGATACCATCTTGCTCCTGCAAAAATGGCCATAATAAAAAAAATCAAAAAACAGTCAATGTTGGCACGGATGTGGTGAACAGGGAACACTTCTACACTCCTGGTGGGAATGTAAACTAGTGCAACCCACTATGAAAATGGTGTGGAGATACCTCAGAGAACAAAAAGTAGAGCTACCAATTGATCCATCAATCCCATTACTGGATATCTGCCCAGAGGAAAAGAAGTCATTATATGAAAAAGACAGTTACACACACATGTTTATAGCAACACAATTTGCAATTGCAAAATCGTGGAACCAACCTAAATGCCCATCAATCAATGAGTGGATAAAGAAACTGTGATACATTTATACAATGGAATACTACTCAGCCATAAAAAGGAATAAATTAACGGCATTTTCAGTGACCCGAATGAGACTAGAGAATATTATTCTAAGTGAAGTAACTCAGGAATGGAAAACCAAACATCGTTATGTTCTCATTGATATCTGGGAGCTAAGCTATGAGGGTGCTAAGGCATAAGAATGATACAATGGACGTTGGAGACTTGGGGGAAAGAGTGGGAGAGAACGAGAGAAAAAATACTACAAATAGGGTGCAGTGTATACTGTTCAAGTGATGGGTGCATCAAAATCTCACAAATCACCACTAAAGAACTTACTCACATAACCAAATACCACATGTACCCCAATAACTTATGAAAAAATTTTTAAAAATTCTCTCTCAAGTTCAAAGTTCCATGAATCTCTAGGGCAGGGGTGAAATGCTACCAGTCACTTTGCTCAAACATAACAAGAGCCACTTTTGCTCGAGTTCCCAACAAGTTCCTCATTTCCACCTGAGACTACCTCAGCCTGCACTTTATCATGCAAATCGCTATCAGCATTTTGGGAAAAGCCATTTAACAAGTCTCTAGGAGATTCCAAATTTTCTCACATTTTCTGTCTTCTTTTGAGTCCTCCAAACTGTTCCAACTCCTGCCTGTTACCCAGTTCCAAAGTTTCTTCTACATTTTTGGGTATCTTTTTAGCAGCACCCCACTCTACTGGCACCAGTTTACTGTATTAGTTTGTTTTCACACTGCTGATAAAGACATACCTGAGACTAAGCAATTTTTAAAAAAAGAAACAGGTTTATTGGACTTAACAGTACCACGTGGCTGGGGAGGCCTCACAATCATGGCAGAAGGTGAAAGGCATGTCTCACATGGCAGCAGACAAGATAAGAGACCTTGTGCAGGGAAACTCCCCTATTTACAACCATCAGATCTCATGAGACTTATGCAGTATCATGAGAAAGCATGGGAAAGACCTGCCCGCATGTTTTGGTTACCTCCTACAGAGTCCCTCCCACAACACATGGGAATTCAAGATGACATTTGGGTGGGGACACAGCCAAACCATATCATTAGTATAGGGATCAGACTAAAGTCCACATGATTCCATTTTTTCAGAGAGGACATTCATACTGGGTACCCTCCACATCATGGAACCCAAGCTGCTGTAGCAGTGGGACTATAGCACACCTTTGAAGCATACCCAGGAGCTTGAGGACCTGCTCACCTGTGGCCACTGGTCACCATTGTTGGTGCCGAAATATACTTCCCAAGGGCCTGCCCTGTGTCTTCATTCCCAGAAAAGTCATGCCACAGACTTCACAAACAATCTCAGCCTAAGCTGCTGAGGAACTCACAGGTACCACTGACATTGATTACAGCCAAAGTCAAATCGCACAAAGACTACACTATTTTACCCACCCGAAACCAAAGCTAACAAACACTACCCAACTGACACTATAGATATATTCACAGGAAAAAGTCTTGTACTATGAAAACTATTCCATAAAATTGGAAGAAGTGACTATTACACCAAATGGGCTGATATCAAAGCAAAGACAAAAAGAAACATGAATACGTTAGGAAACATGACACCTTCAGAGGAATATGATAATTATCCCATAACAGAACCCACTAAGAGAAAATCTATGAAAGGACTAAAGAGTGTTTCAAAATAATAATCTTAAGGAAACTCAGCAAGATATATTAGAGTACAAATAGGCAATACAAAGAAATCAGAAAAGCAATCAGAGATCTGAATAAGAAAATAAACAGATATCATTTAAAAAAATCCTTTTAATGAATGAAATAAATATAATCAATAGCTTCAACAATAGACTAAATCATGGAGAAGAAAGAATTTCTGACTTTGAACACAGCTTTTTGTTATATCCCAGTCAGACAAAAAAGCAAAAAGGAGATGGAGAAAGCCTACATGATAAATGAGATGCTATTAACTGAACAAATGTTTGCATTCTGGGAATTGCAGAAGGCAAATGGATGGGAAGAAGCATAGAATAACAAAATCATAGCTGAAAACTTCTCAAGTTTTTGGAGAGAAATAGACCTTCAGGCAGAGGAAGTTCAAATATACCTAAATAGCTTTACCCCAAAAAGACCCTTTCTGAAGTACATAAATGTCAAATAGTCAAAAGTCAACAACAACAAAAAGTTCTAAAAGGAGCAAGAGAAAATCATGATGTCACACATAAGGGAATCCCCATAAGGCTAACAAAATGTTTATCTGTGGAAATGTTACAGGCTAGAAAAAAATGGAATGATATATTCAAAATGCTCAAAGAAAAAAAACTTGACATTCAAGAATATTATAGCCAGCAAATCTAACTTTCAAAAATGAAGGGGAAATAATTATTCCCAGAAAGCACAAACTGAGAGGGTTAATCACCACTACACCAGCCTTATAAGAAATGGTTAAGGGAGTCAAAAATCTGGAAGTTAAAGGGCAATATCACTATTATGAAAACACACGAAATTATAAAATGTGCTGACATACCAGATACACAATTAAGAAAGAAAATGAAATTAAAAATTATCACTATAGAAATCAACAAATCCCAGGGACAAACAAAGGGGGAAGAAGAAAAGAACAGAAAATATATATAAAATAATCAAACATACCAATAACAAAATCACAGGAGTAAGTCCTTACCTATCAATAATAACCTGTGTGTAAATGGTTTAAATTCCACAATTAAAAGATATAGAAAGTCTGATTGTATAAATAAACAAGACTCAAATATATGCTATTTATCAGAAACTCACTTCACTGGTAAAGACACAAAGAATGTAAGTGAAGAACTGGAAAAAGATACTTTGTGCAAATGAAAACAAAAATCATGCAGAAGTAGTTATTTCCATATAAGACAAAATAGACTCAGAATAAAAAAGATACAAAGAAAGTCATTATATAATAATAAATAAATTCTGCAAGAAAATAGAACAATTATAAATATATATATACACCAAACACTAGAATATCCAGATATATTCATCAAATATTATTGGAGCTAAGGGGAGAGATAGACCTTGATGCAATAATAGTTGGAAACATTAACACCTCACTTTCAGCACTGGATAGATCATCTAGACAGAAAATAAAGAAACCTTGAATTTAAACTGCACTTTAGACATTTACAAAACTTTTAAAAAAGTTATTTCAATAGTTTTTTGGGGGAACAAGTGGTGTTTTGATACATGAATAAGTTCTTTAGTAGTACTTTCTGAGATTTTGGTGCACCCATCACCCAAGCAGTATACACTGTACCCAATGTATAGTCTTTTCCCCTCACTGCCCTCACCCCCTTCCACCCAAGTCCACAAAGTCTATAAACTCTAGCCCAGAATTCTTTGGGGATATAGATTTGTGGGTCTCCTTCCATCTCTTGACACTGAGATCATTAAACTCTTTTTTTTGCTGCAAATTCTGCTGTCTTAGTGTAATTGGTTTATTACTGTGCAGCAGGCATACAAAACTGTTGGTTTTATAACAATATTAGATAATGAAAAAAAGGTTTAAGTTCTATAAGCTAAGTTTATACCTTAAGAGGCTAGAAAAAGAAGAGTAAATTACACAAAAAAAATGAGCAAAGAAAATAATAACGAGAGCATAAATAAATGAAAAACAAAAGGACAATACACAATGGTTTCATTGGAAAACCAAAAAATGTTTTTTGAAAAAAACAATAAAATTGACAAACATCTGTCTATATTGACCATGTAAAAATGAGATAAAACACACACTTCCAATAGCAAGAGAGACAGGTATGCAGCTGTGATGGTTACTTTTAATGTGTATACTTGCTTGACTAAGGGATGCTTATACAGCTGATAAAATATTATTTTTAGGTGTGTCTGGGAGGGCATCTGGAGAAGATTAGCATGTGAATTGGTTAACTGAGTAAAGTAGATGACCCTCTCCAATGTGAGTGGGCATTATTCAATCTGTAGAGGTCTTGCATGGAAGAAAAAGGTGGAAAAAGTATAAATGTAGTCTCTTTTTCTGAGCTTGAACATCAATCTCCTCCTATGCTCATTGTTTTTGGTTCCTGGGGCTTCGGAATCTGAATTATTAACACATCACCAGCTTTCCTGGTTTTTCAAATTGCAGATGGCGGAACATAGGACTTCTTAGTCTCCATATTGTGTGAGACAATTCCCACAATAAATGTCATTATATAAAGGATATACAATCCCCTATTGGTTGTGTTTCTCTGGAGAACCCTAACACTTCTACAGCTCCTTAGGCAATTTAATGATTTAAAAATATGTATTTTGAATCATGTTGTACTGTAAGTTTGATAACCCAGATAAATTAAACTAATTCTTTGAAAGAGAAAAAAAAACAATGAACAATAGCCAATCAAGGTAGTCCTATATCTACTAAACAAATTGAATTGGTAATAAACTTTTTTGCTTCCTGCCCTTCATCAACAACAACAACAAAGAAAAAAAAAAAGAAAAAGAAAAAGAAAAAAAACCAGATGCTTTCTCTGATGAAATTCATCAAAATTTTAAGGTAAAAAGAATGATAAAAGAGAGGACAAGAAGAAAATTTATTAATAAAGTTTGTTGTTTTACTCTGTGACCTGTTTAATTATTTAACTCACTATTTTGTATAGGACTGTTGGTCTATTTAAGATTTAAACTGCTTTGAGAAGCATCAACAGACCACCCGCAGACATACCTAACAGACATATCCTACAGGCATGCTCTGACTCTGACAAGCAGCGAGCCAGCAGGTCTCCGGGAGTTGCAGGTCTCCTGCTTACCTTACCTTTGGTGCTGGTTTTCCCTAAGAGAGAGAGGAGTACAGCCTACCAGGGCCTTCCTTGAGGCTAAGTAAATGAAGTTTCCAGTGATTGGAGACAGTTCCCCTAAGGCCCAGGAACAGACATGGCAAGGGGGTTACTTATTGCCCTCTTTCCACCATCCCAGGGCAATGCTGTGAATGTGCTGAAATGAAAGAATTATGCAGATGAGTGACAGCGTATCTGCGGGCCCTCAGTCTTAAGTGCCACCTACAGGGTCATAGCCTGAATTACACCGCAAAAAACAAACAAACAAAAATTAGCACACATCGCCAATGAAACCCAATCAGGAACATAATGAACATAATGACGAATATACATTCTGCATAGAGCCTTATACCTCTGAAATCACCCAGAAACGAAGCCAATTCGCTATACTCAACATAAACCCCAGCCAAACCTTAATGGAAATTAAAAAAAAAACACACATGAAATAAAAAAGCCCCATTCATATGAAAGCAACTACAAATAGATAAGGGAACACCAAGCCCTCACAGATGAGAAAGAATCAGCACAATACTGCAGCAATTCAAAACGACAGTGTCTTTTTACCTCTAAATGACTGTGCTAGCTCTCCGGGAAAGATTTTTAACCAGTTTAAAATGACAGAATCGGAAATCAGAATCTGGCTGACAAGGTAACTGAACTAGATTCAGAAGAAAAGTAAATACCAGTATAAAGAAAACAATAAAATTATCCAAGAGTTGAAAAATAACATTGTCATTTTACGAGAGAGCCAAATTGAACTTCTGGAATTGAAAAACTCCCTACAGGGTCTTCATATACAGTTGGAAGCATTAACAGCAGAACCAAACAAGCTGAGGAAAGAATCTCAGGGGTTGAAGCCTGGTCCTTTGAATTAAACCAGTCAGAAAAAAAATTAAAACAAAAGAATTTAAAAATAAACAAAGTATCTGAGAAATATGGGATTGTATAAAGATGCCAAATCTATGACTCATTGACATTTCTGATAGAGAAGGAGAAAGAGTAGGCAAATTGGACAGCATATTTGAAGATACAGTTTACGGAAATTTCTCCAATCTTCCTAGACAGAATGACATGCAAGTTTAAAAATTTTAGAGAAACCCTGCAAGGTACCATATAAGATGACCATCACCAAGACAAATAGTCATCAGAGTCTCTAAGGTCAATGAGAAAGGAAAAATCTTAAAGTTACCCAGAAAAAATGTTCAAGTGCCTTACAAAGGGAAGTCCATCAGGATAACATTGGGTGTCTCAGCAGAAACCTTACAAGCCAGAAGAGAATTGAGTTCTATTTTCAATATCCTTAAAGAAAATAAATTTCAACCAAGAATTTTTTACCCTGCCAAATTAAGCTTAATAAGGAAAAAATAAATATAATAATTTCCAGAGAAACAAATGCCAAGGGAATTTGTTACCACTAGACCAGCCTTACAAGAAGTCTTTAAGGAAATTCTAAATTTAGAAATGAAAAAAAGATACCTGTTATCACACAAAATCACAAAATTAAGTACATAGCCCACAGAACTTATAAAGCAACTACACAGTCAAATCTATAAAACAACCAACTAACAATACAATAGATCAAAGCCTCACATACCAATATTAACCTTGAAAGTAAATGGTCCACATGTCCCTACTTAAAAGGCACAGAGTGGCAAGTTAAACAACAAAACAAGACTAATCCTTCTGTTGTCTTCAAGGGACACATCTCAGATGTAATGACACCTATGGCCTCAAAGGAAAGGAAAGGAAAGATCTATCACTCAAACAAAAAACAAAAAAGAATAGGGAGTCATTATTATATCAGATAAAACAGATTTAAACCAACGACTGTCAAAAACACCATACAGGGCATTACATAATGATATAGGGTAAAATTCAACAAGAAGATCTAATTATTCTAAATATATACGAACCCAATATTGGAACATACAGATTTATAAAAATGTACTTCTAGAGGTACAAAATGAGTTACACAGTGACACAATAATAGTAGGGGACTTTGACAACCTACTCACAGCATTAGATTATTGAGGCAGAAAACTAATAAAGAAATTCTGTACTTAAACTAGACACTTGAATGATTGGACCTAATAGACATCTACAGTATACTCAATTGAACAACCACAGAATATACATTATTCTTATTTGTACACACGTCATAATCTAAAATTGACCACCTGTTCAGCCATAAATAAGTATTAAATACATTAAAAAATTGAAACTATATCAACCATACTTATAAACCACAGAGCAATAAAAATAGAAATCAATACCCAGAAGACTTCTCAAAAAACTTCACAATTACGTGGAAATTAAACGACCTACTCCAGAATAGCTGTTGGGTAAATACTAAAATTAAGGCAGAAATCAAATAATTTTTTGAAATTAGAGAAAACATACTGAAATCTCTGGGGTGCAGCAAAAGTGGTGTTAAAAAAAGGTTGTAGCGCTAAATAGTACATCAGGAAGTTAGAAAAATCTCAAATTAATAATCTAACCTAGAATAATTAGAAAATCAAGAACAAAGTAACCCCAAAGCTAGCAGAATAAATAACTAAAATCAGAGCAGAACTGAACAAACAGAGATGCAAAAATCCATGTAAAACATCAACAAAACCAAAGGTTGATTCTTTGGTAGGATTATATAACATTGTCAGACCCCTAGCTAGATTAACAAAGAAAAAAGAGAGAGGATCCAAATAAGCACAATCAGAAATAACAGAGATGACATTATACCAAATTCCACAGAAATACTAAAGATCCTCAGAGACTATTATGAACAACTCTGTGCACACAAACTAAAAAATATCGAGGAAATGGATAAATTCCTGGAAATACACAACCTCTCATAATTGAAGCAGGAAGAAAAAAAACCCTGAAGAGACCTATAATTAATTCCTAAATTGTATCAATAAGAAAAACCCAACCAACACCCACCCCTGCCAAAAATATTCCTAGACCAGATAGATGCCCAGCCAAATCCTACTAGATCTTCAAAGACATGATACCAAATCTACTGAAACTATTTCAAAAAAACCTGAAGTGACTCCTCTCTAACTCATTCTATGAAGCCAGCATCATTGTGATACCAAAGTATGGCAGAGACACAGCAGAAAAAGAAAACTACAGGCCAATATCCCTGATGAACATGGACATAAAAATCCTCAAAGAATACTAGCAAATGGAATTCAGCAACACATTAAAAAGTTAATACAGCATGATAGGGCAGGCTTTATTTCTGGGATACAAGGTTGGTTCAACATATGCAAATGAATAAATGTGATTCATCATATAAGTTGAATTTGAAAAACATGATCATTTCAATAGAAGCAGAAAAATCTTTTATAAAATTAAAAATCCTCAACAAAGTAGGCATCAAAGGAAAATACCTCAAAATAATAAAAGCCATATATGAAAAACCCACAGGCAACACCATGCTGAAGGGCAAAAGCTGGAAGCATCCCTTTTGAGAATTGGAACATAACAAAGATGCTTACTCTCACCACGCCTATTTACCATAGTACTTGAAGTCCTAGTCAAAGCAATCCTGCAAGAGAAAGAAATGAAAGGCACCCATATAGTAAAAGAAGTCAAACTATCTCTCTTTGCTGATGAAGTAATTTCATTTGCAGAAAACCTGAGACTCTACCAGAATGCTGCTAGAAAGGATAAGTAATGCCAATAAAGTTTCAGAATACAAAATTAATGTACAAAAATAAATAGCATTCCTATATACCACTAATAGTCAAGCAGAGAGGCAAATCAAGAATTCAAACCATTTACAATAACCATAAAAGGAATAAATGCCTAGGACAAGACAGTGAAAGATCTCTACAAAGAGAACTACAAAACTTTGCTGAAAAAAATCATAGGTAACACAAATATGCTCATGGACTGGAAGAATCAATATTGTTAAAATTTTCATAATGCCTAAAGGAATTTACATATTTTTACAGATTTGACTACCAAAGTTATTTTTAATAGACTAATAATAAAAATAATGAAACTTTTCTAAAATTCGTAAGCAACCAAAAAAGAACACAAATAGCCAAGGCAATCCTAAGCAAGGAGAACAAAGCCAGAGATACCACATTACCAAATTCAAACTATACCAAAATGCAACAAAACAGTGATCAAAACAGCATGGTACTGGTACAAAAACAAACACACAGACCAATGGAAAATAATGAGAACCCAGAAATAAAGCCACAATCCTACAACCATCTGATCTACAGCCATTTCATATTAATTTGATCTGATCTTCAACAAAAATAAGCAATGAGGAAAGGACTTCCTATTCAATAATTGGTGTTGAGATAATTGAATAGTCATAGGCAGAAAAATAAAACTAGATACCTACCTTTAACCATATACAAAAATTAACCTTAGATGGTTTAAAGACCTTATTGTAAGACCTCAAACTGTAAAAATGCTAGAAGAAACACTAGGAAATACTCTCTGCGACATCAGCCTAGGGAAAGAATTTATGACTAAATCCTCAAAAGCAATTGCAACAAAAACAAAAATAAGCAAGTGGGACCAAATTAAACTAAAGAGGCTCTGCACAGCAAGAAAAACTATCAACAGAGTAAATGGACAAGCTACAGAATGAAATAAAATATTTGCAAACTATACGTGTAACAAAGGTCTAATATCCAGAACCTATAAGGACCTTAAATTACCAAGTGAAAAATAAATAACTGCATTAAAATGTGGGCAAAGGACATGACCAGATTCTTTTTAAAAGAACACATATAAGTAGTCAACAAACATATGAAAAAACACCCATCATCTCTAATCATTAGACAAATGCAAATCAAAACCAAAATGAGGTACCATCTTACACCAGTCAGAATGGCTTTTGTTAAAAAGTCAGTAACAGATGTTGGTGGGGCTGTGCACTGTTGGTGAGAATGTAAATTAGTTCAACCACTGTGGAGAGCAGTTTAGAGATTTCTCAAAGAATTAAGAGTTGAATTTACAGGTGTAAACTGCATCTATATTGCTGCAAAAGACAGCAATATAGATGCAGTTAGAAATCATTATCCTAAGCAAACTAACACAGCAGCAGAAAATTAAATACCACATGCTCTCACTTGTAAGTGGGAGCTAAACTTTAGGTACACGCGGACATAAAACTGTGAACAATAGCCACTGGAAAATACAATGGGGAAGGTAAGGAGAGAATAACGGCTGAAAAACTACCTATTGTTTACTCTGCTGGTGTCCTAGGTGATGGGCTCAACTGGACTCCAACTTCAGCATAAAGGCAACACACCTTTGTAACAAACCTGCACATGTACCACCAGAATCTAAAATAAAAGTCAAAAAAATTCAACTCTGTTCACAAAACATATTCCAGAAAACTGTTTTAAAATATCTTATTGGCAAGATCTATTTATATTAAAATATCTTGTAAACATTTAATTCTTACAGTTGCTGTATAAAAATTGTAGAGCAGTTACCCATGTTTTGTGTAAATGAACTCATCAGTAGTTCTCTACATGCAGATTTATATTTAGATGTCTCCTGTTGTTTTATTTGCAATATTTAAATATAAAAGTTATACAACTCTGTATTTGGTGATATTTGAGATTTTCTTTTTTATATCTACTGGATATTTTAATATAAATTAGATACTATTCCCTTTACTTCTATCCACACACTGAAAATTTCAGTATTGTATCTCTACATCTGTGATCTTTAAGATGAACCTATTTTCTTCCCAGGATATTAAAGGTTAATTTTAATATTCCAAGTGTTTACAATGTTTAAAGCAATAAAATCTACATATTTTCTTTTCACTTTGTTTTTTCCCTTTAAAAACTGGATGTAAAATAATAAACAGTTACCTATAAACACAAATACATACACATACACATAACATCATGAGTTACTCTTTGTTACTATAAATGTGGTATAAAAATAATGGAAGTTAAATATCATTATTATTCTATTAATTTAATAGAAATTAGATATTTACAGTTAATGAGAGTAATCTACAGCACAATTAGTTCACAATGCAGGGATAAAAAATGTTTTCTTAAATATTTAAAGAAATCATCTCCAATTATTTTCCTTAGATAATTTGCTGATCATCTCAATTTCTTTTTCCAATTGCTAAAAGACATTTCATCACCAAGTAGCCACTGATCAGGTTTGGCAGGAATACCGACTATTGTAAAGATACACTTTTCTGTTTTGTTTTGCATTGGTTTAAACTCAAAATTGCTTCATGGTTTAATTTCAAATGCTAAAACCTTCAATTCATTTGTATTTAAAAATGCAAAAAAATTTAACACTGAAAAGTAGAAAGGACAATATGAAAATATTGATATGACCATTTTTTAACTTCAATAATTATCATTTTGACAACCTTATGTCTATTTAAATTACTTAGCATTCTCTTACAGAGTTATACATGTTCCTTCTGTATTATTTCTGAGATGTTTATTTATTCTGTTCTATAAATAGTATCTCAATCTGTGGCTGTTTTATTCTTTCTTAACAAATTTTAATGAACAGAAGTTTTTAATTTGAACAAACCTAATTTATCAACATTGTATTTTATTTATTTATTTTGCTTTCTGTGTCCTTCTAAGAATGCTTGCTTTCCTGAAAGTCATGAAATTATTTTCTTATATTTCTTTTATGATTTTAGCTTTTATGTTTATGCCTATGTTTATGTTTATGTTATGTTTATGTTTATGTTAAATCAATCTTGAATTAATTTTGTTTATGGTGTGAGGAGAGAGTCCAAGTTCCTTTTTAAAAAAGAGATCTCGATATCCAGTTAAATCAGTAAAACTTGTTGGAAAGAGTTTTCTTTTTCCCATTGAATTGATTTGCCAGATATTTAAAATTGTGCCCTTAACACAGGGTATAAAAGACTCTTGATATCAGTCACCTGCCAGAAAAAAGCTCAGTTCTTGATAAAACTTCATGGACTGACACAAAACCAAACCTAATCCACTTGTCATATCCCTATCATGGCTCACTGCTTTGTTCTTGCCAAACCAGCATAGATTGTTCAACCTCCCCTTCAAGCAAATGTCTTCTGGCAGAAGTCCACTATTGGTGGGACTGTAAACTAGTTCAACCATTGTGGAAGTCAGTGTGGCAATTCCTCAAGGTTCTAGAACTAGAAATACCATTTGTACCAGCCATCCCATTACTGGGTATATACCCAAAGGATTATAAATCATGTTGCTATAAAGATACATACACACATATGTTTATTGTGGCACTATTCACAATAGCAAAGACTTGGAACCAACCCAAATGTCCATCAGTGATAGACTGGATAAAGAAAATGTGGCACATATACACCATAAAATACTATACAGCCATAAAAAATGATGAGTTCATGTCTTTGGAGGGACATGGATGAAATTGGAAATCATCATTCTCAGTAAACTATCGCAAGAACAGAAAACCAAACACCGCATATTCTCACTCACAGGTGGGAATTGAACAATGAGAACACATGGAAAGAGGAAGGGGAATATCACACTCTGGGTCCTGTTGTGGGGTGGGGGGAGGGGGGAGGGATAGCATTGGGAGATATACCTAATGCTAGCTGACGAGTTAGTGGGTGCAGCGCACCAGCATGGCACATGTATACATATGTAACTAACCTGCACATTGTGCACATGTACCCTAAAACTTAAAGTATAATAAAAAAAAAAGTAGCAGATATGTAGGACTAACAAGTCTAAAGATCTAAGGTACAACTCAAGGACTATAATTGATAATAGTGTATTACATTCAGGATTTTTGCTAAATGAGATTATAGCTGCTCTTCTCATGATGGGGGGTTGGGGAGAGGAAATGGGTAACTATGTGAGGTGACTGATATGTTAATTTGTTCCACTATAGTAACCATTTTACCATATATATTTATAGGTATATGTACCTCATATCATGTTGTATACCTTAAATATACACAATAAAATTTATTTTTAAAAATTAAAAAAAAATGTTATCACTCATTTGTGAGGGCTAAAAAGGTGGAATTTTTCAAGATAGAGAGTGATGGGAGATTGCCAATGGTTGGGAAATGAATAAAGGAAGGAAGATGAAGTGTGTTTGATTAATGGGTACAAATATTCAATTTGATACATGAAATTTGACTTAGTGTTTAAGAGAGCAGTAGGCTGACTTTAGTTTACAATATTATGTATTTCAAAATACCTAGAAGAGAATAATTTGAATGATTTTAGCATAAATAAAAGACAAATATTTAAGATGATGGTTATCCCAATTACACTGATTTGATCTTTACAAGTTATATGAATGTATTAAATTATTACATAACTCCAAAATATGTAGATCTGTTATGTATGAAGGTAAAAATAAAAACTCAGGGGTGGATGAAATAACTCAAGTAATTTAATACAATATCAAAAAAGAATATGAAATTATCATTGACTCCTGAGTGTAAACATAAACAATATCTAACATGAAAACATATGTTTCTGGAGGGGATAAGTAGAAAGAATTAATATATTACTTCAAATCATTATTAGATTAAAAAAACACAAAAAATACAAAAAAATACAGTTATCTCAAGTCATGTAAATAAGAAAGTAAAACAAGTCAAATAATCTAGAACCAGAAATACCATTTGACTCAGCAATCCCACTACTGGGTATATGCCCAAAGGAATATAAATCATTCTACTATAGACACACATTCACACATGTGTTTATTGCAGCACTATTTACAATGCCAAAGACATTGAACCAGCCCAAATGCCCATCAATGATATACTAGATAAAGAAAATGTGGTACATATACACCATGGAATACTGTGCAGCCATAAAAAGGAATGAGATCATGTCCTTTGCAGGGATGGATGAAGCTGGAAGCCATCATCCTCAGCAAACTAACACAGGAATAGAAAACCAAACACTGTATGTTCTCATTCATAAGTGGAAGTTGAACAATGAGAACAGATGGACACAGAGAGTGGAACAACACTCACCAGGGCCTGTTAAAGGGTTGGGGGCGAGGGGAGGGAACTTAGAGGACAGGTCAATAGGTGCAGCAAACAACCATGGCACATATATACATATGCAACAAACCTGCATGTTCTGTACATGTATTCCATTTTTTCTTTTTAAAGTAATTAAAAAAACCAAGCCAAATAAATAAACTCCACTTCTACCATAAAAATAGAAGATAATTTGTACATTTAAGTCATTAATTCTACTACACCTCCTCTTTTACTAATATGATTTTTGCTTCTACACATCATAGAATAAAAATTTTATGCAGAGAATATTTGTGTGATGGTAGATTTTTAAAGTTTCTTCAATTTAAAAAGAGTATTTTTTAAATTTTTTATTTTTTTATTGTGACAGAGTCTTGCCCTGTCATCCAAGCTGGAGTGCGGTAGCACAATCTCAGCCCACTGCAACCTCCACCTCCTAGGTTTGAGCAATTTTCCCACCTCTGCCTCCTGAGTAGGTGTGATTACAGTCACATGCCACCACTCCCCACACCTGGCTAATTTTTGTATTTTTAGTAGAGACGGGGTTTTGCCATCTTGGCCAGGCTGGTCTCGAACTCCTAACCTCAAGTGATCTTCCCACCTCGGCCTCCCAAAATGCTGGGATTACAGGCATGAGCCACCACTCCTGGCCTAAAAAGAGTTGTGTTAAGGTACAAATGTCATACAGTAAACTGAAATTTTGAAGTGCATAATTTGATAGATTTTTAACATATCACACTGTGAAATTATCACCCAATTAAGATCACCAACAGATACATCTCTCCCAAAATTTTCCTTGTGCTTCTTGGAGTCCTTCTCTCACCATGGTCTACTTTACTAACAACTACCATAGGTAAGTTTGTATTTTGTACAAGTGGAATCATACAGTATGGAACATATATTCTGACTTCTAAAACTCAGCATAGTTATCTTGTGATTCATCTCTGTCACTGCTTGTATCCATATTTATTCATTTTTACTGATGAATAGTATTCCATTATATGTTTAGGTCATAGTTTGTCTACTCATCTGTTTTTAGATCTTTTTGGCTGCTTCCAGTTTGGGGCTATTATAAACAAAGCTGCTACACACACTCATAATCAAGTCTTGGGGAAAGCATGTGTTGGATACTTAGGAGAGGAATGGCTTGATCGTACAGTAGGTGTATCGTGAATTTCTAAGAAACTGACATATAGTTTTCCAAGGTAGTTGTATCATTTTAAATTCCCACCAACAATGTATGAGAGTTCTGATTTTTCTACATCCTCATTAGAGGTTATTTTTTTTTAATTTTAGTCATTGTAATAGATGTGTAGTGGTATTTTCTTGGGATTTTAATTTGCATTTTCTTCATAACTAATGATGCTGAACTGCTTTCACTTGCTTATTTGTCACCCAAATATTTCCAGAGTTAAGCATCTGTTAAAATACCTTGTCTATTTTTATTGGGTTATTTGTTTTCCTGCTATCCAATTTTTGAAGTTTTTTTAAAAAAGTGTATTCTATCTATGTTTTATAAGCCTAATTTGGAAAATAAATTATGCAATAATTATTTATAGGGCTACATTAAGGACTAGGGAGATACTATATGTAATGCACTCATCACACAGCTTGGCAAAGTGTAATCCATCAGTAAGTAATTATTTTTTAGTTATATTTGCAAGTATTGCAAGTGAACACAGACTCTGAATGTCACTACCATACTGTGGAAAAGTGAGCAAATATTGCAAGTTTTCTGTGCTGTGTTATGAGAATAATGGTAATAGTTCTAACAGAAATGATAGAACTGGGACACACAGCTCACATGAAATTAAAGATACAGAACAATATTGCAGGGATTTTGAACTAATTGTAGACTTGTCTATTCTTCCAAATTATATAAATTTATAGGTGAAAATTAAGGAGCATTATGAGAAATCAATACTTCTGAGCTTTTACCTAGAAAGAAAATGAGCCAGAGAACAGAATGGATGGTGAACTGGCAGCTTTCTTACTCCAACGCATTTGATTACAAAATGAGCATGTAAAAGTGGAAATCATACATTTGATATTCTCTCAGTTTAGAACGAGTTATTTTCATGAAGACTGGCTCTTTATTAATGGATTATTTGACTGTGCCCATTTAGAGTACCTGACATTTAAAATAAACTTAAAGTCATACATTCAAACAACTTTCTCATGTACCAAAAACAAATCTAATTTACAGATTTTTGCTTCAACTGAGTTAGGGTACCTAATTTAACTTTTATAAAAAATATGTTTAAATTATAAAAGGGGGATGAGTTCTAAAAGGGGAGAAAAAATTGTAAGGCTCCTAAATACATTTATTCTTGATTGTTTTAACTTTGAGTTTTGGAATAATTTTTGACCAAAAATAGTTGAGAAATAAAATGATATTCTATAGGTTATAACCTGTTAACGTGTATTTATTTTGTTGCTAAACTTGTCACAGTTTTAGTCAATAGGAATTAAAGTTGACTCCTTTGTCATTTCTATGTGAAGCCAATTTTTGAGCACTTTCTTATAAACCCGGATATATTCCAGGCTCATCTTTGTACTTTCTTGATTTGTAGATGCCATGATAGAATATCTGTAAAACACAGAGAATTGTTGATAAAGCTAACTTGAATTCTAAAAGTCTTCATTAAGGTATTATGAAATAAATTTACCACATATATCAATGGCCTTTGCACAAAGAAACAATTACCTGTTAAAAGATGGAGAAAATCCCTTTACGATAGCAACAAATAAATGAAATACTTAAGATTGGACTTATAATTAAGGTATATTTATTCATGCTTTTAAAAGTCTTTATTTCTATATATTTAAAATTTCTTAGATCTAATATTTGATATATGATATAAAGAGATTTTGTAATGTTGATGCAACCTTGTTTCTAAAATAAATTCAAGCTGACCATAAAGTTTTATTGTCTTAATGGGATATTGACTTCTGATCACCATTTTATTTAATGTTTTGCACTGACCTTTATACAAAATACTGGCTAGCAATTTTCATTTTTGTGCTATCTTTGTCATTTTTAGAAATCAATGTTATACAGGCTTTATAAAAAGAATTAGTAGGCCAGGCGCAGTGGCCCATGCCTGTCATCCCAACAGTTTGGGAGGCAGAGGTAGGTGGATCACCTGAGGTCAGAGTTCAAGACCATCCTGGCCAACATGGCAAAACCCTGTCTCTACTGAAAATACAAAAATTAGCCAGCCATGGTGGTGGGCACCTGTAATCCCAGCTACTCAGGAGGCTGAGGCAGGAGAATCGCTTGAACCCAGGAGGCAGAGGTTGCAGTGAGCCAAGATCGCGCCACTTTACTCTAGCCTAGGCAAAAGCAAAACTCCGCCTTAAAAAAAAAAAAAAAGAATTTAGTTTTCTTTATCTTTCTTCCTCTCTTCTGCTTCTGGAATTCCCATAACATGTATGTTACAAACTTTGTAGCTGTCCCACAGTTCTTAGATATTCTATTATGTTTTTCTTCGCCTTTTATCTTTTAGCTTTTCAGTTTTGGCAGTTTCTGATGGGATATCTTCAAGATTGGAGTTTTTTGTTGTTGTTGTTTTTTCTTTTTCTCAGCCATGTCCAGTCTACCAGTAAGCCCGTAAAAGGCATTCTTAATTTCTCTTACAGTGGGTTTATCTCTAGCATTTTTGGGGGGGTTCTTTCTCAGAATTTCTCTCTCTCTGCTTACACTGTCCATCTGTTATTTCTCTTTTTTTTTTTGTCCATCTTTTCTTGCATGCTCTCTACTCTATCTATTAGAGCCCTTAACATCTTAATTATCGTAGTTTTAAATTTTCTATCTAACAATTCAAACCTCACTGCCATGTCTGGATCTGGTTCTAATGCTTGCTCTTTCTCTTTAAGTTGTGTTTTTTGCTTTTTAGTATGGACTGTCAATTTTGTCTTAATACTTGGACATGAAGTACTTGGGAAAAAGAGTTTTATGAATAGACCTTTAATAATGACATGACAGGGGAAGCATTTTATGCTCCTTTGATTAGGTTTCAGTCTTTCAGTGAGTGACCCTATGCCTCTGGACTGTGAGCTTTGCAAATCCTGTCCTGCTCCCTTCTCAGTCAGATGGGATGGCAAGAGTGGGCTGTAGTTGGTGTTTTCTTTCCTCCAGGTTCGTTAGGTTCTGATTAAACCCAAGCAGATTAGGTTCTGTTTAAATTATTTCTCCTGAGGGCAAATCTTTTTAAGAAAAGTGCTCTGGCTTATGTCAAAATGGTTCCTTTCACTTCTCCTGACAGAAGCAGGGGTTTTTCTTTAATATTCGTAGTGAGAACCTTGTAGAACTCTTTTTTTTTTTTTTTTTTTTTTTTTTTTTTGAGACAGAGTCTTGCTCTGTTGCCCAGGCTGGAGTGTAGTGGCACAATCTCGGCTCACTGCAACCTCCGCCTCCTGTGTTCAAGTGATTCTCCTGTCACAGCCTCCCTAGTAGCTGGTATTACAGGTGCATGCCAACGTGCCTGGCTAATTTTTGTATTTTTAGTAGAGATGGGGTTTCACCATGTTGGCCAGGCTGATCTCGAACTCCTGACCTCAGATGATCCACCTGCCTTGGCCTCCCAAAGTGCTGGGATTACAGGCTTGAGCCAACGCGCCCGGCCCGTGAACCTGGTAGAACTTTTGGAGATAAAACTTACAAACGTATGGGGGTACTCAGTGATTGGGTCCCCCTGGAGGTTTTTATGTCTCAAACCTGTCCATGCTGAGCCTCTAGTAATTTCTCACAGTTCACGTTTCCCTACCTCAGCACTGGTTCTCAAGGTGGTTTATGCTCATGGGTTATTGCTCAGACAAGCCACTATTCTCTGCATTTGACAGTTATTCTCTCCAATTTGAGGACCCCTGGCTTGCCCTGTGATCTCACTTCTCTGACAGATCTAAAAAGAGTGTTGATATTTCAGTTTGTTCAGCTTTTTACTTGTCAGGACAAAGTGGTGGCTTCCAGCTTTTAACATGCTGCACGAGAAACCAGAAAACTCTTGCCTTTTCCTTCGTTTTCAATTTTGAAAACATTTGTGGAGCATTGGAAAAATCTGCTGTTTGAAGAATTGGTAGAATTCTTCTGGGAATTATCTAAGCCTGATGATTTCTTTTTTCTCTAGAGACAAGGTCTCACGATTTTTCCAATGCTGGTCTTGAACTCCTGGGATCAAGCGATCCTCCCATTGGAGGCTCTCAAAGTGCAGGGAGCCTGGTGATTTTTGTGGGTGAGTTCATTATTTAATCTGTGGAAACTGGGCTATTTAAACTTTCTATTTTAAGTCTCCTCTTTTTTATTCTTTTGCCACTATACTATCTATTGTGAATGATGTCTTTTTTTTGTATGTTTGATACTGAATTATCTATTTCATTGAGGTTTTCATGTTTATTTATATCAGAGGTTTGTAAATGAATCATTTGTTTATTTGTTCAGTTACTTAATTGCTCCTTTACTGGTTGTTTTCCAATAGACAATGCTTATTTATGTAAATCTGTGCTTTATCTATATTTCTCTAAATCAATTACTTAAAAAACAAAACTTTGACACATTAATTATGACTACTTCTATTGTATCTCTACCTCATTAATTTCTGCTTTTATCTTTATTTCTTCCTATACATTTTTTGTTTACTTTGCTGGAATCTAGAGATTTAATTAATCTGTTTTCTTCTGTTCATTGCTTTAAAAGTATCCCACAAATTTCAGTATGTAATATTGTTTTCATTGCTTTTAAAGTAACTTTTACTTGAATTTTTATTTCATCTTTCACCTGAGAGTATTTTGATAGAAGGCTCATTTAGTGTACATGTAGAATAGTCACAATGATTATATATCCATTACAATAAATATATGTATTGAACTAAATTATCTATGACCCATACATTTGATCTTTTTCTTATGCAAACATGAATACATCCACCTTATTCCATCTAAACCTTATGCTACTCAAAACTAGAGAAATTGGTGTGAAGCAACGGCTGTCTTTTCAGCATATTAAAATTTCAGCTCCTGAAGCAGGGAAAAGAAAGAAGCCATAAGACATAAGATTGATTGAAAAATATATTAAAAGTGGGCTTTTCTGAGAGAGTTTAAAGATTATGATGTAAATTGTCTAACATAGTAGCAATTCCAATAGAAATGAAGAATATAATCTAGCAAGAAGAGTAAGAAGAATTTCCAGGCAGTGGATTCCTGGAGGCATTTCTTACATGTAACATTGTGTTGTTTGGAAATGCTTTGATTCAATATAGTGCTTCAGTAAGTTCCTGCATAACACAGGAAGAATCTTGCCACCAGAAGGTCAGCATATAGTCAAATGGGGTTTAAGGCTATCTTACAGCTCTAAAAGAAAATAGAGTCCTAGGCAAAAATAAAGAGAATCCCAGTCTGAAAGGTGAAAAACACAATGCATCAAAAAGAAATCATCAATGTTACAGATCAAGGCTAATTCTGCAAGCCAAATCTGTACATATGCTTCCAGCAAGGCATTATATGAGGCATAGGACTGAATTTCCTAATGGACTTCATTTTCAAGACTTATTCCTCAGTGGATAGAACTAAAAAGAATGTAGAAAGAAACCCCGTAAGTTAAGGTGTATCATATGGCCAAAAGACCACTTTACCTCTCTAGCCACATTTCAAGGTTTCAAGTGATTACTGTATTGAGCTGTACAGATATAGACAATATCTATTATCACAAAAAGTTAATTTGACAGCACTTCTCTATATCATTAATAAAATAGATGATATTCAGTGTATTGATCTTAAATGATAATAAAGAATATTTGTGCCAGGAATTGATAAATTTGGCACCAACCACTATGCCTCAAAACCTGTCCACATTCCTACCATCTGCACAATAGAAGCTGATAATTTTTCTGGTAGACTTTTCTCTAACCCTTTTTAACTTCAGTGGCAAGTAATTAAGCTATAGTATATTTATATACGATATACTATGTAATTATACTGTATTATAGTATTATCTTTCTACATAATTCTATCTTATATAAATCCATATTTATATATTTTTAAATAAAAATAAAATTTTACTAATTCAATTGTTATATATAGTTATATATAGTTAAATTGCAAGATCATTTAGAAAACAAAATAAAAAATATTTGAGGAGTAATATAAATATTTTGTGTGGTAAAAGAAAAGTAATTGGGAAATACTATCCTCATTCTCCAACAAATGAAACTCATTTAGATAATTGTAATTTTTTTCATACTTGAATGAAGGAACTATTACTTTTTATGGAATTCTGTTACTTCTAGTAAGACATAATTTTGCAAGAGTCTGCATAAGCATTCGTATTAAGAATTCATTTATCAAATTAAATAGCTCTTTCCTAAGTGACAAACAACAAAGATCAGTGATATTTTGTCATCAACAATGACTTAATTTTATTTCTTAGAAAATGTCCTTATGAAAACTAAATTTTTAGGTATAGTGAGCCTGTCACTTAACATCCTATTATATTCAATTGGATTTCCTTGACAATTCACCATACTGTCATTAATTATCAAATTATGTGAGAATTTTCACTTTTCTTATTCCTTACAGAGCCAATTTACAATAAAATAATTATTTTCTAGATTTCATATTACCAATAAAGTGCTATATTATATTTTAATTATTAAGTTATAATAATCTGTGCATAAGTATTTTCAAATTGCCTTATAATAGGTAGAAATTTGATTACAGTTGAAACAGACAATTGAAAAACCATTGATTTTATTGAACTTTTTAAATATTTTTATAAAGGGCCCATAAAATTGAGTTGACATGATTTTATGAAACACACATATTAATATCCTCATTCACTTGAAATATTTTTGTCATGATTTTTTTCAGGGATACGGAACACAGCTTTTAATAAAGATATATTTTTCCAAATATTAGGAGAATATTCATTCAAATATTTTTTTCTATATGACAAAACTCTCTAAAGCTGATGTATTTCAAGATTCTTCAAAATGAATTGAGAAGAAATTGACTTTTTTAATAAATTCATTCAAATTCAAGTTTCTCATACAGCTTCAAGAATTGAATTTTATGTATTATCCTTGGTTTATGTATTATGATTGATTATTTTTGGTAGAAAAATCATTTAAAATATAAAGCATGATATTGTTTTATGCACCAGTGCTTATAACCCTTAATATTTATTATAAAGCACAAACGCAAACACATATGCACAAGCCCAAATGACTTAAGTCACTGATTCACTGAATAGAAAGAGGTACCCAAACTCCTGACTAAGCAGAGCAGACAAAAAAAAAAAGTCTCCTGGCCAAATAATGAATGGTTCATATAACACAATGTTAACAAAATTTTAAAAACCCAATTTATAAAGAATAAAGATATTTATTCTTTAAATAAAGAAATTAAAAGATGTTTTTTCAGAGATTATGCAATTTTAGCATTATTTCAACGGACAATTTAAATATATTCAGATTATGAAATGAAGAATCTTAAGCAAATCTCAACTCAGTAACTTGTAGAAAAGGAAAGTTTTCTCTACCTTGCCTAAAAGTACTATGACGTCTTTGAGCCATCAAACTTCCATAATTATAATGGCAACTTTATAAAAATATCTTTATGTATAATAGAGGAAAAATAACATTTACTTCATGGAATAATTGCATGGTTTGAGCAAGGTGTGTAATGCAAAATTATCTGTGGAACAGTTAATCTTATGTATTATTTCTGTTGTCATAATGATTGTAAAGTTGTTATTTTGATCTTTAGTATGGATTTACAACACTAAAAACAGACTTTCTTACTTAGGATACTTCAAACCTGTTTTCCAATGAGTACTCTTTAGCATTCTGCAGACCCTGAACAAGACAACTAAGCCTCTAAACAAAGGAGTGTTCTTCAGTGGTCAGAAAGGACTTCTTGCCACAAAATAGGAATTGAGGTCTGCTGCCTTGCAGAGGTGCTTATATAGTTGGACTAAAAGCAGCATAAATTTTGACAAAATAGGTGACCTTTCAAGATACACTAGTGACCTCAAATCTCTGTTACTTAACAATACATGTGACTTTGGACAAGTTTAAACATGTCAAAGCTATCATTTGCTTATCTGTATAGTGATAGAGCAGGAGCACCGTCATCTTGGACAAACACTGCCACTTTAAGTTCCAGCTCCCTTTCTAACCTCATGCATTTCAAGGAAATCACTTCTCTTCTAACAACAAGCAGCCAAAAAGAGCAGACAGTAAAACACAGATAAGACAGCTTGGACACAGGGAGAGAGGGGAAAGTCTCTTGGGTAACCACCAAACTTCACACACACAATGGGCCCCAGTAAAACGGTGGGCCCTAATAAGCACATTCCTTTCCCTTTAGGTGCACTAAGATAAGGAAGCTAAAAGCAGACTTGGGGGTAATACCTACAGCTGCAGGAAGACGTATGGGAACAGACCCCAAACTCTCCCTCCCAGATAAGCAAGACAAAAAGACACAGAAACATTCTGAGCCTGTGATAAGCTCTCCTGCCCTGAACCCTTAAATACTCTTGTCTGTAAGATAGAGTGCTCCTGACCTAACTCGGCCTGAAGCCCCTCTCACGTTTATTCTCCAAACTAAACCTGTCTTTGACTGTTGAGCTGCTTTTCTTGTTTCTTTCCTCTTTCTTTAACTCTTACACATAGGTCACTTGAAAAGGGAGGTTGTGAGTGAATCAACTACTTAGCACAGGAATTGTTACTTGGTAAACTTGTATGTAATATTTGCAAAGAAAGTGTCTGTTATTATTTTAAGGAAGAGAGTCCACCTAATAAATCCATACTTCAAAAGTGTCCAAGATACCTAAGTATTTCTATTTCATAAACTGTAAATTCTTCCCCAGTAAATACCAGGGAACAGAATATGTGGGGTGAATTTAAGTGTTTGTTATTTATCTCATATCCTTTGGATATTAGATCTGGAAGTTTTTAGTGTTCTAGATCAGAACTTTCTGATTAGCAGGCCAGTGGGAATTTATGTAGATTAGCTTAAATATTTCTAGAAATTATATATATTAGGACTTGGTCTCAAAAGTCTCATAAGCAATATGTAAGACACTGAAAAAGAGTAATAGGCAAAATGTTTGATTTACCCAATCACAATATTTGTAATTTTCTGCCTATGGTGTTGATTATAGCCTCAGAGAATTAAGAAATATCATAGTAACCGCAAAAATAAGACCTAGAGCATCTCATACATACTAGAGAAAGTGAAACTCAACTTTGAATTGGTGGTTCCCTACTGACTTTACCACTGACTTTTCTTGTGGATCATGTCTCATTATTTCCATCAAGATTGTGATCATTACTTCAGATCTTTCAATAATTTATAGTCAACTCTACAGAATTTGAAACATCCTAAACAGTGCATTTTTTCTCTTGTATTATTCTGAAATATTTTATTGTAGCTACATAGATTTAATAGAGTATATGCCATTATGAAAATAGCTCATTTGTTTCAGCAATATCCTTAGAATGCTTTTCCATACCAGACTTTTGACCCTAACCTCTCTCTTTGCATTTTTCCTTTTCTGATGAGCAACATCTGTGCTGATACCTCACTATTGCATACATAGTTACAGTCCCATAGCACTTAATTTTATAGCATATATGTTTGAGATAAGGCATAAAAAGCATTTGCCAGAAGAATAAATTCTATCTCTAAGCTCTTCACTGATGAAATTGTAAATGAAGAATAAATTCTATGTATCAACTCTTCACTGATGAAACCATTATGTAAAAATATGAGATTCTTTACTGTTTAGTTTAGAAGATTGGTAAAGGTATTTTGAATTTTAAGATATCCATATCCATAAGAGAGGAAACTTTAGAATTAAAATTGGTAGCAAATCTCTCTCAGGTAACTTAGAGAGAGAGAGAAGACACAGGAATATTTGGATTCTTGATGTATCTATGCAATCACTAAAACTAGAACTGTGAGTATTATTTCTGACTTTTTCCTTTATCTCACCCCAGGCATTTAACCGCTGTTGTAGTACTCAGAATTCTATCTCCTTAACAACTTCTGGGATAATTTTCTCCTTCATATCCACACTGATAATTGCCTTAGTTCAAGTTATCATCACCTCTATTGGGTCTGTTGGGAGTGTAGCCTTGCTAACATTCTGCCTCTAAATTCACAATGTTTTCATTCTTCCTTTAAACCATGCCAAAGGAATCATTCTAAAGAATAAATATAACATATATTTACCTATTTGAAACATTAAAATAGATCACTATTGCGTAATAAATTCACAGTTAAGCTTGACAGACAAACATCTGCCTGATCATCTCCCTAGAAATCATTGTTGTCTCTCCTCAACCTAGCGCACCCTATATTTCTAGAATGAGAAATTACTTAGTTTACTGAATATTACACACATTTTCAGAACTTTTAATGCTTTGTGCATGCTTATTCTTCAATCTAAAATGTCCTTATCACGTTATCTCTCTTAAAGAATACACTTAATGATATTGTGACGTATAAATCATGTACCACCCATGATACTGACTTAGTGATCACCATTTATTTATTTTAAAAAAATGGACTTCGTATCTGAGAGAATGAAGAACAGAGCGAGGGTATGAACTCTGTAATCATAATAATACAGTTATTGTTTCTGTTTTTAATTTTAAGAATTTCTTTAGTTTCTGTTGTTTCTAAATTAGCTCCTCTGGCTACCCTTAAAATTCTGAACTTCTAATAATGTGTTAGTAACTTTTCTTTTGCATCTACTTTGTCACTATTTGCTTTTATATAAAACTAATAAGCACAACAGGTACAATTTGAAAGAGAACACTGAAAGTATTTTGTGCAATAATTTTATATGGAATGAAGAGGGTCTAGAGCTTTTTATTTTAAAAACAGTGGCAAGAAAGCTTATCCAATTCAAATTCTGAAAGATGTGATGTAGCGTGGTAGTAGATATGTGCCTGAGGAAAACTCTAGAAATATATATATATTTTTTCCTTCTCTATCCAGAAGAATAAATATTACATTTTTTCTTAGGTGTTGACAAAAAAAAAAAAAAAAGTTAAAAGCCTTTCTTATCCACAGCCTTGTAAGATGGAGAGCTTAACTTCTTTACCTAAAGTGGGACATATGTAATTCAAATTCCATATTACTTATCAACTTCATCTTCTGATGGGAACAGACCTTGAGAAATATCTCCAAAAATATACAGAATTTAAGAGTGGTATTAGAGGTAGACAGCTTGAAGCAGTATCTGGTGAAGAAAATCAATTTAATGAGAAAGCATGGATGTAAAAATGATCAGTTTGAGCATTCAAAATAAAAAATATGAAAATGTTTCATAGGACACATACATCTTGACACCGAAGAAAGACAACATATTGACTGACAGATATGGCAACCCCTCTTTTTATCACAATTAGGAAAACACCCCTATTTACAATTGGTTCATAACATTTATCCTTAAATTTCAGTAAGTTAATTGACTTTTAAGATGAATTCCTTCACTAATCATTTTCATTTCATTTTATGTATTTCTAGATACATAGATAGTATTGATGCTATAATTTGTGTTGCTTTCTTGATTCAAGCAACTTTTATTCATACCACAATGGTCAAAGGATATTGAAATGCTATGCTTAAAAATCTTTTTTAAATTAACTTTTTGATTCTTTTTTATAACACTTAGCTTAAAACACAAACATGCTGAACAGCTGTAAAATATATTTTTTTACTTTATATTCTTATTTTAACAATTTATTTATTTATTTTACTTCTTAAACTTTTCTGTTAAAATCTAAAACACAAACACACACATTATTAGTCCAGGACAAACAAGGGTCACGATCATCAACATCACTGTCCTCCACTTCCACATCTTGTCTCACTGGAAGAACTTCAGGGGCAATAACACGCATGGAGCTGTCATTGCCTATGATGATAATGCCTTCTTCTGGAATACCTCCTTAAGGACTGACTGAGGCTGTTTAACAGTTAACATTTTTCATAAGTAAAAGTAGTACACACTAAAATAATGATAAAAAGTATAGTCTGGTAAATACATAAACAAGTAACATAATCATTTACTATACTTACTAAATATTACATACTGTGCAAAATTGTATGTCCTATTTTTTATATATTTTTATTTATTTATTATTTATTTAATTTGAGATGGAGTCTCTCTCTGTCACCCTGGCTGGAGTGCAGTGGGGCGATCTCAGCTCACTGCAACCTCTGCCTCCCCGGTTCAAGCGATTCTCCTGTCTCAGCCTCCCAAATAGCTGGTACTACAGGCGCATGCCACCACACCTGGCTAATTTTTTTTTTTTTTTTTTTTGAGACGGAGTCTCGCTCTGTCACCCAGGCTGGAGTACAGCGGCGCAGTCTCGGCTCACTGCAAGCTCCGCCTCCCGGGTTCACGCCATTCTCCTGCCTCAGCCTCTCCGAGTAGCTGGGACTACAGGCGCCCGCCACCACACCCGGCTAATTTTTTTTTTATTTTTAGTAGAGACGGGGTTTCACCGTGGTCTCGATCTCCTGACCTCGTGATCCACCCGCCTCGGCCTCCCAAAGTGCTGGGATTACAAGCGTGAGCCACCGCGCCCGGCCATTTTTTTTGTATTTTTTAGTAGAGACGTGGTTTCACCATATTGCACAGGCTGCTCTCAAACTCCTGACCTCGTAATCCGCTGCCTCAGCCTCCCAGTGTCCTGTACTTTTGTATGACTGGCAGCACAGTTAGTTTGTTTACACCAGCATCACCACAAACATATAAATAATGTGTTGCACTGTGATATTATGATGGCTATGACATTACTAAGCAATAGAAATTTTTCAGCTCCATTATAACCTTATGAGACTACCATTATATATGTGGTCCACCATTGACTGAAATGTTAGGCAGTGTGTGTGTGACTGCGGTTAGATTTTTGGCTATTATATAACTTTAACTGACACTTATAGAATGGTAAAAACTATATTATTAATCCATTATTATATATTTAAATTGCAAGAACATGTCCTGGTAAACACTTAAGATATTGTGTCCATTCATTGCATGGAATATCAGGAATGAATCCTCAGGATTTGGTAGCATACTTGCCAATCAATAGGGATACATTATTTTTTTAAACAAACAAAAAATTACTTAGAGTTATTATAATCAGTATTGTAATACATTTGTAATATTTAATTTTTATTCAAAGTGTTTCATACCCTTTTATCATCCTTTTTCTTACTGCAAAGGAAGTCTGACTATATTCAGAAACTTTCTATACATGAGCAGTCTTAAGAAATAATTTTTAAATAAGTGGCATTTTCACAAATTCTGATAATAGGTACATCAGACTAGACTGGATTTAGATGTTCTTAACATGCATAATAGCTCTATAATAGAGTTATATATGAGATTTGGAACAAATGGCCCAAACCCTTTCTTGTAGCCATCAGGGGGTAGAGGATAAATTTTTTTCAATATGAGAAAAAATTCTGGATGGCTTTAATAGCTGAAGTTGATTATAAGAGAAGTGTCTTTGCCCTTAATAGTCTACTCCAAGGTCATTTAACTTGATAGAATCATACTGGAAATATAACTTGTGAAATTTACTGTGCATTATACTAAGAATTCTAAAAATGCCTCTGTAGTACCACCAACCCAATCACACTGTTATATTTCATTTTGTGATATAAATTAATAGCCTTTGAACAGCTGTCTAGGCAAAAAGAATTATAGGATCCTTGTTTAAACAATGGAAGTGTATTATACAAAAAAGATAATTTGAGCTACATTACTTTAAAAAATATCATACTTTCCTGTTTTTATAACACACAAATCATCTAGACATGTCACGGTTTTAACTCAAGTTTTTCTTACCATCATTAGCACCTTAATTTTACAGCAAAACAAATTTGCTCTTTCTAGAACAGTAGATATTAGTACTACACAACAAAATGTTTTTTTCTCTATTTTCAGCACAGTGGAAAGTTGCATCTGCTTCCAGAATTGAAGCCATTTTGACAACCTTTGTCCAAAGAAATGGAAGAGTAGGTGATGTTTGTCCCTTCTGTGCAGAAGAATTTAATTTCGCCTGCAAAGTTCCCCTGCGCTAAGGATTGTGGAAACAATTGTTAATATTTAGCTTAGTTGTCTCAGGAGGGACTGATGACCTGCCTTAAAATCCATCATGCTTAAAATCCAAAGCATGAATCATTGCTTTGAGACATATAACAAGTTTTAATTCCTCAGGGACACCAAAGAGTGAGGTACAAAGTAAGACCCATAGTTGCACAATAATTGCATGATTTTTGTCAAACTATTTTGACAGAAAAATCTGGGCATTTTGTGTGTGAAAGGATTTTAAGAATATGATGTAATTTTTGTATAAGATGTAAAGAAGGGGTCCAGTTTCAGTTTTCTGCATATGGCTAGCCAGTTTTCCCAACATCACTTATTAAGTAGAGCATCCTTTCCCCATTGCTTGTTTTTGTCAGGTTTGTCCAAGATCAAATGGTTGTAGATGTATGGTGTTATTTCTGAGGCCTCTGTTCTGTTACATTTGTTTTTGTATCTGTTTTGGTATCAGTACCATGCCATTTTGGTTACTGTAGCCTTGTAGTATAGTTTGAAGTCAGGTAGCATGATGCCTCCAGCTTTGTTCTTTTTGTTTAGGATTGTCTTGGCTATATGGGCTCTTTTTTGGTTCTGTATGAAATTTAAAGTAGTTTTTCTTTTCTAATTCTGTGAAGAAAGTCAGTGGTAGCTTGATGGGGTAACATTAAATCTATAAATTACTTTGGGCAGTATGGCCATTTTCATTTTCAAGATATTGATTCTTCCTATCTATGAGCATGGAATGTTTTCCATTTGTTTCCCCTCTTATTTCCTTGAGCAGTGGTTTGTAGTTCCCCTTGAGGAGGTTTTTCACATCCCTTGTAAGTTGTATTCCTAGGTATTTTATTCTCTTTGTAGCAATTGTGAATGGGATTTCACTCATGATTTGGATCTCTATTAATGGTGTATAGGAATGCTTGTGATTTTTGCACGTTGATTTTGTATCCTGAGACTTTGCTGAAGTTCCTTATCAGCTTAAGGAGATTTTGGGTTGGGCTGAGATGATGGGGCTTTCTAAATATATAATCATGTCATCTGCAAACAGAGACAATTTGACTTCCTCTCTTCCGATCTGAATACCCTTTATATCTTTCTCTTACCTGATGGCCCTGGCCAGAACTTCCAATACTATGTTGAATAGGAGTGATGAAAGAGGGCAACCTTTGGCATCCTTTTTGCCTTTACTCACATTCCTCTTTGCTTCACTTTCCTTTGCATCATTTTACCTGCCTTGGAACATGACCTCCCAAAGTTAATGAGGATTATTACTTATTACTTAGTCTCAGGCTCTGTTTTTGTTTGTTTGTTTGTTTGTTTGTTGATGGAGTCTCAATCTGTTGCCCAGGCTGGAGTGCTGTGGCACGATCTCAGCTCACTGTAAGCCCACCTCCTGGGTTCACACCATTCTCCTGCCTCAGCCTCCCAAGTAGCTGGGACTACAGGCACCTGCCACCACGCTCGACTAACTTTTTGTATTTTTAGTAGAGATGGGGTTTCACCGTGTTAGCCAGGATGGTCTCGATCTCCTGACCTCGTGATCTGCCCACCTTGGCCTCCCAAAGTGTTTGAAATACAGGTGTGAGCCACCATGCCTGGCCGAGGCTCTGTTTTATAGTGAACATGGATTAAGATAGCAATGGATCCTAAAATGGCATTTAATAAAGTAAACTTTCATTTATGATTTCTTGTACACTAACACTATATACGAAATAAGGTGCAATATAAAATAGATTTTGAAGCAAAAGCAAATATTTTAATTATTTACATCAGAGTTATTATGAATGAATTCAAATCTAAGAAAATATATTGGGTGACTATATTATTCACAGCATATTTGATTGTCTATAAAATGTGTTTCGAGAGAATTTGGTTTAAATTTTTACTCTTTGGTCACCCAAGAAGACATTTTAGATATATTTATACTTATATTCTTAATTATATGTAGACCATTGGTTAATTCCTTCACGAATAATAAAAATTTCATGAAATATTTTGAAATTTTATATTTACAACTATCTATACAAATATTAATTTATCTGTTTTGTAATAAAAGATAATTTAGCTTTTTAAAAATATGAAATATAGCTGTAAAGAAGAGGTTTGCCATTTGTTTAATTTTAACAATATTTAGCATTACTTTGGAGAAGTTATTTTAGAAATGAAGCCTATACTAATATTTAATATTTGTATAGTACTTTTGATGCTTAATTGTGACCCAAGTACTTTGTATGAATTATGTCATTCATTTTAACAATCATCCTGCATGACCAGTACTATTATTATATCTCTCAAGGCTTAGATTGGTTTAGCCTGTTGCCCAACTAACTCATTTAGTACAGGATGGATATTAAACCCAAGTGGTAGGCACAACCAGCAGAACATGCCCCCATAACTTCTAAATTAATTGTGAATATTGTGTAGGTGCTTATTATTTAAGATTAGTTGTTATTCTCATATGAAGAGGTTATTGGGTCTCCAGTGTTATTTAATCTCAGGTCTGTGTTCAGAGTCAAACATCTAAATCTGTAATTTGAATTCAATGATGTGACTACAAATTTTAATCTTGGTGACCAGCCAGGAAATACCGTATTTCCTTTTTAATGAATAATTGTTTATTTAATATAATATGTTAACTTAAATATTATTAATTTAATATGACAGAAAAATATTCCTTATTTAGATTACTAAAATTTTTACAAAAAGCACATTCAATTGTTGGTAATATAAATGATATTCATATTTTGGAGGAGCGATTTTTCTGTATAAACATTTAACTTAACCAACAAAAGCACATATTAGTTGTTTTATTTCTTGAGGTTGGATAATTTGTTTCTGTTTGAATGCCTACGTTTTGTATAAAAGTGATAAATGTATTTATAATAAATTATAATGTAGATAGACTTACATTTAGAGAAAAAAGTCCTTATCTCTTGAAAAATGATGCTAGTTAACTGGAACCTTTTTCCTCCCAACAATTGCTCTGCTACTACATTAAAAATACAAATAAATAAAGCCTCATTTGAATAATTTTTAAATATTTGTTAATAGAATAAAATAATTTTTATAAAATCCTGTTACATGTGGGTCAATGAATGCAATTTAGATTTGTCAACATATAATGTGTTCTGAAAAAGGCATACATCTATACAACCATCACAATAAGACATAAAAAATTATAATTACCCTCAAACTGCCTTTATGCCATATACCAATAGATCCTCTACTTCCTTGTCCCCAGGCAACCACTAATATTCATTCTCTCAGTAATAGATTTGTCTTTCCAGATTTTCACATAAAAGGGATCCAAGTGGAATGCATTTTCATATCTGATTTCTTTACTCAATAGTGTTTAAAGAATCCTCTATATTATTTTGTTTCAGAACTTTTTTTACTGTTGTGTAGTATTTCAGTGTATGAATACACCATCATTTGGTTATCCATTCATATGCTGATAAACAGTCTTTTTTCAGTTTCTGCTTTATGAATATAAATACTACATATCTGTGTGCAAGACATTGTGTGGACATTGGCTTTTATTTCTTACTTGTAAATGCCTAGATGTGGAATTGTTGAATTGTATGAAAAGTCTATGTTAATATTATAAAATAATAGTTTCTCAAATAGTTATTTTTTTTCTACCAACTATGAGAATTCTAGTTGTTCCTCATCTTTGCTAACACTTGGAATTATCACATATTGAAAATTTTTCTTATCTGAAAGTTGTGTACTGATATCTCATTGTAGTTTATATTTGCATTGCCTGATGATCAATTATTTTGAGAATTTGTCATTTGGTTTATTGGACTTTTCTATAATTTCTCTTGTGAAGTGTCTGTTTAAATCTTTTACACAACACTTATGATGTTTTTGCCTTATAAAATTGAGATAATATTATGTATAATCTGCATACATTTGCATACATTTATTATATAAATGTATAGAGGCATTTTCAATAACTTATAGTAAGTTAAAATAGTTATATGAACTTCTAACTTAGTGTTTTAGAAACAACTGCTAGAAGAACATAAAAAAGGATTAATGAAATAAATTTCCCTGTAAAGTTAAAAGATTTAGGAAAAGTATATTTAGTGCCACAAGACTTTGATTTTTTAAATTTTAAATGCATATTTCATTTTGTTATGAAACATATAATCTATACAATGGTTTGAACAATTTTTATAATGCTGGAATACAAAAATTGCTGAAATTCAGAACGAGACATATCATTTCTGTCCCCAGGACATTGACAACATGCATATTATAATATGGAGGTGTCACATGTGACTTAAGGCAACTTAAAGACTTAGCTTTCTCCATTAGGAAGGGAAAAAACAACATATTTGGTCAATCTGAAACATCCTAAAACTTTCTGATAAAAATACAAGCATTTGTCATTTTGAAAATCTGAAAATTATTGTATTAATGGTTATAGATATTAAAAAGTAGATGATGATAGATTAAAACCATTTAAAAAGTGAAAGCAATTAGGAATGGTTAAATAAAGTATTTTGTTTTATTTATTGTTGGTAAAGATGTAATATAACTAATTAAACATTCCCAAGAAATTCCATTTCTACTTACTCTTTCTCTTTCTGAAATTTGACCTCATAACTTAATAACTTAAAATGTAGCAATCATATATTTTAATTCCACTACCATGATACTTACTATGCTTACCTTTTGAGAGTTAGAATTGTGTTTGTCCTGATAATGTGGAGGAGCTTGTAGTTAGTTTAGAGGATCTTTGAGGAATATAAATGTTTGAGATAAACATATAAAATGTGAAATCAAGAAAAAGAACTTTTTCAGAAGATGAAACTGTTGCTCAGGTTACTTGACTGGGAGTTCCCAGAGCTCCAGTTTCAATCCTCCCTTCAGCCTTCAATCCCTAAGAGACATCCAGCCCCAGCAATTGGATTGGGCAGCCTGTCTTGACGCACCACTGTGCTGAATGCTTGAGGACATGTTTCAAGAGATGGCTGGGGTTAGTGTGTGTCATCAGATTTGAGGAGAAATCAAGAGACAAAATGCTGCCCTGCTGGAGCTGTGTGGTCTTCTCCAAGTGAGAGCTGCTGGCCATAGAACTACTTTGCTTTCAGGGAAAGAGGAGGAATTCATTTTCAGTAGTCACAAGAAAAGCAGTTTCTTTTCAGAAGCAACATAGTAACTTAACAGAAAAACTGAAAGAAACCACAGATCTTTTGAAAGAAGCAGCAGGCTGCAGCCTAAATTGTGAACCAGACTAAAAACTCCCTACAGGAGACAGTGAACCTGCTCACACATCCAGCACAGCATCACCACAACCACCATCTGAGAAAGCCATTGCACAAAGATTCTCTATAACCAAGGGACTCATACCAAGTCTGCACCACTGAAAGCACATGGAGCTGCAGCTAGGTGACAATAAACTATAAACATTAAAGTCACATCCTTAAGGGAAAAAAAATTAAAAAGACAAACTAGTTCAATCAAAAATGAATTCAAAAGTCATTAGAAGAATAGTCTGTCCAAGTGAGAAGGAGCCAGAAAAATAATTCTGACAATATGAAAAACAGGGTCTAAAACATCCCTAAAATATCAAACTATCTATTAGTGTATCCAAACGAAACTGTAGAAACATCAGATAAATAATTCAAAGGGTTGATAATTAAGTTACTCAAATAGAAACAAGATAAAGATGAAAGCCACCATAAACAAATTTAAAAAAAATAAGGATATGAGTAAAAACATTTCTAAACAGACAGGTATTTTAAAGAAAAACCCACCAGAATTTCTGAAAATGAAAGACACATTTAGGGAAATATAAAATGCAGTGGAAAGTTCAAACAATGGACTAGACCAAGTAGAAGAAAGACTTTCCTTGTTGTCTCTTTTGAATTAAGCCAATCAGACAAAATAAACAAAAATGGATTTAAATAAATGAACCGTCTCCAAGAAACATGGGGTTAAATAAAATAGCCAAACCTATGAAATATAGGTGTTCCTGAGAAGAAGAAAAAGTAAGAAGTTGGAAAATCTATTTGAGAGACTAATTAAGGAAAACGTACCTTGCCTTGCTACAGATTTAGATATCCAAATACAGGAAGCTCAAAGAACTCCCGGGGGACTCATTGCAAAAGGAATATCACCAAGGCTTATAGTCATAAGGCTATCTAAAGTCAATGGTAAGAAAAGAATTCTAGAAACAGTGAGAAAAAAAAAATCAGATAACCTATAAAGGAAAAACTATCAGACTAACAGGAGACCTCTCAGTAGAAACTTTACAATCCAGAAGGGCTTGAGGCCTTATCTTTTGTCTCCTTAAATGGAGTAACTATCCTCCAAGAAGTCTGTATCCAGCAAAACTAAGTTTCATAAATGAAGGAGAAATAAAGTGTCAGACAAGCAAATGTGGAGTAAAATTGTTAATACTAGAGCAATCCTACAAGAAATAATAAAAGGTGTTCTAAATCTTGAAACATAAGGTTAATACACACCAGAATAGAAACTCCTGAAAGCATAAAATCACAACACTTATAAAACAACAACACAATGAAGAAAACAAAGTCACTAGGTCACAATAGACATGATGACTGGAACAGTATCTCACATCTCAATATTAACATTGAATGTAAATGGTCTAAATTATCCACCTTAAATATACAGATTGGCAGAATGAATTTAAAAATTCTCAAAATAAATAGCTGCTGTCTTCATAAGACAAACCTAATATGTAAGGATTCCTATAGACTCAAGGTAAAGGGGTGAAAAAAGATATTTCACACAAATGGAAACTGAAAGTGAGCAGGAGTAGCTGGTCTTATATTGGATAAAACAGACTTTAAAAAAAAAAAAGAAAAGACAAAGAAGGCCATTACATAATGATAAAAGGATCAATTCAACAAAAGGATGTAATAATTATAAATATATATGCACTTAACTCTGAAGTTCCAGATTCATAAAGTAATTACTACTATGCCTAGGAAAAGAGATAGCAACACAGTTAAGAGTGGGGGATTTCAGCACTCCACTGACAGCACTAGAATGATTATAGAGGCAGAAAGTCAATGAAGAAATACTGCCGGGCATGGTGGCTCATGCCTGTAATCGAAACACTTTGGGAGGCTGAGGCGGGCGGGTCACCCGAGGTCAGAAGTTCAAGACAAGCCTGACCAACATGGAGAAACCCTGTCTGTACTAAAAATACAAAATTAGCCAGGCATGGTGGCACACTCCTCACACGTCTGAAATCCCAGCTACTTAGGAGGCTGAGGCAGGAGAACTGCTTGAACCCGCGAGGCAGAGGTTGTGGTGAGCCGAGATTGCACTATTGCGCTCCAGCCTGGGCAACAAGAGCGAAACTCTGTCTCCAAAAAAAAAAAGAAAGAAAGAAAGAAAGAAAGAAAGAAAGAAAGAAAGAAAGAAAGAAAGAAAGAAAGAAAGAAAGAAAGAAATACTGAATTTAACCTGTACTCTAGAACAAATGGACCGAACAGATATTTGCAGAGCACTGTACCCAAAAACTGCATTAGCACATGGAACATTCTCTAAGATACACCATATGAGAAGCCACAAAATAAAGTATCAACAAATTTAAGAAAATAGAATCATATTAAATATCTTCTCAGGCCACAGCAAAACAAAACTAGAAATAAATAAAAATTACTCTCAAAACTATTCAAATACATGGAAATTGAACAATCTGCTAATCTGCTCCTGAATGATTTCAGGATTAACAATGAAATCAAGATGAAAATTGAAAATTTTGAAATGAATGACAACAGTGATGCAATTTATCAAAATCTGTGGAATACAGCACAATGCTAAGAGGAAAGTTTATAGTGCTAAATGTCTACATCAGAAAAATCTGAATGATCAGAAATTCACATCCTAACATTATATCACACCACAAGGAACTAGAGAAACAAGGACAAACCAAACCGCCAACTATCAGAAGAGAAGAAATACAAAAATCATTGCAAAACTAAATGAAATTGAAACAAAAAAGTAAAAAAGATCAATGAATATACCACTGATTATTTGAAAAGATAAACAATATTGATAGACCACTAGCTAGATTTAAAAAAAAAAGAGAGAAAATTAAAATAAGCTCAGTTAGAAAGGAAGATTACAGATGACATCACAGAAATAAAAAATATCATTCCAGATTGCTATGAACACCTCTATGCACACAAACTACAAAGACTGGAAGAAATTCATAAATTTCTGAAAACATACATTTCCCCCAACCATCCGCTTAAATCAGAAAGAAATAGAAATTCCAAACAGACCAATAACAAGCAGTGAGATTGAGTCAGTAATAATAAAGAAATCCAACAACACCAAAAATCCCAGGAACAGATAAATTCAGTTGATTTCTTCCAGACATTCAAAGAAGAATTGGTATAAATTCCACTAAAACTATTCCAAAAGATTGAGAAGATTTCAAAAATCCTTCTTAACTCATTCTATGATGCCAGTATCACCCTGATACCAAAGCCAACAAAGGACATAACAACAAAAAACTACAGACCAATATATCTGATGAATATAAATGCAAAAATTCTCAACAAAGTAATAGCAAACTGAATTCAACAGTACATCAATATGGAATTGTTTTCATTCCAGTGATATAGGAATGGTTCAACATATGCATATACAAGTCAATAATGTTATTCATCACAAAAACAGAATTAAAAGCAAAAACCGTATTGTCATCTCAGTAGATCCAGAAAAAGCATGGGATAAAAATCCAGCATACTTTAAGATATAAAATCTCAACAAACTGGCCATAGAAGGAACATATATGAAAGTAATAAAAGCCATATATGACAGATCTACAGCCAACATCATCCTGGATGGGGAAAAGTTGAAACATTTTTTCTAAGAATTAGGGATGCCCATTTTAACCATTTCTATTCAAAGTAGTACTGGAAGTCCTGGCTAGAACAATCAGGCAAGAGAAAGAAATAAAGTGCATCCCAATTGGAAAAGAGGAAATCAAACTATCTCTGTTTGCCAATGATATGATCTTATACCTAGAAAACTCTAAAGATTCATCCAAAGCACTCTTGTATCTGATAAATGAATTAAGTAAAGCTAAAAAATCAATGTACAAAAATCAGTAGCACTGCTATACAGCAGCATTGACCAAACTGAGAATCAAATCCAGAACTCAGTCCCTTTAAAATCGCTACAAAAACAATTGAAATATACTTAACCAAAGAGGTGAAAGATCTCTACAAGGAGAACTACAGAGCACTACTGAAAGAAATAATAGATGACATAAACAAATAGAAATATATTTCATGCTCAAAGATTGGAAGAATCAGTATTGTAAAAATGCCTATACTGCCCAAAGCAATCTATAGATTCAATGCAATTCCTATCAAAATACCAACATCATTTTTCACAGAATTAGAAAAAACAATCCTAAAATTAATATGGAACCAAAGAAGAGCCCAAATACTCAAAATGATCCTAAGAACAAAGAACAAATCTGGAGACATCACATTACCTGACTTCAAATTATACTACAAGCCTATAGTAACCAAAACAGCATGATACTGGTATCAAAGTAAATACATAGACCAATGGAACAGAATGGAGAACCCAGAAATAAAACCAAATATTTACAACCAACTGATCTTTGACAAAGCATCCAAAAACAAATTGGGGAAAAGACATCATATTTAATAAATAATGTTGGGAAAATTGGATAGCCACATATAGAAGAATGGAACTGGATCCCTCTCTTCCACCTTATGCAAAAATGAACTCAAGATAAATCAAGGACTTAAATCTAAGGCCTGAAGCCATAAAAATTCTAGAAGATAACCTGGGAAAATCTCTTCTGGATAATGGCTTGGGCAAATAATTTATGTTTAAGACCCCAACAGCAAGTGCAATAAAAACAATAGTAATTAAATCGGAATTAATTAAACTAAAAAGCTTCTGCACAGCCAAAGGAATAATCGTCAGAATAAACAGAAAACCCTCAGAATAGGAATATTCACAAGCTACGCATCTGACAAAGAACTAATATTCAGAATCTACAAGGAATTCAAATAAATCATCAGGAAAAAAAATAATCCCATCGAAGAGTGGGCAAAGTACATGAATAGATATTTCTCAAAATAATATGTATGAATGTCCAACAAATATGTGAAAAAATGTCCAACATCACTAATCATCATAGAAATGCAAACTAAAGCTACAATGAAATACCACCTTACCCTACCCAGAATGGCTATTCTTAAAAATTTAGAAAACAGTAGATATTGGTGTGTATGTGATAAAACAGGAATGCCTGTACACTGCAGGTAGGGATGTAAATTAGTAAAACCTCTATTGAAAACAGTATGTAGATTTCTCAAAGAACTGAAATTAGATCTACCATTCAATTCAGTAATACCACTACTGAGTATCTACCCAAAGGAAAAGTCACTATATCAAAAATGCATCTGTACACATGTTTATCACAGCACAATTCAAAATTGGAAAGATATGGAATTAATCTAAGTGTCCATCATCCAATAAGTGTATAAAGAAAATTTTTTACATATAAAAACACATTATATATATTTATTTATAATATAAATCTATAAATATATAAAATATATATTTACATATATATTTTTGTATATGTCCATGTCCCCCAGAACTCCCCTAAGGTTGTAGGCTCTTGAGATAATAATCCTTAGGAGATATATATATATATATATATATATATATATATATATATATATGTATATATGCCTTGAAATACTACTCAGCCATAAAAAGAACAAAATAATGTCTTTTGCAGCAGCTTAGATGGAACTAGAGGCCATTATTGTAAGAGAAGCAACTCAGCAATTGAAAACCAAATACTCTATTTTCTTATTTACAAGTAGGAGCTAAGCTACAGGTACATAAAGGAATACAGAGTGGTATAACAGAGTTTGGAGACTCAGAAGGGGGCAGGGTAGGAGGGGGATGAGGGACAAATAACTGCCTATTGGATGCAATGTGTACTACTCAGGTGACAGGCGCACTAAAATCCTAGACCTCACCAGTGTACAATTCATCCATGTAACCAAAAACCCCATTGGTACTCCAAAGCTATTTAAAAAATAAATAAAAAGAAACTCTCTCTCCCTCTCTCTCTCACACACACACGCACACACACACACACACACACACACACAGGAAGATGAGACTATTTTTTAATGTAAAAAGGATGTTATCAGATCCATAGAGAAGGAATAAAATCTAAGCCAAATAGATTTTGCAGACTTGAACATAAAATGTGTTCCCATTTCTAGTTAGAATGTAGAGGAAGGAGGAAGTCCTTCATGTCTTCCACAATAACAAGATAAAGAATAAAAACTTCACCTTGTATTATTTTCCCCCCACTAATAGCATTTATTTATTACAAGATGCTTAAAGCTAGAGACACTTCTCATTGGATTTCAGGAAAAACTGTAAAACATTGGAGAAATCTCCCATTCCCCAAGACATTTTTGTGTTGTTTCTGATGCCCAAAGTCACATGGTGCCTTGGCTCCTGGGTGGGCATACCCTTAGGTTAGATTAATGACCTTGCCCAGGAAAAGGCTGCTGTATCTGAAATGGTCAAAGGTCATCACAATGAAGGGCCAGCTGAAAATGATAATAAGAGGCTTGAACATCAACTTTAGGACATCCCCAGTGGTGGCAGCTGCCTCACACTCTTCTCATCAAGTTGCAGCATGGACTTATGAACCACCTGTTACATCTTCAGCTGGACCTCTTGGGTGATGCCTGAAAAGTTTTCCTGGTTGGTGAAAAAGTCTGCAATGTCCATGTCCCTCAGAACTCCCCTTCTTTCATGCAACAAGGTTGTTGAATACAACTGTCTCAGGGCCCTTAGGTGCTAAAGCTCAAGGCTTCTGCAAGAACTCGATGATTCAGCTGACTGCCTCTAGTAGACAAAGCAGGTATAATTTCTAGAAAGGTAATTGGAATTATGCTTGAAGGTAGAGAAGAAATACAGGACGAGGGTAAGCATCTATACTTTTTAGGATATTAAGGCTTTTATTTTATTTTATTTGTACCGTAAAGGGAGAGAAGATGTCTGAAACTCTGAAATTGAAGAGGAGCTGTGAAAGGAAACAGACTGTTCAGCAGGTAGAAAGGAATGCATGAGACCCTCTCTTCACTGAGCCAAAGCAGCCCTGTGGGAAGCCTGGAGATGAGCAGCCAGCCAGTATGAATTTTAAGCCTTACTGTTCAAAAGGAATTGAAGAAGAATTAAAAAATGAGCCAGATGAAAAAAGAAGAAAGAATAAACAGCAAAGCAGTTAATTCAATCCATCCATATAGTTACATTAAATAAGATGGAAGTAAAGTTTTCAATTAAAAAGCCTTAAGACTATGATTTATAAATATTTAATTAATACTTTGTAAGAATAAAAATAAATATAAGCATTTTTATGAAAAATCAGAGACTTTCAGATAAAAGCAACACCCAACTATACATGTATTTTTTTTTTTATTAAGTACACTTGGAAAGTAAAAACAGAAAAAAATGCAAACACTATGAAAATTGGTGTGGCTATGCCAAAGTCAGAAAAATAGACTACAAAACTATGAGTATTACCACAGATTAAGAGGACATGTGTAACAAAATAATTGATTAATCAAGGAGATACAATAATCTTAAATAAGAGTGTACTTAAAAAGAGAATTTCAAAATACACAAAACAAAATTTAATGCACCTAGAGTACAAAGTTAAAAGTCCACAGAATTTTTCACCCCAACTCAGTAATTTATAAAATAAATAGAGAGGAAAAATAATATAAAGAAGATATGAACAGTGCTGTCAACTATGGACCAAAGAAAAAAATCACAGAGGAAATTAGGAAATAGTCTAACAGTGTAAATGAAAACAAAACTCAAACTTTTATGCTGTGAAATTAACCAGCCATTAGAAGAATAGGTATAGCTTTAAATCTTTCTGGTGGAAAAGAAGAAACATATAAACATCAATGAAATAGGCATACATCTTAGAAAGCCTGAAAAAAAAAAAAGCCAAAATAAATCCAAAGTGGATAAAGGAAAAACAAAAATATATTGAAAAAAAAGAGTGGAAATAAATTAATGGGAAAAATGAATAATAGAGAAAACCTATAAAATGAAAAGCTAGTTCTTTGGAAAGACTAACAAAATTGATAAAATTCTAATTTCACTTATTAAGGAAAAAAAAGAGAGAGGCAAAAATTACCAGCATAAAAAATAAACATCAGACAGCACTAGAGATACTATAGAATTTAAACTGATAATGGGTGATTACATAAACTAATGGGTGCCATATGATTTTTTAATTTATCTAAGCAAGTTTCTTGACCTGACTTTCAACTTTATAAATTCCAAGCCCATAAATATACAGATAAAATATAATAATGTATAAAATCTCTTTAGGGTTAGAAAATTTTTAAAAATGTACTGTCCAATGTCTTTTCAAAATGAAATTTCCATCAATAAATTAATTGAAATTAATCATATACAATATATTTTGTATTAAAGAGTAATTTATACCATCTATTTAGTGTAAAATTTAATATGCATAGAATAAATTTTAGAATATGCCATAATTAATTGTGGAATTATTGATTAAATTTGTTTCCTTCTTTCTTGCACAGTAACAGAGAATAACCTAGACCTATGGCTATCTAGATGTAAAATATATTTTTCATCTCTTTAAACAAATTGTTACTTTTGATCATACGTCTAAGTTCATACAACTGAAAACTAAATAGAAGTATTGTGTGCCATTTCACCTGACTCAATTTAAAGAAAATTTCTCCCCTAGATTTTCAGCTCCTCTTTTCCTGAGAGCCAGATCCTGAACACACCAGAAAACACTTCTGCCTTTGTAAAACCTTCTGACAAATTGACCTTGGGGAAATACTTACACATTCTTTTTCTCAGTTACCTGAACTACAAAAGTAGCAGAGTAACTGAAACTAGAGTTACTATATGCATTAAAAAATTAGAAAACCAAACAGTTATTACACAGCAAGCAGACATGACTGTGATCCCTGAAAGTGAAAAAAGCCCCCCAAAACAGGAGGTGCATATTAACATTGCCCTGGTTTTTTGCCTGGGGATATTTTTCAATCCACGCATCAGAAAGGAGAAGCCTAAGTAGACAATGGCCATCTCAGAGCTTTGGAGATAGAGACTGGAGTTTGAAATGTAAAATAGTCCCTGGAAATTGTAGGCATAATATCTGACATGAGGGAGACATATAGAGTAAGAGCTAAACCACAATAAATCTTCTAGATTCTTTGATGTAAAATATTCTGATCATGCATAAATGCCACCATTCCCCCCAAACAAGCAAACAAACAGCTGCCAATAATGACTGATTCCCAGAGTTCACATAGAGTGTAAGAAGATTAAGTTCATATAGCCAGAATCAAGAGAGCTTGTTGAGCAGTTGCAGCAATCAGTAGAGAACTAGGAATAAACATGCTTTAGCAGTAAGGGTAAATTAAGCCAAGTAAAGGCCACTGCAGACTTCCCTAACAAAATTTATAAACAAGCTCCTTAACTGTCGATCTGATTTGCTAGTAACTTGATAGTTACATTAAAGGAAGAAAAACAAACCTAAACTGCAACAATCTAACAAGAACGCCTGGCATCTAATCATATATTATTATAAATTAAAGAAACAGAAAAAAATTTACTCATAATCAGGAGAAAAATATGAATTAATGAAAACAACTGACAGAAGGACTTAACAAATAACAGAAGATGGGACTGACAAGCAATGACTTTAAGGAGCTATAGCTAATATAAATGTGCCCGATACTTTTAACAATGCATGAATATAACAAGAATAGAATAAGAAACAGATGGAAAAGGTAGAAATGAAAAATGAAATGTCTTAAGTGAAATTTTTCTTAATTAGATTAGATCACATGAGAGGTGGCAGAAGGCAAAAATCGCTAAGCTATGTGACAACAATAGCACCTACCTAAACTGAATCACAAAGAGAGACAGGAAAAAATATGTATATATAAACAGATTGTCACTAATCTGTGGTACCTTATCAAGCCACCTAATATAAATGTTACCACAGTTCCCTAAGGGAGGGGCACATAAGAATATAGATGAATAAATAATACCCTAAAAGTTTCTTGGTTTGAAGGAAAATGTACCGAAGCAAGGAGCTCAACAAACACTAAGTAAAATAAATCCAAAGAATGTAACACAAAATCACATCATAATCAAATTCATAAAAGAAAGATATACAGAAAAAAATGTTAGAACATTGATATGAAAATACAAGGCATACGAAGGAACAATCTTAAAGTCTGACCTGAGACTTCTCATCAGAAAATAAGCAATTCAAGTAACAGTAAAGAAACATCTTTAATGCGCCAAAAGAAAAGAAAGAACTGTCAACCAACTCTTTAAATATATAGTTAATGTATGCTTTAAAAGGAAATGTGAAATAAAGACATTAACAGATGGACAAAAGCAGAGAGATTATGATGCCTGGACAACTGCACTGCAGGAAATGCTGAAGGCAAACACTTCCATCTCCTGCATAGCATGTAGAAAACCAGAAAGTACATCATTCCCACCCTGACAACTAGACACAGCTGGGTAATCTATAAAATAATAACTTTTTCTAAACCTAGCAGAGACCTGAGTTCATATGACAATCAACCAGCCTGAAAGCTAAAGAAGTCAGCACCTTAAATAAGCACTGCAAACCTTTGGCAGCAGGAGGAAGTCAGTCTTCAGCAGGCAGGAAAGAAGAAATTGCTAAAATGTTTACTGAATTGCCAAAGGCCAAATGTGATCTAGTATGTGAGTATAGAAGCCCAGAGGAATTTGTACAAAGTTGAAGGCTATTCTCCAAAGATCTCACTGAGTTCTCATGAGAAAGGTCAAGGGCTGGGAGAGTCCAGAAAAAGCTTCTCTTGCTGGTGCAGGAGTGGGAAGGAGAGTGATATTGCTGTAGGAAAGGCACAGTATCTTGCCTGGTTCTTTCTACTCTGAATAACAAAAAAAAAAGTTAAGCTTCTTCAGGAAGGGCAACAAATTCTGCTACCCTCGGTGCACACGTGAAGACTCACAACAGCTGGGAGAAGGAAAGACAAAATCTCCTACCTCTCAAGGTTGGGCAAGAAACCATCCTGTGTTCAGGCTGTTAGAGAGCCTGCATCCCTCATTTTACTGGTTCAGCCTCAGTTTTTTTCAGGCCTCATGTCACTAAATGTTCAGTCTGGCTTTTTCAGTGACCCAGGAGAATTTGCCCAAAGGGCTCAGTGTCTGATTTTGTTGCTGGCAATTTTGGCATTCATCAGGGATAATAGCCAGATTGGCACTGGTGAGAGAAAGTCCATAGTTCTTGGACTCGTACACAGCCTCCGTCCCTGTCAAAATAGATATTCCCTTCCTGGGCCTATTTTACTGATATGGGAATGAACAAGGAAAAAGGCAAACTGGTGCACAGAGGCCAAATTGACCCTATTTGGTTTTTGAGTGTCATCTCTGTGATGAATGGTTTCTTAGTGGGTATTAATGTAATTCACCTAAACTGTATATATTGTGCTTACTCTAATCCATTCATCTACATTCTTCTTTTTCATATCTCTTTGTCTCAGTATTACAATATTAATTTCCCCCAGGATCTTGATCAAACAGACAAGACATTTTCCATTGCCCTATCTGTCACAGGTGTCAGTGTGTAACTACTCGCTTAGATCACTTTTTCTTTCATTTAAAATGAACAACATTGTGTCTCTTCCCTGTCACCAGAGTTATCTTCTGCCACCTTTTTGTCACATTTTACTGCTATAGCCATTCTCACTAAAGAAAAAATGTGTAAGAGAAGAGTTAAACCAGCAAGAAAGACTTTATGACTTAACAGCAGGGGAGAGAAATTCAACTCAACTTTACTGGAACAAAAGATAGTAGTGTTTTCAAATGCTGGAGTGAGCTAATGAAAAGAAGTACTAGAAGGTGTTAGGGGATGTTGATCAATGTGATTAGGCCGTATATATTTGCTTTTTGATACTTATTGAAATGAGGCTCTTAACCTTCCTGTAGAAAATAGGTACTGCCTTTTAAGATGACTATGTTTCATAGGGATGACTTCTAGGGCCTTGACAAAGACATTCCTGAATTGTAACTCTGGCAAGAGACTGGGAAAGGATGTACATTGTAAATAAAGTGATAAATCATTTGCAATTACAAGGTTTTTGTTGTCGTTGATGTTAAAGTAAATGCTCTAAGAAAAAGGATGCTAAGGGACTAGAGTCCAGATGAAGCCTATCTAAAACTGCCTCAAACTGAGGGTAATTTTAAGAAGGTTTTGGTCAATATACAATTAGCATAAACAGATTATGTTGAACTATGTAATAACAGTACTTGAAGCTTTCAACAATTCATTAGGGAGAACATTTCAGAAAGAAAAAATAAAAGTGAGCTGAGGAGAGGCATCAATGCAACCGATTCATTTGTGTCTTCTGAATTTGCTTGGAACTGGTCCTAGATGAATCAAATCTATCATTCAATGGTAAGCTGCATGGTTATCAAATCAATAATTCAGTAAATAGGTGAAATACCCATCTTTTATTGGACAGCCTTTATCACATAGTAACCTAAATTTTCTTGCTAAACAAGTCTGTTCTCACACTGCTAATAAAGGCATACCCGAGGCTGGGTAATTTATAAAGAAAAGAGGTTTAATTGACTCACAGGTCCACATGGCTGGGGAGGCCTCACAGTCATGGCAGAAGGTGAATGAGGAGCAAAGTCACATCTTACATGGCAGCAGGAAAGACAGCTTGTTCAGGGGAACTCCCATTTATAAAACCATCAGATCTCATGAGACTTACTTACTATCACGAGAACAGTATGGGGGAAGCTGCCACCATTATTTAATTATTTCCACCTGGCCTGTGTGGAGACATGTGGAGATGATTACAATTTAAGGTGAAAATTGGGTGGGGACACAGAGGCAAACCATACCATTCTGTCCCTGACCCCTCCCAAATTTCATGTCCTCACGTTTCAGGACACAATCATGCCCTCCAACAGTCCCCCAAAGTCTTAACATAATCCAGCATTAATCCACAAGTCCAAGTCCAAAGTCTCATCTGAGACAAGGCAAATCCCTTCCACTTATGAGCCTGTAAAACCGAAAGCAAGTTAGTTACTTCCCAGATACAATGAGAGTACGGGCATTGGGTAAATACACCCATTCCAAATGAGAGAAATTGGCCAAAACAAAGGGACTACAGGCCTTATGCAAGTCTGAAGCCCAATAGGGGAGTCAAATCTTAAAGCTCCAAAATGATCTCCTTTGACTCCATGTCTCACATCCAGGTCATGCTGATGCAAGAGGTGGGCTCTCACGGCCTCGTGCAGCTCTGTCTCTGTGGCTTTGCAGCATACAGCCACCCTCACAGCTGCTTTCACAGGATGGAGTTGAGTGTCTGCGGCTTTTCCAGGCACACAGTACAAGTTGTCAGTGAATCTACCATTCTGGGGTCTGGAGGACAGTGGCTCTCTTCTCATGGCTCCAGTAGTAAGTGACCCAGTGGGGACTCTGTGTGGGGGCTTTGACCCCAGAGTTCCCTTCCACACTGCCCTAGCAGAGGTTCTCCATGAGGGCTCGGCCCCTGCAGCAGACTTCTGCCTGTAAATCCAGGCATTTCCATATAACCTCTGAAATCTAGGCAGAGGTTCCCAAACCTCAATTCTTGACTTGTGTGCACCATCAGGATCAGCAAATGTAAGCCACCAAGGCTTGGAGCTTGCACCCTCTGAAGTATCAACCTGAGCTGCACATTGGCCCCTTTTAGACACTCTGGGACTCACGGCACCAAGTCTGGAGACGCACAAAGCAGCAAGGCCCTGGGAAACCACTCCAGTTTTCCCTCCTAGACGCCCCACCCCTGTGATGGGAGGGGCTTCTGTGAAGACCTCTGACGTGCCCTGGAGACATTTTCACTATTGTCCTGGCAATTGACATTTGGCTTCGTGCTACTTATGCAAATTTATGCAGCCAGCTTGAATTTCTCCCTAGAAAATGGGTATTTCTTTGCTACTGAATCATCAGGCTGTAAGTTTTCCAAACTTTTATGCTCTGTCACCTCTTGAATGCTTTGCCACTTAGAAATTTCTTCCACCAGATACCCCAAATCATCTCTCTCAAGTTCAAAGTTCCACAGATCTCTAGAGTAGGGGCAAAATGCTGCCAATCTCTTTGCTAAAATATAGCAAGAGTCACCTTTATTCTAGTTCCCAATAAGTTTCTCATCTCCATCTGAGACCACCTCAGCTTGGATTTCATTGTCCATATCACTATCAGCATTTTGTTCAAAGCCATTCAACAAGTCTCTAGGAAGTTCCAGACTTTCCCACATTTTCCTGTCTTCTTCTGAGCCCTCCAAACTGTTCCAACCTCTGCCTGTTACCCAGTTCCAAAGTCGCTTCCACATTTTCAGGTGTCTTTACAATGGCACCTCACTCCACCTGTAACAATTTACTGTATTACTCTGTTCTCACACTGCTAATACACGCATACCTAAGACTGGGTAATTTATAAAGGAAAGAGGTTGAGTTGACTTACAGTTCCACATGGCTGGGGAGGCCCCACAATCATGGTGGAAGGCAAATGAGGAGAAAGTCACATCTTACGTGGCAGCAGGCAAAAGAACTTGTTCAGAGTAACTCCCATTTATAAAACCATCAGATCTCATGAGACTTATTCCCAATCACTAGAGCAGCATGGGAAATACCCACCTCCATGACACAGTTACCTCCACCAGGTCCCTCTCAAGACAAGTGGGGATTATTACAATTCTAGTTGAGATTTGGGTGGGGACACAATTCTAAGCCATATTAATGCCCTAAATGGCAAGTCTTTTAAACAATGGCCTGAACTGCAGAGTAAATTTTACTCCTACTTGCAATCAAATTTTATCAGTATCCTGAATAACCAATAAATGGGTAGAAGTAGTATATATATGTAAGTGTGTTAAAAATTCACTGAATTCACAGAATTTCCCCAAAATTAAGTACTCTTGTTTTTTATTAGTGGCAGAAAATTCAAAGTGCAACAACTTATCTCTTCACTTACCTTATCTCAGAATGCCTCAAATGACAAAATTCCATCAGACCTCCTCTGCACAGTTGGTCTCAGAATCTTTGTGGTGTTTATCTAGTATCATCTGACATGTATGTATTTTACTAAAGCATTTAGAAATCTTGCCATCTCTTTCTCACTAAATCTAATTAGCATGATGTCACAAATATAGTGGATCAGCATTAAGTTTTGTGTGACATCCAGACAACTAAAGCTCTCCCCGGTGACTACTTAAGACTGACAGCAGGAGAGTTAACATCACCAAATGGCTGGTCTAAAATTGCAAAGCAATGGTTGCCATAGCTTTGGCTGGATTAAGTAGTGATTCTGAAAGGATTTTAAGTGGTACTTGAGTGGTTGTCTGATAAATAGGACTTCCATATCTCTTGCTCTCCAAACAGAATAAATATAAAAGAATTACTGAATGTTTCTATTTTGGAAATATTTTGTAAGATAACTTGAAGATGATCAAAGATATCTAATACATAATCTCTCCTCTGAAAGGTATTAAATCTATTTTAGTGTAAAATATTTTATATAAGTAACATTTTTTTAATAACCAGCAAAGAAAGTTTACATATTAAATACATCAACTAAGTATTATAACTTATAAATTCTATGAGGGCTAAGAGGGGATATATATTCCTATAAAATGGCTTGAGAAATTATTTGTTACTAAAGTTGTTTGTCCTAAATTTAAAAAGTAGATTGGAATTATATGGAGTTGTTTTATCCCAAGTACGGTAGCACAGCATTGGGTCACAGAAAACTTTAAGAGGATATGTATTCATGGAGGCATAACTTAAAAATTAAGCGAATGGCAGTGTTGCCTTATGTGATAGTAAATTAGAGTAATAGTGACAGCCTTGCTAATACACAGTGAGTATAAGCTAACTTAAGTCATGCTTATGTCCCTAAGGAGGTTGCCTGTTGTTTTTTTTTTTGTCATTGTCTAGGAACGTATTACATCTTTTTACATATTACGTCTTTCTTAGAGAGATGATGTCTATTCCCTAGTCAAATTAAGAGTCCTGTCAGATATAAGAATCTCTTGAGTTCCAGGATGAAAATTGCAATGCTTTGTGTCCTGCTTTACATGTCAATGCTCTGTCTTGACCTAGTGTCCAAAACCCCACTTTATACATTAAGAATATTGCTGTGACTGCTGAGTGTGACCATGGCCACAGAACAGAGTTTGTTTTCCAAACCGTATTCTTGGATGTCTTGAGCAGAAACACTTAAGTTGACTTTTAAATAGGTAGAATATCAAAGCCTTCTACATGGAAAATGGCTGACAAAGTCACTTGAGAGATTATATGCAACATAATAAATACATTCATCTGCCATTTCTCATCTCTCCAAGAGCAGTATAAATACCTAAAGAACTTAGACTATAAATAAAATATTACAGGCTGGGAGCAGCGGCTCACAGCTGTAAACCCAGAACTTTGGGAAACCAAGGCAGGTGGATTCTTTGAGCCCAAGAGCTGGGGATCAGCCTGGCAAGACGATGAACCCCATCTCTACAAAAAATATAAAAATTAGCTGGGCATGGTGACATGAACCTGTAGTTACAGCTACTTGGGAGGCTGAAGTGGAAGAATCACTTGAGCCTGGGAGGCAGAGGTTGCAGTGATCTGAGATCACACCACTGCATTCCAGCCTGGGTAACAGAGACTGTTTCAAAAACAAATAAATACATATAATAAAAAAAACTGGAAAACATTTAAAAATATTTAAAGACAGTTAGTATTCAAATACAGATAGAAGCCAGACAGTTAATTCCAAAAATTGCAACAGAAATAAATTGGAGGAATTAAAAATTTATGGGTTTCTAGTAAAAGGATGCTTATCAAATTCCATAGGTATGGCCATGGAAAACAGCAGTGTGATAATCTCATTGTTTATTATCAAAAGTGTCCAGAAATCAGAGTTCTTATCTGAGAAATCATCTGGAATTAAATGGTAAACTTTGGAAGCGAGATAAAACAGGAGAAATGAAACATATTCAAAGAATAGACTGCCAAAAATCACATGTTGAGCCACTAAAATACTGTCTGACTTAGGAGCTGGGGTGAGGCATGATGCTAAAAATGGAGGCAGAGGCCAGAAAGAAATCCACTTTTAAAAGATAGAACAGTCGGGCATGGTGGCTCACACCTGTAATCCTAGCACTTTGGGAGGCCGAGACAGGTGAATCACCTGAGATCAGGAGTCTGAGACCAGCCTGGCCATCTCTACTTAAAAATACAAAAAATTAGCCGGACAGGTGCCTGTAATCCCAGCTACTCAGGAGGCTGAGACAGGAGAAAACCTGGGAGGTGGAGGTTGCAGTGAACCGAGATTGTGCCACTGCACTCCAGCCTGGGAAAAAAAAAAAAAAAGAACAAGCAGCTATGAGTATGATTTTTTTTTTACATGGTGCATGCTTCAATTGTGTAAGAAGACTCAGAGAGTTGAGTATAGAGTCCATAGCTAACAAAATAGCTGAAGACCAGAGAGTTCTGAAAGATAAGGAAACTACAGCGAGAGTGAGCTCTATCATCTGCTATAAGATTTGTTTGGTAAATACTTTTTTCAGGAGAGGAGTAACTGAGAGGATACCAGCCTAAGAAGACAGTGGAAAGTAAAAAAGAATAGGAGATTACAAGAAGCTGCATACTTTAGCTATAGTTTGAAGCTAGATTACTTCCTATTACATAAAAATTTCATAATTCTCAGAAAAGCATGACAGAATCTTATCTCCACAACATATCATCTACATTGTCTAGTTTTCAACCAACCGTACTACTAGATAAACAAAGAAAAAGAAAAGTGTGACTAACCCATAATCAGGAAAAAAGGCAGAAACTGACTACAAGTGGAATCACCTGTTGTATTTGGAAGACAAAGATTTCACAGCAGCTAATATAAATCAGTTAAAAGTCATCAAATGTAATGTAAAGACTCGAAATCAATGCCCTAAACTGGAGGCTTAAGAAGCAGCCTGAGAACAAAGTCTCTGTCTGACCTTCTCCTGTCCTCCTGTCTCTCACTCAGGCAAGTCATAGAAACTAGCATCCTTCTTCCCCAAAGCAGGTCAGAGAAATCAGAATCATTTTACTCAAAAATAATAGCCATAATGCCTAAAAATTATTACTCTAAACACTTACTACCACCAGATTTTTCTGTAATAGCTGGCCTTAAAGAAATTAAGACTCTCATTTCAGTAGGCCCCTACCCTGTAACCAGGAGAAAAAAAAAGGAACACAGGCAGGCCAATAAAAATCTTAACAGAGAGCCCTTGTTGAGTTTCCCCACTCAGTCTGTTAGTATTAGATCATATACTTTTTGTCCAATCCTATTTTTAATTGGCTGTCTATACTTCATTGAACATGAGCATAAAAATGTGTAATTTTTCCTTTTTCTTTGGTCCTCATTCTGATGGCTCCTGTGTCACATAAAACTGTGATCAAATACATCTGCTATATTTTTCTCAGTTAACCTTTCTTGGTATAGGGGTGTTGGCCAAGATTTCTATGATGGGGAAGTAAGAAAGGACCTATTTTCTGCCGCAATAATAGTTTGTTCAAAATATTGAAGAATAATGTTGCATTTCTGAAGAATGAGACTGATAATCTCCATAGAGAAATAACAATTCTAAAAAACAATATCTGAAGTTGCATATTATGATTGCTGAAATAAACATTTTGGTGGTATGAGCAGAAGATTGAAAATACAAGGAGAAAGAATTAGTGACTAAAAAGAAATAAATAATACAAATTACTCAATCTAAAGAGCAGAAAGAAAAAAAATAAAGAAAAATAGAAAGAACATTAGAGTTTAGTGGAGCCATAGAATGTGATACAAAATTGCAAAATTGCAATCCCAGAAGGAAAGGAGAGAGAGAGAGAGGTGCATAAAAAAGTATGTGAAGAAATAATGGCTGGTAATTTCTAACTCATTAAAGTATTAATTTACAAATCCAATAACTTGACAAACTACAAACAAGATAAACACAAAATTATCTGCTTATAGATGGAAACATCAGGGTAAAGTGCAAGATGTGGATGCTAAGAAGAAAGTCTTGGAAGCAACAATAGAAAACCAATACATTGCCTTAGGGGGAAAATAATCAAATATTATGGAAGGGGGAACACATTGGTACAAAATATTTCATGCAGTAAAGTTTAAACAAATTATGAAGTAAGAATTCAATGTCCAGTAAAGCTATCTCACAAGAGTGATGACGAGACAAGGCAAGATAAAGACATACTGAGATAAAACCAAAACAGAAAAGTTGTCATCAACAAAGTTTTACTACAGGAAATGATAAACGAAGTTAGCCAGTTTATAGGAAAATGACACTACTAATTGAAATCACCTGGAAGATATTCAGGGTAAACGTATGAGTAAATTATGAGATTAATATTTTGGTTTTTCCTTTTTTTAATTTATTAAAACATATATTATTTGGTAAAGCAAATATTATACTGAGGGAGTTGTTATGATTTATATAAAATCATATCAGTTGTAAGATTTATACAAAAAGCAAACCAGGTCCGGGCGCAGTGGCTCACGCCTGTAATCCCAGCACTTTGGGAGGCCGAGGCAGGCGGATCATGAGGTCAGGAGATCGAGACCATCTGGCTAACACGGTGAAACCTCGTCTCTGCTAAAAATACCAGAAAAGTTAGCCGGGCATGGTGGCGGGCGCCTGTAGTCCCAGCTACAAGGGAGGCTGAGGCAGGAGAATGGCGTGAACCCACGAGGCGGAGCTTGCAGTGAGCCGAGATTGCGCCACTGCACTCCAGCCTGGCCTGGGAGACAGATCAAGACTCCCTCTCAAAAAAAAAAAAAAAAAAAAAAAAAATGAAAAAAGAAGAAAACAAACAAAAGCTTTCTGACACTGAGGGAGTGAACTATGGTTTTAATTACGGTGTCCCTTCCAAAATTCATGCTGAAACTTAATCCTTAATGCAACAGCATTAAGAAGTGTGGCTTTGGGAGGTAAATAAGTCCTGAAGGCTTTTCCCTGATGAATGGGATTAGCACCCTTACTAAAGGGCTCTGCTTAAAGGTAGCACTCTCTTGCCTTTTAGTCATTTGTGTCGTGTGACTCCACAGTGTTCGCTCCAGAGGAAGAAGCAACAAGACACCAGCAGAAAGCAAACCTCCTGGCACCTTGATCTTGAACTTCTCGGCCTCCAAAATTATGAGAAATACATTCCTATTGTTTATAAATTATTCAATCTGTGGTATTTTGTGATAACAGCACAAACTCAGAGAGAGTGTCTGGAATCCACTCACTCTCGCAATCCTGCACTGATGCAAAGCAGAGGTCTGCTATTTTGAAGGATAAACAGGAAACTCTTCCCTACCCAAGATCCCCCACAGACGCAAGGCAAAAGGTCGTCCATGTCTTTACTTTTCTACCTTATCATTTATTCAACAGTGCTGGGTTATATGCTGAACTAATAATAAATATTCATTTTGAAGAAAAGTGTCTTAAATGTTATCTGCTGGTATCTGGATTCTATTTAATACATAAAACCAGAATATTGTATGCTTTTCCAATAATGATAGTTAATCCAGTTGTAACTCGACGATATGAACTAGTTGTTAAAAAATTAAACCTAAGTATATTTTTATACTTTTCATATTAGTATAAACTTTAATTTGCCACACACATATGATATTTGCTTTAATATTGAGAGGATCTGCAAAAAACGAAATAATAAAAGGCAAAAATAGAGTATCATTAAAGATGCTGTCTGGATAGGTAAAACACATTATTTTGATATCTTGCTTTTTCAATAATGATACAGTTAATCTAATTGTAACTTAAAGATATGAAATTGTTGTTAAAAAATTAAACGTAAGTATATTTTCATAATTTTCATATTATTATAAATCTTAATTTGCCATACACATACAAAAATGAAATAATAAAACAATGATAAAACAAGAAGGCAAAAATATATTATCATTAAAGGTGCTCTCTGGATAAGTAAAACTTACATTATCTTGATAGCTTGCAGAATAGAAATTGTTTTCCCCTATAGACTCAAACAGAAATCCTGCATTCTTTTACATATTTTAATAAGCTAATATTTTGTGTAGTCTCATAGTAATAGTAGATACTGAACTCTTTTTCAAAAGAATAAGAACCCAAGGGAGCATTTTATGTCCTCAGTAAGTAAAGTGAAGTATGTATTGTGTATAATAGATAACAGAAGAGCCTGGAGAGACTGCTTTGTCAATCCGATTGGGAAAAAAATAAATAGCTTGAGTTGCAAAACTACTCAGTATGATAATTATGAAGTGTTAAATATATGGACCTATGCCATACATCAAAGTTGAATTCATTTTTATTCATTTACCAGAAAAGCAGTAACAGCCAAATCCAGGCAAATCTCTTTGTTCCTAGCACCAATACTTGTGCACAATTACTTTGCTCATTTAGTAACGCATGGTAACAAAATGGTTAATCTTAATGAGGGCACTAATTAAGAAATTTGAAGGACAAATTTTTGGTCTAGATTAGAAAGGCAAAAATAGGAAAGTGATATGGTTTGGCTCTGTGTCCCTATCCAAATCGCATCTTGAATTGTACTCCCATAATTCTCAAATGTTGTGGGAGGGACCCGGTGGGAGATAATTTGAATCATGGGTGCGGTTTCCCCCATACTGTTTTCATGGTAGTGAAATAAGCCTCAGGAGATCTGATGGTTTTATCAGGGATTTCTGCTTTTGAATCTTCCTCATTTTCTCTTGCCACTGCCATGTAAGTAGTGCTTTTCACCTCCTGCCATGATTCTGAGGCCTCCCCAGCCATGTGGAACTATAAGTCCAATTAAACCTCTTATTCTTCCCAGTCTCAGGTATGTCTTTATCAGCAGCATGAAAGCGTACTAATACAGTAAATTGGTTCCAGTAAAGTTAGGCGTTGCTAAAAAGATACCCGAAAACGTGGAAGTGACTTTGGAGCTGGGTATCAGGTGGAGGTTGGAACAGTTTGGAGGGATCAGAAGAAGACCAGAAAATGTGGAAAAGATTGGAACCTCCTAGAGACTTGTTGAATGGCTTTGACAAAAATGCTGATAGTGATATGAACAATAAAGTCCAGGCTGAGGGTCTCAGATGGAGATGAGAAACTTCTTGGGAACTGGAGCAAAGGTGACTCTTGTTATGTTTTAGCAAAGAGACTGGTGGCATTTTGCTACTGCCCTAGAGATTTGTGGAATTTTGAACTTAAGAGAGATGATCTAGAGTATCTGGTAGAATAAATTTCTAAGCAGCAAACATTCCAGAGGTGACTTGGGTTAAAAGCATTCCATTTTAAAAGGGAAACAAAGCATAAAAGTTGAAAGTATTTGCAGCCTGACAATGCAGAAAAAAAAACAAAAACAAAAACAAACAAAAAACATTTTTTGAGGAGAAATTCAACCTGGCTGCAGAAATTTGCATAAGTAGCAATGAGCCAAATGTTAATCCCCAAGACAATGGGGAACATGTCTCCAGGGCATGTCATAGGTCTTCAAGGCAGCCCTTCCCACCACAGACCTGGAAGTGTAGGAGGAAAAAATGGCTTTGTGGGCTAGGCCCAGGATCCCCATGCTGTGTGCAGCCTAGGGAATTGGTGCTCTGCGTCCCAGCCGCTCCAGTCATCACTAAAAAGGGCCAAGGTACAGTCCAGCCCATTGTTTCAAAGGATGCAAGCCCTAACCCTTGACAGCTTCCACATAGTGTTGAGCCTGTGGGTTCACAGAAGTCAAGTATTGAGGTTCAGGAACCCCCACCTAGATTTCAGAAGATGTATGGAAAAGCCCGGATGCCCAGTCAAAAGTTTGCTGAAGGGAGCCCTCATGGAGAACCTCTGCTAGGTCAGCGCAGAAGGAAAATGTGAGATTGGAGCTCCCACACAGAGTCCCTACTGGGGCACCACCTAGTGGAGCTGTGAAAAGAGGAGCACTGTCCTCCAGATCCCAGAATGGTAGATCCATCGACAACTTACACTGTGCACCTGGAAAAGCCGCAGACCACGCCAGCCTGTGAAAGCAGCCAGGAGGAGAACTATACCTTGGAAAGCCACAGGGGTGGAGCTGCCCAAGACTATGGGAACCTACCTCTTGCATCAGTATGACCTGGATGTGAGACATGGAGTCAAAGGAGATCATTTTGGAGCTTTAGAATTTGACTCCCCCACTGGATTTCAGACTTGGATGAGCCCTGTAACCCCTTTGTTTTGGCCAATTTCTCCCAGTTGGAACGGATATATTTATCCAATACCTGTACCATCATTGTATCTAGGAAGTAATTAGCTTGCTTTTGATTTTACAGGGTCATTGGCAGAAGGGACTTATCTTATCTCAGATGTGACTTGGAATTGTGGACTTTTGGGCTAATGCTGAAATGAGTTAAGACTTTGGGGGACTGTTGGGAAGGCATGATTGGTTTTAAAATGTGAGGACATGGAATTTGGAGGGGCCAAGGCTGGAATTGTATAGTTTGGCCCTGTGTTCCCACCCAAATCTCATCTTGAATTGTACTCCCATAATTCCCATGTGTTGTCCAATTAAACCTCTTTTTCTTCCCAGTTTCAGGTATGTCTTTATCAGCAGCATGAAAACGGACTAATACAGGAAGCAAACATAAGAAACAAACATACAAAAGAAATGAAGTATTCGCTACATCTCAATATGTGTTTTGTTCATATTCCCACTTTAAAAAGCCAACTAATCTGACTTTCACCTTTAGGTGAATGCAAGTAGCTAAAACAAAGCTAGAATAATAGAGGGTGTGGAATATCATCTGGTAGCCTACACCATAAAAAAATAGCAGAAGTCCTTTAATCAATGAGGAATGAATGTCTTTTTACTGTTATAAATTCAATTCAGTTCTGAAGAAAATTACTACTATAGTTGGAATACAGAACTTTCTCCAAAATAGAAGATAATATTACATATAAATTACATAAATTAGCATATAAAATTTTCCTCTTTAAAAATCCAAATTGGAAAATTAATGTATATTAACTGACAAACTGAAATATTTGTAAAACCTTATAAGTTTTGATGCAATAATTATCCAATTGAGAGAAGTTCATTATTCTAAGTGTCTAGTATCATATGCAACAAAAACAATTGTAAATAGCATTACAGTCAATATTAGGAATTGGTGTTATAATTATTGAAATCATTACTATAAAATAATTTATATCTACTGTTCCATCATGATAAGATTTTTTATTGATAGTATCAAAAAAGCACAAAAGAAAAATAGTTTTTATAAAACCTGTGTGTGATTAACACAGCAGCTCATTTTTTATGTCAAATAGAAAGTTTTCATTTTATGACATTATTATTTTAACATTATGTTAAAAGAACATTTGGGTATAGATTCAATCTCAATAAAGAATGAGTTTGCTTTTTTGGTAAATCTACCTAATTTGTAGGAGGCTAGAATCAAAGCTACTGTAATAAAGCCTTCTTCATTATGTTTAAGGATTAAACATTATGGAAGTTCCTTAAGTTTTCAGTTACTTGCCTTGATATTTTACCATTTGATTTATAATATCTGTATTATTTTGAAATTCATCTGCTAGAATAATGGTAAGAAAAGGAAGTAAAACTTTAAAATTCAAAATGTATAATCAAAGCCAGAGTATCTTGAGATACAGGAAAACTCATACGTTAAAAGGGTTACCCCAGAATTCAACACTGAGGTGTCAAGCTCAAAGATTTTTATTTTCTTTTTCCTTTACAATCTTTTTCAGAATATGTGTGTGTGTGTGTCTCTGTGTGTGTGTGTGTGTGTGTGTGTGTGTGTGTGTGTGTATTAGCAGTTTGGCAGAAAATACTCCAATCCTGGCTCAAATAATGACTTGAGTGCTATAGTTCATCAATAAACATATAATATCTTTTCACTCACAAGCAGTTTTCATATGGTTATGTCTTATAAAATTGTGGTATAATATCGAAACCAGAAAGTTGACATTGCTGTTTGTGTATAATCCTACTGCATTTTATCATATGTGTAGATTAGTGTAGCCAACACTGCAATCAGCTTATAAAACTGTACCATGGCCAGGAGCAGTGGCTCACGCCTTTAATCCCATCACTTTGAGAGGCTGAGGCAGGCGGATCACTTGAGGTCAGGAGTTCAAGACCAGCCTGACCAACATGGTGAAACCCTGTCTCTACTAAAAATGCAAAAAAATTAGCTGGTCATTGTAGCATGTGCCTGTAATCCAGCCACTCAGGAGACTGAGGCAGGAGAATTGCTTGAACCCAGGAGGCGGAGGTTGCAGTGAGCCGAGATTGTGCTACTGCAGCACTCCAGCCTGGGCAACACAGCAAGACTCCATCTAAAAAAAGAAAAAACAAAAAAACCAAAAAACAACCACCACAAAAAAACTGTACCATGTCACCAAGATTGTTGTAGTCTTACCTATTTATATTTATACTTCCCCACCTGCCCCACACCAACATCTCTAATCCCTAAATGAATGTTTTCTTTTTTTCTTTCCTTTGCTTTTTTTTTTTTTTTTTTTTTTTTGAGACTGGGTCTCACTCGATTGCCCAGGCTGGAGTTCAGTGCTGTGATTTCAGCTCACTGCAACCTCCACCTCCCGGGTTCAAGTGATTCTCCTGCCTCAGCCTCCTGAGTAGCTAGGATTACAGGCACACCCCACCATGCCCAACTACATTTCTCTATATTTAGTTGAGATGGGGTTTCACCATGTTAGGCCGGCTGATCTCAAAACCCTGACCTCAAGTGATCAGCACACCTCAGCCTTCCAAAGTGGTGGGATAATAGGCGTGAGCCACTGCACCCAGCCATGAATGATTTCTACGTTTATGGTTTTTGTCATTTTGAGAATTTTTTATAGACAAAATCATAAAGTATGTGCCTCTTTGAAACTGGCTTCTTCACTTAGCACAATGCCCTGTAGACCCACTTGAAATTCTCTGTGTATCAGTAGTTCTTGTTATTGCTGAGTAGTAGTCCCTGGCATGAATATACCACATTTTCTTTATTCAACTATTAGGAACATTGTTTTATATTGTTGGCAATTACAAATAAAGCTGCTGTCATCAATCCTATACAGGTTTTTATATGAACATAAGTTTTTATTTCTCTAGAGTAAATACCAAAGAATGCAATTGCTCAGCTGTGTGGTAAGTTTATATTTAGTTTTTTTTCTTTTTTTTTTTTTGAGATGGAGTCTTGCTCCACTACCCAGGCTGGAGTGTAGTGGCACAATCTCAACTCACTGCAACCTCCACCTCCTGGGTTCAAGCAATTCTCCTGCCTCAGCCTCCCAAGCAGCTAGGACTACAGGTGCGTGACACCACACCCAGGTAATTCTTGTATTTGTAGTGGAGACGGAGTTTTACCATTTTGGCCAGGCTGGTCTCAAACTCCTGACCTTGTGATCCACCCACCTCGGCCTCCCAAAGTGCTAGGATTGCAGGCAAAAACTGCTAAACTGTTTTTCATAGTGGTTGCACCATTTTAATATTCCTACCAGCAATGTATGAAAAAGAATTCCTTCTCATCCTCTCTAGCATTTGCATTATCACATTAAAAAAAAATTAAACAATTTAATAAGTGTGAAGCAACATTGTATTGTGGCTTTTCTTTGTATTTCCCTACCAGCCAGTTATATTTTACATCTTTTGGTGTGCTTATTTGCCATCCATATTTTCTCCATCCTCTCCATTCTCTTGTTGAACTCACCTACTGAGTTTTTCATTTTATTATAATTTGTAGTTGTGAAATTTGCATTTTCCTTATATCTTCTATTTTTATTGAAACTTTTGATATTTTTTCATTTTATTCAACCATGCTTGATATGGTTTGAATGTTTGTGTGCCCTCATAACTAATATGTTGAAATCCTAATTCCCAAAGGGGAATTAGGGAAGTGATTGAAAAGAAAGTGTATTCTGATGATGATGTTGGGTAAAATATTCTGTAATTTTTAATTAGCTAAATGTTTTGATGGTGGTTGTAGAGGTCTTCTTTTTTCCATAAATATTGTCTATCTCTTTGTTCTTGCTATTCCTGGGAGATAAGTTTGGAGGTCTCCAGCTATAATTTTGGGTTTTTCTATTCTCCTGTAAGTTTATATGCATTTTGAAGCTAAATTGTTTATTTGATAAAATTTTTAATTTTACATTTTCCTGGGAAATTGACTTTTTTGAAATTATGAAGTATTTATCTTATTCCTGGCTCTCTCTCTCTCTCTATATCTATCTATATCTATCTATATATCTATATATATCTATCTATATCTATCTATATATCTATATATATCTATCTATATATATCTATATATCTATATGTATCTATATATATCTATATATATCTATATATAGATAGATATATATATTCAATTTTGCTTTCTTTCTTCTGATAATTTATCTTTCTTAAATTTTAGTTTTACACATAAAAAAACCACACACAAAAACTGATTTTAAAAGTTTCTATTTAAAATATCAAAGTTCCATTATACATGTAATTTCCTGGAAGTAGAATCAGTGGGTCACAAATATATGTGCATTTAAAATGCACATACATGAAAATATATTTTCATATTCTGTGTTATCAGACTATACAGTCCTCAGCAATATATGTGAGTGCTGTATTTCCCTAAACCATCACCTGTATGTCTATCATCAAATCTGAGAGCGTCTCCAAACTGATAAATGATTTTAGTATAGAAAATTATTAATTTTAGTCTCCTTAATTATGAGTAAGACTGAATGTATTTTCATTAGTTTCCAGGTATTTTTAAGTTTTCTATTATCTGATTATCAATGTGTTATTTCCATATTATTGAATTTGCAATGCCTTTAAAGTTGTCATTTACTGATTAGTATGTGATTTCGATATATTTACCTTTTTTTTTCCATTCTTGTTTCATTTTTTATAGGGGTTTAGTCAGATATATGGAAAAAGATTTAATCTCTATTGTAGAAAGCTACTCTCTAGTGCAGAATAATATTTAAATAATAAACGATATTGTTTTTCTCATTTTGTTCAATTGTTTCTCTGTATTCTTTTGTATCTCACTGAAATTTCCTAAGATAATTATTTTGATTCATTTCCTGTTTTTTTTTTTGTAAATTTTTGGGAGGAGTCTGTTACTAGAAAATTATTGTGTTCATTTGTAGGTTCATGTTTTCTAGCTTTTTATAATGCTTGTGTCTCTACATTGATACCTGCACATTTGGTGGAACAATTATCTCTTCTAATTTTACGGAGTAGCTTTTGTAGGAAAAGACTTATTTTTTTTCAATGGCGATGAATTCTAGGGTTTTAGTTGGGTAGGATATGTTGGCTTTGATACTATTTGGACACAGCAGTGTAGTGTCTGTGGAGTTCTTCAGGTGTAATTCATGTTAGTGATGTTTGTGAGTGCCTCGGTGGCCTAGACTGCTTTGGCAGTGGTGGCGTGGATTTGCTGGTGTTGGGCTTTCCAGGCTGATTCTCAAGCTGTGGATGCATGCATTCATGTGATGGGTTGGTCAGCTTAGGGACTGACACATTTATCTGGCTAAGGGTGTGGGTGTCTGGCAGTTCAGCTCGCCTGGGGTTGTCTTCCCAGCTGTGCTGGGCCAGAGTCATGGCTGTTCCTGGGCCCTGCCTCTGAGCAATAGGGGCTTGGCATTGTGTTCACTTGTGTGGACTTGCTGGAATGATGGTGGAACCTCAAGTTTGAAAAGATGTAGTGGCTCCTGCCCCCCAAGAGCAGGGCACACTCCAGTAATGGTTCCAGTTTCAAGATGGCATTGTGCTGCAGCAGCTTGAGTCGTGGTTATGGAGTGCATAACATGTGCTCCTACTTTGGAGTAATGCAGCTGTCTGAATTTCAGGCAGCTCCCCAAACTGGGCTAATGGTTTGTGAAGACTGTGGGATCCTCCTATTGTAAGAATTGCAGGTGTCTACGGTGGCAATGAGGGCTGCTGGGGACTTCTGCTTACCTTTTGCCCTCAAGAGGGAGTTCTTTCTGGCTCCATGCCAATCCTGGTAGGGTAGATAGTGTGGCAGAGGCAGAATGCCTCAGTCCCTTCTCCATACTGCCATCCTGGGCTTCTGTGTGCCAAGGAATCTTGCCACCTTCTTGCTGCATTCCAGTGCTGTCTTTTAAGATACTGCAGTCAAATTTTAGTTGTTTTACTCATATTTTGATGGCTTTTTGTGGGAAAAATGAACATTCATCTATCTTCTGGGAAAGACTAGTCAGCCATCTTACTGACATCATTCTTTTGTGTCTTTTTGTTCTTCCTACAAAATATCAAAAACTATAATTGCTCAGACAAATAAGTTATTATAAAATATACATTAAATATTTAGATACATACATTCTTTCCATAGTGATTAAATAAATATATAGGGTTTTTATGCATTATAAGTATGAAATATTAACTCTCTCTCTCTCTCTCTATATATATATATATATATATAACTGATTTTGGATAATTAGCACATTGGCACAGCCTGGAAATTTTAACATATAGAGTTACATGTTTATTATTTACCTGTGAGTTGCTTATTTGTATTTTGCATTTTTTTCAGCCATATTGAGAGACCATTTGCACATTTTCTACCTTCTGTGAGATTTACATTTTAAAATATATTTTAAGAACAGTTAATGGAATAAAACATCCAAATTAAAAAAGTATGTATTCATAATGCCTGTATGCATTTGAATACTTCCCACTGCAAATTATATGTGAATTAATATCTCAGAGGGCTTATTTGGAGACAAACCCTATATAAGAACAATACATTGGCAAAGAAGTAAGACATATTTAATTAACATTATATAAATTAAAATGCAGATAATTCAATTAATGCAAATGATATGTAACTAAAATTTGCATTTGCTATAATTATGGTCTATTTCAAAATATTGCTTAAAGTTCTAAGCAATTAAGCATGCTCAGTATTCAGATTTTTCCTTCTTAAAGACAAATGAAAATTTTCTATTCATCCATGCTTCTGGATAATTCGATTTGCTGTTTTACATAAAAATGTCACCTGTCAACAATTTCCATATTTATACTATTTATAATTTTTATTTGACTAAGTATTTTTATTGAAATGACATAGATAAAACAGCATAAAATAAACCCATACAATTTTATTGAAAATATCATGAGAATCAAATAGGAAATATATGTAATATAAGGACATTAAAATAAACACAGAGTATATTTTAGAACAAACAGTGTGGTGTTGACTTAGTAATAATAAATGTATATGTATGTATATAGATATATACACACAGAAATGTACACATACATATATATGAAAAATTAATTTTTCTGGCTTTAATATGAACTAAATAATAGTGAACTAAAATGTACTAAATCCTTATTATTTTTCAGCATTAGTATTTTGCATTCTAGATGTTTGTATTAATTTCAATATGAATAAGCAAAAATTTTTTTTACAAACATAATCTGTTTATTCAAAGGTATCTTTTTATATTTTGTCATACTCATATAGTTGTTCAATAAGTTTTGATTCAATATTCTTTTTCTTTTAAAAGTATAAATGCTATCCAAACAAAACATATTGGAGTATTCATTTTTAATAAATTAATTTAACTTTCAGTAGCTAGTAGCTGATACAGAGATATTGTCTGTATATGAGTTTTTATTTTTGTCTTGAATAGAGACTTCACAGAAAATGAAATATCTATTCCTTTTCTCAGCATTTAACTGTATTTTCACTACATTAATAATGCTGTTACTAATTTTTTAAGAATATATCAAGTCCTAAGCACTAATAATGAATCATGTGCTAAGTTCTAATGCTCATTTAATCAACTTAGTACCTTATGGAATTAAAGGAATTCTCATTTAATATATTACAAAGTTGGCAGACATATTTATGTTATAACCTCATAAATTATGTATTAATTTTCTATTGTTACTGTAACATATTACTCTACACTTAGTGTTTTAATGCAACACATATTTATTATCTTAAAGTTTTATAGGTCATAAGTCCAACACGGGTCTCACGGGGTTAAAATCAAGGTGCAAATCTTTCTGGAGTCTCTAGAGGAGAATTAGTTTTCTTGTCTTTTCCAGTTTCAGAGGCTGCCCATTTTGTTTGGCTTTTGGCCTTCATTGAAAACAGCAATGTTGTGTCACACTGAGTCTTTTTTCATGCTCACAACCAGGAATCTTCTCAGTTTTTATTGAATCATGTGATTATTATTGTATCTTCCTGAAGAGATCTTTGCTTTGTTATTCGAGTATTCCACATGGGGTATTTTGCCAAAATAGGCAGAAATGAAGTTCCTGTAACAGTTAATTATATCAACAGTGGTAACAATGACAACTCTGCTAACTATATGCCTAGGTACAATGTAATGACTCTTTATCTGTTTTTACAATCATTATGTTGTAATTCCAAATAGTTGTGACAAACAAGCAAGTTTTTTTTAAAACATCTACTCTGTTTTTTTCCAAAATTGCATGATCATGACATTTTATTATGCAAGACAGATTGTGATTTACCAAGCAATGTGTCTTTTCCCTTGCCTGTTCATAGTTCTTGTTTAAGGGCTGAGAAGCCGGTGAAGCATTTTAAATAATAAACCAAATATTTCAGATAAAGCAATCATCCATTTTCTTACAGAATTATGTCAAGGCAAAGACATCAGATCAATTCAGTTAAATTCAATAGAATTTTTTTTTAGTAATTATATGAAAGACATTTGCGGGTAATACAAGTGTTCGGTTGATGATGTAGAAACAGAAATTAGACATATTTGTAAGCATTTTGCCTAAGACTCAGTCTGTTGTAGACATGATAACCTTGAAAATCCCTAGGCAGATAATATTCTATTACTTTTATGATAAATGTTAATAATTTTTGATAAATTTAAAACTAGCTTTATTTAGAACTATGCCATTTATTGACTGCCTTTTACCTTTTATTTGTCTTTTTCTTGATTAATGTTTTTCAAATTAAATTGAAAAATGTGAGCAATGTTTAATTTGCTACATGTACATGTTATGTAGAAGTCAACCTCACGGGATCCATATAAGCATTTTTTTTTGTATTTTAAAATCTGAACCCTGGGTAAATAAGGGCCATATATTCTACTCTGTATTGATATGAACCTAGGATAAGACTAACTTGTACTTGTTTCATGATCTAGCTTAGCACTGGTCAAATTTAGAATATGTATCTCTATGTCCAAATATAATTGAAAATTAACTTGAGTGGTTTCATTAAACAATGCCAAATTAACTTTGTAAGCCATAGCAAAACTTCTTAATTCAGTTGAGCTTTCTATCACTAAATATCACACACGCTCCAATGCCAGAACTATCCCAAATATCTTTCTTTCCAGCCCCCACATTCCCTCAATGGTCATTTAAACCTACTCTTTATTGTTTGTCCTATTTCTGCTTCCAATTCTAGCTTTTCTCTTCAGCACCTATTTATTTGTCCTTTTCAGTTGTGATAAAATGTGTTGCTCTCCCTTCTTTCAAATGCTAGCTAAACTCTAGAATATTAGTTACTGGACAGAAGAATCAGTGAGCTTATAAAAAATCTAATATTGATATGTTATTATATGATATATTTAAGTAAATATGCAATAAAGTGTCATTCTCCTGATTATTCCCAAATATTCCAACTCAGACATCGCACAAATTTTATGGAATTTATTCTGTGGTTACAATTCTCAATGTTTGATCTTGAGATGGGAACCCTGAAGTTTATCAGAACAGATTTGATTAGACTCACCTAGATAATTCAGGATGATCTCTACATTTTAATGTCTGAAAGACTCTTTTGGCTGGTAAGGAAATATATTCACACATTTCAGGGATTTGGGTATAAACATCTTGGCAATTTGGCAGTTGAGGCAGGTACATTCTGCCTACTACTAGAATCAAACTCCATGATGTTTAGCAAGTAAATCCTTTATTGTGAATAAAATTTAGCAAGCAAAACCAGGAAAACATATGGTTTACTATTTTCATGTTCTTTACCAAGTTTAGATAATCAGTAGGAAAACTTTAATGAATGGCCTCTAAACTATTTAAACATTATAATTTATGCAAAAAAAGTTTTGTGAAATGACTACAGAAAGTTGAATTACTTCTTTTTTTAAACATCAGCATTTTCTGAATATATTGCTTAAAAATTACACCAAATTATATTCAATTTAAAACATTGTGTTTTTAGTGCTTTGATGTTATGATTCTGATAAAAATTGGGCATTATTCTTCTGCAGAATTTTTCTTAATGAAAAACTCAAGAGAAAAAATTCCCAAGCCAAAAACAAATAGAAAAACTAGATTATAGTGTTTATTTAAGTATTAAGCACTTTCTAATATAATTATGAGATTATTTGCAATCATTCATATTAAATGCTTATTTTACTTTTCAAAATTTAAAATATTTAATAAGAAGAGTTGTCATCTTACATCTGTTTCCAAACATTTAATTAGCCATCTTTAAACATATTTTTGAGTGTCATATATTGTGAAAAATTATAAAATGTGTTTTAAAAAATTTAATTAGGACTTTATGTTCTTTCTATTGTGATGAGAAAGTGTACTTGGTTTTTCATCTGTGCCCTGATTAAGCATGGTTCAGCAGTAATACCTTCTTGAGTTCTGGAGGTACTGTCTCAGGAAGTCAGATTTGCTCCATTAACTCCAATACAGAAAGGAAGCTCTGAAAATGGAAGAAAAATGAATTTTAGAAATATCAGTTAAACCTTTTGAATTTTCTATTGTAACCTCAAGAAAAGTTGATTTTGATCAAATTATTTAATATTAAACCTCAAAGAGAGAACACCAATGTTAATTTTCAGCATCTATGTCAATGAATGGAATTATTGTCTCAGTGACTTAATACAGTCTATTAATCTGTCTGGAACTATGGGCTTGTCCTTTTCTCAAATCATACATATGAGTAAAATAATATTTTTTGGAACTGTGACAGCTTTAACTTAGCAGAGCTGGGTTAAAGATCAACTTGTGGTAGGCCTACTCTTTACATTCCTGCTTACAGGTTTCATAGAGCAGGAGCAAGTAATTTTTGAGTGTCAGTGTCTGGAATGCTATATTTACAGATTTGCACATTAATTCAGTCAACAAATATTTTATAAATTACTTCTATATGAAAGGCAATGATGAGGCTTGCCAGAGAATACAGAAATGAATTTTACATGGACTTTCGTTCTGATCTTTGTGTGTCTGGATTTTGCTAGAGTTTCTAGCAAGAGTGAAGAAATAGAAAAAAAAATGACTAACATCCCTTTCAGTTTTGTACTTCTTATCTATCCACTCAGCCAGTTTACCTGAATTAAACCAATTTCTTTCAAATACCATTACTCTTCATTCTCACACTGTTATAATTTCTTTAAAAGCTCTCACTTCTTCATACTAAGAGGCTAGAGAAACAGCCATTCTGACATTAAGCCTTTATAGTGTTTTATCATTATCTCTTTATTTCTTGCCATAAAGTGTATTAGCAATTATGACTCATGGGTTTAAAAGACAATCATGCCAACAGTACCAATCTGAGATTACACATAATATCAGATTTGTGGACCAGAGTCTTCCCATACATCAGAGATATTAACCAGTATCAAGCTTAACTAAACATGTTTAAGGATATAAAAATTGCATTGCACAAATGAAAGAGGCAAGTCTTGGACCCCCCAGCACAGCTCCTCAGTTTCCTTCTTCTCCCATTGAACATGCTTTGACCTAGGTTATAGATGGGCTTTCTAAATGAGATATGTGGTCACTTCACATAAATAGAGCTATGTAGATTATGAAACGCCACCGTTTTAAACTCAGATATTTATATGTGATTAGACTTCTGTTTTTTTTTAAGTATTTTAGATAACCAGGCCTATTTTGTGTAAAGCATTTTACACACTGGCACTATTCTCTAAACAAAAAACATTTACGGTTTTCACTAGGTCTGTCATAAACATGTCTGCAAAGAGATTAGGAAGCTTTAACTCCTTTTTTGCCCTATTTCTCACTCACACAGAATTTCAGCATGTGTTTTTAGCCATTTATCACCATTCTTTTAAAAAAATAATATTTCCCCTATTTGCCATTAAACACACAGAAAGCAAAACATAACAAAATGTGTGTATGATATTAAATGTTCTTAAAATGTGCTATTTTCTTTGCCTTTCATTCTATGCAGCACAATTTTGACTGGACATTTCTATGGAAATTAACTGTGAATGCTTTCTCTCTGTGTGTGCCAAATGCAAACAAATTTTGCAGCTGCAGGTACCCTAGAGAATGAATGCAGGTTGAACATGATGCTGGTAAATATAGTTTTCAATGTTTAACAAACCTTTCAATGAATTACTTCCTCTGTTTAAACTTCAAATACTATCTTTATTTCTATCACAGTAGTAATTCTTTTAAATAATTTTAGTTCTATATACTTCAATGTGATAAATTTAAAAGTATATGATAACTTAATTTTACATTTTTTAGAATTTTTTCTTTACTATATTAAAAAAATGAGAAAGTATAATTTTATCTTCAGTTGAGACAGGACAATACTACTGAATAAATAGCCAGTGGCTGTTTGAAAGGTCATTCACATGGTCTGCAGAAATTAACTTACTCCCACACCAAGCACTTCATTAAGTTTAATTATAATTTGTCAATTTAATATTGTCTATTGAGTAAGTTATTTTCATGCCTATCTAAAGGCATTTAAATTCTTATCAGTGTGTATTTATTATTAAATAAAATACTTTAGTGTTTTATTATTCAAACATCAACTGTATAACAGACATTTTGAAATACTGTATACATTTAATATTTAATTAATTAATTAATTAAATACATTTAATATTTTATTAATAAGATATTAACCATATAATATATTAATTAACATATTGTTTAATATATATTATATTCAGAAAAATCTTCTGCTTCTGACTGTTTAGTAAATATATTTGTGAGATCATAATAGATTTTGTATGTGTATTAGTTCATTTTCACACTGCTATAAAGAACTTCCTGAGACTGGGTAATATATAAAGAAAAATAAGGTTTAATTGATTCACAGTTCCACATAGCTGAGAAGCCTCAGGAAACTTACAATCATGGTGGAATGCGAACGAGAAGTAAGACATGTCTTTCATGGTGTCATGAGACAGTGTGAGCAAAGGGGGATGTGCTACTTTTAAGCCGTCAGACCTGTTGAGTACTCACTCATTATCATGAGTACAGCATGGGGGAAACTACCTCCATGATCCAATCACCTTCCACCAGGACCCTCCCTCGACACATGGGGATTACAATTCAAGATGAGATTTGGATGGGGACACAGAGCCAAACTATATCAGTAAGTATACACATTTGACCCAATATATATCTAGTGGTTGATATTTTACATGTGTGTAACCATTCAATAAAATGTAATAATTTTTAAGATGCAATATTTAGAAGTTATTCAATGATCTTGTTTAAAACAATATTTACATGCTATTATAGTTTTAAAGTAAGATATTCTAGAATCAGTTATCAATTTTTGCACATTTGCCTAGGGATACATCATAACAAAACATTGTAGTCATGAAAATTTTCAGGTATATTCTTAAATTTTGTGGATTGTTGCAAAGGATTAAAGATGCACACATGTGCATTTTAGAAAAAAATAGCAGTTCATGGTTGCTTTTCAAGCCGTATTGACTGAAAGAAATAAAGGTGATTTTTACTTTTTTCCTTTCTATTCCTAAATATCTATTCTAAAAGGAAACCTCATTGTACCTGCTGATCAAATCTACTGTGCTAGAGCACTGGTCTAAAGCTGGCTACTCTAACCCACCTGAGAGTGAAATATTGATACACTTATTTAAAATGGTAAAACCAAGTAACTTCTAAGAGCATCGCTAAGGGGAACTTTAGAAGTCAATTCTGGAATGCAAATAAGGTTATATTATTTCACATTTTAGTCACTGTATACATTTTAAATATACCACAAATATAAAGTACATGGATATGTTTATTTATTTATTTATTTTTATTTATTTATTTATTTTTGAGATGGAGTCTCTATCACCCAGGCTGGAGGGCAGTGGCGCGATCTCAGCTCACTGCAAGCTCCGCCTCCCGGGTTCACGCCATTCTCCTGCCTCAGCCTCCTAAGTAGCTGGGACTACAGGTGCCCGCCACCACACCCGGATAATTTTTTGTATTTTCAGTAGAGACGGGGTTTCACCGTGTTAGCCAGGATGGTCTCGATCTCCTGACCTCGTGATCTGCCCGCCTCCACCTTCCAAAGTGCTGGGATTACAGGCGTGAGCCACTGCACCCGGCCAGTGTTTAAATTTTTTATATGTATACATGTATTTCACTGTTTTCCCACAGTTTATTTATATGTGTTTTCATTAGATCTCTTCAGACAACAAATATTCAATTATCCAGAATCATTTAAACAAGCACACACTGATACACACACACACACTTTGAGAAGTCACAATTACAAAGTGAAAATTTGTAAGAATCACACCAAATCTCACCTTTTCCCAACTACACCTCTTGTAATAACTTTTCAATGGGACTTAAGAATTTTAAAGTCAGTCATAACTTTCTTGTTGTTACTGAAACTTGGATTCCTCCTGAAGAAAACATTTCCCTGAAAATCTCCCTTTAATCATGTATTCTCTATCTCACCTCTAGCCCTACTGGTAACAGGTTGGTAAATGACTCCCTGTTATTTTTACACCATTATCTCTCAGTTCCTCATAATAGCTACTGGTATAAATCTTATTTAATTAGGTTATTCAAAACACCACCCCTTCTTAATGTAGCCAGTTACAAAAACTTTATTTCATTACCTTTCTCACTGCATAAATATTTCAGTTGCTATCTTCCATCACTTTTCCCAATACTTCTTTGCATATTCCTGATTTCAAAGTGTATGCAGTATATTCTTTAAATATTCTGGCCTTATTGAGACTTTTCTATCATCTGTCACTGGACGTCATTCTATTATCCACTATACCTCAGGTCCTAAATCTCTTGATCAAATACATTGATTTTTGTCATTTAAAAATGTTTCAAACCTTTTCCAGGCATGGCATCTCATATCTGTAATACCAGCACTTTGGGAGACTGAGGTGGAAGATTCACTTGAGTTTGAGACCAGCATGGGCAACATAGTGAGATCTTGTTATTTATAAATAAATACAAATGTCAAACCTGTGTTATTCACTATCAGTTAGTTATTCTATTTTTTTGTTATTTTATGAATACTAGCACAAATAATTTTCAGAATCTACTAATACTAAAATTTATTGATAGTAACTGCTATTCCTCTCATTTTGCTGTGTCCTAATTTGTCTGCTTATCCAGCATAGATCCCATGATCCATTAATATATTTGATTCCTTGTATGTAAACTTTTAATTTCATTTGTTTTTCTCAATATATTTTACTCACTTGGAAAAAAAACCCTAAAACTTTGATTAAGTCTCACTTCCTCCCTGTAAAGTTTCTCCCTTCTTTCCTCTCTTCCATCCTTCCCTCACTTTCCTCCTCCTTATTCTTCTCTCTCTCTCCTTGTCCCCCTGTCTTTCCCTCTTCTTCCACCACCTTCTCTACTGCAGGCAATTTAGATGAGAACACACGGTGAAAAAGTACCTAGAGGTGATTGAGTTTTAGATAACAGGAGTCAAGTGGATCAATATTCTTCTTCTTCACATACCTCTGCTTGCATCCCCACCGCCTCCCCCAAAATGGTGCTTTGTGAAATGGAAGTACTGCCTGCTTGGATGTGAACTTCTATGAAAATATGTTGCACAAGCTTTGGGGTTAATAAAGAGCTTGAGTTGAGCTCTGACCTTTTCCTGTGTATTGCTAGTTTGGTGGTTTTGGATTATTAACCCTCCCAAAACTTGTTTCTCCATTAACAAAAATGAAACTTCATGTGGGGTTGTGTGGATTAAATAATGCACTTAAAATACTTAATAAAGTATATGTATCTGCTACTTAAAAATTGTAGGGTAATTTATGGTGATAAAACAGTTAAGTAACTTGATCAGGACAGGGATTATATAAAATAAAATTGCAGGCCGGGCCTGGTGGCTCATGCCTGTAATCCCAACACTTTGGGAGGCCGAGGTGGGTGGATCACTTGAGGTCAGGAGTTCCAGACCAGTATGGCCAACATGGTGAAACCCTGTCTCTACTAAAAATTCAAAATTTTTCATGTGTGGTGGCATTGCCTATAATCCCAGCTATTCAAGAGATTGAGTCAGGGAATCGCTTGAACCTGGGGGATAGAGGTGGCAGTGAGCCAAGATCACACCACTGCACTCCAGCCTGGGTGACAGAGCAAGACTCCATCTCAAAAAAAAAAAAATACATAGAACTATACACACATGCACACATACACATAAATTAGTGCATATATAACTGGTGAAATGTAAATAAGTTCTTTGGATTGGACCAATTTCAATGTTCATGTTATACTATAGTCAACACCAATTTTGATGTTTTACTGTAACTGTGCAAGATGTTAACATTGGGGGAGGCTGGGTGCAATATGAAGGGGCCTCTCTGTACATTTCCTGTAGGTTCCTGTGAATCTATCATTACTTTACAATACAAAGATAAAAAATATAGTATAGCTTGGTGCTTTGTTTTTATTGTAGTAGTTGTTGTTGAGGGTGTTGGGGTTGTGACAAGTGTACAGATGTGATTTTGGTGTTTATGCTGGAGGCAAGTATGGTTTGGGTGGCTTCTGATTAAAGGTAAACTCTCCAGTCTTCCACTCAACGGAGGGGAAGAGTCTGCAAGACTGACTGGGAAGAAGCTGAAATCCTGGGAAAAAATTTAGGGCAAGGTCTTTATTTTTGTCTGAATAGAGATTGTTATTTAATATTTATTTTCTGCTCCTTTGAGTAATGCCTTAATTTATGCTCAAAGGTTTCTTGTTTTTAATTTGGTGCTATAGGTAAAACAGGGAATGGGGTTTTAGTTCTTGATACAATTAAAAAGGGGTATTTTTCAAAGAGGTACACCCATCACAGAGTAAATGAAGTGGTGGAGGTGATATCATAAGGTTAGTTATTGGAAATAATTGGATTTAAGTGGCATCCCTGGAATGCAAAGAGGGGCATATATCAAAGATATAATAGTTGTATTTCACAGCAGAATATGAAGTTCTTTATAATTACCAGTTGATAAGAACCTTAATTCAATTCAAATGATGCCTTTCCAAAATCATTACAGACATCCTCCATAGAAGGCATCCGTTTTTCAGTGGAGACACCTCTTGCTTAGGCCTTAATACATAATCACAAGTAAAAAATGTATAGAAATTATTTACTTATCTACTCATAGCTAAAAAATATTAAGTAGTCACTGATGTTGTATTTCCCATTTATGGCATTTATGCAATATCATGACCAAGGACCTTTTCATCTTTCTGTCAATACATTTTCCTTTACTCTTATTAAACAAACTCCCATGCCTATACTTATGGGATAAACTGATAGCATCCTTTTATATATTCTATACTTCAATTTCCTTGAGAGTAGTTTAAGGCAAAGAACATTAAAGCTATAGGCTTCATGGAAAATAATTAAGTATTAAGAATAATCATAAAGTTATCTGGCAATGGAAAAAATGTCATATAGGAAATGGCTTAGACATAATTCAGCATTTAGTTGTAGTATTCCTGTCCTTTAAATGTATGCTGCGTTTTGCGTGTTGCTTTCTGCTAGATTCACTAAAACACATATGCAGCTGTGACAGTGACAGCTTGGAGTTGAGCAGATTGACATAAAAGCCAAATAAAAATGCTATACAGCCTTGTGAAGGGCATATGGAGAAGACTTGGCTTTGGAAGTTATTTTATCAATATTAGATTTATAATTATAGAGACATTTTGTATATTCTTTAAAATGTTAACTAAAGGTATACTGAGTTAGTATTTCCAGTATACTAAACAAAAAATAGGTAATATTAAACATTTTTATATTTGTTCTACATGCATGTATTTATAATTTCTTTATAATGTTTTACAAAATATTAAATACAAAAATATTAAAATATATTACAGATCTCTAAAATAATTTGTTTACTAAGGAAAAATATGAATTGTGTCTAATATGGATATCTTAATATCAATACTAGATGGGAAAACAATACCGCTTTCAAACACAGTGTTACTTTGAAACAGAAAAATAAAATTGGAAATTATCCCAGGTTTATCTTAAGTTATGTAGCAACATGGCAATCCTAATCTAATGTTATAACTCTATAGAGAAAATATTAAATGCTATCACCAAAATAGTTGCCCAGTTGAATTTTGTTTTCCTATAATAATTTTTTATAATTATGAACAATTTTTGATAAGTTTAATAGGTAAACTTTAATAAGTAAAAATTACAAAGTTTCTCTCCCAGCAATGAACAATTTCACTCTTTAAGAATAAATGGGCAGGGTTCGGTGGCTCATGCCTGTAATCTCAGCACTTTGGGAGGCCAAGGCGGGTGGATCACGAGGTCAGGAGTTCGAGACCAGCCTGGCCAAAATGATGAAATCCCCGTCTCTACTAAAAATACAAAAATTAGACCGGCGTGGTGGCGCACACCTGTAATCCCAGCTACCCTAGAGGCTGAGGCAGGAGAATTGCTTGAACCCGGAAGGTGAAGGTTTCAGTGAGCTGAGATTGTGCCCTTGCACTCCAGCCTGGGTGACAGAGCAAGACTCCGTCTAGGAGAGTGGGGGAGGGAGAGAGTAAATGAAGGTTAAAACAAAAAGGTATAGGAACTGTTTGGATCCTATCACACAAGTAGCCAGATGGATTTTGGTAAATGCTGCATACCAAGGATATTTGAAAATACTTCCTTCCTTCACCCTCTCTCCCTCCCCACTCTTTGTCTCCCTCCCTTCCCTTCCTCCCTCCCTTCTTTCCTTCCTTCCTTCCTTCCTTCCTTCCTTCCTTCCTTCCTTCCTTCCGTCCTTCCTCTTTCTTCTTCTTTTTAATTGGTTAAACTGAGGCCTCAGTGCATAGTTGTGCTTAGTATTAGTTCACTTTATTCTTGACCCCTATATAATTTAAAAAGTAGAAAAAATTATTTGTTGCTCATTTCTTCATTGAAATTACAACACTGAATTGATAATTTTATGCTCTACTTTGTAAATTGAATATATATACACATTGTAAAGAATATATATATATGAGTATTTACAAAGAGTATTTAGAAAATGCAAACAAAAAGTAGAGTTAAGGAAAGATATCCTTTATTCTATGCCATAGAGAAAATTACATTTATCATTTTGATATTCCTCTATTTGAATATACTTCCAACTAAAATATGCATGGCTGTATTGAATCTCATAATCTGTAGTTTTACTGCAAGTGTTTTAAGTTTTCATGAACAATCTTCATGTCAATGAATGAACATTAACATCACCATTTAATGGTTTTATAATTTTTCATTTCATGACTATTCCATAAATATTTTAAGCAAAGCCCTATGTTAAAAGTTTAATGTGTTCTATCTCTTACTGTTATCAGCAATCCTTTAATTCAGATCCTTGCCTATATCTTAAATTAGTTTTATTCTGGAAATGCTTATAAATTGATTCTTCAAATAGTAACTACATGCATTTTAAATCTTCTCTTACATGTTAGAAAATTACACAAAAGAAACATTCTCCTAATTTACACATTTGAAAAACAGCCCTTATAGGAATGACTTATTTCTTATTGCCTGATGCTAATTATCTTTAGGAAGATTGAAAATTCATATATTCAGAGTAACTTGATAAAATATATTTATGTTGCATTAAAATTGAACTTACTGATATAAATGTAGAAAAATCTTTATAGGCATTACGGGCATTTTCATTACTTTTTAACTTTTTGTTTTGAAATATAGACTCACGAAAAATTGTAAAAATACTTCAGTGTACCTATTGCCCCTCCTTCCCCCAATGATAACATTTGGTGTTACCATAGTACATTATCAAAAAAAAAAAAAATTGAAATTGGCCAAGACAATTGATTATCTGCATTACTGGGATCTCAGCAGTTTTGTACACAGTCACTTATTTATGTTATCTTTTTGTGTATCTTCTGTGACATTTTATCATGTCATAGATTTATATAAATATGATTACATTTTGCATTATATTTTAAACCCATTTTAACTATATTTTATAATAATTGATTTAAGTGAGTTATTTAGCTAGCAATTATTATTACTTTGTCATATATATGCTTTGCCAATATTTTTATGTAAGTTGCATTTATATTTGCCTTTTACTTTTGGTTTGTTATGTTTTATTCATTTTTCTTTTTTTTTTCTTTGTTTCTTTACAGTTCAAAATTTGGATAGGTAACATAAATAAAATGGAAATAATAATTTCACCTCTCTTATAGGCTTGTTGTACACAGGTAATCCTCATATTACCATACAAGGGCTTAGGACACTCAGCATATTAAGTGTTATATATATTATAAGTATTGATATTTATTTAGTTCTTAGTTATACAACAGCTTCTTTATGGGTATCTTCTTCTGTTCATTTATTCTCATTCTAAGCCTAAAGCCACATTTTTAACCTTCTAAAATTTTCAAAATACATTTTATGTGTTCACTAGAAATAGTGCTTTTAGTATCTCTAGACATAAAATGTCTAAGAATTTTTCTAAATATTTCATTTCAGATTAATGTTAAAATTTGTATTAAAGTTTACAATATTTACAACTACATCGAATAAAGTTCTGTTTCATCCTGAAACATGACACAATGTTCCATCACTGAAGCATCCATTATATTCCTCAGTAGACTCTTGTAATTTATTGTTCATATAAATCATGATTATTATCTTCTTGAGGTTGTTTTATGCATTTGGTATTTTTGTTAGATTTATAAATTAGATGGTATGAATTGTGTTAATCAGGTTCTCCAGAAAAATATAACAGAATGTATTTGTTATATTTTTGTACCACATACATTTAATTTTTACCTATCTATCTATCTATCATCTATCTATCTATCTATCTATCTATCTATCTAATCTATCTAGAAAGAGAGAGAGAGATGTATTCATTTTGAGGAATTGACTCACTCGATTTAAAGGTGCAAGTTCAAAATCTGCAGGGTAGGCCAGCAAGCTGGAGACTCAGGAAAGACTTGCGGTCCCAGCCCAAAGGCAGTTTGCTGGCAGAGTTCCCTCTTCCTCGAGGGAGGTCAGTCTTTCTTCTATTAAAGTTATCAATGGATTGTATAAGACCCGCCCACATTATGGAGGGTAAGCTCTTTACTCAATGTCCACAGATTTCAATGTTAATCTATTTCTAAAAAACCTTTCATGAAAACATCCAAAATAATGTTTGACCTAATGACTGGTAACTCTGGCCTAACCATATTGACATACAAAATTCGCCACCAAATTATGTTTTTTTAACTGATATGTATATTATGTCTCAATGCTTTGCCTGACATTATTAGGGTTTACAAATATCCAATGATTGAATACATTTGGGAAAAGTGACAAACTAAGTTCATCTCATTCTTAAATAATATTGTAATTTCTAATGAATTTCCCCTTTCTTGTTATCATCATATTAGCTCTATTTTTCAGGAATCTTTTTATTGCAAGTTAAAGAAATCCAACTCAGATTAATGAGATAAAACATATGTTAATCTGCTTTGCTATGGTAACCACTTGACTATCATTATGTATCCTATAAAGTCACGTTGTAAACTCCAAATATGCACAATAAAATTTAGTTTTTAAGAAAAGAAGATTTTTTTTTCTGTCTTGGGCACCTGCCTATTGCAGTGATTATGTTGGCTTTAGACAGTTATATCTAGAGGTCAAATGATGTAATCAGCAGACTGTCTTTGTTTTCTTTTCTTTCCACTGTGTGTTCAGTCAGGCTTACTCTATGAAGGGGTAGCAATTGCAGCTGACAATTTTTGAGTTAGATTGCATTACACTTAGAGAATACTAAGGAGCAAATAATTAGTTCCAGGAGATTTTCAGATTATCAGATTATTCTGCCTTGATTTATGTGCCCTTCCCTGAAATAGTGATAGCTAACAGGGCATAAATATTCTGAATAGATGAACTGGAAATATATTCCGAAATTTGTAGTTACTGGTAGGAGAGAGAAAGGAAAGAACTCTAAATAATTACATATATTTGAATGCATTTCCAGCTTAATAGGAAGAAACAAAGGTTCTGGTAACACAAGATATGGAAGATGAATTTGGCCAAAGTAAACAGTGTATTTTACATAATTAAAATCTGGCAGTTTACCCTTTTTTTCCAGTACTGATACCTATAATTTAATTGTTTTCCATTACATTGACTTAATATTGATAACAATGCTATTTGACATACTATCAAGGGCTTTTCGTTATTTAGATAGTGATTTCTCTAATATGTCCTGTATTCGTTGTATGTTGAGTTAGTGTTTTTTGTTTTGTTTTGCTTTGCTTTTATCATGTTATAAGTTATACTCTTTAATGAGTGTAATTTTTAAAGATCAGGATCAAAGTTGCAGTCATAAATTTTCTCTTTCTTGAAAAGTGACTGCTATAATTATGTCCATTTTTAATTTTTTAACATATATACTTTTCTGACTGCTAGATTTTTGTCCCAATGCTTCCTTTCTTTTTTGTGTGTCTGGTTGAATTTATCTATTTTCAGATCTTTATTATTTTATCAATTATAATTTTACTTTGTATTAGTTTTGCTTTTGTTTTTTACTATTTATTTGTTTTTTTTTCTTTAGTTCTCTTTGTTGAATTTTTAAAATTTCATTCTGAAAACTTTAGATACAAAATTTGGAAGAGTTGTCAATATAAAAAATTCCTATATACTCTTTAGCCAGCTTTTCCTCATGTCAACATCTTAAATAACCATGGTACATTGATCAAAATTTAGAAATTACAGACACAATACAGTAAAATAAATAAGAGTAATTTATAAGAGTGACTTGTTTGGTTTCACAGGTTTTGGAGATCTTGTTCATAATTTTTGTTGCAAATATTAAATGTATTATATAAATAGTGAGTATTGTCCGTAATTATATTATATTTTTAGTTTGAGAACATTGTAAGTTCGTGCAGTTATAAGCAGTAAAATGGAGTTCCCTGTAAATTTTCCTTAATATCTCTCTATTGTGACATAAGACTAAAAAATTACAATCAAGATGTATTTATTCATCAAAATAAAATTATGAAATAAATACATGAATTGTATGAGTTTATTATAGATTTACAAAGCTATATATAAGGGACTTTTCTTCCCAAATCTCAGAAGATTAATTTTAAATGGTTAACTCCATTTGTATAATTCTGTTATTTCATTAGTCTTATATCATTAGACTTCATTTTTAATTTATTTTCTACTTGATATAATAGATTTCATGTGATGTTTTATTTTAATGTATAAATCTTTAATGTGTTACAGTCTACCTTCAAACAGTGATTGCACTTCACATATAGTATGAGAACATTGCAACAGTCTACTTCCATTTTCCTACATCTCTTTTAGTATTGTTTTGTTTTGCAATAGAAATTAATGTTACAAGTCCTATAAAGTATACTTTACTTTGTTATTATATTCACTTCATTTTATTTTGTCATTATCTTTGAAGGATAATGAAAACTTATTCTATATTTATCTACACAATTACCTCTTCTGGTACTCTTTATTCCTTCATGAATAAACCAAGTTTCTACCTAGTATTATTTTCCTTCTCTATAAAGGACTTTCTTTAACATTTCTTGTAGTATTCAATTATTGGTGATGAATTCTGTCAGCTGAATATGTCTATATGTCTTAGAAAGTGTTTATTTCATCTCATTTTTAAAAGATATTTTGGCTGGGTATCTAATTTTTGGTTGACAATTTTGTCCTACAACTATCTCCACCTGTTAGTATTTTAAATATATATTTTTTAGCTGTATTAGTCTTTTGTGTTGCTATTAATAAATACCTCAGACTGGGTAATTTACAAACAAAACAGGTTTATTTTGGCTCACAGTTTTGGTTCGCCAGCATGGTGCTAGGATCTGCCTCTGGTGAGGGCTTCAAGGAGCTTACAATCATGGTAAAAGGTGAAGGCAGAGCCAATGTGTCACATGGCGAGAAAGGGAGCAAGAGAAAGAGGAGAATGTTCCAGGCTCTCTTAAACAGCCAGATCTTGTGTGAACTTGTATAGTGAGAGCTCACTCAATGCTGCAAGGATGGCACCAAGCCATTCATGAGAGGTTCATCCCCATGACCCAAACACCTCCCACCAGGCGCCATCTCCAACATTGGAGATTACATTTAAACATGAGATTTAAAGGGGACAAACATCCAAACTATATCATTAAATTATGGCGTTTATGATGAGATGTTTAATGTCATCTTTGGTCCTCTGTAAGTAATTTTCCTTTTTCCCTAGGTGTTTTTAATACTCTTTTTCTCTACACTTCAACAATTGAATTACATATCAACTCAATGGCGCTTCCTTAATATTTCTTTTTTTTTTATTTATTAATCCCTTTGTATATTTAGAGATTTGATTTTCATCAAATTTTCAAAACAGATTTTGGTTGTGATTTCTACAATATTTACCTGCTGCTTTTTTTCCTGAACCCCAATTACGTGTATTTTAGACTGCCTAAATTTGCTCCACAACTCGCTACTGCTCTGTGTATAATTCTTCGTTTTATTCCTTTTTGGGTTTTATTTGGATAGCTTCTGCTGCTACATTCTCGAGTACATGAGTATTTTATTTTACAGTGTGTAATATGCTGTTCATCTCATACAGCGTGTTTTTCATCTTAGATCCTGTATTTTACATGTCTTGAAATTTGACTTTGCTTGTGGAGTTGTAAATGTATCTTCCATCATGCTCATCTATTCTTCTGCCTGTTTCTGTTGACAGAATTATTACTGGTTGTAGGTCACATTTTTCTGCTTCTTTAAATGTATTACACATTTTTAAATAAATACATGTATTGAGAATTTTACATTTTGGTGTGCTGTATTTTCTTATATGACTTTAAAAAGTATTGTGCTTTCTGGTATACAGTTAAGTAACTGGCAATTTTTTGAGGCTTTGTTTTTTTCTTTTTTCCTTTTTTTTTTTAAGCCAGTATAAACAGTCTTTAGTTCAGGTCCAATTTAGCTCAACTATTGATGTAATAACTTCTAGTGGATTCTACTAATGCATCATCTATTAGGTCTTGTCATGAAATTATGTTGCCTATTTCTTTCCAGTGGTATTTCTCTAGCCCCAGGTAGTTTTCTTTCTACAGCCACATAACAGCTCTCAGCCAAGGACTCAGTGAGAAAGCTCTGCTGTTCCCCAGAGCTGCCTCCATCTTTCCAAGCAACTCTCTTTTCTCTGGTATTCTGCCTTGGCCATTCTAGCTGTCTTGCCCCTAGAACTCAGAAGCTTGTATCTTTTACTCAGATAAACCACCAGGTTTAGCTTGAGTTTCCCTGTCTCCTTTCCTGCTCTCTAGTCTAGAAATCTTTTCAAGATGGTGAGCCAGAGGCAATCATGAGGATCATTTGTTTATTTCAGTATTTTTGCTTTCTAATCCATTGTCTGAAAGCCATTTTTTTCATATATTTTGTCTTTTTAAGATGCTTAATACTGGAGGATTAATTTGGTCTGGGTTAATTCAATATGAATAGAAGCTAAAGCCTTCTATTTATTTAGCTTGTACTACCAAAAAAAAAAGGAAGAAAAAAATAATTGCATAATATTTATATTTACTACAACATTTTCTGCTCTCATTATATTTATTTTAATTTCTTTCCTTTTTGCCATGTTTGGTCATAACTGCAAATCTTACCCATTCTATTTTTTAGGAAGTGGATACATAAGCTTTTGACTATAAGCATATTTGCTTCAAAGTGGCAATTGTGCCATTTGTGTATAAGTAATCAATTCTGACCCAATTTTTAGAAGATAATTGATTGGCAGTGATCATAAATAATCTTAATTCTCTTACACATTCAGGGTGAGTGTAAGTGTCAAGCCCCTGTGATGTCTGTTAGTAGAAATATTAAATACAATCTAGCATGATCTAAACTCAGCTAGACTTGCTTGTTTTATGTTTTGAAGTTATGTATATATATATTTATTTCTCTAAAAGATGGGCAAGCAAATTTTAGAAAAAAAGTTCTTATTAGGGAGTTTTAGTTAACAGCCATAATTTATTTATTCCATTATTCCCTAAAAGAAAAGAATAGATTATATAGTGGTTATTAAATAACCTCATGTCAATAATAGAAAATAACACAAAGGATTTCCTGAATCAATGCAATGTTCAATAATATTAATCTTGAAATGATAAGAAACAAGAGAATATTTAAAAAAATCCATAAGTCAGCACTTATAGTTGCTCTTAGGATCTTAATTTATTCTCATTTTAACTACTTATTTCTCATGAAATAACATACATTTTTAGTTGCTACTCCACCTATAAATTTCCATTTTTTGTTTCATGTTATATATGAAATATTTTAACTGCATTATTTTCTTCTTAAAATCATGACCATGATTTTACTGATACAAGTATATTTATTAAAATATAAAGATATTTTAATTAATATGCAGTTCTTAAAGATTGTTTTCTTAACAACAAACATTCTTAAATATATTCTGAAATTTTTTTGCTATTACTGTGTGAGAGGTTCACAAATCATCCTGACTACCATTATCTTTTATTTGTAAAAAACTTTAAAAGTATATGATGTATATTTTAAAGATATTTAATACATTAAAAATAAGACTTATGTCCATAGTATTTTCACTCAATATCGATTTGACAGTGTTTGGATTTGAAAGAAAGTTAGAAATCATGAAATCAATAGCCTTTATTTGATTAATTAGGACACTGAGTTTCAAAACCATGCAATAATTTTGACAAGAAGATTATTGGTACTTCAATATCCATGAAATTTTATCACAATTTATTTCTAGTCTAAAACTATTTTTTTAATTTACATTCAAAATAATAATGATTTTGGAGAAGCAGCTCTACAGAACAAGAGTTGTTGACTTATCGCTTGGTTAAATATGAAATAAAACCAGCAGTAACCCATTTCTCTATCACTTACTCTTTCTAAACTCTTTATCTTCATCCTGTCCTTGAAAAAGTGGCAAACAGGAACTCACTGCTAAAAAGAAGGGTGCTAGGGTCCAAGCAACTAAGGACAGCTGACTCCTTCAAGTACGGTGAGTAGTATGGAAAGTATTCTAAACTAAGTCCCCTGTTGGAAAAGCAATGGGTCCAGACCTATGAATTGAAGAGAAATACAGTCTCAGATACCTTGTCTAGCTTCTGTAGATTCATAGACACATTTGTTGGCTTATTTTTAATATGTTTCATTTTGTTAAGCACTACCATATTTTGGCATCAGGTATGTCTAGTAGGAAGCACAAATAGTGGAAAAAAGGTTTTGGAAGTAGTCATAAGTAGGTAAGTTGTTAACTATGGTGACAATGAAGATGCTTTCAACCATAAATACAGAAAAAAAAATCTTAATGTGTTAAATAAGAGTTTTATTATCTCACTTATGCTGATGGGTGTTAATAGAGAGGAGCCAAGAATATTTAATTCTCAGACTAAGTGCAGTCATAGATAATTTATTTTCTCTTCATCTTCTCACTCTGCAATTCTCAGCAGGTTTTTTTTTTCTCCATATATGGTCACTATACCTTCATATAACATTTAGGCGATTTATCTTTACATGCTAGCTTCTAGATAAGTAAGAAATTATCCCTCTCTTAACATACTTTTTATGAACAAGAAAAACCTTCCAACAAGCTCTCTGAATTGTTTTAGGATGCCTTCCATGGAAAGGCTAATGAGACTTCTCCAACCAGAGTAAAAGGCAGAATGAAGCTCTAGTAAATTACTTGAGATACTGTGTTATTTCTCTCAAGGATGGTACTGTACATAGCCAGCGCCATTTTAGATACATAGGAGAGAAGTTAGTTTATTCCATAAAATGAATGCCTTAGGGCATCTGGGCTTAATTCTCTCCCGGAACTCCAGGAGAAAAGCACCAGTTGTATAAACCATAATTCTTTCCGTAGATCTGTTATCTAGGGATGCAAACGTCTTTCTTGAAGTAAATAACTGCTAGAGTAAATTGAACTTAATTGAATTTTTACTAGTAAATAAAAAGGTAGAGAATGACTGTAGGGTAGGAAATTCACTTTATTCAACATTTCTTTTTTTAAAGTGTTATCATTATGCTCTGATGTGTCACCCAGATACCCCTTCAGGACTGAAAGAATTATTTTGCCTGCTGCTGAAAGTGCTGGCAGAAGACATCCCTCAATTGTCAGACCTCTTTGGGAATTGTCTCAGCTAGAAAGATTTTTCTCACTCCCTATCATACCTTTTCCCAGAGAAGTCTGTATCTGTATCTAATGACAAGACACATAAAGGTCTGACCCCTTTGCCTCAATTTGAGGCAATACTGAAGGTCCATTCTTGTTTTAGAGGGGGTCAGATGAAAACTTTGCTGGATGCTTCCCAACCCATCTCCTCCCTTTGCCCAGCCCTATTTGCTTCTTTTCTTTTCCACAAGGGATGATCTCTGCAACACACCGAAATCAACCACACGCATGCTTGTCTGCATCTGCATCTTGGGTCTGTTTTTCCAAGTGAAAAGTTAGTTTTCAATCATTTTAGATCTAAGTGTCCAAATACATGAAGGGGGACATGAATGTTGATACGATAGTGCTGGGAACGGGAGAGCGTAGTCCCTTTAAATAATACTAAAGTGGGGAAGAGAAAGGCAGGTCCCTGGCTAGGGCTCTACACCCACGGACTTAGGTGAGGACAGGCACTCCTGCTTTCATGCAAATGTTGCATTTTCCAAGACCACCTTGGCCCGCCATGCCCCCATCCTGGCCCTATAAAAACCCGAGACCTTAGCGGGCAGACACAAGCAGCTGGACGTCGTGAGGAACACATCAGCGGAAGAAGACACAAGCGGCTGCTCGTGGAGGGCACACCAACAGACACCTACAGGCTGGCGGGCCATTGATAGGTGGAACGACGCGGAGTTTGGCTGGGGCAGTTGGAGGACAGTCCAGGCTTCCAAGCAGCCTGACTGCAGGGGAAAACCATCTCCCTAATGGCTCCCGCATCTGCTGAGAGCTACTTCCACTCAATAAAACCTTGAACTCATTCTCCGAGCCCACGCGTGAGCCGATTCTTCCGGTACGCCAAGACAAGAAACCCCAGGATAGAGAAAGCCCTCTGTCCTTGCCACAAGGTAGAGGGTCTAACTGAGCTAACACAAACCACCTGCAGACGGCAAACTAAAAGAGCGCCCTGGAGCACATGCCCACTGGGGTTTCAGGAGCCGTAAACATTCACCCCTATACACTGCCCTGGGGTGAGAGGCCCACAGCCTGCCCGTCTGTATGCTCCCCTAGAGGTTTGAGCAGCGGGGCACTGAAGAAGCGAGCCACACCCCCATCGAACTCCCTGCGAGGGGGACAAGGGACCCTTTCTCATTTCAATGTCAAAGTTGTTTATGAAAAATGATAATTTGTGTAGACAGAGATATCTCACCCTGTAATATGCCTGACATGGCATATAAATGGGAATACACAAATATGTATGTCAACCAATGCAGTTTTTTTAAGTTTATATTTTATTATTTTTATTTTACTTTTAAATTTCAGAGAACTTGGGCTCTGCTTATGATCAAGAAGCTTATGTGCCAAAGCTGGAAAAATTCACATCTTAATACAAATCTCATGTTCACTCTGTTATATCCCACTGCTTCCTTGTGAGAATAAAATCACCCATTGAGAGAGAATCATAACAATTTGACAATAAATACTTCACAACAAAAATTGTACATTTCAGATGTAAAACACGTGACTAAATTAATTTCAAAATCCAGAAGAAAGGAATTAAAATTTTTTAAGTTATCTGTAACTTATTTGTGCTATGAGTTTATTTTGTAGAACTGTGTGTTTGTGTGTGTGTGTATTTACAAATATACGGTAACATCAATTCTTTAAAAAATGAATTTTAATTTAATTTTAAATAAAGAGTGAGACCCAATGTTACTAAATTTTAAGAATGTAAAATGTTCTGATGACAAATACCAATACATCTAATGTCAGGAAATCATTCTGAAGAACTCAGTGTCATTGTGTATGATTTTCACTTCCTATATGACAAATCCATAATATGTGATATAAGTCATCATATATAAATATTCGCACATATATGTTAATTCTCCTAGGAAGCTATACAGTGAAATAGTGTAGCATAAATAAAAGAGGAAGAGATATTATAAAATTATCTTTTGCCGGATTTTCTATAAGAATGAAAGTTCAGAAACATATAATGAATAAAATGCATAATGATTATGTCAACTCAAGGAACATTACAGTAGGAGAATAACATTTAAGCTTTAATTAGTAAGAGGTAGGCAGATGCTATATTTCAACGTGCAAATATCCTGCCAATTTTATAGACTGCTTTTTAAATGGAGACATGAGAATTTCTTGATATAGGATTAGGCTTCATAGTCAAGCAAAAAACAGCATTGGAATTGGCTTATTGGATAGATGTACAAAGTATAGTAATTTATTAGAAGGTTCAAAACCTTTTGGTGCAGATATGCAAGGCACAGAACTCACAGGCCAGCTCTTTTCAGGTCTTAGTAAGAGCTTGTCATCTTTGTTGAATGGTTTCAATATACGTATGCTCTGATCATTTTCTGGTATCAGTAACACACTTTCAGTGATTTAACCTGAGCCTCTTTTATTAAATATCTTATATTCATTACTTGATTCCTTAACTTTATATTACCAAAATTTACAAAGTATTATTGCATATATATTGATGGTAACACAGGGTTCCCTGTCTTTCACCACTCTTTATTTTTTTATTTTTAAAATTTTATTTTATTTTAATTCAGGGGATACATTTACAAGTTTGTTACATGATTATATTGCATAATGCTGAGGTTTGGGATTCTAGTGAACCTATCACCCAAAGAGTGAACATAAAATCCAACAGGTAGTTTTTCAACCCTCACTCCCCTCCCATCCATAAATTCTAAGATAATTCTTAAAATTTTAAAATATAAAAAAGGTTTTTTAACAACTACAAGTTTTAGTGAATCAAAAGATACAAATTTTATTTAATCAAAACAGTTTTTAAAATATTAAATACTCTGCACCACAGGCATCCTTCGTCTTTCAAACCCAATTACTCCTGACTCCCTTGTCAATTCATTTATGACAATTTTCTTCAAATCACTGTTCATCAAATTTTTGTTTCATCCCTTAATATCAACTGATTTTTCTCAGGAGTACTAGATTCCCATTAATCAAATATTTGACTCTAGTTTTCTCAAGTATAAGGAAAGCACAAACTTATTCATATACAGCTCCAAAATGACCTCAACCATTCATCTCCTCTTCAACTCATGTATCTATTAATCTGTAATTGTTATATATTACTTTGTAAAAAGAAACAAAACAAAATAAAAACCTTTTATTGATTCCTTCTAGACTTTCTGCTTCCATAAATAGACTGCAAGCTCATTGAAAGCCTTTTATTAATATATTCCCCCAATTCCCATCATTGAGATAAGGTTGGATGTTATTTCCTCTTCCATTCTCTCTGACCTTCTCGAAACTTAGAATATCTAACATTTTTTAAAAAAGAAAGAAAAAACAAATTCAAAGTGTGCCATGGAAATCAATACGTCTTGGTACAAAGAAGTAAATTTATAAAGTGTATTTTCTTCTCTGATGCATTTTCCAGCTCCACCAGAATTGTGTCGGTAGGAAAAAACCAGGACCTTGGAGCATGGGGTGGGGTGTGGGGGGGTGAGGCATCAGGTGGTGAGGGGTGTGGCGGAGAGGATAGTGGAAAACAAAGAAATAAGCATTGGAGTTCTTTATTGTTATTTGTCTAATTCTAAAAGTGAACTGAGCCTAGGAAGCTTCCTGACTTTAAGGAGTGTAACATGTTATCCGGTATATCTAAGGACAGGAGGCTGGGCGTGGTGGCTCACGCCTGTAATCTCAGCACTGTGGGAGGCTGAGGTGGGTGGATCACGAAGTTAGGAGTTCAAGACCAGCCTGATCAATATGGTGAAACCCCGTCTCTACTAAAAATATAAAAATTAGCCGGGCGTGGTGACGTGCGCCTGTAATCCCAACTACTTATGAGGCTGTGAGGCAGGAGAATAGCTTGAACCCGGGAGGCAGAAGTTGTAGGGAGCCGAGATCATGCCACTACACTCCAGCCTAGGCAACACTGTGAGACTCTATCTCAAAACAAACAAACAAACAAACAAACAAAAAAAACAAAAAAACAAACAAAAGGAAACCAAAAACAAAAAAACAGGACAGGAATTCAAGTTAAATGAATGGCTTTGCTCTAAATCCCTGAAGTGGCAACCGGGATTCATACGTTCATATGTAGTTCATATGAGAGTAATTGCATTTCAAATCTGGAAATGTTATTTTACATTGTTCTTCCCCTTTCCCAATTCAACCTTGATACCACACACATCAGAACAAACTATGTTGTCTTACTCACAGGAAACGCTCATATTTGTAGTATTCTCATACTGTTGCATCTCAGCACATCATAATGTGCATATATGGAACTCATAATATCTTCTTCATTCCTACCACCTACATAAAAAATATGACATAGCTTACAAACCCTCCAACTAAATAACTTTTGCAGCCCCACATTTTTCATTCCATATGTTTATTTTGTTTCCACCCTATTCTACCTTTTTTCTACTGTATTTTGTTTCCCTTTATGACTCTATATCAGTTCTTTTACATTTAACAACTTATTCTACAAACATTCTTCTAACATAAATCATGAGTATATTTTCAGTTCAATTCATGAGTGGAAATATTCATTAAAACTATTTAAACTTATGCTATGTGAGCATACACATACACATATGTGGTACATATACATCATGGAATACCATGTAGTCATAAAAAGTAATGAGATCATGCCCTTTGCAGGGACATGGATGGAGTTGGAACCCATTATCCTCAGCAAACTAATGCAGGAACAGAAAACCAAACACCGCATGTTCTCACTTATAAGTGAGAGCTGAAAGATGGGAACACATGAACACATGAAGGGGAACAACACACACTGGGGTCTGTCAGGGACAGGTGGAGGGGAGACGGAGAGCATCAGGAAGAATAGCTAATAGATGCTGGTCTTAATACCTAGGTGATGAGCTGACTGTGCAGCAAACCACTATGATTCACATTTACCTATGTATTAATAACAAGCCTACACATCCAGCACATGTGCCCCTGAAATTAAAATAACAGTTGAAGAAAATTTTTAAAAAGAGTAAATGAACATTTGGAACACAGCACATTTGCTGGTTTTATTTTCTCCATTTATAATATTGTGTCCCAAGTAATCTCCATCTGTAAAATTCATACTCAATTTCTAAAGGCTAATTCAAATGATACTTTCTCTGTTATTTTCCCTTATCCCTCATCTAGAAGCATTTTTTTTCTGCCCCTGAACATGAATTGTGCCTTTGCAGGGATGAAAGCAATCATATCTTCCTTACATCAACCTAAATCGTATCTTCCTTTTGTCAACCTCAAAGCCAAAAAAAAGCTTATCTTTATAATTTCTATAACATTTAGCATGATTCCTAGCATATTGTACATCATAAATATATACTTCATAAATAAATATGCAATATCTATATATTATTCTTCTAAATAATCATTTTTATGTTTGTCATATATACATTTTGCATATTTTCCATTGACAATAATGAATATGACTCTGATTTCTTTTCTTTCTTTCTTTTTTTTTTTTGAGACGGAGTTTTGCTCTTGTTGCCTAGGCTACAGTGCAATGGTGCGATCTTGACTCACTGCAACCTCCGCCTCCTGGGTTCAAGTGGTTCTCCTGCCTCAGCCTCCCTAGTAGCTGGGATTACAGGCGCCCGCCACCACTCCCAGCTAATTTTTTGTATTTTTAGTAGAGACAGGATGTCACTATTTTGGCCAGGCTGGTCTTGAACTCCTGACATCAAGTGATCCACCCACCACAGCCTCTCAAAGTGCTGGGATTATGGGCGTGAGCCACCATGCCAGGCTCTACAGCTCTGATTTCTAAATGTTATCAGTTAATGCATAAGATAAGCAGCATTGTTTGTAAGTTAAAGTGGAAAGTGAGTGAGAACATTTTAATTTGAGCATTCCTATATCAATGACAACAGTAACCCTATGTTGGAAGTTTGGTATATGCCAGCAATTTTCTGTGTGCTTAAATGCCTTATATACTTAAACTCTCATCAAACTCTTTGAAGTTTAGGTGTTTCTCAGATGAGGGAACTAAGATTAAGAAATATCAAATAATATGCCTAAAGTTGCACAATTCAAAATATGAAAACAACAGAAACACACATGCACTAACCAAAATCTCTTTTAGACTCCATGTTCTATTGCAAAGTGATACTTGACAAATCTCTAGATATAAAATAATCTAACTTTATAGTAAGGAAAATATATATAATTATTATTTTTCACCACTTATTTTATTCAATTCCTTAAGTTACTTAAATGTCAGGTGGGCCTCCCTGTCCTTGATTTGAATTCCACAATTCTATGAACTTTAGAAATGTAAGCACTTCCAAATATCCCTAAAAATGTTGACAAAAGTTGAAATTCAATTAAGAGAGGCTTATATACTTTATAGTCTTTCTTCCTTTTGGGTTTCTGCTTCCATTCCATTTGTAGTGCCTTTTGAAAAAAACTGTGTTAGTCTAAACATGAGATCACACATATGGAAACACACATACACACACAAAAATTAAAATTACTAATATTCTGAAAAAATTTCCATAAGCATTAATGCATTATTTTTTAATGACAATCAAAAAATGCTGTTGGAGACCATAGCAGAAATAAATGTTCCTCCACTAGCATTATCTGTTTTTTGGCTCCCATCTAATATCCTTCATTTGATCATCTTTGCTCTCTGCATCCCATTCTCCTTTAGAATAGAAAAGAAATTCAGAACTTCTAGTATAGATGTTAAAATAATACAATTATTGTACAGAGTTTTAATTATATTTGCTAACATATTGGTTACCTAGGAAATACCAGCAGGAGAAAATATAATTAACATGTCTTGTCAACTGTAGTATTGGAATTAACAAATGAAGTACAGGTATAAAACTATTTTCAATGGTTAAATTTTTCTCTAAACTTGATTGAAGTTAATAAAATTTCTACCAGTTCATCACTTTTCTATAATGTCTGATGTTTGACTTAGTTATTAGGGTAAAAGTACATAGTAAGAGCTTCAGAATAATATAACTAATATATAACTTAATTCTTCATACAGTTTAGTAATTTGAAACAAGTATATTTTCAGTTAACTTCAAAATATTATCTTTCAATGTCTATCGTTCCCTATGTCCATGTATACCCAGTGTAGAGAGAATGAAGGGGAAGTGTTGAAAAACTATTATGCCTATTTGTTAGATCCTATGCTTACTACCTAGATAATGAGATCAGTTGTAACCCAAACCCCAGCATCATGCAACACACCTGCCCCTGTACCTCTTGAATCTAAAATAAAAGTTAAAGTTTAATAAGTAAATCAATTAAATTAAAATAAATAATAGGATACTTTCAAAAAAAATTATCTTTCAAAACTCTATAACTTTCAGAAAATGTCCGGGCATTTAAATCTTAATTGATTGTTTGATTGTTTACTTACAAATCTTATTCTTAATATTTTTGGCAATATTGGCGATATCATAGTGAAATACCAAATATTTTTAAACATGTGAAATGAATAGATAACGTGCCACATAGAACCAAGTCTCAAATTTATATTGAATTAAGTCTTCCTTTCCCGTCCTAAAGGAGCCAGATTATATCTGTATGTGCATTTGTGTGTGTTTTTTTGAAATATTGCACACTCACAAACCTTGTTAAATGCCTAAAAAAATATGAATGTAGTTATAACCCTAAATTTCTTAACTCTGTTTATCTCTAGTTTATGCAGGATTCCTGTCTCCTGAAGAATGTGGTAAAAAGTTACTTTGGCATCACCAGAAGTTTTGTCCAATGCAATCATCAGCATTACCCTGGTGTTCTTCCTCTCTTGTCCTGTTCACCATCACCTCTCCTAGCAAAGCTAATTGTGTTTTTTCTGTCCTGTGTCATTGATGTGGCTGCCTATATGAGAACATGCTTGATAAGAACAAATCTTTGCCTGCATTTGAAGAGCTGTAATAAAAACATACACAAAGATAAAATGATAGAATCTCCTTTGAGGAGAGAAAGAATTCCTCCCTGCCCTGTCTTCCTTAGCGTGTCTCCTTTATAATGCAATAGGCCCAATAAAGGCCTGGTCTTTTTATTTTGCAATGCAACATTGCAAGTCTTTTGACACTTGGAACTAGAAACACTTAGGTTTCTCTTACAGGATAAAGGAGATAATCACAAGGCATGGCCGTTTGTATCTCAAGTAGATAGAAATTTTAATTGTTCCTTCTTTTACTTTACTGTATATATTTGTGTAAAATTCTGTTCAGACTTCATAGTCACTTTATGTCACCCCAAATGTATATGCCAATATTAAATTGTTTCTTCTCTCTTTTCTACATTGATCCAGAAGAGTCTTTTGCTGGCAAGATTATTTCCTGAACCTGTGTTACTCAAAGGAATAAGGTAACCTAATAATTTTTTTCATAGTGAATTTCTCCATGAAAATAAATCACTCTTCTAAATTCCTTCACTCATCCAGGACTATACAAATCTCTTCATGTTTTCTCCCAACATATTCAACTAAGAGAAAAAAAAATCTGTATTTTAGAAGAAGTTTGACCATGAAGTGCTATGACTTTCCTGTAAATGTTATATATCATTTGAATTATTTTTAATAAAGATATGATGAAGTATACAACTCTGGATAATTTTAATTTTGCCTCTCCAGCACAAAACTTAGGGCTATTTTTTATGGTTTTACACGTACCAAGTCATCCACATATTAACTTGTTGGAATTCATGACTAACTAGCAAAGACAGGGAAATTAGCTACATTTCTGGCTTATACGTATTTGTTTGGTAAAGATGTTGTGATATGTATTCCTTTAGCAGAAATTTGTAGGGTGGTCTATCTGCCACTCAACAGGTAATATTCTAGGGATTAAAAAAGGTCTCTGCCTTAAGGCACTTTTATTAGAGTAAGGTAATTGTTTAGTGTGAAATCATCTCTATTTATCTGATTGTTGATAATTCTGATCTGTTGTCTCCTTGAAAATGAACCCTATCCTTCTATTAATGTTAAGAACACTCTCAGACCATTCGAGTAGTGTGGTTTGATCTTTTAACCATGGATTTCCCAATCCCCAGATGTAGATTTCACCACTTTTCCATCCTGAGTGAGAGTTCAGTGTTGGTGATTACATCAACATGGTTTAAGTCTAAACTCCATCATCTATGAGGGGTGAGTAAAACGAATTAAAACTTATGATTCAGTAACTTTACCTGCATAAAAAGAGATATTATTAGTACATAATACACATGGTTGTGGAGAAGATTAACTGGTAAGGTACAAGTGGGTCACATGGAATAGTCTCAGGAATAATTCTCAATTTATAATAATTAGTACCATCTCAATCATGCTTGTCATCATTACTTCCAGTAACAAATTTAAGTGATTTCCATGAGAATATGGCAGCTTACTTCAGGAAAAGTAAGATTACACCACATATTACCTATTGGTATTAAAAGTAATAAAGTAACATATACATAATTTATTATACTTAAGTGCCACAGAATAAATGTTAAAATGAAGTGTATTTTATCCTTGATGTCCATCAATGGCATTACAGTATGCTACAGCAATTAAAATAATGATAAATACAAAGAAAAGATATATATTCACATTAATAAAAGAATAAGAATTTTCTCAAAGTGACAACTTTTTCCTTTTAATACAATCAAAACATCTTAATATAAGTAACGGGTTGAAAATAAATGCTAAGGAAAAAATGTGTGCAATGAGGGTGGAAAATGCATAATTTATATAACTTATTTGAATCTCAGTCTCTTTTTTGGCAAAAAGGACTAGTCCCTAGGACTATAATGTTAATTAGCCCTTATAAAAACTAGGGTCCCCAAACAATAACTAGAAAATAGAGAAACGGTGCACAACATATTTTAAGCTATCAGCTTCAACATTTCCCTTTATATTTTGACAAGAACACAGCCCCAGCTGGATTATTCTTTATTCATTCAGTTGTCTTCTTCCTAAAAAAATAATTTGAAAAGATTAAGTATGGAGCTCCACTTCATTATCACCAGCCAGACACTCTTGCTCCCTTGTGTCCTTTTTGCTAATGCTGGTGCTTTAATATGCAGAATGACTTCTCTTAAAACAATTGTGTATGCCTACTAAGGCACTTTCTAATATATACTCTGCATTTGCAAATTACTTGCTGTAAAAATGTAAGTTTACTTTCTCTCCCTCCTCCTCATCATATGTGATCCTGAAAAGGTAATTTTTTTTTTCTTTTAAACAAATACAGGAGAGCTAAGGCCAATGTAAATCAAATGTAAAATGAATTATTTAAATAAATTCAATTAAATGTATAAGAAAAAAACACAAAGCTTCGTGTTGCAGTTTTCTTAAATCTTATAAGACTTTGGAGTTTTCAAATAAAGAATATTAATTATTATTTTTCAAGGTATAGAAGAGAACAGACATTTTCATTTAGTTTGCAAAGTTGATTAGTTTGTTTACTCAAACACATATTAAATATCAATCTTTGAGTTCAAGAAATAAATGAGTCTGGCAATTTGTAGACCCATCAAATGCCCTAAGCAGAATATATTTTATTAGACTCCAGGATTTAGAAACAATTTTATCTAAAGACCTTGCGGAATTTGAGATTACAAGATACATCAAACTGGAGAGAAAAAGTTTTTGGAATAGTACATGAATAAAAATGAAGAACACTAGAAACACTATGTATGTAGAAAAAATAAGAAAAATAAATATTAAAATACAAATAGTTGCTATTATTAACATAAAATATTAATATTAACTGGCTAAAATGATATTTTAAACAAACTACAGGCATGTGAAAAATTCTTCAAGGCTTTTCATAAGAGAAAGAGAAAATGAAGGAATGGGGTTAGGGAAGAGGAGGGGGGATATAGAGAAAAACATACATAAAGAAGTTAAAAAAAACATAGAACAGTATATATGAAGGAACTGGATTAAAAAATAAAGTGATACAGTCAAGAATAATAATATAGGCTAATAACATACTTCAGGAAGAGAAATTTTATTTAACGATATATGCTACTAGAGAAGTCAACTATGTATAAAAAATAAAGTAAAAATTTTAAACTTTAAAGAAAAATTGGAAGCAAAGTACATTATTATAAAGAAGTAAAAAGACTCATTAGGTAAACATCATGGCTTAATACAGTTCATCCACAAGAAGATAAAAGAAGTAACAAAAAATGCCTGCTGATAGCATTTATATAACTGTTATATACTGCACTGATTTTACAAATGAGAATATAAATTCATAGAGATTAAGTAATCTGTCCAAATCTTTTCTCAAACAGAATGAAAGGTCAGAAGCAACTGCCTTGGTGTGCATAATTTATTGTATGTAGGAAGCATTTTTATTGTCTCCATAAATACTCTATTTTGAATGGTATCAGAATTACATAAGTCCAGTAATTTGATATCTGAATACTTAAAATATATCTATCAGTATTATTTTCCAGTTTGAGGTTATTACTCCCTATGTTTATCACATACTATATGAGAGTTTCATTCTGAAAATAAACATAGTTTTTTTCCATTCCCATGAAGTTAGAAAATATGTTTTAAGAAATTTTTAAAAATATTTACTGATGACTTTTTTTTTCTGTTATTTTAGCTCAGCTCTGGTATCCAATAACATTCTGAAATACCTAAGTAATTAAAAGTAATCAGTAAGAAAATGTTTTAAATAAGAAAACATCAGTAGAATATACAACTAATGCCAACTAAAATAGAACCTAATTCATTTTCATGACATTAAATTATGCTGTTGCATCTTTACTAAATGATTTCATGTAATTCTCTTTTTTACTTCTAATAACTTTGGATTTGAGCTTATACAGCACATCTTTTTATAGTTTAAACAGGACTCTCTAAATATGATTTCAATCTGCATGCCTATGTTATCTTAAAGAACCAATTGCTTTTCCTAGAAAAGGCAAACTTTCAGATGAGGAAAAAAATAGATAGAAAGCCCTGACTTCCAGATTTAAATAAACATTCTCTTCTAAACACTGAATCCACTGAGTCCATTTATTCAGAATGCATAAACTAAATCATCTGTAGTTCTGCAAAGTTCTAGAAGACAAATTTATTAGAAAAACTCAGGCATATTTTTTTAGTTACATGACTTTATATCTTCTAGATACGATTGCATAAATTTGGACTCTGCTTCCATTGTTCTGTCAATACTGATAATCCTCTTACTAATATTTTAATATCACTCTTAACACTGAGTATATTTTGTCACTCATAATTTTACTAATTAATTTTTACTGCTTAAAATACAAAAAGGCATCTTAAAAATACAACAAAAACATTTTAAGTATAAAGCTTGAATATGTTATGTAATTAGGTCTTCACTGGATTTTTTAAAATGTAATGCTTGATTCAAACACCAACACGTATTAATTCCCCTCAAGTGTTTTAACCCACTTTTGAATATTTCTCTGACTTTTTATCTCCATCCTTGCCTCACTGATACTAACTCTTAAAATGTGCATGACATTCTTATGATGTTTGGATGTACTGTGGATAGTAAAACAGACAAATGCTGTGCTAACATGGATGCTGCTATGTTAAAGATAGGAAAATGGTAAACCTTATGACAAAGCCTGTGTTTTGGGATAAAATCCATCTAAAGGAGTCAACTCACTATTAAACTCAGAAACCTAGATTGGGTAATATTAGGTGTAGTGTTTATATTGTGCTAAGTTCATATGAACATTTGAAATTTCTTGCATTTTATTATTAATATTTATTTGTCTACTCTGGAATTCAACCTGATCCTGCATGAATTTGTTGTTCTATTTTAATTACAGGACACATTTCTTTTTATTATTCTTTATTCAAAAGCAGTTTTTGACTTTTTATTGTACCTGTTCATTCAGATAAAGTTTATAATATTTTCATAAATTTCAAAAATAAATTATTGAAATTTTATTACGGATTTAAAATAAAAATGTTATGGATTACCATGGAAGATACTAAGTTTTACATGTAATTAATTAGTCTGTTTCTCCCATTATTTTCAAATTATTTTTTCAGTACTAAGTAAAATATTATCTGTTTTTGTAAAAGTTATGAAGGTGTATTAAATTTTAATTTCAAATGTTTCCTAAGTATGATTGAGCTCAATGGAGATGCAAATAAGGCATCATTTTATTAACATTATAAAATGTAAAGATTAACTTGATAATACAATTAGACCCAGACTAAAAATATTAATATTAGATGATGAGTTTGGAGATTTGAATTATCTGATTTTGTGGTACTCTTGTTTTGCAGGATCCTAACATTTTGTTTTACTTTTTTCCCCATCTCATATGGTTTGGCTGTGTCCCCACCCAGATCTCATCTTGATTTGTAGTTCCCATAATCCCCACGTGTCGTGGGAGGGTTCCAGTGGGGGGTAATTTAATCATGGAGGCAGTTGCCCTCATCCTGTTCTTATGATAGTGAATGAGTTTTCATGAAATCTGATGGTTTTATAAGGGGATTTCCCCCTTTTGCTCAGCACTTCTCTTTGCTGCCACCGTGTGAAGAAGGACATGCTTGCTTCACCGTCTGCCATGATTGTAAGTTTCCTGAGGCCTCTCCAGACATGTTGAACTGTGAATGAATTAAAGGTCTTTCCTTTATAAATTACCCAGTCTTGGGTATGTATTTATTAGCAGAGTGAGAACAGACTAATACACCGTCTTAGTTACAAAGGATGCTCTGTGTAACTTTTAGTCTTTCTCTCCCTCAAAACGTATGCATTTTGTCTTTTACAGAGCTTCCATATTGTTTTTCATAGTGGCTGTAGTAATTCACATTCCCACCAGCAGTGTATGAGTGTACACTTTTCTTCACATCCCTGCCAGTAACTGTTATTTTTGTCTTTTTGATAGCCATTTTAACTGGGGTAAGATGATATTTTATTGTGGTTTTGGTTGGTGTTTCCCTGATGATTAGTGATGTTGAGCATTTTTTTCATATACCTGTTCATCAATTGTATGTCTTCTTCTGAGAAATGTCTATTCAAATCTTTTGTCTGTTTTTAATCAGGTTATTTTTTTTAACCATTGAGTTGTTTTAGTTTTTTATAGATTCTGTTTACCAATCCCTCTTTGGATGGATAGCTTGCTAATATTTTCTTTTATTCTACAGGTTGTTTCTTCACTCTGTGGATTTTTTCCTTTGCAGTGTGGAAGCTTTTTAGCTTAATTTAATCCCATTTGTCTATTTTTGCTTTTGTTGACTGTGTTTTTGGAGGTCTTAATTAAAAAAATTCTTTGCACAGATCAATGCTCTGAAGCATTTCCCCAGTTTTCTCCTAGTAGTTTCATAGTTTCAGGCCGTACACATAAGTTTTTAATTCCTTATGAATTTATTTTTGTATATGACAAGAAATAGGAATGCACTTTTCTTCTGCATATGGATATACAGTTTTACCAGCACCATTTATTAAAGAGACTGTCCTTTTCCCCAATGAATGTTCTTGCTGGCTTCTTTGAAAATAAGTTGGCTGTCAATGTATAGATATTATCTCTGGGTTCTCAATTCTGTTCCATTGGTATAAGTTTCTGTTTTATGTCAGTACTATGCTGTTTTGGTTACTATAGTTTTGTAGTATATTTTGAAGTCAAGTACTGTGATTTTTCCAGTTTGGTTCTTTTTGCTCTTTTCAACTATGGCCACCCTACTGTGCTATTGAACACTTTATTCCTTTGATGTCACTCTATTCTGACACCAATGAACTAACCTCTCTCATCCCCTTTTCTCCCTATCTTTCACTGCCTCTGTTAACAACTTTTCTATTCTACACCTCAATGAGATCAGCTTTTTTTTAGCTCCCATAGAATTTTTTTCTTTTTTGAAAAGATGAACAAAATTAACAAACTTTTAGGTAGATTAACTAAGAGAAAAAGAGAGAAGACCAAAATAAATAAAATCAGCAAAAAAGGGGAGCAACTGATACCACAGAAATACAAAGAATCATTAGACACTACTATAAATTATATGCTCACAAATTGGAAAATCTAGAAGGGTATAACTTTCTGAACACATAGAGCTTACCAAGATTGTACCATGAAGAAGTATACAAACTGCAGAGTTTTATTTCATTCTTCAATAATGAGTAACAAGATCAAAGCAGTAATGAAAATCCTGGCATCAACAAAGTTTAGGGCCTGATAAATTTACTTCTGAATTCTATTGAACATTTAAAGAAGAATTGATACCAATTCTACTCAAAAAAAGAGGAAGATGGAATATTACCAAACTTATTCTGCAAGGCCAGAATTGCTTTGTCTAGTTGTACTCTTTTGCAGTATTATACAACTTTTATAATTTTTTTCTATTACTATGAAAATGTCATTGCTGTTTTGAGAGAGATTGCATTGAATCTATATATCACTTTGGATAGTAAATATATTTTAACAATATTAATTTACCAACATCGATAGATGTTTTTTCAACATCTATAAATGTACCACATTTATTGATTTTCATATGCTAAATTATTATTGCATACATAAGATTAATACCACTTGATCAAGCTAAATGGTATTTTCTATGTGATGTTGGATTCAGTTTGCTAGAATTGTTTTTTTATTGTTGATTTCAAGTCAGCCAGAAGAGATAACTTGTAATGTTCCTAACACAAAGCTATAATAAATGTTTAAGGTGATGTCTGGATATTCCAATCATACTCATTTAATCATTACATATTGTATGTATGTACCGAAATATCACAGGTATTTCCATGTGATGTACCAATAAAAATAACAATAAATAGAATGAAAAGAAGTTGTACATTCCAGCCTTCCCCTTTAAATAGTGACAATATCTTTAAATCTTGTCCATGCCTTCAAATAATAAATATTTTTAAGTTACTTCCTTTAACTCCAGTCTTCCAGATTTAAACAGAAATTATGTAGAAAAAAGAAATATGACATCATTTCATGCTTAGAAAAAAAGTGTGATTAAAAATTTATTACAAAATATAATAGAATTTGGTAACAATTTCTTATGCAATTAAATAGGAAAATTAGTGATATTATATATTAATAGAATATTAAAGTTTATATTTAAAGTAATCACCTAAACTGTATTAGCAAGAAAAAATAAAACTACTTATGAATAAATTTATTATAAAATTGACAGATATTACACAAGTAAACGTTGAAATTAATGCTGAGGAAAATTTTGACAAAAGATACATCTACATTGTTTGAATGGAAGGCACTAAAAACATTTTAAATAATGTAAAAAATTAATCCAATATCAATATGATTAACACCTCTTCTTGTAAAATGGGGTATATTAACACATGTCAAAATGATAATGACATTCATAAAAAATAGTTGATATGTAAGAACAGCTTAGCCGCCACATTTCTTACTTTGCATATATAATCATAAAATCAAAATCACCTGTTATTTCTTGCCTGAATTATTCTATGACTCCTTCTCTCTTATAATATATAATGGCTTCACTTCAGTTTCAGCATTATTTTGAGTTATTTTTACAAATATGTGTGTGCACGTGTGCACATGCACACACATACACACAACCACACATCTAAATGATTGCAATGATGTACTCTTACATAAACTCCTCAAGTGTTCTTCTTTGCCACCATTTTTAAAGAAGAATCCATATGGTGATAAATTTCATTACTATTTTTTTACCGCTCACCAACTGTGTTTCAATTGAACACTATTTTCTTGGTGACCTCTCTAAGAAATTCTCACATAAAAATAAAACTTATAAATGTGCCATGACAAATGTAAGATGTTATGATATATGAACATTCATTTACATATATAATTCTCAATTACTTAAGTGTGATTTTGAATATCAAAATCATAAAATTAACCTTATATATTTAACACGCAAGTTCACAATTTTAAAAAAGGAATTGTGAAGACAGAATACAATGAAAGGAACCTATCTTAATTTAGACTCTTCTCTCTAAACATAGAAATTCACTAGGGATACTAAGTATATTCTAATTAATTAGTATATTCAATGTTTTTCAGTAAATACCATTAGTTATAAGACATAAGAACATATGATTTGGGTTTTAGAAAGTATGTAAATTCATAATTAGAAAAATACAAACCATTAAAATATCTGACAAGTCATATTTGGAGAAGAAAAGATAGCTTGATAGCTGACTTATCAAAAAAATAAAAACTAGGATAAAAGCCAGAAAATTAGAGTGCCATTTTCGTGATCCTGAGGAAAATATACACGTTATAGCTATCAAAATTATCCTTCACAAAATAAGGTCCCAAAAAAGAAATGTCCAGGCCCAAAAGTTTTAACTTGAGAATTTCATCAAACATTAAAAAAAAAATTAATACCAAGTTTACACAATATTTTTTCAAAAACATAAAATAAAGAGAAATACTGCCCATCTCTGGTTATGAGCCTGTTATTACCCCAATACCAAAACTAAGCAAATCATTATTTAAAAAAATAAAACTGCAGACCAATACCAGTCACAAACCTCCATGCATAATTCATTAAGAAAATATTAGCAAATCAAATTCAGCAATGTATAATTTATATGCAATGACAATTGGAGTGTATTGCGGGTATGCAAGGCTATTTCAACATTAGAAAACTAATGAATATAATTAACCCTAGCAACAAGCTAAGACAGAAAAATTATAAGATTATATCAATTGGCTAAAAAATAGCATTTCACAAAATCCAATCAACAAAACCCTCAAGAAACTGAAAATAGAGAGAAACCATATAAACTTGATAGAGAGCATCTAAATACACCTGTTTTTTATAGCTTACTTACCATTGAGAGACCTAATGCTTTTCCCCTAAGTTCAAGAACAAGGCAAGCATGTTCGCTCCTATTCAAAATAGTTCTGGAACTTCTAGTCACTGGAAAAGAACAAAAGACATTTTGAAAAGCACATATATTGGAAGTGAAAAATACAACCAGATTTTTTTTGCATACAACACAATTTTCTACATTGAAAATTTCAGCAAATCTATAAATAATTCTTCTGTACTAATAAATAAGTCCAGCAATGACACAAGTTAAACAATCAACTTATAAAAATAAATAAAATGTCCTCACACTGGCAACTAACAAGTGGAAACCAAATTTCAGATGGAAACACAATGTTATTCACACTTCTTAAAAAGAAACCAAAATATTTTGTGTAACACAAAACAAAACAAACCATGAATGAAAAAACTTACCATGAATATTGCAAAGTGTTGATGAAAGGAATAAAAGTCATCTTTCTACATAGGGAGACATACCATGTTTGTAATTTGAAAGAATAAACATAGTAAAGATGTCAATTATTTTTCAATAGCCCTATGTGGCTGTGACTACCGTATTGCATACTACAGAAACAGAATATTTCCAACCTGAATTTGATACACATAGCATAATACCTATCCTCTGGCCAATCCACCCTGTAAATCTCATTGATCAAAATAAGCTTCTTGTCCTAATCACTGACATCCAAGAACAATAACCAGAGGCTAATCTCCCATAAATACATGGGAAATAGTGGGCTGAGTTTATAACCAATTTATTTGGCCTAGGTTCTGTATGCAAGGCAGATAACAACCAAGTTTCTTTGACTATATTATTATGTTCCCCTATTAGCATGACTTAGAATAACACTAAACAATACAAATTTATCTTCATAGGAATGCAGAGAATACAAACAGCAGAGAGATTTGTTGACCTGTATGGAAGTCAAATGGCTTCCTCTATCATAAGCTTCCCCTAGTCTGAGCTTTGGCAACATATCCTACATTCATTGTGTTTGGTCAAAATTCCTTGGCCAGGCTGGAAATTCCAGTTGATTTTCGTAAAGTAGAAACCCTCCCCAAATACTTGTCCCTCAAAACCATACTGGCTGCAACTCTCTAATGCCATACAAAAAAATCTTTCCTAATTGTCCCCTTGTACTAACCACCCTAGGGACAATAATTCTTGAGGCAGTGATGACGTCATATGTGCAAGACATTACACAAAAGTGAAAAGAAACACAAATAGTCATATCCAAGGAATTATCCATATAAATTAAAGAAATGGCCCAAGGACTTAATCTCCTCATATTTTAAGGGCTATAACCACATAGCCCCTAAGTTACTATTGACTTCTTAATGGGAGGTCTGTGCACTTGCTAACATATCTTGCTGTACTTAGGTAGATAACACTCAGCAAGTTTTTTGGATAGCGAGTGACATGTACCAAATAATGTCACACTATTAACCAAGCAGACGGAGCAAATTAAAGTCTTCTTATTTTCTGATCTACTCTTCTGACTTTCTCTGAGGGCAGGCTAGCTGTGAAGAGTCTTTGAAATCCTGCTGTGCTCCCTTGTAGGATTCTTTGTCTTTAGGATGCTGTATCACTGGCTGCAAATTCAGATATTATGAAATACAATACAACTTGGATTCTTAAATGATTTGGAGCTAAAGAAAATGGATTTATATATAAATGAGCTAAAAATGGCACCTCTGTATTGGCCCCTATGTTTTTTACTTCTTCATAACAAGCTAGGATCATTGGCTCAAAGATTTAATTTGAGGCAGTGTATTAGTTCATTCTCACACAGCTATAAAGATATTACCTGAGACTGAGTAATTTATAAACAAAAAACGTTTAATTGACTCACAGTTCTGCATGGCTGGGGAAGCCTCAGGAAACTTACAATCATGGCTGTAGGTGAAGGGAAAGCAAGCACCTTCTTCACAAAGCAGCAGTAGAGAGAGAGAAGAGCAAATTGAGAACTGCCAAACACTTTTAAAATCATAAGCTCTTGTGAGAACTCACTCACTCATGAAAACAGCATGGAGGAACCATCCCCATAATACAATTACTTCCCACCAGGTCCCTCTCTCACGGGTATTACAGTTCAAGTTGACATTTTGGTGGGAACAAAGAGCCAAACCATATCAGGCAGAAAATTCTAATTTTCAACACCCAATTATTTGAAAAATAGTTAATATCAACAAAGTTTTAGCCATTTAGAGCTTGTCTGATTTCCATACTGTTTATAAGTTCTCCCCTAACTACAGAAAAGACCCACCCTATAACTAGGCAAGTCCTTAACCTGCTGTTGTCCTTCCGAGCTCTCTGATTCAGACTCCCTACCTTGAGCAACATTGCCTAGACATATAAGTTCCCACTAATTCTTCTGTTCCCTGGTAGTTCCCTTGCCTTTTCTGTTTCTGTGAGATAGCCCTGCACTTCAATCTTTGGAAAGCCACCTACTGAGAATGACTTCCTCTTTCATGAAACCCTTCCCAAGTGGTTGGACACCCAATAAAGCTTGTTCAACATTGTTTTCTCATGGTCATTTATTTTCCTTGATGAGTCCTTGAACTTAACACATTGTCTCTTAGCTGTCGGCTATTCTCTCACAGCTATATTATGAAGACCACATTTACATTCTTGCCCTTTTCTAAGCAGTAGACTACTGTTTCTTGTTTATTCATGACTGTTAGCTTAATGAGAAAGAATAGAATTTATTATTTAATCAAAATAGTAAATATTATCTAACAAGATATTAAATGATGAAAAAAGGCCAAGAAGTAAAAATAAATTTGCAAACTTTTAAATATTTGAGGGATGCTTATAGCTATAGCATGAAACATTTGCCTATCATAGTAGAAATCTAAATAGAATAAGATTTAAGTAAAAATGTTATTATTCTTAATGTAAACCAATTTTCTTTAGTTTTTTTAAGGTATGGAAGAGATTCCTAATAATTTTCAGCCATCTAAATAGTCATCTCATTTTCTTTCAACAGACACTGATATTTAATATTTTAAACAAAGTGATTCTCAGTGGGCCTAGTGACTGTCATATTCTTCTCTAAGACTACAGGGGTGTCAGAGTTTCCAGATAACATTATTGGAATAAAACCTTATACTCATAGCAAGCATATCAGAAAATCACTGTTGTATAGCAGCTTGAAAGCTATGGGCTTTGTTAAGTAACTAGCATCACAGTTTGTCAGAATCATCAACCACCAACTGGGACAGTGATATAACAGTTTAAAGAAGCACTGTTAAAAAGCACTGTTATCTTTTCAGTGGATGGAATTAATATTTAAAACTGTAGCTTTCACCTTTTATATTTCTGTGAATTGAGTTAGTTGATTGTTTTATGCTGAGCAAAACCATTCTAACTGTGAATATAATCAGTGTATTCCTTTCCCCAAAGCTAGAGTTTACAAAATAATTTCTGCTTAAACATTTCTTCAGTTCAAGCATTAATGACCATAGAATTAGAGTCATTTTATCTAAAAGGTTTATTTTTATTATTATTATTAATTTCAATGGAACAAAGGAAGATTTCCTGTCTCTTCCAGTTTTGTCACGTGTAGCTTCAACATCAGGCATTGCATTAGGAAAATGACAAAACTGATTTAATAAATTCCAAATGTCAACCCATATCAAAATCTAAAATGAATGGCAAATTGTTTTTCCATTTATATGAATAACCAATGCTTTTCTTCTTCAATCTGTTCTGTCCAAACATTCTACTGAGGGAAACCATTTAAATATGACACTTTTAGTTTGTTTTCATTACTGTAAAAATTATTTAAAAGTTGTTCAAATGAGACAACATATAAAAAAATGTAACATTTACATTCTTAAGTAAAAATATGTGCTTTAACCTGGAATTTATTAATATAAGACTCAATTTTATAACTTACATGCTTTGGATGTGTACGATGTTACAGGTGCTCCATCTACAGCCCTCAGGCTTTCATAATTCTGATGTCCTGGACAATGTCCAGCTGCCACTATCTCTATGTCTGCTTAAGGCCTTTCTCTAGGGAAGGCTACTGGATGTCATCAGAGCCTGGCATTCAATCTGGGAGAAGGTCTCAAATAAATTTATCCCAGATTCCTGTCTTTCAGATGGAGTAACAAATATGTGTTCTATGCTATTTCTTATGATGCTGGCTGGCCTGATAACACAACCTAATTAGCTGACTTCTCTTTCCAGTTTTAATTTCTGACTGCCCTACTAGTATTTCTGTACCTCCAAAATAAACTACTTACACTTGATTTATTTTTTCATGGGTGGCTGCTGGAGGAATCCAAATTACAAAATTCATCAGTTAAACTTCTGGTATTGTTCTCTCTCCTGAATCATGAAATATTCGTATTTCTTTTTATTCTCAAGAGAAATTAATTTCTCTATTCTAATAATAATGAGCTACACTAGCTACATCATTCATTTGCTTATAGAGACTATAATTCACTCTATATTTACTCTTTTCTCTGCCCACCTTCAATAAACACTTCTTGATAGTATTTCTTGTAAAGAACCACCTCCTCACATTGTACTCTTCAACTCACTCCAATCCAGCAAAAGGCTCTAACCCCTCCAGAATAGTACATGTGTTCATGCCAAAGTAACTTTATTTTTAAATCCAATAAATACATCTCTGTCTTCATTGATGTCAAAATCTCAACAAAATTTGATGTTATTGAATGCACTCCATTTCTTGTGAACCTTAGCCTTTGAATTTTTAATGTCTGTAAACCATTTGGGCCGTTTCTTTTTTTCCTTTTATTGTTTATACTGTACCTTTGCACAAGCTCTACACATTTCTTTTAGTTTTATTTCTTCTTTATTAGTAAGTGTAGCAACCATTTACCCAGAGCCTTGAGACAAATACCCATGAGACATAAATCATTTTCTCTTTCTTTGTATTCCCAACAGTTAATGTATTACAAAGAAACAACAACAACAATAACAACAAAACACACAAAAGAAACTACTGTTGCATACAGCACTTTGTTTTTACACATTCTCTAAGCTTTTCAGTGTCTTTTGCCTACCCATGAAATTCTCGACTGAGCCACCATCAGTTTAAGCCTGAATAATAAAATTGATTTCCAGCTCATATCTGATTTTATTCTGGCTTCCTTTCTCTAATCTCCTCTTCACACAGGAACCAGAGTAACATATTTTTTTGATACAAGCCTGGTACACAGTAAAGATACAATTTCAATTCTTCCTATTGCCTAAAAGTCCACCAGAATCTGGCTTTGCACTAGCTTTAAAAGACCATTTCCTAATGCTCTTCCATTTCTGTGTAGGCTTTTGATGTATAGTCAGGGTGGAGTCAGCTTTTGATGTATAGTCAGGGTGGAGTCAGGCATTGCAAATCTTTTTAAAATAATATAGAACACAAAAATATTGAAAATAAAATTATATGTGAACATAATAGTAATTTAGAATGAACAAACAAATCATAACAGATTATAAATGTTTAAAAACTTGCAAATTCTAAAGGCATCACAAAATACAGAAAAACAAGACAATATTATTGGTTAACTGCTTGCATTATTCTGTAGTATTTTTTACTGTGCTTTACGGGTGGAATCTCTAATTGTGTCTTCATATCATAATTAGAATATAATTTTCTAAAGAGATAGTAGAAAGATAATTCAGCCTCACATCATGTGGTATTCATTATGTATTGTTTGATGTGTAAGCTATTTACAAACAAACATAATCTGGTTGGTACCTTACAAACACAGATTCTGATTATTTTAATTGCAGGTATGCTAATCAAAACAAAAAAATTCTATGTTTATAATTTTGTGTGCTGCATTGTCAGTTTCTGATGAGAACTGCCATTTTAACTAGGCATTAATGAGAACTAGATCTTCACTTACAATTTTGCAACCTTATGAATGTAAATGTTTTCTGCTAACTGCCTCCTGCCTGTGATCATGTCACATTTTAGTTATTCTACAGAGCTTTCATCCTTCCATTTTGAGGTGCTAAAGCACATAAGCTTTTCAATGTACATCCAAAAATTGGGTGAAGAAGTATTCCTAGAAGCAAGTCCCATGCAAGTATGGTTAGAATTATAACTGTGTAATGTAACATTATATATATATATATATATACACACACACACACACACACACATACATATATATATGTACGTATTCCAGTCTCTCTCTTCATTCTAGTCTCTCTCTCTTCATATATCTCATATATCTCTTCATATATATGTAATATATACATGATATATATGTGTATATATAGAACATATGTGTGTGTATATATACATATATACACATGCATTTGGCAACATTCATTCACTGGACCCCAAAACTACTTTTTGTAGTTTGAATATTAATCTTAGCAATTTCTGTCCCCCTTGTAAGTGACTTTTCTCCTAAAAAGAGGCAACCATACTAGTAAGAGAGAAATAATATTTTTATATAGGAATTAGAAGAACAAGGATCAGTTAGCATTCATTGTTTTGAGACACAACCAAGGCATTTGGGAATGAAAAAGGAAGATCTGAGGGAGGCACTCCAAGAAATTAGAATTCTAACAAATGAAATAAATAGAGAGAAAAGAAAAAGAACTACCTCAAATCTGTAGAATTTGTCTTCACTGGAAAGAAAAAAAAAACAAAACAGGAAAAAATGATCACTTGGAATTTAGAGTGTGGACCAAGCACAACCAAAATTTAGGAAAATAGTTATGTGCACATAAGCCTGAAGTTAATTCAACTGCAAGATATTCCCTTTGGCCCAGAACCTTGCTGAGTACCATGCAAGATATTCTGTGCATGCAATACTGCCCTCTTCCCACTGCATCTTACATGCAGTAGCTTATTAAAGGCCCAAGGTACCTCATAAGTCCTTAATAGAGAGGGTAGGAGGCTTTGACAAAGAGCAAGTTGGTGGTGGTACAGGAGGTTAAAGGCCTAAGAATAGTAGTTTTGTGGAGACAAGTGTAAAAATTGCTCCCATAAAATTGGTTAGTTTTTGATTGTTACAACTATCTACTGGATATAATCACCTTGAAAGATAAAGATAATGTGTGATGATCAATAAACATTTGTAGAATGAACAACTGTATGCATGAATAATACTTGTCTACTTCATAGTACTATGAATTTGTGTTAGGAAATAATTAAGGCATGTGTTCTAGAATACAGTCCGCATTTGATTAATTGCTGTGTTGTTTACCAAGCTCTCTCATCCTCAGCAGGAATAATTTGAAAAGAAATAACATGATGATAGGTTTACCTAATATAAATAATGACATGAAATGTTAGTGTCCTAGCTTTTTAATTTCAATTTAGAGATTGTCTGATTTGATAAAATAGCAAGAGATATAAAGAATTCAAGCTAGACATAAAACCAAGAAAAATTTAAAAGTAAAATGTAAAAAGAAAAATTTGTAAGTATGGCCAAAAATATTAATACTCTCCTCTTAATTGATCAGTGAGACAAAAATAATAAGAATATGGAAGAGTTAAATAATGCTATCAACCAACTTAATTGACACATGCAGAACACTCTACCCAATAACAAAATAATTTACTGTCTTCAAAGTGTACAAAAAGTTTTACCAAAATAGACAATATTCTGAGCCATAAAATCTGTTTGAATAAGTTAAAAATTATTTAAGTCATACAAAATATAGTTCTTTCACTATAATAAAGTTATATTAGAAGTCAATAACAGAAAGATATCTGGAAAAATCTCCAAATAATTTGAAACAAACCAGCAACTTTTAAAAATAATGCATGAGTCAAATAAGACATTTTTTAAAATTACAAAATTTGTTTATTTAATGAAGGTGAACAGGAGATAAAATGAATTTAGAAATCATTTTGAATTGAAAGAATGTAAAAACACACATAAAATATTGAGAGATGCCCCTAAAGAATGATGATGTAGTGGGAAATTTATGGAAGTAAACGTCAATACTAGAAAAGAAAAATGGTTTTACATCAATGATCTCCACTTACAGCAGAAGAATCTAGAAAAAAAGTAAACCTAACCTCAAATAGAAGAAATTAAATAATGAAGATGAAAACAGAAATCAATGAAATAGATAACAAAAAGCCAATAGAGAAAATTAAAAAATCCCAAATCTGGTTATTTCATATATTCAGTAAAATTTATAAACCCATGGCCAAGTTGATGAGAAAAAAAGTCAGAAAACAAAAATTACTAATGTAAGGAATGAAAGAGTTAACATCAATGAAGATTTTTATAGCTGTCAAAAGGATAAGGAAACACTATGAATAACCATATGCCAGTAATTCTACATTATGAAATAAAGAAATTCCCTTACAGAAACAAATTACCAAAGTCATTCACTAATTAGGAAATAAACTGAGTAGCCTTATTTCTATTAAACAACTTAAATTTGTACTTAAAAACCTTCCCACAAAGAAAATTCTAGGCCAACACAGTTTCACTGATTAGTTCTACAGAATATCAAGCAATATAACAGAAAGTCTTCCTCACAATTGAAAAGGATGAAATACACTTTAACTTATTCTAAGAAGTCAGTATTACTTTAACACCAAAATCAATTATATTATTTAAACCATCTTACAGATTATTATTCCCCATCAACATGAGTGTAAACATTTTAAGTAAAATATTTTGCAAATAAAATCCAGCTGTAAATTAAATGGATAACTCATTATGACCAAGTAAAGTTGATCATACAAATGTAAAGTTGGTTTAACATTTAAAAAGATTAATCAATGCAATTCACAATAATGGAAAACTTTAATAGTAATAGAATATGTGAAAATCTCAAAAAATGGAACAACAACAACAACAACAAAATTTGACCAAATCCAGCATCTATTCCAGATTAAAATTCTCAACAATTTAGGTATAGAAGATACCTGAATTTAATAAAAGGGGCATTTAATAAAACATATAGTTGACATTATTTCAATTAGCAAAAGACTGAATATATCCACTTTAATATAAAGGTCATGACAATGATATTCCATATTCCTTCTTACTGCTTCTATTGAACATACTACTAGAATGCATTGTTGAAGCAATACCGCAAAAAAAGAGAGAGAGAGAGAGAGAAGAAGAAAGAAAGAAGGAGGGAAGGAAGGAAGGAAGGAAGGAAGGAAGGAAGGAAGGAAGGAAGGAAGGAAGGAAGGAAGGAAAAAGAAAGAAAAGAAAAGAAAGAACATAAATACATCCAGATTGGAAAAGAATTAGAAAACTGCCTTTATTCGCAGATGATGTGATAAATCTTTGGTTTCCTCCTGGGAGTGATAGTGCTCCTCAGGAGATATATGTCAATATCTGGAGTTATTTTTAATTATCACAAGTGAGGTGCTCTTGGCATCTAATATATAGAGGATCAGGATGGTGCTAAACATGCTATGATACACAGGATGGCCCCCTGCGACAAATAATTATACAGTCCAAATCCCAATAGTGATTCTGCTGAAAAACTATTCTATATAGAAAATATAGTGGATTTAAAAAAATAATAATTAAAATATTAAGTGAGTTTAGATAAGTTTTTAGGATATAATGTTAACACGTGTACATAATTATATTAAGAGCAACAAAAACTTGGAAATTGAAATTTCAAAATATCACATACAAGCACTTCAAAAATTAAGAAATACTTAGGGATACATATAGCAAAAGATGGGTAATACCCATATAGCTGAAATCTACAAATAAGACAAATTGAAAATACATAAATAAATGGAGATATATAGCTTGATCATTTGTAGGAATATTTATTTTTTGACATTATTATCTGTAAATTATATATAGATTTTGAGCAATCTCAATAAACATTTTAGCCTAATTTTTGGAGAAATTAACAAACCAATTCTACAATTAATGTGGAAATGTCAAGAACCTAGAATAGTTAACACAACTTTGCAAATAAAAAGTAAAGTTAGAAGTTCAGCACCAGTTGATTTCAAGACATGGTATAAAGTTATGGTAATCAAATAGTTTGGTATTGACTATTACATATATTGTATACATGTTATATACACATATATTCAGAACAATAGAATAGAGAACCCAGAAATAGATTTATATATACAGGGACAACTGCTATGGTTGGGATATGGTTTGTATTTCCCCACCAAAATTCTTGCTGAAATATGATCATCAGTGTGGCAGTGTTGGGAAGTGGGGCCTAGTGAGAGGTGTTTGGGTCATGGAGGCAGATCCCTCATGAATGGTTTGGTGCTAGTCTCACAGTAGTAAATGAGTTCTTACACTCCCAAGACAGGATTAAGTCTGTGAATAGATTAGTTTCCAAGAGAGAAGATTGTTATAAAGTGAGTTTTTCCTCTTGTTTGGTCCTTCTTCTCATGTGTACATGGTTGGTTCCCCTTTGAATGTCTCCAATATGTTATGATGCAGCATGAAAGCCCTTGCCAGAAGCCAGGGCCATGCGCTTGAAATTCCCAGCCTGTAAAACCATGAACCAAACAAACCTATTTTCTTTGTAAATTACCCAGTCTCAGGTTCTGTTATAGCAACAGAAAATGGATTAAGAGAACTGATTGATGAAGACTCTTTAAAAATGCAAGCAGTGGAGAAAGGACACTCTTTTCAATAATGGTGATAAAATAATTGGATATGTACATGAAAAAGAAAAAAGTTTGACTGATGTCTCTAACAATAACCAAAATTCACTTAAAATTGGCAATAAACTTAAATATGTTTCCTAAAATTATGAAAAAGATCTAGAGAAAACATAAAAGGCAAATGAAGGTTTGGTAAAAATCTCTTAGATATGACCTCCAAATTATAATTCATATAAAATGAGGGCTTTGACTTCTTCAAAATTAAAACTTTCCTTCTGAGTTTTTCTCTTAAAGGATTGAAATGAAAAGGCACAGACATAGATAATATATTTTCAAAACATATCTAATCAGAAACTTTTACACAGAATATATTAGTTTTCTATTGTTGCATAACAAATTACCATAAAACAGCTTAAAACAATATCCATTTATCATCTCACAATTCTGTAGGTCAGAAGTCCAAGTGAACTGATATGGGTTTTATGCTCAAGGTTATAAGGCGTTAATCAAGATAATGTCTGGGTTGAACACTTTAGATTGTGGTCCTAGTGAAGAATTCACTTCTAGGCTCACAATCACAGTACCATAAATTCCAGAATCTATTTCCTTGCAGATGTAGGACTGATGTCCTGTCTCATTTCTTTGCAGACTCTTAAACAAGGACATCTTTTACCTCCTTATGGTCATCCGCATTCTTTCTGATATAGTTTCTTCCATTTATATATCAGCAATGGTGCATTCATTCTTTCTTATTCTTCAAATCTCTCTGACTTGTGCCACCAGCTTGAGAAAGCTCTCGGTTTTAGGGTGGCAGTGTTCAGATTAACCCTACTAGATAATCCTCAATAATCTATTTCAGGATCAATTAATTGCCTATCACACAGAACATGGAAAGAATTCTTAAGCAAACAATTTACTTATTTATTTATTTTTAGACGGAGTCTTGCTTGTTGCCCAGGCTGCAGTGCAGTGGGTGATCTTGGCTCACTGCAAGCTCCGCCTCACGGTTCACACCATTGTCCTGCCTCAGCCTCCGGAGAAGCTGGGACTACAGGTGCCTGCCACCATGCCTGGCTAATTTTTTTGTATTTTTAATAGAGACGGGGTTTCACCGTGTTAGCCAGGATGGTCTCCATCTCCTGACCTCGTGATCCTCCCACCTCGGCCTCCCAAAGTGCTGGGATTACAGGCGTGAGCCACCGTGCCCAGCCCAAACAATTTAATTTTTAAAAAATGCAAAAAATATTTTTGAACAGATGCTTTACCAGAAAATATATATGGATGGTAAATAAACATATCATCATATACTCAACATTACTAATTACTACGGCACTGCAAAGCCAAACTACATTGAGATACCACTATACACCTACCAGAATGACTAAAATTACGAAGTCTGACCATACCAAGTATAGACAAGAAAGTGGAGTGTTTTTCCCATTCACTATTACTAGGATGTAAAATGACACAAACCCTTTGGAAATCCAACAATTTCATAAAAAGTTAAACACACATCTTTCATAAGACCTAGCCATTCCCTTTACAGGTATTCCCCCAAGAAAAATGATGGAGTATTTTTCTACACAAACTATTACATGAATAGTCAAATCTGCTTTACTGCAATATGTGAAAACTGGAAAGTAACAAATGCCCATCAGTTGGTGAACAGATAAACAAATAAATACTGGTATATACATGCAATGGAATATTATTCATAAACAAAAAGAAGGGGATTTTTCATGCCTACAATAAATATATGAATCTTAAAATGATTCTGCTGATGTTAGAAGTCAGACTGCCCCCACCAACAGCAACAACAACAACATAAAATTACATATGGTATGATTCAACTTACATGAAATCCTAGCAAAGTGAAACTAGTGTGTACTGAAAGCAGATCTAAGGTTTAGTGGGGAAAGGTTCATGAGGGGCAGGAGGGAAGAATTACAGAAGGGAATAAGGTATTTATGAGTTTATGCATGTGTTCAATGTCTTGATTTTGGTGATGTTTTATAAGCCATCAGTTTGTGCATATTAAATTTGTGCAGTCCACTATATGCAAATTATACCTTATGGCTCACGCCTGTAATCCCAGCACTTTGGAAGGCTGAGGCGGGTGGATCACAAGATCAGGAGATCGAGACCATCCTGGCTAACACGGTGAAACCCCGTCTCTACTAAAAATATAAAAATTAGCCGGGCGTGGCGGCGTGTGCCTGTAGTCCTAGCTGCTGGGGAGGCTGAGGCAGGAGAATGGCATGAACCCAGGAGGCGGAGCTTGCAGTGAGCCGAGATCGCGCCACTGCACTCCAGCCTGGGCGACACAGAGAGAGCGAGACTCTGTCTCAAACCAAAAAAAAAAAAAAAAATTTGTTAAAAATCTAAAAATAAATGCATTTTATACAACCAACTTATTTTATCTTCAAATATTTTACACCACTTTCACGTTTTTATAACAATCCTTAAAACTGTAAATGTCTATGCTTTTCTGTCTCTGTCTTTGTGCTATTACTTTTGCAAATATTTTTCTACATTTTCTGTAAAACACAAAATCTATAACACATAATTTATTTTTGATGTAGGTAACCAATTATCTTGGAATGCTCTTGAAAAGCTACACAACAATGTTTAATATTTACCTATATATTTATAATTAATTGTTTATTTTATCTTGAATATTTGGATTTCTATCAGTATGATTTCTTGGATTCATATATATAAACTTCAATTTACCTGTGAGGTATGACATTTAGGAGGTAAGTTCATTTTTTAAAGATTTAGGGCAGCAAAAGAATACAAGTCTGGAAAGAAGTGTGATGATTTGGAATATTTACTTTCAGTAATGGGAGGTGAATTAGACATGAATATGTCAATCTGGAGTCATTTGGATCAGAATGATATATTTTGTTGCAGGATACGCTTAATAACTTCTACAAATGGCAGATTTTTTTCACATTTTTAGCCTCTTTAAAAGATATTTAATATATAAAAATATAAATCTCATATTTCTATTTTGCCTTCAATTAGAAAAACATTTAAAGCTTTTAATGATAAAAGTGTGGGGAAATTTTAAGAGTATTGAAAAAATTAATAATTGATAAAAGTGTTTTTATAAATACTGACTGTATATTTTACAGTATAAATATTAATTATGAAAGTATTAACAATTGAAATGAAACAATTGAAATGAAAGTATTAACAATTTAATAGACATGCTAAGCATTTCTAATAAGCAATATATTATTTTAATGTTATTGAGAACATGAAATATTGCAGAACAGATAAAATCTATATGCAAAATAAGTTATTAAATAGTTTAGTTTATGATTAAGTTTATTTAATTCCACTTCCATTGGAGATATCAATTTATGTAAATGGACAGCTACTTAGAAAGAAAATGGGAGCTATTACAATTTTTGACATCTTTTATTTTCTCAAGGATTGATGGATTTCTTTTAAAGTAAGTGGTGAAATAATATTACTAAATATTGCTTAATAAGCAGGAAATTAGTATTATTAACATAGCTAATTTTGAGTAATTACTATGCTGAATACTGATTCAAAAACTTTGTAAAACTTAAATAATTTAATTTTACATCATTACTTTGAGGAAATCACTTTTATTAATAACTCTTTTTTTAACACGAAGAGACTGAGCTGTAGAGAAGTAACTAGTTAATAATTCCAAGCTAGAAAGTAGTGAAGCCAGGATTTAAACCCAGGAAAATGAGACACAAAACTAAATTCTTAATTAATTATGCCTAATTGAATCCATGAGACATAAACACAGCAAATAAAATAAATTTAATTTGTTTAAAGTCCAACCATTACTGATCTGGCTTCACAATATTAATTCTTTAATGAGAAGATTTTTAATCTGAAAGCAGAGCCAACTTGCTGGATGATAGTAACAAGATGCTCAAACTATTACGGCTGTGCTTCGGCATTTCCTCCCTAAAGCACCGCAGTGATTGTCACAAATTTATATAATTACCTGCCTGGAAATAAAAAGAGCTGGAAAAAAATCCATCAAATGTCTGCTTTTTTACGAGCTCAGGACATTCTGACAAGAGTAGTACATTTCAAGCCTGTGGCTCAAAATCCCATGATACTGAAGATAAATCTGAAAATTGGCATTATGCATTTTGCCCTACAGCAGCATGCCTTATTATATAGATGACTTCATCTGTTTGAAATGTGCTGCAATTTAAATATCCTCCTCCAATACCTTTATACTTAGCAACTATTCTTAAATTGTGTGGTTAAAATAAAATTATTTGTACTTTTTGTGGCAGATGATTTTGAAACACAAAGTAAAAGAAAAGCTAAAAGTTTTGACCTCCTCTTTCTCAATTATTTGAAATGCTACATCATCTTTAAAAAATTACATTCTAAATATAAAATATTCACTGTCAAATATCTCATAAACTGGCATGGAAGGTATTTCAACAGGTGAGAAATTTCTGTAATGTATAAGGCTACAAAAATATTTTCTTACACACTTGACCTATGCATCCATGATGAGATCAGTAACATACAGTTGAAATAGTCTATTGAAACATAATCTTGAAAAGAAGCATAATGCTGTTTTTAAAAGGCACAGAATATACTCAGTTAGAATATAAAGTGCATTTTTAAAAAAACGTCATTTAGAAGAAATAAGAAAACAATATAGTTATACCAAATACTGTATAGAACATACACTTAGTTTTTGATAGATTTTTTAGAGCAGTTTTAGGTCAAAACCAAAATTGAGTGGAAAATACAGAGTTCACATGTATCTCTTGCCTCCCCAAACTCACAGACTACTTACTACCCCATTATCAGCATCCTCCACCAGAGTGGTACATTTGTTAGAGCTGATGAACCTGTATTGACACGTCATTATCGGCCAAAGTACATGGTATGTTTTGATTTCTAAATGCCATTTCCTACTGATAGGAAACACAGCAACTCGGTGAGATGGCAGATATTAGAATTGAGTAGGAAAAATGTAAGTGAATTTGGACCAATGTGAAAACAATGTTCAAAATGTAAGCATTGCTGTTATTATGGTATATATATTATATTGACTCTATATATACAAATATATATAAATACACACACACACACACACACACACACACGCATAATTGAAAGTTTTGGGATGAGTAATGTAACATTTAAGTAACCTCAAAATGCCAAGTAGGATTCTCATAGAATTGTATAGTTGGCTCAACAATTGAAAGTTAAATTACTTAACCATATTAACTGAATATTTGAGAAAAGTCTTATAATCTTCTCATTAGAAACAGAAACACACTCCAAAAAATAATTAAACTCCCAATCATGATGAAACCTCTCAGGAAACTGCATATCAAGGAATTTTCTCAATCTGATGAAATGCAACTGCAAAGGACCTACCTACAGCATACATTATGTTTAATGAAAAAATATAGAAAGTCTTCCACCTAAGGTCAGGAAAAATGCAAGGTCTTCTCTTATAACTTTTGTCTGGCACTATGTCAAAGGGCCTGGCCAGAGAAACAAACAAAAAAATACACACGCACACACACACACACACACACACACACACACACGAAGACTAAACAGTTGAAATAGAAGAGATAACACCATCTCTATTTACCAATGAAGTGAAATGACAGTGTGATTTACACAGAAACTCCCCAAATTTTTTGAAAACCTTATGAAATTATTCCATGAATTTTTAAGGGAAGATGCAGTCATTAAAATTCATTTTATTTCATTATACCAGAAATAAAAAACCAAAAAATTAAAAATTATTTTACATACAATAGCATCAAGAAACAAATATAATTAAGAATAAATTTACCAAAAGACATTAATATTCAAAACTACAGTGAATTGCTGAGAAAAATTAAAGACCTAAATGGATGGAGGAGATACATATGGCATGTTCATGAATTGAAAGAGTTAATATTGCTAGCTATTAATTTTCCTGAATTTAATTTAGTTTCAACAGAATTGATATAAAAATTACAACACAGTTTTCTTTTGTAGTGATTGAATAGTATTACATAAAATTTATATGAAGGCTGGACATGGTGGCTTATGCCTATAATTTCTGCACTTTGGGAGGCCAAGACAGTAGTATCACTTGACTCCAGGAGTTCCAAACTAGCTTGGGTAACATAGTGAGACCTCATCTCTACAAATAAACAAACAAACAAAAAAGTTAACTGACTGTGATGGTGTGTGCCTGTAGTCTCAGCTACTCAGAAGGCTGAGGTGGGAGGATTACTTGAGTCTGGGAGGCTGAGGTTGCAGTGAGCCAAGATCTCACCATTAAACTTCAGCCTGGGTGACAGAGTGAGATCTTGTCTCAAAAAATATTATTATCAAACTTAGTTCTAGGAAACGTTGTCTATACAGTGTCAATTCTTCTTGTTGGAAATATGAAGTGACTTTTGTAGATTTCTATTGCTGTATAACAAAACCGTTATAAAGTTTTTGTTAAAACATCTACAAAAGCCATATTTGAGACTGGCAAGAAAACAGAAGGCTTTAAAAACAGCTAGTTAGGCTAGTTTAAAGTTTTAAGAAAATATTCACAACCCATTAATTGAAGATATGCAAACTGAATTGCAAAGTGCATGAAGAATTGTCTCCGTTCTTGGCTGCATTCTCTAACTAAGCTCAAAGTGTGGGCATTTCTGCTGGGTGGTTCTGCTGACCTGAGCTAGACTTGGTTGATCCTGATGATATTTTTCAAGCATTTGCAATCATAATTTGGGATAATTTGGGCAGATAAAATTGTGGTGCTAGCTTGTATAGTATGTCCTCCACAGAGATAACTCATACACTTCAGGCAGACTAGCCCACTAGGTTCTCATGGCAGAAGCTGGAATTAAGAAAAAGAGGTTAAGCATACAATGTCTTTGAAGTTTTTATTCAGTGTATCACACTATTTCTTCTGATAAAGTCCATTGCATAAAACAAGACACACTGAAAAGGTCTTAGGCATAGGGAGGGGCTAAGAATTAAGTCCACTTTTTCAATCAATCTTCAATAAATTTTATTATAATTTATATTGACAGCTGATAAAAACAGAGGTTGGACCATCAACTGCATATACAGTATAACTATCACTTACAAAAAACAGACCCTTCTTTTTGAAAAACTAATGTGCTGCAATGATAATAATAAATGAATTTATTACATCCTCACATTGCTTTATAACCATTGTCCAAAATTGTTTGCTTGATAATTTATGTTCTTCATGACTTCTGCCCATAAGAATTAATTAGGGATCACTTTTAACATCTTTCTGTCTTTTGCTTACCTTTTCAGTCATAATAATAAAAAAGCTCTGGATGAGGTCTTGTTTGTCATTTTGATAAAAAACATACCTCGTACAATAAGTCCTCTAAAATCTTACATTTTCACAATGCTACTAAGAACCTCAGTCCAGATGGCCTTGCAATGACATTGTAACTGGGTTCCAAATTTTTATTTATTCATTAATGAACTACTAATTACCCTTTTTCCTATATTCACAAATATATTAGATTCTGGAGAAACAAAAGTTACTGATACGTTGGACTTGTCCTTAAGTAACTTTCCGTATCTTGGAGAGATTTGTTTACGAAATAGTAAGTACTATTTAGCCCTATGATAGAAATGCACACACTGTACAAGGGAATAAGTGAAAAAAATCTACCACTAGTATTTCTGTTTAACTCATGGTATTGCCTCAACAACTCTATAATTAAGAATTAACATAAATATATAATTATAACTATTGATACAGTAATTTTAAGTGACTTTTATAATAATTATAGACAAAAGTATTAAGACTTAAATCTTTTTCTTTTGTGCTGGTCCCAACGTCCATACTTTTCCTTCACGTTATTTCCTATTGCACTTTGTTTGCTACAAGTTGTTCTGTGAAGGCCAAAAAGCACATAGTAAAGATTACAAATTTCACATGATAAAAGGGCTAGGAATATCATCAAAATAAAGTCACACTTTTTAAGAACAGGCTAAAATGCCCTAAACCCATTATCAATAGTTATTATGTGTGAGGCTGTATTTGAACATTTTATGTGTTTTATGTGTCTAGAACTTTATAAAGTTATAATACATGATATGACAGAATTTTATTAAAAGATATGAAACTCTCTTAGTTGGCAATGTAGAAAATCACATTCTATCTGCATGAATTACCTAGATAATTGCAGTTGCAAAGATAGCTACTCAGGTGTAGATTCCATCCAAAACTTTGCAGTTCACTCCACTTGACTTCCATTAGGAAGTAATAGTATTACTAGAACGTATCCTATGACTTTTTACTATGAAATTCTCAAGTAACTACCTTATTCTGGAAAGCTAAAGTTATTTAAGCTCAAATTACTTATTAACTTACAAACATAAAGAATTATTTTCTTTTTAAATTTAACCTTAATTTTGGAATTTGAACCAAAATCAATTTGTGAATTTTGATGCTTTTTTTATGTATGAAAATTATGAAATTTTTGTAATGTTTTAACCAAATAACTTGACATCTAGAAATAAATTTTAAGAAATCATTTATGCATTTAAAAATTTCCATACATAGATATTCATTATGCTGCTATTTATAGTAAATAATGAGAAGACATAAATAACAAATATTAGGAGATTGATTAAATCAGTTATGCAAAAGATGAATGTTATGCATTCTTTACAGTTATATTACTGTCATGTAACAAAGAAAATATTTTCAGCATATGTTGCTGTTGCTATATTAAAGAGCAAGTAGAGAACATATGCATTATGAATCCAAATATTTTAAAAAGAAAAAGGAGAAAGAGGGGTAAAGAGAAAGGTATGGGGCATGGAGAAAAACTGTTGACCAGGTTGGTCTCAAACTCCTGGCCTCAAGCATTCTTCCCACCTCATGCTCCCAAAGTGTTGGAATTGTAGATGTGATACATTGCATCTGGTCTCTGTATGGTTTTAAATTAGTATTTGTGTACTGAGTTTGAACAAGAAACATGTAGGATACATTCAACTCCTTCATTACACTTCCAGTCTCCCCGAATTCTACAGTATATAAAATGTCACCATTAGTATAAATGGTTTTAAAAATAAAATTTCAAGAATTAAATTGATAAACCATAATCTTCGACCAAAATAAGTTATGATTCCTAATCATTTGCAGAAGTTAATAGAATTGAAACTCTATTAAAATTCTAAGAAATGTTCAATGATCTTATTGTAAAGCATCAACTGATATCAAAGTGTTGATTATAAAAAATGTTAAGATTTGTACTACTTAGTCAAATAAATTTGTTTTATTCTTTTGTTGCTATTATAAATGGAATTGATTCTTTAATTTTTCTTTTGGATTGTTTATTACTAGTGTATAGGAACAAAACCGATTTTCATATATCCTCATGTATTTTAATTGCCTTGATTGGTAACACAGACTTCACATATAGTTCTAAGACCAACTTAAAACAATCCCTCCATTGATACATTCTCTTACAACACATTCTTACTGATACTTCCCTTCATTAAATGCTCAAGAATATCCATCTTTATAATTATGGTCTATTAATTGAATCTGTGATATCACCTATATTCTATATTTGATTCACATTGACTTTGTAACCTCACAAAAACTTTCAACTCTCTTTGTGCATTTATACTCATTGCAATATTATTCATAATAGCCAAGAGGTAGAAACAATGCAATGTACACCAATGAATGAATGGAGAAAGAAATTATGGTATATACAGTTGACTCTTGAAAACATGGGTTTAAACTGTGCAGGTACAAATACACTTAGATCTTTTCCAATGAATATATTGGAGAATTTGGGGGATGTTTGTGACAACTTGAAAAAGAAAAACTCACCAATGAACCAAGCAGCCTAGAAATATAAAAAAAAATTAAGAGAAAGATATTTCATGTATGTTTAAAATATATGTAGATATTCCTTGTCTATTTTATCATTTACTATCCTAAAGATAAACAAATCCATTATAAAAAGTTAAAATTTATCAAAACTTACATGAACACAGAGCAGATATGGTGTCATTCATACTGGAGAGACATGTAAACAGATGTAAAGATGCATTATTAAATCAATACTGCATAAAATTTGCTGTAGTACCTACTGTACTACTGTAATAATTTTGTAGTCACCTCCTGTTGCTATTGCAGTGAGCTTAAGTGTTACAAGTATCCACTTAAGATATCAAATACATTTCACTAAAAATGTAAAATGCTAATTATTTTCACATGAGCAGTTTGTCTCTCCAGTAAATGGCATATCACAGTAAAAAGTGATCTCTTTGTACTTTTTTTTTTTTTTTTGAGACTGTCTCATTCTGTCGCCAAGGCTGGAGTTCAGTGGCATGATTGCAGTCACTGCAACCTCTGCCTACTGGGTTCAGGTGATTCTCCCATCTCAGCCTCCTGAGTAGCTAAAACTACAGGTATGCTCCACTATGCAGGGCTAATTTTTGTAATTTTTGTGGAAACAGGGTTTCACCATGTTGCAAAGGCTGGTCTCAAACTCCTGGGCTCACATAATCCACCCACTTTGGCCTCCTAAACTGCTGGGATTACAGGCATGAGCCACCATGACTGGCTTCTTGTGTATTTTTAATCACTATAAAGGTTTTCATTACTATAAACAAATAACACCAAGAGACCTATATGAAGCGCCACTGGTGATGCTGGAAGTGCTTCCAAAAAGCAGAAAAAAAGCCAGGTAATTATAATAAAAGCTGAATTATTTGATAAGTACCTTAGATTGAGTCTACAGCTGTGGATGCCCACCGTTTCAAGATAAATAAATCCAGCATAAGGACCGATGTGAAAAAAAACAAACAGAAACCCTTGTGACACCATCACTGCAGTTGTGCAGCAAGTGTGAAAACCTTGTACATTTTATGAAATAACCTTTTACCTCATATTAAAAATGCAGCTTTTATTTGGGCACAGAGTTTCTATTAATATAAGGCATATTCATAGACATGAACATGATTTGAAATGTAGCAAAGTCATTATATGGCAAAGCATTAGAAGCTGAAGTATTTAATGTCAGGAAATTATAGCTTGATGATTTCAGAAAAAGATTTCACTTTAAAAATACCACGATAACAGGAGAAGCAATTTCTGCCCACCAAAAGGTAGCAGATGAGTTCCCAGATGCCACTAAGAAAAATAGTTGAGAACAAAAAATATCTACAGTGAAAGTGCTCTATTTTGAAGAGAAAACAATGCCACAAAGAAGATATAATAGTAAGGAAGATAAGCAAATACCAGAATTCAAGGCAGAAATAAACAGGCTAACTCTACGGTTTGTGCAAGTATAGTAGGGTTTATGAGTGAACCTCTTTTAATTATAAAGCTGTTAACCCATGGGACATGAAGGGAAAAGATAAACATCAGCTGCCAGTCTTTTGATTGCACAACAAGGAAACCTAGACAATGAGAGCCTTTTTTCTGGATTGGTTCCACAGATGGGTTGTCCACCATGTCGGGAAATACCTTGCCAGTAAGGGACAAACTTTTAAAATCCTTTTGATATTGGAAAATGCCCCTGGCCATCATAACCCCATGAGTTCAACACCAAAGGTGCTGAAGTGGACTACTTGTACCCAAACACATCTCTAATCCAGCCTGTAGATCAGTGGTCATAAGAACCTTTAAGGGTCATTACACAGGACGTTCTGTGAAAAAGATTACCCATGCCATGGAAGAGAGAGAACATAACCAATATCTGGAAGGACATTGAAGATTCCCTTATTGTTATCAAAAATGTCATGAAAGCTATGAAGCCTGAAGAAATAAATTCCTGCTGAAGAGAACTGTCCAGATGGTCATGACCTCATAGGATTTATGACAAAGTCAATCAAGAAAATCATATAAAAGGAGTGTGGATATGGCAAAAAAAAAAAAAAAGATGGGGAGTAAAAGGTTTCAAGATATGGATCTTGGAGAAATTCAAGAAATAATAGATGCCACACAAGACGAATTAACAGAAGATGACCTGATGGAGATGAGCACTTTTGAACTAGTGCCCCTTCATGAGGAAGAAAATGTAGAAGAAACAGTGTCAAAGAACAAATTGAGATTAGACAGTTAGAAGAGTTCTAATTATTCAAGACTGCTTTTGGTTTCTCTCATGATATTGGACTCTGTATGATACAGGCACTGAAACTAAAGCAAACAGTGGAAGATGGATTGGTACCATGCAGAAACATTTTTAGAGAAATGAAAAAGCAAAAACTCAGAGAGAAACTGCAATGTGTTTTCAAAAACTTAAACTGAGTGTGCCTGCCTCTTCTGTCTCCCTTTCAACCTACTCCGCCTCTTCCATCCCTGCCCACCCCTGAGACAGCAAGACCAATCCCTCGTCTTCCTCGTCCTCAGCCTACTCAACATGAAGACAAGGATGAAGACCTTTATGATGATCCTCTTTCATTTAATAAATAGTACATATATTTTTCTCCCTTATGATTTTCTTAACAGCATTTTCTGTTCTCTAGCTGACTTTACTTTAAGAATACAGTATATAACATATATAACATAAAATATATGTTAATCAACAGTTTATGTTATTGGTAAGGCTTCCAGTCAATAGTAATCTATTATTAGTTAAGTTTTTGGGGAGCCAAAAATATATGCAGATTTTGACTGCATGGAGTTGACCCCTGCGTTGTGCCAGGGTCACCTATGCAGAAAATTGAGTATTATTCATCCTTAAAAGGGAAGAAAATCCTGTCACATTCTACAACATGCACACACCTTAAGGACATCATGCTAAGTAAAATAAACCAATCACAAAAAGATAACTATTGTAGGATTTTGAATATATGAGTAAAGTAGTCAAATTTGTAGAATCAAAATAGAATGGAGGTTACCAGGGCCTAAGGAGAGGGGCTAAAGGGGAGTTGTTGTTTGATAAGTTTAGAGTTCCAGATTTTCAAGAAAAAAACTTCAGAAGATCTGTTTACAACAATGTGAATATACTTAAAACTATTTAACTACACACTTAAAAATGCTTGACAATAAATTTTCTGTTATACAATTTTTACCACAAACTTTAAAAAACTAAAGGGGAAAAGAACCCTCTGCTAACTCTTGGGGCTGGAGAAAAGGTCAAAGTGAGTAGTACAATAATTAGGAAATAGTGCCTTAATATGTCAAGCAACGGGGTTGTATTCCAGCATTTACTGATTCATCTCTTGCTTCCTTTCCTCTTTATTCTGGATTACTAACCAGTTGCCCCCAACCACAATCTTATGGTACTATCTTCTGCATATTTTTTGGATCTTTTTTTATATGTGACAGAAAAGAAGAGAACCTTTGCCTAAAATTTAATTAAATAAAAATATTTCATTTACAACCCTAGCAGTACAATCTTCGTGTTTATAACGTATTGTCACATTCACAAAACTCTATTAAATGTATAGATGAGAAAATATAAGATCTTATGTTAGTTACTATACATTGCCATAAATGATTTGATTTTTCAATATAAATAATTTCAATCCATAAAAGAAAGTATATTGCATCTATAGGCGTATAATTCCCTTTCAGGTATTTAAACATAAGGAAACAATTATTCTACCTTCAAACTTTAGTAGTTAATTTCATCTACTCTAATTCGCTTATACAAAATTTAATTCTGGTATTTTATTTTATTTTATTTATTTATTTATTTATTTATTTTTTGAGACAGAGTCTCGCTGTGTCGCCCAGGCTGGAGTGCAATGGCGCGATCTTGGCTCACTGCAAACTTCGTCTTCTGGGTTTAAGCAATTCTCCTGCCTCAGCTTTCCAAGTAGCTGGGATTACTGGCACCTGTCACCATGCCTGGCTAATTTTTGTATTTTTAGTAGAAACGAGGTTTCACCATGTTGGCCAGGCTAGTCTCAAACTCTTGACCTCAGGTGATCCACCTGCCTCGGTCTCCCAAAGTGCTGGGATTACAGGCATCAGCCATTGTGCTTGGCCTGGTATTTTACTTTTTATTCATGTGGTTAGAGTGGGCACTTGCTTTAAAAAACTCAACATCAATGTACTTTCAAATATAAGGCAATAAATAGGTAGTTCCTTGACTATTTTTAACATTATTTTTGTTCTAATGCTCATTATATTTCCTCTGTGTATTCAAAGAAATAGTTAAACTTATAACTGCAACTTGGAAGAATGCGTTTATCCATCTTTGACCTCTATTTAATAAATATTTCTGTCATTGCAATAAAATTTCATCAGACACTTAAAAGTTTGAGAAATTATAATGAATAGACGGGAAAAACATTCTCTTCTGCAAAGTTCTGATAAGAATTTGTTTCTGAAAGAGATTTTCCTCTTTCATAATGGGAAAATTCAAATCCTCACATATTACAGGCCAATTGTAATTATTCACTATTCTCATTATATTTCTTTGGGAAAACTAAATAAATTTGACATTACTTATGTATATGATTGTCTTTTTATAAATAATTTGTTCTTTGAAGTATATGAAATGGGAGTTATTTTAATTAGTGTTATGTTTGTTATTTTAGATTAAGGTTATCAACATGATGACAGGTTTTATGTATTGTCACTAGATATGCTCTAATATACACAATTATGTACTCTAGAACTATGAATGTCTCCTTCATAGAGATTCATATGTCATTTTAAGTGACATGCGTATTTAAAAATACACTATGCAGTAATTTGATTTGACAATACAAGAAAATTTGCCATACATCATTGTATATTATAGTGCATTATGTAGCAAAGTTTTGTTTATAATTGTAGATATTTATATTTACATGTATGGATATATGTACTTATGTATGTATATTTACCCATGGCATAAAATTGAGGTATGTTGGCCAGATTATCAGACAGAATCATACAAAGCCCTCTCAAGATGGTACACATGTGGCCTAAATGCAGTAGTCCTTTATTTCCTATTTTTAATTGTGTTAAACTTAATTAAAACAAACCTCTGTTACTTTATGAACATTATCCACATCATTGAGATTCAATAGCCAATTGAAAAACTGAGACAAAGACTCATGTAGAATCCCTAAAACAGGAAATAATGATACCCTTTTGAGTGTAAGGGAAGAACAAAAAGCTTGCACATGTCTTAGCTCTGACTCCCTTAATAAAATATCATAAATTGGGTGGCTCAAACAAGAGACATTTCACACCGTTCTGGAGGTTGAAAGTCCCAGATAAGCATGCCACTGCCCGAGATCTCTGGTGTATCTTCTTCTAAGAACACTAATCATATTAGAGCCCTATTCTCTGACCTCATTTACCCTTAACATGTCCTACCTCCAAATAAGATCACATTGAAATTTAGGCTTCAACATACGAATTTTAGGGGGAAACAACTTAGTCCATAGCAGTACAGATGCTTCTAAACTTGTCAAATAGAGTCCCAGAGACATATTTTTAGACATGCATATTTCCAGCCTTCATAGTTTGTTTTTAGCAATGCTTGAATATTAATTAATGAAAATGTTTATTTTTAATTTAAAATTCTAATTTTATAACTTCTTTGTTAAAAAAAAAAAGACTCTGGCAACACTTACCCCATATACTTGCATAGCAATGATCAGACAATGCTGAGAGTCATCCATTCCTTTTTAGAAGGACATTGACTCTACTCTAGTACTCACTATTCTCTATCATCTCCCTAGATCTGAGGGTAAGCTTGAATTAGCTTTTATCATTTTGTTAGCACTGTGTTACTTTTAATTGGAATTAACAAATAAAAAATGCTCATTTAAATAAAACAATGCCTGATAGAAACAATCTAATATTTAATATTTACTTAAAATAGCTTATTATTTGCCGGGTGCCGTGGCTCACGCCTGTAATCCCAGCACTTTGAGAGGCCAACATGGGTGGATCACTTGAGGTCAGGAGTTCATGACCAGCCTGGCCAACATGGCAAAACCCCGTCTCTACTAAAAATATAAAAATTAGCCAGATGTGGTGTCATGCCTGTAATCCCATCTACTCGAGAGGCTGAGGCAGGAGAATTATATGAACTCTGGGGAAGCAGAGGTTGCAGTGAGCCGAGATTGCACTGCTGCACTCCAGCCTTTGCCACAGAGCAAGATTCCATCTCAAAAATTAAAAAAAAAAGCTTATTATATATCAAGACTTCCCAAATGTAAAGCAATATATTCCCTGAACAATGAGAAAAATCTTTTCTCATATTTTTTGTTGTTTACATATTTATTTGGCATCCTTGAATATATTTTTCTTTTATGAGTATAAAGGAAATAAAAACTTCAATAATAATGCAGAATTCATTGATTTCATTGAAAGTACATAAATATATATTTTATACAAACTAATATAAAAGACAATTATTATTGCTGTATTTAGATTTATTTCATAAAACCAGACTTTTCACATGTATCTTCAAAATTTGTTTCTTCATTATCAATTAAGCTAACTTGTCCAAATTATTTCATTTTTATGCCTACTTACTTGAGGTATAAGATTTAACTCTATAATAATATAGCTTGAACTGTAATCCTTTTCCATTTACTTCTTTGTGTTTGATAATCTCTGCAAAGTAAATAGTTATTATATTTTCAAGTGTTATGTATATTGAGAAAGAGTCGGCAGCAGTAGTAACATATTTGAATTTATTCAAAATCGACATAATATCAAAGAGAGCAGTAAGCACAGCAAAATCAAAATCTCTAGGACAAAAAGAAAATAAAAGACACTGTAAGACCTGCAGAATAATAGCAACTAGAGAGGTCCGAAAAAAGCAATGAGGTGGCAGAGCTTGTAAGAACAGGAAAACCCAAAAAGTGAAGATAGATACTTCTTCATATATGCAGCAGGCAAATGTGAAAACAAGCTAAAACTGGGAAGAGTTGTTGAGCACCCCTACATGTGGGTAAGTTAACAGAAAGATCTGAAGGAGCTAGAACAGTATAAGCATTATGACTACTGGAAAATATCTGAAACCACCACCCTCCCTGGCACCGTGAAAAACTGGGAGTAGAAATGAAAATGAACAGGAGAGTTACATTACAGAAAAAAGAAAGATAATTGCAAAATACAGTGAGAATGGATTCCAGAAGATCTCAGAAATAGTGTACCATGTTTTAAAAAGGTACTTTTGTATACTAATTCTTACTAGTTCAGAGAAAAATAATTTCAACTAAAATTATCAAAATAAATTAATTATGGTCATATCTTTCACAAATTTAAAATGAAAGAAAAAAGAGTAAAGAATAAATTAATGAACAAATAGATGCTAGAAATATGCCTGCATGTCAGAAAGATATGTCCACTGAAAAATATAAAATTTATTTTCTAATGTCTCAAAATGAGAGGCCATAAACAAAGACAAAGTTAGTACAAAAGAAAAATTTGAATAAGAATCAAAAACTTAGTAGAGAGGTAGTAGATATTAGACAATGAATGAAATGCAAAATAAAATATTATTTAAAACCATTACTTTAAATAGGAGTATAAAATAAAACAAGCATAAAAGGTAATTCCTCAAAAGAAATAGAAAATGAAGGAAAAGAAATAATGAAAAGAATTAAAACAAACAGTAAAAGCTACCAAAAAGTAAACAAAAGAGCATCATACAGTTATCGGTGCCTTTAAAAAGAAACAAACCACAATAAAATATAATAAAATTTATAATTTTAAATTATTTTAAATAAAGTATGACTTAAAATGATATATTTTTTAAAAACAGTACCTGCTGCTTGGGAATATCTATACAGCAAATGACCAACATTAAGACTTTCTGTTAAAACTTCCTAGAATTTAAAGTAGTTTGATACTACTGTGTACCTACTAGAAAGTCTAAAACCAATACAATGGACAAAAACAAATGTTGACAAGGAGACGGAGCAATTGGAACTTATACATTACTGGTGGGAATGCAAAATGGAACAGCCACTAGGGGAAATAGACAGTATCTTATGAAGTTGTACTTCACATATGTTCAAGCAATATTACTGCTAGGTATTATGCAGGAGAAATGAAAGCTTATGTCACATGAAAGCCTGTAAGCAAATGTTAATAGTAACTTTATTCACAATCACATAAAATTAGAACTTGTCCAGATGTCCATCAACTGATAAACTGATAACCTAAGTATTGGACATCTATGTAATGAAATACTACCCAATAATTTAAAATGAATGAACAACTAAAATATACAGCAGCGTGAATGAATATTAGAATCATTATGCTAAGTGAAAGAAGACAGATTCAACAATCCACACAATATATGATTCAATTACATGATAAAACTAAGAGCTAAGAAAGCATACTAGTATAACAATATATGAATACTAACAGTCCTTATTCTAAGTTCATCCTCCTTTAGAATTTTTGAAAACTGAGCTCTAGCAAAAACCCTCTAGTCTGTTTCTTTACCATTCCCCTCTTGCATGTTCTATTTTAGCAGCTCAGCTTCAACTGAATACATATTGTCATTTACAGATAATGCTCAGTCTGTAATAGTGCATTTGCTTTACCTGTTGATGTATGTGAAGGCCTTCTTTGCCTCCATTGTGCTCTCAAAAGGTAACTCGTCTGCTGTTAGTATTAATTCTAAAATCCCGCCTTTTAAATATTTCTTTTCCTCTAACAATCCCTAGAACTCTGCATTTGTGTTTGCTTCAAATATTCTTGTTTTCACTTAGACTTTGGCTAGGAATTGGATCACTTTTGCTTTCTTTGATAGAAATTGCCAGTATTCAAATTGGAGGCAGAGCTGAATAGGAAATCAGTAGCCATGTATGGAGTATACATTATGAAATAACATCATTGATGATCAGGAAGGATCAATAGCTCATTAGTCTTTAAAAATCCAGTGCTCACAAACATGTGGCCTATACAAACACATATCTGTACAATATATGCTACAGAGTAGGAAGGTATGTATTGGTAAAGTTTACCCTCATAATGTTTTAAAATGTTTGTCCTCAGAGGGAATTTTGTTGTAGTTGTTTTCTGATTGGCACTCAGGTAAGTACCCCTATGTCTGCATGAATCAAGATATTTGTTCAAGCTTCCTTATGATTATTCTGTGTATTGATCCTGAAACTTTGAATTTTGAGGGCATTATTTTGTAATTATTTTTTAAAATTATAGTGTAGAGACTAACATTAATGAACTGGTGCATATATGATTACACATTATAAATATTCAATCTCTTTGAAAAATTTGTGTTAAATAGTATGTTCACATTAAGCCTTGCCAACTATTGAGTAATTCTGTCTCTAATATTATGTATATTATAATAAAATGCCATTGTTTAAAGACAATGTAATTATTTTGTTTTTAAACTGCATAAATATACATTATGCATTTAAAAAATATATTCTTGTAAATTTCTTACTTTATGCTAAACATATTCTTTAAATTAATTTTGAGCTATTATTTCATATGTAATTTTTTTGATTAATTAAAGAGGTTACAAGAGTTCATATTGTTTCCACTACATATTATCATAATATTATAGTTATATCAAGCACTATTCATTCAGTATACGCAAAATTGCAATATAAAAGGTTAATGAAAAACTCTTCCATTGTATCTATTTAGAGTTTTAACTCTGCAGGAAAGCAGAACTATACTGACCTGTATCCCATCTAAATAGACATTAATTAATTGAATATTTTATGGATTATGTAATTTACCTCCTTAACAAACAACCTTAGTGAGGCTTGAAATAGGAAAATGCTGTTTCAAATTTCAACCCAAATTTAAAATAGAAACAATCCAAATATTCACCTGTTAGGAAACCAAAATTAGTACAATCATTAACAGACATTGGTTTGTTTTGAAATCCACTTCTTAAATGAAGACCCGAGTCCAAATGACATATCTTCAAGATAAATTTATATATCTTTTTTTAAAAAATAACTTTATTACAACCTTAAGCTTTTTATTATTTTGCTCTCCCTTTATTATTTGTAACTTAAATTTACATTAACTTTAATTATATGTTGAATTAAATAGTTATTAGTTTCACAAATTAATTAAACAACTAAATAATGGCTTCTCATTTCTAATAAAATATTTTGCATGCAGATTTCAGAATGCCTACTTCTGATCTTACAAATTATAAGTGATCATGTTATAAAAAGACCACACAGTAAACACAAAAAATAAATATTCTGGAAATCATGAAATAAACATTGAGGCATTTCAAATATAAAGAAATTTTTTAATAAGCCATTATTATTAAATTATTTGTTATTAGATGCTAAGCTATTAGTACTCTTAGAGATTATTTTCATGGCCATCTGAGTTTATTAGTGCTGCTATAACAGAATATCTGAGACTGGGTAATTAATAAAGAGCATAAATTTATTTCTCACAGTTTTGGAGAGTAGGAGGCCAAGATGAAGGTGCTGCTAGATTCAGTGTCTTATGAAGGCCCAGCGTCTGTTTCCAAAATGGAGCCTTGTTGCTGCATCCTTTGACGGGGACTAATGTCCTCACATGGTGGAAAGCAGAAGGGCAAAAAGGGGTGAGCTCCTTCTATCAAGCCCTTTTATAAGGGCACCTAATATCATTCATGAGGGCAGAGCCTTCAAGACTCAATTATCTCCTAAAAATCACACCCCTTAATATAGTCGCATTAGGGTTAACGTTTCAACATGAATTTTGATGGGACAAAATTAATCAAACCATAGCAATGAATAATTCACGTTATAGGGCTAGCAACATTTTCTTATACATAAATATTACAGATTGAGTGCTATATATGTTAAGGTGCATTAAATAATTGTCTATTGCCCTTAATTTGTAGCTGATATATACATAATAAAAACTCATATACCAAAGTCAAATATATATACATATATAGTATGGTTTGGCTGTGTTCCTACCCAAATCTCATCTTGAATTGTAGTTTCCGTAATCCCCCTGTGTCCTGGGAGGGACTAGAAGGACATAATTGAATCACAGGCCTTGTTTCCCCATGCTGTTCTTGTGATCGTGAGTTAGTTCTCATAAGATCTGATGGTTTTAAAATAGGCTCCCCACTTTGGTGGGCATTAACTCTTCTCTCCTGCCACCACTTGAAGAAAGACATGGTTGCTTCTCCTTCTGTCATGATTCTAAGTTTCCTGAGGCTTCCCCAGCCATGTTGAACTGTGAGTCAATTAAATAAACCTCTACCCTCTATAAATTCCCCAGTCTTGGTTATGTCTTTATTAGCAGTGTGAGAATGGACTAATACAATAAACTGGTACTGAGTAGTGGGGTGCTGCTGTAAGATACCCGAAAATATGGAAGCAACTTTGGAGCTGGATAACAGGCAGAGGTTCAAACAGTTTGGAGGGGTCAGAAGACAGGCAGATGTGGGAAGGTTTGGGACTTCCTAGAGAATTGTTGAATTGCTTTGACGAAAATGCTGATAGTGATGTGGACAATGAAGTCCAGGCTGAGGTGGCCTCAGATGAAATAAGAATCTTGTTGGGAACTGGAGTAAAGATCATTCTTGCTATGCAGATTCATTGGAAGCATTTTGCTCCTGCCCTAGAGATGTGTGGCACTTTGAACTTGAGAGAGATGATTTAGAGTATCCGGTGGAAGAAATTTCTAAGCGGCAAAGTGTTCAAGAGAAAGCAGAGCATAAAGTTTGAAAAATTTGCGGCCTGATGATGTGACAGAAAAGAAAAACCCATTTTCTGGGGAGAAATTCAAGCTGACTGTGGAAATTTGCATAAGTAACTGAGAGCTGAATATTAATCACCAAGACAATGGGGAAAATGTCTCCAGGGCAGTCAGAGACCTTCATGGCAGCCCCTCCCATCACAGGCCTGGAGGCCTAGGGGTAAAAAGGAAGCATACATGGGAAAAATAGTTTCATGGGCCTTCCCAGGGGAGCTCCACTGCTCTATGCAGCCTGGGGTTGTGGTGCCCTGTGTCTCAGTCATTTCAGCTCCAGCCATGGCTAAAAGGGGCTAATGTACAGCTCAGGACATTGCTTCAGAGGGTGCAAGCCCCATGCCTTGTTGGCATACATATGGTGTTGGACCTACAGGTGCACAGAAATCAAGAATTGAAATGTGGGACTCTCCACCTAGATTTCAGAGGATGTACGGAAATGCCTGGATGTCCAGGCAGAGGTGTGCTGCAGGGGTGGAACACTCATGAAGAACTTCTGCTAGGGCAATGCAGAAAGAAAATGTGGGATTGGAGCCCCCACACAGAGTCCCCACTGGGGTACTGACTAGTGGAGCTGTGAGAAGAAAGCCACTGTCCTCCAGACCCCAGAATGTTAGATCCACCGACAACTTGTGCCATGTACTTCAAAAAGATGCATACACTTAATGCCAGTTGTGAAAGCAGTCAGGAGGGGTATGTACCCTGCAAAGCCACAGAGGCTGAGCTACCCAAGGCTGTGGCAGCCCGCCTCTTGCATCAGCGTGACCCGGACGTGAGACATGGAGTCAAAGGAGATCATTTTGGAACTTTAATGTTTAACGACTGTCCTATTGGATTTCAGACTTCCATGGGGCCTGTAGCCCCTTTGTTTTGACCAATTTCTCCCATTTGGAACTGGTGTATTTACCCAACGCCTGTATGCCCATTGTGTCTAGGAAGTAACTAACTTGCTTTTGATTTTACAGGCTCATAGGTGGAAGTGACTTGCCTTGTCTCAGATGAGAATTTGGACTTGGACTTTTGGGTTAATTCTGGAACGAGTTAAGACTTTGGGAGACTGTTGGAAGAGCATGATTGTGAGGACATGAGATTTGGGAAAGGCCATGGGTGAAATGATATGGTTTGGCTGTGTCCCCACCCAAATGTCATTTTGAATTGTAGTTTTCATAATATCCATGTGTTGTGCGGGGGACCAGCAGGAGATAATTGAATCATAAGGGTGATTACCCCCATTCTGTTCTTGTGATAGTGAGTTAGTTTTCATGAGATCTGATGGTTTTAAAAAGGGCCTCCCCCTTAGCTGGGCATTCATTATTTTCTCTTCTGCTGCCATGTGAAGAAGGACATGGTCGCCTCTCCTTCTGCCACGATTGTAAGTTTCCTGATGCCTCCCAAGCCATGTTGAGCTGTGGGTCAATTAAACCTCTTTCCTTTATAAATTACCTAGTCTTGGGTATGTCTTTATTAGCAGTGTGAGAAAGGACTAATACACATATGTGTGCATATTTATATAGAATATGTAGTATAAGTATTATGTTGAATATTTATAGACTAGAAGTATATAATACTTATATATATTTTATACATACTATATTATTATATATACTATGTATTTCTGTATGTATCTGTATATATTAAGATAGATAGATAGATAGATAGAGTCTGCATCTTTTCCAGGTGCATGGTGCACAGTATATATATTTATATATAGTATGTATAATACTTATACTACATATATTTTGTATTACATGTGCTTATATATAACAGAAGTATATAATATAAAAAAATGCAGTAAAACCTTGTAGGACTTATGGGGATGTTAGAGAAATACAAAGGTAGGAGCAACTAAATCTGCATGGAAAAATTTTTGAAAGACTCATGGAAGATGTTTTACCTGGATATTGAAGAGTGAATAGAAGACGTAAGAAGGAACCGTCATTCATGGAAGAAGGGATAGAGTCCTAAAAAGCATGGGAATGTAAAAAGTAAATGTAAATGATGTGCCATAAATATGACTGAAGCCTAGGATACTTATGTTTATCGAATAGTAACACTAGTACACAGGATGGAAGAATTAGAGGTACAGGAAACCAAACTAAGTGGTGGCAGAACTTCCCTGCAAAACACAGAACCCTTTAGTCTAAGATTTTCATAATTTTCTGTTTTGACCTAGTATGTCAGCTATTGGATGATTTTCCTCAAAACCTGCATACAAGAAGACACATACTGACTTTCTTTTCCTTTTTTTTTTTTTTTTTTTTTTTTTTGAGATGGAGTCTCGCTCTGTCGCCCAGCTGGAGTGCAGTGGCGTGATCTCGGTTCACTGCAAGCTCCGCCTCCCGGGTTCACGCCATTCTCCTGCCTCAGCCTCCAGAGTAGCTGGGACTACAGGCGCTCGCCGTCACGCCCGGCTAATTTTTTTGTGTTTTTAGTAGAGACAGGGTTTCACCGTGTTAGCCAGGATGGTCTCCATCTTCTGACCTCGTGATCCGCCCGCCTCGGCCTCCCAAAGTGCTGGGATTTCAGACATGAGCCACCGTGCCCGGCCCGACTTTCTTAATATTAGTAAGTTATGTTCCTTATATTTTTTCCTATCCCAACAAATTGTGGCCTGAATCATAGTTCCAATACTTATTTCTAAAGATGAACAGCAGTGTGTTTTGCTTTAATGCTGTCTAGGGTACTTATTAAAACACAAGTTCTTTGTGCCATCTTCACACAATCAGAATACTTGAAGGTAAGCCCTAAATATCTGAATATTTAGCAAGTTCCTTATGTGATTCCTATGAGCACTAATTATGGGAATTACTGACCTAGACCTTTCAAGATGCTCTATATTATGGGCAGAGGGAGAAAATAGTAACATGAAGCCAGGCATGTACTTACGGAGAATGAGTACGGCAATCCTCATTATCAGAAAATGTAGTGATTCCTTATTATGCCACTGAAGGTGAGAAAGACAAAAATAAATAGAAACAACAACAACAAAATAAATGCAAGACTAATATTTAATGAAACGTAAATTATTCTGGTAATTCTACTCTGTTCTTGCTAAGGTTCTGAACCTTTGCAGTTCTGAGGCAAATAACATTAATCTAATTTATAAAGAAATAAACTGAGGCCTGGATATTATGTTAGAGTACAACGATCCTACCTAGATTAAGGTTGTTTCTGGATCTCAATATGGTTTTTCTTAATTCCAGAAGATATAAATGGCTATAATCTTATTTTCTTCCACAATTATGGTAAGTGCATATTCACCTATTCAGACATTCTTTACAAATTTAGAAAATGTGTCTATCATACCCCCGAGGAAATCTCATTAAAAGTTTATGAACAAAAGGGTAGACAATATACTGAACATTCCATCTGTAATTGCTATTATTTTAGATTATCTAGTAGTTTATATTTAAGTATATATCTCTGCTATAAATTTAATGTATGCAATTTCATCTTACAAAAGGGATGGTAATACCACTGAGAATATCACTGGGAATACCATGGTAATAGAGCTCAGTTTTGGACATGCATTGCCAGTATTTTCTCTTCTACAGTTAAAAGCTATCAGAGTATTACATGTGTTATCAGTATTCAAATTAATAAATTGCTTGCATTTATTTGTTACTCATTATCTTATAATAACTAAAGGGACACTTTTAATGTTATAAATTAGCAAGTCTATTTGCTTCTTTTCAAAGTTTTTATTAGTTGTATTTTATTAGTGGTATTTATTAGGTAGTTTTTATTAATGTGTTACATAAAACCTTCAATGCTTTTTCTCCTAAAAAATTTGACATAATTTAGAAATTTATTTTATTATATTATCATTCTAATAAAAATAATTTAAAAATCACTTTTCTGCCTGCAAAGAATTTATTTAGTTCCAAATATTTGCATGTTCATTCACTCATATTTACACAATTATCCTTATAAAACTCATGAAAGTTAGCCTTTATAAATGTCTTAACTTAAAATGATTTAGATTTAGTTGAGTTTAAGCAACTAACTTAACACTAGTTAGGAATGTAGCTGTATATCAAAACCAAGCTTTCTCAGTACAAGTTGTATTATTTTTCCCCACAAAATAATTTATTTTTCTCATTTTTAATGTGTACACTTTTAATTGTGTCATTTATAACGTAATAGTGCAAGCATCCTAGAGCCTAGATTCGAGGTCATTTGAAAAGTAAAGTATTTGCATATGTGCATAGAAAATCCCTGGGTAAGGCAGGATCAATTCATAATTCATCGTTGCTCTCTTTCTGTTTTTCTCTGATGATTCCTGTCACTTCCAAATGTTGCCTTTATCATTAATTTGGTATCTAGATGATTGGAGATATGCCCACATCAAACGCAATGTGCAAAAATGGAAAAAAAGTGACCAAGTTATTCAGTAAAGTGAGGAAATTTTACCCATGTTACTCCCAGGTGATATTTTCCCATGTCTGATTAGCTGACTTAGGTTGTAATCACATTCTTAATTCAATCACCATTGTGGACTTTGAGAGCTCAATAATTCGTTTGACTAATCACAATTTGTAACTAGAGCTGAGAGTAGGATCAGCGTACCTCAAGTCATTGAAATGATATACAGATCATTTAGGAAGAAAGAAGCAGGGAATTTATATTTTAAAGAAAGCCAATAAAAGTGTCTTTCACATTTGTATTCTGGTTGTAGGATTAAATTGACTAGATCACCAAATAAGATGGAGATAGATATTCTAAAAAAAGATCTATAAACATTTGTGTTTGGTATGTGTATGTGTGGGTTTGTTAAAAACTGTGGGTAATATATGCAAAAAAATAGAAATCTGAGTAAGATACAAATGCCTACTTATTAAAAAATAAACATAAATTAGAACAAATTACATACACACTCCTAGACACACATTTGTTTTTAATTTATTTACGATGAAAAAGGAGAAAATATTTTTATGTTTTAATATAGCTGCAGACACAAGGAATTTACTTGATAATTTGAGGGGAATTATATTATTAAACTTTTGAGGGTGGCAGAAAATTTCAGGCATTTCACTATTGTTTGTATTGTTTACTTAGGCTAAGCAATCATCTTGTACTTTGGTGACATTCCTTGAGAACGAAAGAATAAATCAAAATGAGGAATAACACTCTGTGTCCTTTTAGCACGGTGCAATTAGTATCAAAGTAAAATATCAACATCGTTGTTTGTTTTTGAGATAAACTTAAGTGAGAAAAGTTCATAGTGGGCGACAATAAAATTAGTCTATTTGAGCCAAGCTATGTGATAGTAACCAATAAATTCTGAAATCACAGTGTTTAAGGACCAGAAAGGTTAATTTATAAATCACAGAAAATCTGCTGTAGGTCAGAGGAGTCAATCTTCAATACAGAAACTTAGTTTTCCATGTTCTGCTCTTCTTATCCTACTGTCAGCTCCACATGTGAAATACGAAAGGCAGAGAGAAGAGGCAAAATCATTTTTAACAGCCTTAGCTGGACACATATCACCTCAATCCAACCCAAATGCATAAAAGACTGTGATATAAAAGATAAAGTATGTATAGGCAATGTGTACTAACTACAACAGGAGCTTTGGCTGAGTGTGTGGGGAGTCAGTGTTAGAGGGTAAAGGAAGAAGGGAAGAACAAAGAGGCAGTGTGAGGTTTTATAATTGTACCCCAATATCCATGTCTCATCTCTTGAGTAATTATTCTTTCATGCTTGGCTACACATCCCCTTGACCAACAGAATGATATTAGAAGAGGTGGCCGGGTGCAGTGGCTCACGCCTGTAATCCCAGCACTTTGGGAGGCCGAGGCGGGTGGATCATGAGGTCAGGAGATCGAGATCATCCTGGCTAAACGGTGAAACCCCGTCTTTACTAAAAATATAAAAAATTAGCCGGGCATGGTGGCGGGTGCCTGTAGTCCCAGCTACTCGGGAGGCTGAGGCAGGAGAATGGCGTGAAGCCGGGAGGCGGAGCTTGCAGTGAGCCGAGATCGCACCACTGCACTCCAGCCTGGGCGACAGAGCAAGACTCTGTCTCAAAAAAAAAAAAAAAAAAAAAATGAAGAAGAGATGTTTTCCTGTTGAACAAGAGCCTCAAGAGACCTGTCATATTTTATTACTGCCAAGAGGAGTGGATATGCTCCAGATAGAGTCTGCTTAATCAACACTACAGGGGACAAGAAAGGTCAATGGAGTGACCCATTGGGCTTTCTATTTATGGCTTCAGGGTTTTCAAGATTGTCTCAGCAACCTCACAGACACTCACTTTCTTCATTGCTCAGGTAAATGCTAACTTTCTCGTATGAAATTCCAGAGGTGATACCTGAAAGGTACTAGGTTTATGGTCAAAGTTCTGATGAAGGGAATCTGAACTGAGTGAAGCTATAATAGACTCCATTCTGTTCCACCTCCCACTGAGGCTGAGGAGCCAAGAGATTACAGCAGGATTCTAGCCAAGGCCTATGCTAAAATCCACTTGATTCACCTATGTACTTTCTGTTTGAGGTTAAGCTGTTAATTTTACGTCGCTGCAGTTTTTTTTTCCGGTACCAAATTGGAAAAAATAATAGCATCTAATTCAAGGATTTGTTTTGTTAGATTATATCTGAATAATGCTATTTAAATTGATGCTTTAACAAAGTTGAATATTCTTGACATAGAACTGACTACATACACTGTCAAAAAATAATCATCTGATGAATTTAAAACGTAAAATATAGGAGGATTAGAAATATCACATGTATTTACAAGATTAATACTTTAAAATATCTTTATAATATAATAATTACAAAGGTGGCCTAAATTTTTATAGCTGGAAGACACTTGTTCTATTATATAGGTCCTTTTTTTTTAGTCTTACATTTGTTTCCCTTTTTAATATAATAATTTTTACCTTCAAAGCAGCAGTGTGGGAAGAAGAAAACAGTGTAAACATCAACAATTTCCAATTAGGAGCATGTGGTCGCCAGCACACGTATACCTAAGAGTTTGGTGCTTTAAAGACCTGGTGGTTTTTAGATGTCCATTTCCATTCATATGTACCAATTTCAATGACTTGACCAAGTTTAAAAGCCTCTTCAAAACATATAATGTTAGTGGTTTAATGTAAAAAAAGAAAAACTAATATAATCCCAGTTGTGCCTTGAAAGCTCATTTATACATAGAGAGCAGTTTTGAGATTTATTGGTTCTTTAGACTCAGTGTAAAGGAATCACAAAATATATTTTCATAAGGACAACTAAACAAGTTGGTTTATGGCATAATAAAATAAGGGAAATTACTGAGTGTTTTGGGGGCAAAAAATAGCAGTGATCTCACTCTGTTACCTCAGAGGTTTAAAATGGTAGAGGAATCTTGGTGTGCAGGCTATAATTGTTAATGGCAAAATGCTCAATAGAGACATGAAAGAGCAAAAATGATGCTCTGAGGACCAACAATGATTCAGAAGACACTCTAGATAGCAGGCTCAGGGTAGTAATTTGATTTGAATTATGTTTCTCATACCAATGAGAAAGAAAACATGAATTATTTGGAAAGCTAACCACAAACATACTTGTTAAAAATAAAATATATATATATTACTAATAAGCAATCTTCATCAGTATTGCTGCTTTAAAAAGTATTTACTTATCTTTAATTTTAAAGAAAAAAATAAAAAGTTCTGTTTAAGATTTTTACAGTATCAATTTAATTTGAAATTCAGTTAATGGTGCATTAAAAAATGAGTCAAATTGGATAGTTTGTAACCCATAGGATAAATGCTTGAGGGAATGGATACTTTATTCTCCATGATGTGCTTATTTTACATTTTATGCCTGTATCAAAACAACACACATACCCCATAAATATATGTATCTACTATGTACTCACAAAAATTTTTTTAAATAATGAAAAATGTTAAAAATTGAGTCAATTTCAAAAGTAGATTATTCTCATTATGTTTTCTTTAAAAAGAAAAACTTTTGAGTAGTTTTGAAATATATTCAGTTTAAACTTAAAAAAGTAGTTTTATATAAACGTTATTATTTATTGAGAACTAGATACATACAATGTGAGGGTAATGAATATCTTAGAAATATAGAGTGGCATCAGAGAAATCCAAAATTATTCTAAAGTTGTTCTCAAGTTTTCAGCTTGCGAATCGTTTTTGCATTTTGTGCTCAGTTAAATGTATATATTTTTGCTAGCTAAGTAATACAGATTCAAATACTCAGTGAAATTTGTGTTTTATAGACAATAATTCTGGGTCTTTAATTAAGCCAGAGCTGATGATTATTGACTAAATCACACAATGGATCCATTCACATCTTTTCAGTGTACTTAAAAATTGTTCATGTATTTGACTATTTGCATAAACAGACTGGACAATGCAGATATTTAACAAATTCAGGAAAGTCCCTTCTGATTAAAAACAAACAAATAAAAACCTTAGAGATTTGTAAGTAGATTTGCCAAACTATTTTTTTTTTTTTTACAGAAAACAGAGGATACAGCCACATCATTAGAGGCACATTGGTTTAAGCATAATTTCTTCCTAAAGCAATAATATTTATTTGTTGATTATTAATGGTAATAGTTAATTTGTTGATTATTAATTATTTGTTGATATATTTAGTTTAATATATAAACTAAAAATTTAAAATTTCTTTGGAAATGACAGCAAATCAGATTAATATGTGTTCATACTAGAGAAAATAGTAAATTCCATCAACAAAAGCATTAAAAAGTTACCACAAATATATAGAAAATATTCCTATAATATTAATGTAATTATATTTTCATGTACTATAGAGGCAAGAAGAACGACAGTTTCAGAGTATAGAAAATTTTATCATAGACATAATGTAGCTAAAGAAAATTCAATTTTTCAGTAGGTAGCTTTTGTATTTTTTCTATTCATCAAGTAAGCATTGAAGTCTTTATCTTTTAAAGACAGTATTCGAATGAAGACTTTTAAACTCAAGAATTAGTTACAGCATTTCTAATTCATTGACCAACCTTTTTCCAGCCACAGTCCATATGTTTTAATGCTACAGTGTTTTATATCATAGAACAAGTCAAATGGTGCATAAAACAGAATAAAATATCTCAATGTCTTAGATTTTTTTAAAACAAATTACCTTCTGTTTGATTAAGTCATTCAGTTTAGAAATATCAGCCATCAATATTTGATTAAACTATTAACAAAAATAAGTAATCAATAATATTTACACATTAGACTTTCTATTTAATTTTCTAAAAAAGTTATATTCGTAATTTTTTTCTTAATTACACAAGAGTCACTGCATGTGTTCTGCAGTTAAATAAACAAATCAACTAATTAACATCTTTGTATTTTCATGTTGACCTATTTGCCCCAGAAAATGTCATTGCCCGCATAATATCACTAAGATACACTGCTGTGCTGCATTATTGAGAAATTAGAACATAAAATAAAAATATTAATTAAAATTAAAAGCCCTATAAACAAAATATAGTCAGCAAAATGAAAGGAAGTAACTGAAAAATACAAAGAAAAGGATACTGCTAAAAAACATGGATCTTTTATATGCTCACAAATTTTGAAGTAGCAAACCTGTCTCCTTCTTCAGCCTAGATGAATAGTGCTGACAGAATATCCCAGAAAGTCATGTAGTCAGGAGTCACAGGCAGTTGTAGATAGATTGGGGATTTAGAGGGCAAAGGAGATGCTCTAAGTGAAAGCACCAATTTATCATATTGATAAATCATATTTATCATATTGTCTCGCAGACAATACTGAGTCTGCAAGAAATACCAGGAAAGCGGGCAGATAGCAAATGACAATGAAAGAAGAAGTAGAAAAGATGTTTATCTTCTATTTTAACACAATTGATAAAAAGGGAAGATTCTTACGATGTTTTTAAATTTTGGGTGAATTGTATACTATACTATTGGGTTTCACTGTAATATATTTATGGCTATAAAACAAAATAAATCTCATATATAAGTCCATGTAATTTTTCCTTAATGCAATACATTTTATTTTTAAATCATTCAATAATGATTATATTATTGACTTTAATGTCAAATAATCTTATGAAATATTACTAAGACTCTTAAATGCCTATTAAATTGAAAAATGTGCATCAAATTTGTGTGAGGATAAAAGGTAACCATTTGTATCTGTGTAACACTATAAAAACAAAGCAACAAACAGAAATTATTTTACACTGATCAATCATATTTTATTTATTTATTTATTTATTTTTATTTATTTTGAGACAAATTCTCGCTGTGTCACCTAGGCTGGAGTACAGTAGCACAATCTCAGCTCCCTGCAACATCTACCTCCCAGGTTCAAGCGATCCTCCTGCCTCAGCCTCCCGAGTAGCTGGGATTACAGGCCTGCAGCACCAAGCCTGGCTAATTTTTGTATTTTTAGTAGAGACAGGGTTTAGCCATGTTGGCCAGGCTGGTCTCGAAATGCTGATCTCTGCCGGCCTCGGCCTCCCACAAAGTGCTTGGATTACAGGCATGAGCCACCCCTCCTGGCCTATATTTTAATCAAGTAGTTTGAAAGTCATGCTACAAACTTATGCCAAATAGATGAAGCTTTACTGTGAAAATATTAGTTGTTGACCTATACATGTTAAATATTAGGTGATTTTAGAGATGTCACATCATTTACAGGCCAAGTTTTTCCCATACAATTACATTAAAGGTTCTTTCAAGTTATAAGCATATTTTGTTCATAGATATTGTGTGGTAAAGATCCAGAACTATCCAAGAATTTTCCCAGGAATTTATCTATCTCTTCTAGGTTTTCTAGTTTATATACATAAAGGTGTTCCTAGTATCCTTAATGATCTTTTGTGTTTTAGTGGTGTCAGTTGTAGTATCTCTTGTTTCATTTCTCAGTGAGGTTATTTGGATTTTCTCTCTTTTTTTCTTGGTAATGTTGCTAATGGTCTATCAGTATTATTTATCTTTGCAAAAAAACAACTTTTTGGTTCATTTATCTTTTGAATATTCATTTTGAATATTGCCAAAAGTAATCTATACTGGTTTTTGTTGTTTCAATTTCATTTAGTTCAGCTCTGATCTTGGTTATTTCTTTTACTTTGCTGGGTTTGGGTTTGGTTTGTTCTTGTTTCTCTATTTCCTTGAAGTGTGACATTAGATTAACTGTTTGTGCACTTTCAGACATTTTGATTCAGGCTTTTAGGGCTATGAACTTTGCTCCTAGCACCACCTCAGCTGTATCCCAGAGGTTTTGATAGGTTGAGTCATTATGGTCATTCAGTTCGAATAATTTTTTAATTTGCATCTTGATTTTGTTCTTGACCAAATGTTTATTCAAGAGCAGGTTATTTAATATCCATGTATTTGCAAGGTTTTGAGTGTTCCTTTTGACGTTGATTTCCAGCTTTATTCCACTGTGGTCTGAGAGGGTGCTTTGATATAATTTCAATTTTCTTAAATTTATTGAGGCTCATTTTATGGCCTATCACATGGTCTATCTTGGAGAAAGTTCCATGTGCTTTTGAATAGAATGTATATTCTGCGATTGTTGGATGAAATGATCTGCTTCTATCTGTAAAGTCCTTTTGTTCCGAGGTATAGTTTAAATCTGTTGTTTCTTTGCTGACTTTCTGTCTTGATGGCCTGTCTAGTGCTGTCAGGGGAGTATTGAAGTTTCCCACTATTATTGTGTTGAATATTGCCAAAAGTAATCTATAAATTCAATGTAATGCCTGTCAAAATACTAGAATTAGAAAAAAAAAATCTAAAATCAATATAGAAGCAAAAAAAGAGCCTGCATAGCCAAAGCAAGACTAAGCAGAAAGAACAAATCTGGAGTCATCACACTACCTGATTTCAAAATATATTCTAAAGCCATAGTCACCAAAACAGCATAGTACTGGTAAAAAAATAGTCACATAGACCAATGGAACAGAATAGAGAACCCCAAAGTAAACCCAAATACTTACAGCCAACTGATCTTTGACAAAGCAAACAAAAACATAAAGTGGGGAAAGGACTCCCTTTTCAACAAATGGTGCTGGGATAATTGGCAAGCCACATGTAGGACAATAAAACTGGATACTCATTCTCACCTTATACAAAAGTCAACTCAAGATGGATTAAGGACTTAAATCTACAACCTGAAACTATAAAATTCTAGAAGATAACATTGGAAAAAACCCTTCTAGACATTGGCTTAGGCAAGGATTTCATGATGAAAAACCCAAAAGCAATTCCAACAAAAAAACAAAGATAAATAGCTGGGACCTAATTAAACTAAAGAGTTTTTGTACAGCAAAAGGAACAGTCAGCAGAGTATACAGACAACCCACAGAGTGGGCGAAAATCTTCACAATCTATACATCTGACCAAGGACGAATATCCAGAATCTACAACAAACTCAAACAAATCAGTAAGAAAAAAACAATCAATCCCATCAAAAAGTGGGCTAAGGACATGAATAGACAATTCTCAAAAGAAGATCTACAAATGGCCAACAAACATAAAAAAAGCCTCAGCATTATCAGGGAGATGCAAATCAAAACCACAATGCGATACCACCTTACTCCTGCAAGAACGTCCATAATCAAAGAACCAGCAAACAGCAGATGTTGGCGTGGATGTTAAGATCAGGCAAGACTTCTACACTGCTGGTGGGATGTAAACTAGTACAGCTGCTATGGAAAACAGTGTGGAGATTCCTTAAAGAACTAAAAGTGGAACTACCATTTTATTCGGCAATCTCACTACTGAATATCTACCCAGAGGAAAAGAAATCATTACTCAAAAAAGATACTTGCACACACATGTTTATAGTAGCACAATGCACAATAGCAAAATTGTGGGACCAACCCAAATGCCCATCAATCAGTGAGTGGATAAAGAAACTGTGGTATATATATATGACAGAATACTACTCAGCCCTAAAAAGGAATGAATTAACAGCATTTGCAATGACCTGGATGAGATTAGAGACTATTATTCTAAGTGAAATAACTCAGGAATGGAAAACCAAACATCATATGTTCTCACTGATATGTGGGAGCTAAGCTATGAGCATGCAAAGGCATAAGAATGACACAGCAGACTTTGGGGACCTGGGGAGAAGAGTGGGAAGTGGGCGAGGAATAAAAGACAACATTTATGGTGCAGTGTATACTGCTTGGGTGATGGGTGCACCAGGATCTCACAAATCTCCACTGAAGAACTTATTCATGTAACCTGTACCTCAATAACTTATGGAAAAAGAAAATTAAAAAAATAAAAATAAAAAATAAACGGATACTATAGAAGTTGGGAGTAAACTTAAAAAAAAAAAAAAGAAGAATCCAGAACTATCAACCCTAATTACCACATCAATTTCAGCAAGTACAGATTTATCAAAAAACCACTTTTCTATTTTCAAGTTTACTATTTCCATCACTATCATCACCACTACAACTACTACTATCACTATTACCAGTAATATAACATTCAGTTATGTCTGTCACATTACTTTATGGCTGGAATAAATTTTTCTTTCTTTACTCCATGATGGTTGAGGTCATGTTTACTGGTTTTGTCCCTTAGCTCCACTCTGATTGATGCCTTGTCACTTACCTGTGTGTTTATTGAATACAATACTTCGTCTAAAACTTTAAGAAAAAATGTTAGATTTTAATTGAATTTTGCATTGTTGAAATATTTTTTGCTTTGATTTTTAATCGTGGGGTTTTTTTTTGGGCTATCATGTGTGGATATTCTTGAGGACTGTATACAGTACTCTTCTTAAGAGAAAGTGGAAGGGTTTTGTTGTTTGCTGGTTGGTTTAATTTTTATTATTATTATTATTACTATTTTAGAGACGGAGTCTTGCTCTGTCGCTCAGGCTGGAGTGCAGTGGCATGATCTCGGCTCACTGCAAGCTCTGCCTCCTAGGTTCACGTCATTCTCCTGCCTCAGCCTCCCGAGTAGCTGGGACTACAGGCGCCCGCCACCACGCCCGGCTAATTTTTTTTGTATTTTTTAGTAGAGACGGGGTTTCACCGTGTTAGCCAGAATGGTCTCCATCTCCTGACCTCATGATCCGCCTGCCTTGCAAAGTGCTGGGAGTACCGGCATGAGCCACCGTGCCCGGCCTGGTTGGTTTAATTTTTAAAATAAATATATGGAGTACTATCAGTCTCTGACCATTAAAAAAATTGAGTGTGAGTTTCTTTGAAGCAAACATTTAAGTGTGTGAAGTTTACTTTGAATACATTTTTATCACTTGTCTTTTTTATATCTGTTATTTTTATTCATTGTAATTTGAAGTTCTATAAATTATCAAATATTTTATATTCTATTTTATATAATTTAGTAATATTTTGTAAGAATACAGTAATATTTATAATATTTGACGTTTTTATATTTCTCTTTTGCTCACTATTTAAAGAAAAGTGTTTTGTTCTTTATCTGACAATTTGCTCTTCATTCTTAGTTATATTGTTTTGGTGTAGAAGAACTTGGCCTGAACAAATTTTGCAGTTTTACTTTATTAAGATTTTTTTTTGTGGACACATGTATGACCAATGTTTAAAATTTGCCATAACTAACAATGTGTGCATTTTATATTTGTGAGATTCCCATCGTGTGTATATATGAAGCATATATTTCAAATTGTTATCTTCAAATTTATGTGAGCTTATTTATAGTTACAATGAAAAATGTGTTTTATGCATATGTTCATTGCATCACTATTTACAATAACAAAGACTTAGAATCTACCTAAATGCCCATCAACAATAGACTCGATAAAGAAAATGTGGTACATATACACCATGGAATACTATGCAGCCATAGAAATGAGCTAATGATGTCCTTTGCAGCAATATGGATGGAGCTGGAGGCCATTATCCTAAGTTAACAGAAAACCAAATGCCACAGGTTCTCACTTAGAAGTGGGAGCTGAACACTGAGTACATATGGCCTCAGAGAAGGAAGCAAGAAACACGGGGGCCTACTTGAAGGTGGAGGGAGGGAGGGAAGTAAGGATGGAAAAACTACCTTATAGGGTACTATGATTATTACCTGGAAGGTGAAATAATCTGTAAACCAAACCCCTGTAACATGCAATTTACCTGTATAACAAACCTGCACATCTACCCCCTGAACCTAAAGTAAGTTGGAAAGGAAAAAAAAATAAGATTCCCATTAATATTCTAGTATGGATTCAACAGTAAAAAAATAAAATAAAATAAAATAAAATAACAAGCCTGCACATATACCCCTGAACTTAAAATAAAGGTTTAAAAAAGTGTTTTAGAAGTTTCATTATATGTATGTTTTTTCCATATATTTTAGACCAAAATAGTTTTATGCTAAAACCTTATATTACATTGTACAGAAATATCAAATATAACCATATATTTAATCTACGATTCACATATAATTATGCTTTGTTACTTTTATCATTTTAATTTAGTTTTTAGAATATAATGATACCTTAGATTTTTCATTTGTTTGCTATTTCTTTATTATATTCTTACACATCCTTTAAATTTTTCTGGGTCATTTATATTCAGATTATTTTTTTTAAACATATTCTAACCAAAAGTTTTCTGTTAATATAATGCAAAATTTCAAAATGAAGGAAAATTTATCTTAAATACGGGAACTTATCAATAACAATAAAGTTGATGCATTTATTTTTCCTTCTGCTGTTTTAAACTAAGGTCTCTGTGCCTAGATTCTATGATAGATTGCAAAGATGGCTGCAATTCTTTGCAACTCTTCTTCTCAGTGGAGTCTATTGTTCCAAAACTTGAATTTGCACTGACCCAGTGACTTACCAGAGAAGTCAATTGTGTGTGAGTTTCTAAGCCTGTGTGAGTTAGAAATGTGTTCTTACTTGTGGTATCCATGCCATGATTATCATGTGAGCAAATTTAGGGTAGCTCACAGAGGATGAGAGACCACATGAAGCCCCAAATCAGCTGCTTCTGCTGTTGTATTTTAGACCAGCTAGTCCTCAGCCCACCCAGTAGCTGACTCCAAATACATGAGTGAGCTGAACCAAGATTGGAACCACACAGCTTAGTCCAGCCCAAAATGCTGACCCCCAGAATTGAAAAATTGAGAGCTAAATAAATGGTTGTTATTTTTAGTCCCTAAATATTGATATGCATGCTTACTCATACAAGCTCTCTTATATTATATTCTCTCTCTCTCTCTCTGCTATTTTCACAAACTTTTTTATTATTTAACCAAACTGAAGAGAGACTCCTGCTTTGCTTTAGCTCTGAGAATATTTCTCTAACTATGCTTTCATTTTGATCAGATCTTTGTTTCTGGATACATTAATAGACAGATTTTTGAAAATCTGGATCTCATCTTTATGGACCTTTATGTCCATGTTCAAACATTTCAAATTTTTGCCCACTTGTGCTAAATTGTGTGACAATTTCTAGTTATCCAGTTTTCATCTATCTATCTATCTATCTATCTATCTATCTATCTATCAATCATCTATCTATTCGTCTATCTCCCTCATCACCAATTTGCCTATCTGTTTATCTGACTATTGTAATTATTCTCCAGTAATATATCTATTATTTTCTTCGAGAAATTTGGCATTCTCTGTCGAGACTTTGGCTTTTCTCAAACATTTCCTTATATGTGATTTTGTACTTACCTAAATACTTGAGATTCTCTGATTGCCTCTGGGTTCATTTTTTCTTTGTTTTCTATAATTTGCCTTCATTGTGTCTATGGGAAACTGGGACATTCTGGGAATACAAATACGAAACATGCTCCCTTTTGACTTACAAGTGTCTCTCTCCTTCCATTGTTGCCATCAGTTACTCAGGACCCTTCCCTAACTCTCCCAATTAGAAGTTAGCATTTTCTGTTCTGTCCTGGGAACAAATAACTTTGCTACTGGTTGGTGCTCAAAAAGTTTACTTATCCCATCAATATATCCGAACTCAGTTTTTCCAGCCATTACACTGATAGTTAATATAATGAAAAGATCTTCATCACTAACCTAGGATCCTTTGTCTCTGAGGTTATAGTTCTCTGGGACCACACGTGCCTTTCTGAGTTCTTTGTGTTAGAAATTTTGTACTGAAGAAAATACTTTAAATTTGAAAGTTTTCCCTTGCTTTTATGACATCTTTACATTAAGAAAATTCTTCTGAACACATATTTTCTTTTAAAATATTCTTATAGTTTTGTTTTTCTTTTCTTTTTGGGAATGTTCTGAAAAAAATATTTGGAAATGAAACATAGGCACCTACATTCAATCTATAATTATGTTAGAGATACATATTTATAAATTGTTTTTGGCTTGTTTATAATCTATTGATTGTTCTGCCATATTCAACCTAAAGTCAAATGAATATATTTATAATGAAATCAGTTAAAAAGAACTATAGACAAAAAGGTTTGGATTTAGTTTAGATGGCAATTTTCTTAAATTAAAATTTCCAGTATGTTATCTTAAACACTTTAGATAACCTTCTGATTCTCAGTGTTATCATGTAGACATAGAGAAAGTAATGAAAACTAGCTAATAAGTGTGTTGAAAGAGTAAATGAGATAATGCATGTGAATTATTTAGCACAGTGCCTGGTATATAGTGAGAACTTATAAATATTAGGTGTTATTCTATTGAGAGTGCACATTGAACAATGATGTATTTGATTTTCCCTTTATCTATTAAATAGGTTTGAGGAAGGAGGTAGAAACTTGTCCCAAATCCATCATCCAGAATAATAAGTTACTATATTGTGTTGATATTCATATTTACATTCAAATGTTGTAAATAGTTATAAGTATTGCATTTTCAAGGTGCTTTATAACTATTTTTCATAAAGTGTTATAAAGAGTTGTATAAATTAACAAATATTTTGCCTTATGCTTAATGAGTAAACTTATTTTAATTACAACAAAATTATTTTTAATGGTTACACATATGGGTATACAATTCTTGCAAACAAGTTGTTGATTTTGGGCAACAAACTGCTATCTTAAGCTAAGGGCTTTTTTTGGTTGTTTGTTTTTTATTTGTTTTTTCTCAGCTAAAAGTGAGAGTCTGGGTGTGATGTGGTTTGGGCATATGACCCAGTGATGAGAGGCAGTCTGAACTGAGATTTTACTCTTTTCATTGCTTAATCTGCATATGTAAGATTAGAATAGGAAAAGGAAAGGAAAGGAAAGAAAAGGAAAGGAGAAGAGAAGACAGGGGAGGGGAGGGGAGGGCACAGAGAGGGAAGGGGAGGGGAGGGGATGACTGACTCGAGGGGAAGGGATGGAAGGGGAGGGCATGGGAGGGGAAGAGAGAGAGAAGGGGAAAGAAAAAGAAGAGAAAGACATCCTGGCAAGCTATTACGTCTGCAAAACAATTGCTGCTCTGAGATTAGAGCCTGAATTTCAGGGGAAGAAATAAATTAGCTCCCAGCTGAGGTGTGAGAACAATTTGGTCTCAAGTCTCTGCCCCCACCACCCAGATTCAGGCAACGGTCTCCACCCTCTTTGACTTCTCTCTTTTCCACTAAAAGAATATGGTGGAGACCATAATTAACCAGGGCAATGACTCAAATTATGGGCTTAAGTGAGAGTTTAGAAAAAAGTCGTATTTTACTTCTATCAAGTGTAAATATACATTTTCTTCTTCTTTTTTTTTTTTTCTTTTTTTTTTTGGAGACTAGATCTTACTCTGTCATCCAGGCTGGAGTACAGTGATGCAATCACAGCTCATTGAAGCCCGAGTTCCTCTTGAACTCCTGGACTCAAGCGATCCACTCACCTCAACCTCTCAAAGTGCTGGGATTATAGGTGTTGGCCACTGCACTAGGCCTAAATGTACTTTTTAATGCTTAAAAGCAAACTGCAAGCTTCCTGCCAGACTGACCTATTATGGCCAGTTAGGGAGAAAGTCAAGGTTTAAGCTGTGTTAAAATTTTCCCTTTCAATACTGTGATGATCATCCATGTAATGTATCTATTTGCTCACATATGGTCTTCATCTTAAAGTCCAGAAACTTGAAGTTTCATAAACTCAATTCCTTCATCTAAAGTACATACCATTACTAGTTTTATTGTTTAATATCAAAATACCCTGAAGAGGAAGTATATCCCCCTGGTAGTAGAATGTAAACTCTACAAGTATAAGACTTTTTGGTCTGCTTTTGCTCTTTTTCTTTAGTGAATGGTCAATTTATAAATTTCACCGTTATGTATTCATGAAAGTACATCATACACTTGTTGATTTGTATTTTTTTAATTTGAAAAGCAAAGATTTGTAAAGTATTTTGCAAATATGTTCACAGTTAGCACTTTGTATATGACTATTTTTCATTTTGGATTTCTATGTTCACACATACTTTCTGGTTTCTTCCTTAGATGTCATGTTTAGGTTATTACCCTAATCATATAACCACATATAAAAAAGTACTTTGTTATTTTTGTAATTTGTAATCAGAATATTTGATATTTTTTGAATTTATAATTATATGTAAGATGAACCACAGACCTACCATTTTCTTCCAAATGATCAGCTAGGATTTCCATCATATTTTGTTGGTTCTCCACTAACTTAAAATGCCATTTTGCAGAATAAGTATATTTTATTGGATCTCCACTATTATGAAATGTCATTTTAAAAATAGATTATGATTTCTATAGAATAGAACTGTTTCCATTCTTTCTGTCTGTTCTTAACCAATATTGCTTTATTTGATGTATTGTAAGCCGTTCCCACTCAACCTAAAATGAGTGTTAAAATGTCAATCACATCTGTGTTTGTTACAATAGTACTTAATGGGGTGGTAGAGAGGTTAAAATCCATTTTTTCCATATCCAGCACTTTAATGCTTATGTACATTTTGTTAATTAAAAAAAAAACCTTATAACACATTTCTCATATTAAGTTGGTACAAGACTTCTTGTAAACTTGAGAGAAGATAGTGACCTTGTCCCTCAGGAGATTAAGTAGAATTATAGTAGACCCAGAATAAATGAGATATATGATTTCCCTGGTCTAAGCAAAAACAATGCTCTGTCTTCATACTACTTCCAGATTAACTATCTATTTAGAAGGGCATGTCAAAAATACAATTAAAGTGAATGTATTTTATTGAAGTGTTTTCTTCTTTCTATGTCTTTGATTATATGTAATGGTTGATGCAGTGTTCCTAAGAGATCAAATGTGGGCTCACCATAAAGCAAAAAAAAAAAATTACCATGATTCCCCTTAATGAATGAAGCATTGAGTTTTAACAGTAGACATCTAGCATCAAGTTAAATTTGTTTTATTAACTTAATGCCATGCAATGGCCTTGAACTGTGGTTTATAAAGCAGGCTCTGAAAGCTCCTTGCAGTAGAATTCACTGGAGAACTTGTTAAAATGTTGAAATTCTGGATATCTCTTCAGATCACTGCAATCATAAGGCTCAAGAAAACTGCATTATTAAAAAGTTTTTCAAATGAATCCTATGGATACTAATATTTGGTGTAGGCTAATCTAGCAAATATACAATTCCACTATTTTCTAAAGTAAGTCTATTATATTCTTAATTTTAAACCACCTCTCTGAGGAAAAAAATACAAATACTCAGTTATACATTTAATTCATTTGTTAAAATAAATATAAGGATCATTTTAGATAATATAAAATCCACTATGCAAAGGAATTAAAATACAACCTAATGATGAGAGAAGATATTTTATTAAGACATAATTTTGCCTATAGAGCACAAAAAAAGTTAATACTGACAAGTAAATTATGCTTCACTTTTTTTTGTCTACATTCCAACTCTTGCCACATTTTCTGTTTTCCCATCTTGACTTATAGCAAGAGACGATAGCAGCTGCATTCCTCTTGCCTCAGGAGTTAAAACATATCAAGCTTTCTGACTGATGTAATCAATTCTAGCTCCTTTTAGATCTTTGAGCTTTATAAACAATCCGTCCTGAAGGGGGAATTGACAGACCAAGTAATCTTCAATAAACTGTCTACCATGAAGGGCCTTCCACATATTTCATGCTACTGCTTTAAACAAGTGGACATAAAAATTACTCTTCTTGCTTCACAATCCATCTGCCTTAGCGGGATTGGCAAGTCCTTACTTTAGAACACATTTCAAAAACAAAACCAAGCATGCCTTGTTTCATTTCCATGAGAGAATATATTTCCAAGGGCCCTAGTAAATAAACTTACCTCTTCATTCCCACTCCCTGCCATCTCTATGCCTCTCTTCTGGAAGAACAGCATGTCCAAGCTGAGGAGGAATAGAATGAAAGAGCTCATGCTCTCCCTATTTTTGCCTGAATGACCATAATTGTAAATTCCACTGTATTTCAGATGAAAACTATTAGTCTTCTTCAAATTAGAATAGTTTCTCCACTTTCTTTTGTCATTAATGACTTGACATTTTTACAGAACTCAGTTTTTTCATTTTGTAGAACCACATCTATTTGAGTTTGTCTCATGCCTCTGTTCCAACAATATTTTCTTAGATTCGAATAAAGTGACGTTATGAAATGTTACTCCTAAGATGAGGTTGCAGAAAAATAGTGGCTTCTGACTTGGGTCCTTCTCTAATTTCCTAACTTGCTTTCTATGCAGACAGCTAGTTAACATGCTATCATCTAAACTATGGAAAGTCCCATATGGCAAGGAACTCACATTTCCAGGCAATGGCCAGTGAGAACCTGAGGGATGCCAACAGCTATTTGAGTGGACTGGAAGCTGATCTTCCCCATGTTGAGCTTTGATCTAACAAAAGCTTGGGCCAGCATCTTGAATGAAACCTTCCAAGACACCCTGAGTCAGTGACACCCAGTTAAGTTGTACTCAGATTCCTAACCCTCAGAAAATCTGAAGAGACTAAAAAATATTTGTTGTGTCATGCCTCTAAGTCTTGGGGTAATTTGCTACATAGCATTGCATAACTACTTCAAATGCCTTTCTCATTTTTTTCCCAGAGGTAAGACCTTGATTTTGAGGACCTGCTGACCAGAAAAAGATAGTCTGGGCCTCAGGGAACTTAGAGTTATCACTCTATCCACTATTATAGATATTATAATGTTATACTTTTCTTCATTCATCCAAGTAGGCTAAGAGGGTGGTTATCAAACTACAGTACAAAGCTTAGCAGTATTAGATAACTAAGTGTCACTACAGATTCTATGAAGTTCTGGTCAATTATATCTAAGCTATAATACAATAATTTAAATCTAGGTATTTTTAAATATCCTACAATGTTTCTGGTATACAGGCAGGTTGGAAGTGCAATACTGTATGTTTTATATTATTAATGTAATAAATATAATAATGAAAACATTACAATGTACTCTTCCTGGAACATAACTATTATAAAGTCAAATGCATTATATGATAGTGTCTTAATATAATTTTTCATTTAAAACAAAGGCCATAAAAAGTAAACTCAGTTAGCTTCAATGTAATGCCTAAGTTTGTAGCAAATATTGCCAGTCTACCAATCAATAAAGTAATATAAACTGAGCACCTGTCAGGTTCTTCATTTGATCCCATAAAATCCCTCTCTCCCCCAAAAGATCATTGTGTTAGATATTTTATATTAAATTGGGATTTGGAGAAATAAATTTCATCCCAGATTCTAAACACAGAAAATTGCAAAAGTAGGATTTGTACCAGGGCACATCCAAACCCAAATATACTACATCTTGTGAAATATAGAGTGCTGTGCTCAGTGGAGTTAGGTATATGCTCACATTGTACACATACCACTGAGTGAAGGAACTCAGATTTCTATTTCATTGATTGTGTTTGGGGCAGAACATCCTAAGCATATTCATTATGAATCTACTTTATATTTACCTGGGGAGCTACTGAACTTCCCCTTTTCAGGAAATCATATTACCTCTTAGCCTAACATCATCTATTATTTCAAAATAAGAAAGAGAGAGCAAAGAAAAACTGTAATGTTCAAATAAGAGCTTAAAATATTCTCAACAATTACTATTTGTTCATTTATCTACATATTTGAGGAGCTTATATTTTATGATGACAATGAAATGATATGGCAACAATCATAATGTCCAACTCAGATTTCCTTCTGTTAGGAGGGATATTGATAAAAAGCTTCCATTACTGTGTGATTAATCCACCATCACGTTGACGCTGAGGTACACTCCCCACAGACTACTTGAAACTGGTAACTGAGAGCAGGATGCACTAATACAGACCCATATGTACAAAAGCAAGACAGCTTTGATGTGAGATTTGGCAACAGGACACTTCTTCAGCCTGGCCAAGTGTTTCTTAGATCCCTGCTAAAGTCTGAGGGCCTTTCTGCTGGATTTCCCAATCTTCACAGAATAAAGATACGCACTATTGTATGAAGGCTCTTTTAATCTCTTCTGACATGCTCCTTTTATTTCTGTTAGAAGACATTTTCTCACTAAATCTTTTGTTGGTCCAGCTCAGAAGTCTGCTTCTCAGAAAGTAGTGATAAAAAAAAAAAAAGTCCTGGTGAAGAGTGCCACTGAAGTGTAATGATTCAGGCATTAGAAAGATAATATTGGGAAATACACCAACACAGATGGTGATCACAGGCATCACAGCGTTCACATGTAGGTAAAGGCTCAGTGTGAGCCCCAAAGGGGCTCTTTTGAGGTTTACCAAGAGGCATTTTTTCCTCTTATAGATGAAACTAGTCAGCAGACAGGAGACTTTATGTGAAAGATTTGCAGAACTTCAGAGACATTTAAATGCTTAGTTAAGGTAACTCTGTTATAGAAAAATCATGATCTGAGTATGAAAAACCTGGATCCTCTAAGCATGGGATGGAGGACGTTTGGATGGACACCCCTAAAGATGTTGGTTCAGAGCTTCTAGAGGTGTCCTTCACTTCCCTAATATGATATAGCACTTTTGCAACAGCTACATTCAGTAGTTGTTCCTACCTCTTCTCTTGACTGCCAGGACAAGAAGTAGGGTTAAATTCCAACATGCAGAGGGCCTGCCAAGAGAGGAAAAAGTATAGATGCTGAAGATATTACACTAATTAGATAGTAAATTCTGGAGGGACCAGATCAATGCCCTTGGGATTATATTAATAGCATTAGAATGCTTAATCAAGGGGACCAGAATGTAAGAGTGGATAATCAAAAATCTATTGATTTGGCATTTTCTTGGGACATTTGATTTAACACACTTTCAAAGATTCCAAGCAGTGGGCAAACATGCAGCCAGCATGGCTTTTTGAGGCCTAAAATGTAAATTACCACTGCCTAGTGAAGTGAAGATGGCTGTGTTACTCCAACAGTTAAGGAGAAATAAAGAAGCTGAGGAAAGACGGCATGTGGAAACGCAAATTACAGGAGACATTAGAAAACTCACGAGAGGATTATGTGCCACAGAGGACCCAGAGGACACACCAGTCACCAAAGGCATCAGGAAATTGTGAATGAGAATGGCACCAGCATCACTGACAGCAGAAGAGACTGCCATAGAGATGGCGTCATTATTACCCAAGAGAATGTTGGACCCTCAAAGAAGAGGGCAAAGGATAGCACTTAGCTGGAAGAAGCCAAGAGACAGCAATGATGATAACAAGGCCTTGGAGCCTCTCAGGATGAACATGAAGTCAGGAGGAATAAAAATGACAGGCAGCAACATAAAAACTGTTGATTTATGCAAACTGAAACAGTCCCCCACCCAAGCAGATATAATACATAAAAAACAGTATTGCATACCAGGCAGCATGATAGGTTAGCATCACTAGAGGAGACATAAACGTCTAAAGAATGTAGGGGCTATTGTCCTTAGTATATCTATAATTAATTATTCTGGTCCTTTCAGGAGATAGATAATACCTGGATAATAATTATAGATGACCGCAAACTTGACTAAGTGGCATCCTTATCACAGCCATAGGGCTGGACAGCATCTATGCGACAACAGATAAATAAGACCCCATATACAAGATATGCAGCCATTGATATGGTGAATGTATTCTTTTCCATTCAAAGAGAAAAGGACATAAGAAACACTTTGTAGTCATGTGAGACAGCTGCCAATATTCATTTATAATTTTGCCTCAGAGCTATGCTAACATTCTCACCCTCTGCAGTATATACTCCAAAAAGATATAGCGCAGAAAATCCTGTCACCCATCACAGTTGCCAGGGTGTCTCTCCTTCAGCTCACATAGTTAGGGTAGCGGTGGGGGAACCATATAAATAGCTGAAGGAGGAAGAAATTCCCTGAGCTTGGATTATGTTTGACTTACCCAGAGATTGGCTACAAGCTAAAAAATCACCAGTGATTTCATAATAGTGACTTTCTAGCTTTCACTTGAAAGACAGGGGAGAGGGGAACTATCTTGAATGAGAGGAACTATGAGTAGTTCAACTGGTATTCCCATTAATTAAAATGAAAGCGGTCAAGGAAATAATATTTAGGTTTCTTAGTACTGATTAATGTCCTAGCCTTTTGATCAGGATCTTGCAAGGAAAATGACTTGAATATCAGAGTAAAGGAGATCTTGATGGAAAGAAGCACAGGGACAGATGTATAGCAATGGCAATAAAGAGTTAAGATTATTGTACCACACATCAACACCCACCAGGAAGCATTCATCAATAAGAAAGCACTGAATAATCAAGTATGCACATAAGTTGGCCAGTTGATATTACTTTATTATCAGCTACTCTGAAATATGCATGATGGACACATAAAGTGAGTGTCCACAATCGCAGTGACAGATGCTATGTATAGGTCCAGTAGCATGGTTTTGCATTTTCAAAGACCAATTTTATTACTATTGCCTATGAATGTCCAACTTCACAGCAGAAGCAGTGAGAGAATGAGCCTATGACCTTGGGATCTATTATTAGTACCACATACCTCACCTTTCAGAAATAGACAGCTTCATAGAATGCTACCATTTCTTTCTAGAAACAAAACTGAGGTTTCATCTCAGAGGCAATCCTCTGAAAATACAGTGTGCTATCTTTCCAGATGCAGTATCTATTATATCAGAGCTTCATATGTGAGTATGGGAAGCCAAAATGTTACTTCTTACTATCACTTCAAATGAACCACTGGGATTGTGGACAGTGGTGTCCCTACAACTCAGGGGTCTGTGGATTTGGAAGATTTATTCCCCATAGGGGATGTTCACTTGCCAGGAGATGAGCAAGGCTCTCACTGAATTTCAAACTGTAACTGCTGTTGAGTCATTTTGGAACCCTTATGTATAGAGACTAGCAGATAAGGAGTCACCATACTGATGGGTATGAATGACCCTTGTGACAAATAGCAAGGTTTCTCTTCAAATAGCCTGCTCAGCTTCTTATTCTCCAATTCGAAATACCCCCCACTTTCTTCTCCTTTTTTCTTCTTTCTAATTTTACTACATGCCCAGAATGCCACAGCCCCAGCTTGCATTCCTTTCCTTATTTGAAAATGGACTGACTCCCTAGTCCTCTGTAGATAGCCCCTTCCTCCTCTCCCCTCTCTCCATCACTCGCCCACCTTATCTAAAACAGTTTAAATGTTTAGCCAATCGAGTCTAGTTTAAATTGTGTGGTCCAACCCCAGCCAATGGGAAAAGGACACAGGGAGAAAAGATGCGTTGAAAATAAAAGCTTCTACTCTCCTTTGTTCAGTGGGCCCTCGTGAAAACTACCCCTACAAAAAAACACCCTTCTGCACAAAAGTAAATTTACTTTACTAAAAAATCCTTTGTTTAAATACTCGTCTTTCTTTACAACTCCAGACTTAATTTCTAACAACCCTGATCAGCAGAAGAGAGATTTGGTTTTAAACAGCAGTGTAGAAATACATGTAAAATCCAGGTGAACTATCCTGGTATCTGCTGGTATTCATCTCCCCCATTAAAACTTAGTGGACACTTACACCAATTCCAGATTAAAAAGGAAATAATAAGCAGGGTTTGAATTCTTTAGTAATGAATTTATGAGTCATGCCGTTTGTTAGGTCACCAAGATTTGCAGAATTGACAATTAAAGGTGAGGAGAATTTAAAATTAAAAATGGAGGAGGAAGAGGATGAGTATTACTTGTGACACTGAAATCAAGTGGAATGGCAGGCAACTCTGTAGTTCCCCCCACTCACCTCTCTCTTCTGAGTTTTGTCTCAGGGAGGGAGGCTAACAGAGATCACAGAGGAACTGCTTTCCAAACCTGGGGGAGAAACAGGCCTGTGCAACCAAGGTATGAACTGTGATAAGCATAAAATAGACTACTCGACCTCCTCCTCAGGAAACATAATTGACCATTGGTGTCAGCTGCTGCTCTCTGAAACTAATCATCCATTTGCACAAGACCAGGTGTCCCATGGGATGCTCCCAGCTAATAACTAAATGCAGCAAGTATACAGTTGCCGATTTATTTCTGCAAGACGAACTCTTCTGTCCAAGGGCTTTGGCTCAAGGACTCCCCATTGGCCTGACTGAATCTTTCTTAGAACCACACACTGCGGTCTGAAACTCTTTCTACCCACACACTGTGCTTTCTCTGATACCTGTACATTGGTCAAGCCTGTATCACAATCTGAAATCTTTTCCAGCCTCCCCTGACCAATCCCACTTTCTTTCACAGATATTTCTCCCAATAAATCTCTTCCATGTCTAATCCTGTCTTGGCATCTGTTTCTCTAAGGAACCAAACTACACAGATGAAATTCTTATTCTAATGATATAATATATACTGTCATAATTTCCATTTTAATGCCTATATATATATTACATACACAATACTAGTTTTTGAGGGGATTTTAGTTTATCAACAATTAGGAAATACCGTTTGTGACTTTTTTCTGTGTTCTTGTTTGCAGTACTATAAACTGATATTTTGTTAAGAATAGATGTATAATGATAAAAAGAAACATTTTTGTTTTCTTATTTCTTGATTGTATCTCTGAAATTGCTTTGAACATATTGATCTTTATTTGAGTTTTATGAGTTCCATTAATTTTCATCATTTAATTTTACATATTGAATTAAACATCACACACCTTTAACTTCAATGTCAAAAGTCTATGATGTTTTAAATCAGCATAACTTATTTTACAAGATCCAAATATTGTTAGAGAAAAAAATATTATTACCTCAGAAGATGAGAAAAAATGATGGGTTTGTTGTATGTGAATGAATGTGTTTTAGATTTTAGTATTGTTCTCCAAAACTTTAAAATCTGTCTTTTCAGTGTCTCATGTCTCTGCATTGTTCATTGCTCTTTGTATTGCAGGTGGTATTATGATTACTTAAACCAGCTTAGATAAAACTGACAGAATTAAAAAGCCTGTCTAATCAACAATTAGAATATTTAGTAATGGAACTTGACTCAGTAATAGTTATAATTACAGGCTCAAATACTTCTAGGCATTTCTCTATCACTTTACTTCTCTGAATGTTTTATTTTGTTTTCTCATTGAGCACACTGCTTTTAATCTCATGCTGACAAAATATTGAAATATATGTTTTAATATTTTTGCCACTTAAGATTTTTGAAGAGTCAAGTTTTTAACATTGCAGAAACATGCTCTGATTTTTTTTTTCTTATATCAAGTATTCTCTCTTAGATCAGGAACTTGGAGCTAGTGGGACCATAATGTAATACAAAAGATTTTTCTGGAGCCACAGAGTAAAGGTAGAAAGAGGACCTAGTAGAAGGGACTATTTCATGAGGGAAAGAAAAAGATGTTTACCAAAAAACAAAGTGAAAAGGAAAAAATGTCCACTCTATTCTAAAATTGATGCCGTTATTACAGAGTTCATGATATAACAGAGAGATGTTCAAACATGACTTTTAGTATCAGTGCAAATCTAAATTGGAAAAGTAGAGTTAAAATTAACTGTTAAATATGAGAAAAAATTCCAAGATGGTTTGATCAGGAAAGTTTGTACTCAATAGCAATATGTAAAACCTTTAGATGACAGCAATATGTATAAACCTTTATTTTGTTTGAAAGAAGGGCAGAATAATAACATTATTATGAGTCAAGCCCATCAGTCATTCTGAGTATTACGTCAGAAATCATTCTGAGCTCCAAAATATTCATCACATACAGTTTGGAGTATTACATTGATTAGTATCTAAAAACAGAAAGATCATATGCAATGTAATAACTTTTAATAGTCAGTCTATCACATTCATCCCACTTTTCTCTACTATTTTTATACCTTGTCTTTTTCATGTCACTCATCATATAGTCTTGTATTTATTTGTTTAGTATCTGCCACTATTACTTGACAGTGAGTTTCTTAAAGGTAGAGACTTCGTATTTATATCCTTCGTAGTCTATAAAATGCCTAGTGTAGCGTGTGTTCTGGAAAAAGTATTTTTTAGCCACACACAAAAAAAAAAGAGAGAAAGAAAGAAAGAAAATAGGACTAACCCAAAGCAGAAATTTATTACCATACATCAAGGATTTATCATTATAAAAATACTAGAATTTGAAAATAAGGAAAATAATCTATCTGAAGTTATTTTAGGTCCAAAACAGAAGAATTTTAAACATAGCAACAAGAAAGAACATGAACATTGGAAGCATCTTTTACAAATAGAAAAAATCAGATCTACTCGATATTGGATCATTGAACTATTGACCACAACTAAGGTCATGTGTCATTTAAGGACTAAAGAATAGTTGAGCATTTAGGTGAAATTCAGGAGGTTGCAACTTCAATGCTTTTAGATATACTAGATCAGACTATTTCATGTTTTTTTTTAAATAACAAATGCAAATCCTTTGTACCATAGCAAAACTAGATTATAAATTGTGATACTAAAATAGTTAAATGGTTCTCTCTAAACTATATAAGGCATAGTATTTCAGTTGTAAATATGTTTTAATTATAAAATAAGGAAAGCTTAGAGTAACAGGAGGTAAAGATTCAATATAGATCAGATAGTTCAGGTTTTTTTTAATGCCTGATTTTTAAAAATACAAACGAAATCAAATAACAGGTAAGACAAAAAAATGGGAAGACTTCAGATGGTTTTCATTTTTTCTATGCTTGTTACTAATGGAGATAACCAGATAGGAAAATGTGTTTAACAATTTAACCTAAAACTTTACTATCAAAAACAATGAAATACAAAATAGTGTAAAAGAATGGTGATATTTTTGCATAAATTATAAAAGTAAAATATAAGACAAAATAATGGGACTAATATACAAAGTATGAGCTGTCTTTCAATATCTCACTTTAATAATACTAGCCACAATTTCATGATAAATTATCATGATAAAATGTATTCTAGAGTTAAAATGTTTACCCCCATAAGATATGGAAGTCTTAAGGTATCAGGTGATAGTAAATTACTTCTTTCTAGTCACCGTGTTCAGGAATAATCAATTTAGTGTGTCATGTATTTAGAACATACAAGCTAATGTCAAATCATTAAATAATTATCACAGTTTTATTAATAATTGTAATATATTTATGCTATATTTCATAATCAGCAAGACTGGTCCAATAATTTGCTCACTACGAATAAGTTCTATACTTTGGAAAATAATTAACTCTCTCAGGCTGCTAAGCACCATTTAACATACTAAAATTGTGATTTACTAAATGGCAGAAGTTAACCTAAATGAAACGAATGCAGTTCTGCAATTTTTATTTTTTTTTCTTGCTCTGTCGCCCAGGCTGGAGTGCAGTGGCATGATCTTGGCTCACTGCAAGCTCTGCCTCCCAGATTCACATCATTCTCCTGCCTCAGCCTCCCGAGTAGCTGGGGCTACAGGCGCCCACTGCCACGCCTGGCTAATACTTTGTATTTTTAGCAGAGATTGGGTTTCACCGTGTTAGCCAGAATGGTCTCAATCTCCTGACCTCGTGATCCGCCCGCCTCGGCCTCCCAAAGTGCAGTTTTTGATTATTGTAGTTTTTGTGGCCTCTGCAGTTTATACTCTATATTGTGCCTCATCTGAGTAATGCTCTTACAAAAGTTTAAGGAGAATACACTTCTTTGGATTGTTACACCTAATATACTATTATGACCAAGACCATAGACTGTTGACCTCTGGGTGTTAGGTGCTTCCATTGGGTGGCTTCTAAAGACACACCAAGGGAAGTAATTAGAACTATGTGCATGACAAAATTAATAGATGAGAAATGTCTGAGTGCCAATACATGTTTATTCTAAGAAGCCTTTCATGCAGTTGCTGGGGATCAAGTCCACATCATATTTTTACAAATTTTACAATTACAAATTGCAATTATAATTACAACTTCACATCAGAGTACACAACACCTGTAATTAGAAGTCATGCTTATTTTGTCTTTTTCCTTAGTCATCACAATCAGGACACAATCATGTTCATTTCTTGTGACTCATGACTGTGCCAAGGAGATAATTTGAAAAAAAAAATCCAAAGAAAAGAAACTAGATGAGATTTTTCAAATATTGGTTTTAATTTGGAGATATCTATACTGCTCTTGAGTTTTCCTAAGGAAATGCTGATGTTCCTAGTATTATTTCCAACAAAATAAAAAGAAATAAAAATAGATTTGTATATGCCCTTATTTTTATTAGAATATAGATTTTTATTTCATCTGGAAACACTTTTTAGTTATTTACTTGGTGAAGAAATCTGAAAACAAAGACATGTGCCAAAAATATATAAAATTCATTAAGGCAATTTTATTGTATGATTTCTTGTGCCTTTGCAGCACTGAGACCTATTTTGCAATATTTCTGAATGTTGAAAAATGATCACAGGTTCTTATATGTCATAATACCAACAGTGGACATTTTGATTGGTTGCTTAAAATTATTTGTTATGAAAATAAATAGCGAGTAGTGACAGTGAAAATGTCATGATCACAATATAAGATGTTAATTTGTAAGGCTGAAATTATTTAAATTTCAACAAATGTTTTGGATAACTTACAAATGTAGTTAATACGACAGACAGACCACAGTTTGGAAAATGAGTAAAAAACAATATTTTGAAGCAGTAATATAAATAAATGTGTAAAGTATTGATCTGAGAAATCTGAAATATGCATTAAAAAGGTTTTGAAATCTTCTTACCATCAACATTCCTACATCTTTTGAAATAACAGTTCTTCTGTCTCTCTGCCATAAATAATTTACTTAGTTCTTTCTCCTAAATTTCTAAATTCTAATAACAAAATTCTTAATTATATCTAAAAGCAAAACTATCTCTTTGCATTACTGAAATGTCATGGCCAATGGTCAGTTGGGAATAAAAGAATTAACAGCTGGTCTGTAACTTGTTTTCTTCTCTGAAGCACCTGGGAATAAATAGTCTAATCAAATTGCCCTCAAAACATACTAGTTGAATCTCTTGATAGCATTTATTAGAAGAATGTTTTATTATTTATGGAATTTTTTAGCAAGATATACCTGGTCTGTCTAGGTTACTTATGACAAACACACCTGAAATTTATGGATGTTTGTGGTATGATACTCTGGAAAAATGTTTCAGTTAGAGATGGAATTATCAGAGAAATAAATATTGGTATTTCATGGTTGTGCTGATTATAAATTCATTGCCTCTCAACCACAAATTCATCTTTTTAGACTGCTCTGGGAACATAGATTTGGGTCCTTTTAAATATTTGTTTTTCCTGTGCCAGTTGGCAGCACGTTTTGTCAGCAGAGGGCACTGCAAGAGAAAAAGAGCTTAGTTCTGTACTTCGGATATGTTGGCTTTGTAGGTTCCTATAGCGTTCATAGCTTCTCTAGTGCCTAACTCTCTCAGCTCAAGTCAGGTAGCAATTATCTTCATAGCCAGCAGCTTCCATGACACGTCCCATCTCCAGAGCAGTTTTGAAGAAGAGTGGCCTTTTCCCAGTGTCCACTTCTGCAGTGTGTGGCAATCAGTGGCACTTCACAGCACCTCTCAAACCACAGGCACTTCCACAGTATCTGGCCCCTGCAATGCACATAGGACAGCAGAATCATGTAGTAAGCAGCTTTGTCCAGTATCCCGGATAGTGGATTTCTGGCAAGTTCCAAAGGCCATATTTCCAGCAAGTTCTGCTGGCATGACATCTCACGACTTCTCTGTCATCCAGTGAGCAATAGCTGTGCCCTCTTCTACAAAGTTGAGAACTCAACAACTGTGTGATTTTCTCTCCTCATAGGACCCAGAATGATACAATAATCTAACTAGCTCTGTTTCTGAAGGTGATGCTCTGATTATATCATGTAGAAGCATAAATGTTAAATTTGGATGAGTGTCTTACAAAAGAGATCTGAGTGATGGACTGGCAGTCTCAGGCTCTTCTGCACTTTGTCTGTGTCTTTCAATTACCTGTAACGTTTGAGTTTGATTCTGAGCAAAGTATTTGATTTTCGTGTCTAATTTTACAACTCACCTTTTTGTGTTATCTCTGTATATGTAAAAGGAAAGCACAAACTGTCATAAAAATTACATTGCTGACTCCTAAAAATAAGACAAAGGGACAAACATTCACTATGAATATATATTACAAAAGCAGTGTTGGAAGAGTACTAGCATGTTCTAAATAAAATATGTTAAATGGCTTCACCAAAGAAAAAAGATAAATTTGCAAAATGTAGAGTTTTTGGAATATGAGTATATTATACCTTCATTTAGTTCTATAGAATCCTTTAGGTTTGGCTATCATTTTAAAAAAGTATTCTCAACTCTGGATACTCTACTAACATCTATTCTCCATTTCCCATACACACAAGTATCTTTCAAAAATATACTATTTTATTGTAAACTCGATATTTTTAGCACTCTTAGGGCAATGAAAGTGAGAGTAGATAACCTAAGGATTGGATGAAAACAGATTTAGTAACAATAGTTTGACTGACAATATGGTTTGGCCCTTATAATCCCCACATGTCATGGGAGGGTCCAAATGGGAAGTAATTGAATCACGAGGGTGGTTTCCTCCCATGCTGTTCCTGTGATAGTGAGTGAGTTCTCACGAGATCGATGATTTAATAAGGAGCTTCCCCCTTCGCTTGGCTCTCATTCCCTCTCCTGTCTTCCTGTGAAGAAGTGCCTTCCTCCATGAATGTAAGTTTCCTGAGGCCTCCCCAGCCATGCTGAACTGTGAGTCAATTAAACCTCTTTTCTTAATAAATTACCCAGTCTTGGGTATTTCTTCATAACAGCATGAGAATGGACTACTACACTTGATTACTATTTAATAAAAATTAAGAAATAAGACAAATGCCCAAAATCAAGGAATGTGTATTTTTAAATATTTCCTCATTTTTTATTTCACAAATAAGACACAAAAAACTACTAATTGAGTTGTCATGAAGATTCAATGAAATAATGAATGTGAACATTCTCTCTTTTTTATTATTATTATTCAGGCTATGACAACTAATCTACAAAACAACCAGTTCTAAAATTATGATGACTTATTACACGAAGGTTTAGGTATTGTTCACAATACATGACTATGACTAGGCAACTCTCTCACTTCTTACCCCAGGACTCAGACTGAACTGAATGAGCAGCCACCAGACTAAATGTTGGCATTCTGCTGGCAGAGTGAGAGAGATCTCTGGATAATCTTACATCCACAATTAAATGCTCCAGTTTGGAACTGGAACTTGTTATTGCCACTAACAATGCATTGGATAGAAGTAGTTATGTATCAGCCTCACTAAAAGGGAGCCAGAAAAAGTATATCAGGGTTCTGAATATACATAAAAGCAGAACTACTTATAAAGTCAGAGTGATAAATACCGTAATCTGTCTTCTTGCTGTGAAATATTTCACTCAATTTTGAACTCAAAACACAATAAACCTTTTCACTGAAAGACACCTCAAGTCCAAAATCATGTATAATGTGCAATAGGTTCTATACCAGGTAGACCTGATCCAGACATTTATAAAGTGAAAAAAAGTATCTGCCCCTTAAACACTTGATACACCACATTAAATGCTCCCATTGACAAGAAAGAGAGAGAGTAGAAAATATAGATCTCACTGGTTTATAGCAAAACAGAAATTCTGCTGTGCAGTTATTATGGGGACCCTTCATTGTGGATGGAGAATGTTTCTTGATTAGGCCAGGTTATTTTCCTAAAGAGTGGGGGATTCCAAAATGATATTCCTCCATGAACTTTGCCTCTGCCTTCTAAGATTTTTTTTTCCATTTTTCATTATTGCTTGATTAAATTTCAAGTGGGCATTAGAGGATGTGTTTGCTTATGGGGCAGTTTTCTCAAATTCTTTTGCCGGAGTTACTTATATCCACAGTTAGTTTTGAGAACATTTTGGTTCTTAGATTTGCTATATTTTTTTTGTAGTTTTTGCTTGTATGATGCTCTCTTTTGTGTTTTGTCTTTTTGTTGTTATTTTTTGTTTTAATTTCCATTTTAATTTTAGACTCCGGGGGTACGTATGCAGGTTTGTTACAAGAGTATATTGCATGATGCTAAGGTTTGGGCTTTTATTGATCCTGTCACCTAGCTAGTGAACATAATACCCAATGGAAGGCTTTTCAGCCCTTGCCCCTCTTCCTCTCTGCCTCAGTCCTTCCCACTCTCCCAACTTTTGGAGTCCTCAGTGTCTATTGTTCCCCTCTTTATGTCCATGTGAACTCAATGTTTAGTGAAAATATGACATATTTTGTTTTTTGTTTCCACATTAATTCACTTAGAATAACAGTCTCCAGCAGCATTCCTGTTGCTGCAAAGGACTTTCTTCTCTTTAATGTTAGGTAGTAGTCTGTGTGTATACATGCCACACTTCCTTTATCCATTCTACCACCGATGGGCACACAGGTTAATTCCATGTCTTTGCTATCGTGAATAGTGCTGCAATGAACATCAAGTGCATGAATCCTTTTGGTAGAATTATTTATTTTCCTTTGTGTATGGGATTTCTGGATCGATTTGTTGTTACGTTTTTAGTTCTTTAGAAAATCTTCAGATGTTTTGGTGATCTGCGGTCCCATCAACAATGTATAAGCGTTATCTTTTCTCTACATCCTGCATCTGTAATTTTTTGACTTTTTAATCATAGTCATTCTGATTGGTTTGAGATTATATCTCATTGTGGTTTTGATTTATATCTCTCTGAGGATTAGTGATGTTGAACATTTTTTCATGTTTTTGGCCGCTTGCATGTCTTGGTTTTGAGAAGTGTCTGTTCATGTCCTTTATCCACTTTTTAATGGGGCTGTTTTTTTCTTGTTGATTCATCTAAGTTCCTTATAGATACTGTAAATTAGTCCTTTGTTGGATGCATAGTTTGAAAATATTTTCTCCCGTTCTTTGGGTAGTATATTTATTCTGTTGATAGTTTCCTTTCCTGTGCGTTAGCTCTTTAGTTTAATTAAGTCCCATTTATCTATTTTTTATTTTGGTCATCTCACCAGAAGTGTATTAAAAGGCTTGAGAAAAGATTGTGAGCAGTGTCAACCATGGATATTATGTTTGCTCTTATTCTTTATCTCAATGCTTTATTCTTCCTAATTATAAATCCTCACCAAGAATATTATTTCTCATATTTTATTGAAGAGTTTATAAAACCTATAGATAATAATTAATCAGGTCTGTAATGTACATTTAAACCTAATCCACATGGATATTGACTCCTACTGTAAATCCTTAATATTACATAGTGCATATATTAGTTCATTGGACATAGCACATTTTAGTCAAGACGTCCCTCATCAACATGGATATCCCCTACCAATTTTTGATGTCTTAATCTACCAAGCTCCAAGAAATCATCATCCTGCTCTGGAGTGCTACCCTCCTCGCTCCAGGCCAATGATACTTGGGGGTGACTACACTGAAACTATACCTGGCATCCAGTTCTTACTTCAGGGCCATAAAACTAAGATCACCCACATATTCCCCTTAAATAAGACATCTCAATGGGCTAATGACTACCACCATATTAACCAGTCACGGGAACACTGTCATGCATTTGGTATTTTTAATTTTGGGGGTGATATCACTTAGCATCATGGAAGACCTCGTCCCTGCCAAATCCACTGTAGACAGACTCGGATGAAGTCCACAGTTTATATCTCGGCTGATATGAGCAACTAAAGGGAAGGCAGTTGAGGTGTAACTACAGCCGAATGGTCCACTATTTCCATGCTAAGGGTGCTTCAATATTTTTCATCTGCCTCTTCTTACACGTTGGCTGAGGTTTATACTATGGATCATTTACATTTCTAGAAACCTGAAATATCGGTATTATTCTCCTACTCACAACTATGGCAACAGTATTCATAGGCTAGTGCTCCCGTAAGGCCAGATATCATTCTGAGGAGCTACAGTAATTACAAATCTACTATCAGCCATTCCATATATTGGAACTGACCTTTTGCAATGATGATGTGATGTAAAATCCATCATCAACATAATGCAAAGTAACTGAAAACCTTGGGACATTTTCTGACAAAACATATGTTAACTTCTCATTGGTGATTAGTGGTGATTCAAACATAATTGAGTGAAAATTAAATAAATGTGCCATTTTTAAGTGTAAAATAATTACTGTCACTTAAAGTATGTATGTAAAACTCATAATTTTCTAATTTACATTGACATAGGTTCTAAGGCTTTAATAAAGGTTTTCATCAGGGAAAATACATACTGGAAAGTTATCTGTCTCTGAGAAAAATATGAAGTTATGCAATAGAACTAATATTCTATGCACAGGTAGCAAAAGTCAATATTGCTAAGGCCTTGCTCTGGGTAAATATTGGAGAGGATGAAAAGTAACATGAGCTTAACCTCATTGTAGATTAGCATGGACTGAATGTTTATGACCTGACAAATTCATATATTAAAATTCTAACCCTAAAGATAATGGAATTAGGAGGGGGCCTGTGGGATATGGGATTAGTGCCCTTATAGAAGAGACTCCATAGAGATCTCTTGCCCCTTCCATCAAGTGAACTTACAGCAAAAAGATGGTTATCCAGGAAGTGGGCCATCATCAAACACTGATTCTGCAAGCACCTTGACCTTGGACTTCCTAGGCTCCAAAACTGTGAGGAATAATTTTTTGTTGTTTGTATTCTACTCAATCTATGATATTTTGCTGTTGTAGCCCAAACAGTCTAGCACAATGTCCCAAAGAATATGAGTATAAATATATATACATATATGACATACGTATGTAAGTATACAAACATTGATTTCTGAAAAAGTCACTCTTTAATATATGTTATATTTCTACATTTCTATTTTATTGTATATGCTAAGATAGAATGAACCACATGAGTTGATTCATTCAATTTCTTGTTCATTTTCCAGTTTGCACTTATACCATGTCCTTTCTTGATTTCTAATATATATCTCTTCTCAAGACTAGAGAAGTACACCCAAGTCCATCTTTCTACAGAAGTTTCCTGGATAAATAATCTAAATAAATCGCAGTCATCCCTTCGTATCTTTGGTTTCAACATCCATGGATTTAACCACAATTGATCAAAAATATTTTTAAAAGTTGTATCTGCACTGACTCTGTAGACTTTTATTTCTTGTCCTGATTCCCTAAAGAATACAGTGTCATAAGTATTTACATAAAATTTACATTACATTAGGTATTATAAGTAATCTAGAGATGATTTAAAGTCTGTGGGAAGATATGTGTAGGTTATATGTAAATACTACACCATTTATGTAAGGGACTTGGGCATCCCTGGATTTTGGTATCCATAGTGAGGTAAGTCCTAGAGCCAACCGCCAACAGACATCAAGGGATGACTCTACTTCAGCGAAAGGGAATAAGCAACAAAAATAATCATTTAAGGAGACCACTCCATTAAAGAGACCACTCTTTTATTTGTTCTTTCCAAAAAATTGTTCGAAGACAAATCACATGTAAATTATTGTCATTTCTAGTCTTTATAAATAATAGAGTGAAATGAGAGGAAAAATAATTTATTTTACCTATATTAATAATGCTTTGTTTGGGGTTTATGCAACTTGGGGATGGTTGAGCCAAAAGAAAAATCATAATAATGACAATGACAATGATAATAATAAAGAAGTAGAAGAAGAAAAGGAGAAAAATAATTGAGTTGCTTGGTTCCAGATAACACTGAAAGTTTTAATTTTGAAAAATGTGTTTTATGATGAAGAAAAACAGGAAGAAAAATGAGAAAAAGAGGCAAGAGAAAAATAATTGGATTGCTTAGTTCTAGATTACACTGAACATTTTTCTTTTTGAAAAATATATTTTATATCCAGTTATAATATTACTATACTGATGAACTAAAAAGAAAATAGAACATTCTTGGTATGCTCTTGCTGAGTTATTGTTTTAGGAATATTCAAGTATTCACCTGCCTACTTATCAATTTTTTTCTTGGATGTCTCATAGGAAACTAAAACACAGTATGTCCCAACTAAAACTCTTTATGCTATTTCCCAATACCTGCTCTTAGTCAAACAAATACATCAATACTTCCTGTATTTGTAAATGTTACCAATTTATACCCTATTACTGAAGGCCAAAACCTAGGAGTCACAGTTAAAACTTCATCTCATTCTCTTGAAATGTTAACATAGAAGAACAGGTGAGGTAAAAGTAGAAGGCTAGACCCTCTTGCACTGACCCCTCCCTTTTTACCTCAGTATAGATTCTTAGTAAATTGTAGGGAATTAAAATTCCCCAAAGGGTACATTTCTTCTGTACAATATTTATTCAGGCTATATAATTGAAGTAGAATTCCTTTACACCAGAGTGTGAAGACAAATTGCCTGCGAACCAAAAGTAAAACCCCAAATACCCTGTAGAAAAGGAAGTTCTCTATTAAATTTCATTTAATTCAGGCTTTTCTGAGTGAAATTAAGTGTCTATGTTAGGATCATGCTTGTTCCCGAAGGATCACCCATACAAAGCTACAGCCATACCAAAAAAAAAAAAAGAAAAAGAAAGAAAGAAGAAGAAATAACATTATACAGTATAATAGATGGAGGGTTGTGTAAATAAATAAACAGATAAATAAAAATGGTAAAAATCAACAGAAAGGATCTTTAACTTGTTTAGCTGGACAAGAAGAATTGGATAGTACAAAGATTTCTGCAGGTCATATGTTTGAAAGGGCTTACCAGAATTTGCAGGGTGTACTCATGTATGGCTATTATTTAGGTAAAGAAAAGGGACAGCAAAAGATTGACTGTCCTGCATGTCCCTCTTTTAAATCAGTAAGGTCTGTGCAAAAAATGCAAGTCGGATTTACAAGTCAAATTTGTTAAACCCATTGGGCCAGTTGCAAACCATTGTTAAATATACTGACCCCAAGGGTCCTTCATCAAGTTTCAGACTTAAAGAGCACATTGTAAATCCACTGTTCTCATACTGGCCAAGTTTAAAGAAAGTATTTTAAGTTCATCTGTAAATCAACTCTATCTCCTGAAACAGCCTAGTAAATTTCTTAAGTGACTGCATATTTATATTGAACATAAATGAATTACTTTGTTACAACATGTGTCTATAGTGGGGTTTTTATTTGTTTGTTTTTTAGTTTGTCCAGTAAAGATGTACAAATTAGAACTCTAATAATTTATGCAATATTAATTGGGTTAACAGGGATTCCTGATTTTCCAGAAAAAATGGTTAGATTCAATAGTTCTATTTTGTATTAAATGGTGATACATATCTGTATATACACATATATATATGTAGCTACATCTATATATAATTGCAAGAAATAAGGTTAATTTTTCCTTTTATTTTCTTTTTTTAATTGGGAAATTTATTGTAGATGTGTGTGGATGTGACTGTGGTGTGTGTGTTCATCTAGTAGTAAGTGACTTTTCATTATAATTTTATTTTTATTTTTTAATTTATTTAGATTTTGTTAGAACTGTTTGGAGCTCAGGTCAAAACTGAGCAGAAAATAAAGAGTCCCCATCCACCCTCTGCTACCACGCATGCAGAGCTTACTCCACTATCAACATACTCCAGAATGGTATATTTGTTCCAATTGATGACCCAACATTGACAGGACATTATCACCCAAAGTCCATAATTTATATTAAGGGTCATTCTTGGTGTACATACTATGAGTTTTGACCAATGTATTATATTTTTATACTATTATAATATCATCCAGAAAAGTTTGACTGCCCTAAAAATCTTCTGTGATTCAAATATTCATCCCTTTCTTTCCTCTAATTCTGAGCAACAATTAATCTTTTTACTATCTTCAAAGTTTTGCCATTTTCAGAATGTCATGTACTACTACAGCTGAATCATATAGCACATACAATTTCCAACTGGCTTCTGACACTTGGTAATATGCATTTCTTTCCTCCATGCCCTTTCATGGCTTGGTAGGTCATCTCTTTTTAGCAGTGAGTAATATTTCTTTGTCTGGATATACTATTTTATTTTACTCAGTCACTATTGAAGAGCATCTTTATTGTTTCCAAATATTGGCAACTATGAATAAGCTGCTATGAATAGCTATGTGCATGTTTTTATGTAGGCATCAGTTTTCAATTCATTTGGCTAAATACCAAGGAGTATGATTGCTGGATTATATGCTAAGAGTTTGTTTAGTTTTGTTAGAAATAGCCAAACTGTTTCCAAAGTAGCTGTACAATTTTGCATTTCACCAACAATAAATGAGAGTCATTATGGTGTATTTCTCCCCCTTGAGTTAGAGCTGGTGCTGTTAGGAACATCAATGACAACATTACCATAATCATAGCTTAAAATACACCCCAATTGCCTGGAAATCATTTCTTTTCTTTTCCTTCTTTTTAATTTTTTTTCTTGGCTGATAAAAGATAATGGAGGTTATAATTTGGGGATCCAAGAAAACTCATACGGAATTAAAAATATAGACAGGGGAATATTATACTTTGATCTACTTCCTAGATCATTCAGATGCTGGTATTCTAAACCACGTGAGTAATTTTCTTCTCAAATTGTAGAAAAATTGGTATCTTAAATCTGCTTCATGAGATTAATATTCTCTGTTAAAACAGTTTTTAACAGAGACAAAGTTAATGTGGGAGAAATTCCTACAAAAATGACTAATGAGAAAGATTTTGAGTAGCCAGTTTTTTGCACTGTTTATGATGCATTACATAGTTTGGACAGAGACAAATTTCCTGCTCACAGTATTTTTCTTTAGGAAAATAGTTTCTTAAATCTGTAAAAATTCTAGTAGAGATTAATACAATTTAAAATGAGATTGATTCAATAGCAGAAAGAGTTAAACTCTAAGAATCTACTATATCCAGGTCAAAAGCCTTGACAGACTATCAATTTAGACAGTAAAAATTTCTGGGAAGGAAGCCAAGTGAGATAGCACCAAGATAAAGAGCTGTAAATCTGAAGAATGAAGTTCTCTCTGCTTCTAAAGGACCACCTTACTTATCCTGCTCTTTTTAAATTTAAAGATATTTGCTTTATAAAGTCTGAGGAAAATGGTGGGGACTTATCAAGGGTTAAAGGCAACAAGCATTAATTTTTGCCTCCAAGTTCATTAAGACATCAGACATATTTAGAAGAACCGTAAGCTGTACGCCAGAGTTCAGGTATTTAGGATGAGATAAAGTTTATTTCATTCTTTTTTCATAGTGGGATTACCTTAAAAGAAAAAGACTACTATAATTTTGGAGGAAATAAATAAACATAAATCTGAGTTTGCAAAGTTGAAGTAACTGGAAATGTCCTCATGTTTCCCTGGGTATGTTTTTAGAATTAGTTTATTCTGCTCTTGCAAAAATACCATTCTTACCTAAATAGAGCAAAGGAATACAGGCCATTGATTACTGGGCATTTTAAGTGAGACAGCTCAGAGATGTTAACCTTCACCAAAATTCTAGCATTCAAGATACAACATTTGATAGTAGGGTTAGTGAGTAAAACTAGAACAATGATACAGATTTTGAGGAAGGAGTGATCTAATCCCCTATTTATAATATAATTATGTAACTGATGCCTGTGAATTACCTCTGGTTATCAAAAAATAAATGATGTTGTATCTTCTATTGATATAAGGGCATCTGATAGAATTTTATTTTGAAATATCTCTCCGCATTTCAATTTGTTTGGTAGAAAGTCAATGATCTGGGGAATGCATCAACTTCAATACAAGTTCATGTTGACTGCCAATACAGGTTCTTTCACATTACTTTGGCAAAGCAAAAAAAAAATCATATTTCCTGTTTGGTTGCCGGAATATATAAATTTATCAACATTTCCATAATCTGAAAAAAATAGATTATAAACCAATGAACTTTGAAGTTGGGTTTCTTTGGGAAGTAGAATTTGAAACAGAGGTTTATATACAAGGATTAATTAGGAACTGCTCTTTTAATAAACATTGTTGAGGAGTGAAGAAAGCAGAATTGGCAGAACAATAATTTGAACTAAGATTTGGTTACAACAGAGGTCTTGGCTGATCAAACTCAGAGCTCTGGCATGGGGATAACCCTACAGACTTGTCATGTATTGAAGCCAGGCAACTTGCCTTTACATTCATTGCCTTGGCCAGATATTGAACACTGCCTTCTTGGGTAAGAGAATATAACTTTAGGCAAGAAAACTTTTTTAGATGAGAGTCATTCTTAAAGAGGGGCTCAGGAGATAGATGTGAGCTGCCAACACTGCAAAAACCTGAAAGAAATGAATGATTTATTCTGGTAGCAGGGGATCTCTAGGAAGCCCTAAGAGCATAGACCACCTCTTGTGTGACTTAGAGCTGCTTGTTTGTATAATGTGATAAGAAAATACATTTTAAGTAATGTTAGCCAGCAGCTCTTCCAGGAATAATTACAAACTGATGTTTATGCGTATGCATTAAAGTTCGCATTGCTATACCTTGTTGATATTATATTCCTGCAGTTATATGCTCATAACTGAAACTGATTCTTATGTTATCTCTAATCTACTACCAAGTCTAGTTTTGTCTTGTGTTTGACTTGTGCTTCTGGTGGTTTCAGAGATTTACCTGACGGCTTGACTAAGAACTTTATCCCTGAGTGGTCTTAACTCCTGATCAACAAGCACTTCTCAGATGATAGTTAGTGAACTTTCCCACTTACCTTCATTATTTGGCAAAGAATAGATGCACAAGTGAATCACTTGGGTGCCTGAATATGTATTATTAGTTCAACTATCTCCTGATGATTTAAGTTCATTATCTCTAAAAAGAACGTGACTTGTTTCCTTGTCAGTGGTTCTCCTGCAATGAGGAGACTGAAGTGAATGAGTGATAGCCATAGGTTCGAATTGAATTGGACTCTTGCTATTTCCCTAATAGAAGCATTTTCCTTCTGAGAACCAAGGCTCCAAAACAAAACCTACAGTTGTGTAGATAGGAAAGGCAAAATCTCCAAGTGTGCTTCTGGAGAATGCTGAAAAGTGACACTACTACTTATGCGCTTTGGATTGTATTTTACTTATTAAGGACACAGGGCTTCATAATTGTCACTGATGTAGAGTGTATACTTTATCTTTGCATATAGTGTCCATCACCACAAGGCATCATATCCAAATGGCACTTCAACTTCACCTTGAACAGGCCATTCCTTTGCCCTGTTAAGCCAGCACCTTCTGTGTACTGAATGGTGCAGTAATATGATAGGACTCTTGGATTTTAGATCATGAGTTGCAAAATTCTTGATAAATAATTGGTCTCTTAATCCAATTCAGTATTATTCAGGATCCTGTGTTGGTGAATGAAATACTCTGTAATCCTTAAATATTGTATGGGCAAGACATTATGTGCAGCAAAGGCAATACCATATTTTATATGTGTTGATTCTAGCCAAGATAAATTGCCACACCTTTTGGGATTGAAGGGGTCCAAGGTAATGTCTCTTTGCCATAACAAAGTGGCTGGTTAATCCCCTTAAAAGACAGTGACATGTTAAGAGTTCATAATTTGTCACTGTGGGTTGCAGTTACAGTAGCTAAATTGCCCTTCTCACTTTATGTTCACCACGACAGTTCTTTTTATATGCCTCCTACTCATGGTCTCCTAGTCTGTCATTTCAGACCTAGATCAACCAGCCCAGTCAAGCCATTCATACTGGGGTGTGTGTGTGTCATACTTTTCTCAGGCTTACTCTCTTTTCTCATGGAGTGAAGGTCCAGATTTAATGTGAAAACTAACCATCAGGAAGGTTTTCCCTCCCCACTGCCTTTCAAGGGCACCTAAAGGAGGTCTGTAGTATACTCCAAATGCATTTTCCGCTTGCCCTGACATATGAAGTGAAATCACATACCATATCAAGACAATCCATCTGTAAAAACAAGCATGGTCTTTCTACTCCTTCTGCTGGTTTTATTGGAACCACCCTAAAGGGACACAGTGTGAGCTCATGGAGAGGCATGGTATAAGCATGGGGCATGGTACAAACACAGGGGCTGGCTACCTGCTCACACAATTTACTTCCATCCTCCAATATTGCTTGTGAACTGGGTTTACCACTTTTACTTCACCATGAAATCCTGCCTACCCATCCAGTTTTACGAATTAGTGAGTGCAACAGAACTTACCTCATGGTTGGCATTTCTAGCTACCAGGCACCTTGGTGTTTTTTGGACAGGCACTTCATTTCTACCTGGATTCACTATCGTGTCAGGAACTGCTTTTCAAATGGTATTTTCCTCTGTGGATGGCATAGTTTTATCAATGATCTATCAGGCTGCCTTATGATTCTCCGATGGAGGCTTGCTATAAACTCCACACAGTGTCTTTCTGTAACACTAACAAGTCTAGAACCATAGGGTCTGCCAAATCCTATAATACAAAAATAGGATGGACTTGCATTACATTTCAGACCTTCTTCAGCATCCTTTCCTGCTCTGATACTCACCAAGAGTTGTTAGTCTTTTGTGTCACATAGTATATGAGTTAAAACATCATTACAAATTGTGGAACATGGTAATTCCATAAACCCAAAGGCCTACCAAAGATTTTGTGTGTTTGTTTTTCTCTCTTATTGTGGAAAGTGTAAGTTACAATTTCTCTATTACCTTAAAGGAGCCATTCCAGTATATACATACCCTAAATCACTGGAAGCCTAATATTTCCTACTAATGATGAATGCCCCTGAATATATTTAAGCTTTATTTCAACCCTCTGGAATGCATGTGTCTTACCAAAACTTTTAACCTACTGGCCACTTCTTGTGAATTGGGAGAATTAATGTAATACAGTTGATATAGAGGATCAATGTCATAGTCTCTATTTCTCTTCAGACCATATTATGGCAGAGAAAAGAAGAGTTGGGCAAGACCAGAAATGTATGTTGTTTAGGATCCCATCTATATGCAAATTGTTTGGTTTTCGTTGTTGTTAGTTAAGGTCTTCTGAGAAGCACACACAAAGACATAATTAGACGATGAAGACATTTAATGGGCAGGAGAAGGTAGGCAGAACCTTGTAACCTTGACATAGAATTTATAACTATAAAAACAAGGGGAAAGAAAGAAGAATTGATTTGGAAGAGTCGCAGACTGCAGTGAAGCTCTGAGAAATTCTTGACCAAGTAAACGAGAAGCCCCAGAGGAAAAAATGCCCATTAGTGGAGTAATACATTGGGCTAGAAACAACCCAACTTTATTCCCTAGTCATGCTTATTCTTTGTCTATAGGAAATCCGGGGAGAATGCAGCCTTGTCATGAGACTGCTGGAAATCCAAATGTGTGACAGATGGAGGATTGTTACCATCTACGCTGCTCACAACAGGTTCTCTTGAAAGGACATCTGAGCAGCACAACTGCATGGCTGTCAAAACCTGACTCTGATCAGGTTTTAACACTATATTTATAATTTTCTTCGGAAAGAAAGCATCTATTTTCTGGATCAGACATTAGAATTAATTACAGCAATAACAACATCACTTTCCCTTATCCCAGTCTCTCCAAGGCAATGAAATGAGGGCAGTTGTCAACTGCACTTTCGGGTCTGTGCTACAGAAGAGGAGCCCTCAAGTGACAAATCTAGGATCTTATAAGGAGCTGCTGTGCAGCTACCGCCCTCCCCTCCTGAGGAAAGAAGAGAAATCTTATTTTCCTAATGTAAACAAATCTCAAAGAAAAGTCCCTAGGTTTTTGCCTTCCTTCATGGCTTGAGGTTTTTTTCCTTTTCAAAGTGTAAACACATGGTTCAGAAAGAGATAAACTTATACATCTCTCAGGAGTATTTTATTCTTAGGTTTCTGTTCAACAGTCCATTAACCTAGATTGCCTGTATTTGTTGCTCTGAAAGCCATGAACATTCAGAAGCATGAAAACATTTTTTGCTACAATTTCATACTTCTTGCACCGCACAAATACGCTTAACATATGCACAGGCGGGAAGCAGCTCCTCTATGGCTCCTATGGGCCTCTCTTTCTCAGTTCAAATTTAGAAGAGGGAGGTTAGTGACACGCAGACCCAGCTCCGTAGTTGTTTTCAAGGCCAAGCTTGGCTTCTATAGCCTTCTTCCTCTATTATTTATTCTAAATTCTCATGCTCAGCTATCATCTTTGCAGTTTGGTTTCTTATGTGGTAACGGAACTCAAACTCTCATTCCTGAGTGATGTGAGTTCTTGGTAACCACCCTCTTCTGAGGCCAGAAATGTTGCATGAATACATTTATGGTTACAATTAGAAATAAAACACTAAGGGATACTAAAATGAATTGATGGCATGAGTTACACACCTATTTCTTCCTTCCCTAATTGTGTAAAACCATCTGTACCACTTTCTGCTGATCAGAAGAAAACACCCTTGTCAAGATAATGCGTTCTTTACTTATCTTCTGGTCCCTATACACAAAATGTCTAAAGTGCTTAGGTGGCAAGCACCTAAAAAGCTAAAACATGTAGTTTAATGTGATGCTTACTGTATCATGAGAAAGTGATCTTATGTAGTCTAAAATTCTCCTTAATTCATTATTACATTCCTCCACCCTTGATTCAGCACCTTCAGAATCCAATCACACACATACAATCCTGTCTCCTTCTAGTAATTGTTGGCTAAGATCTGCAATTCACTTATGACGTATTCTGTACCATTAATAAAAATGTCTATTCCTTTCCATACCGGATAATATTATGAATTAATGCTTGTAGTAGGCTAAATATGGCCACCCCCAAATATTAAGTCCTAATACTTGAGACATAAAAATGTTAAGTCCTAATGCTTGTGACATAAAAATGTTATGAGGCAAAAGGGTCTTTCAAATGTGTTAAGAATCTTGAGATGGGAATATTATCCTGAATTACTAGGGTGAGCCCCAAATACAATTACATGCACCCCTATAAGAGGGAGGGAGAGGGAGTTTTAACACAGACAGAAGAGGGGAAGGCAGAAGGCAAAGATAGAGGCAGAAATTGGAATGATTAAACCACAAGCCAAGAAATGCCCGTAATGACCAGAAATCCTGACAGCACTTTGATTTGGGATCACTGATACTGACTTCAGACTTTTAGCCTCCACTATAAGATAATAAATTTCTGTTGTTTTAAGTCACTAATTGTGCTAACTAGTTAAAGCAAACACTGGAAACTAATACAATGCTAATCATTAAAACTGCACTTAGAAAGAGATGTAAGGTTAGATGATGAGGGGAGCACATGTTTTCAACAAGGAAGATAACTGTGCATTTTCTTCAATAGCTGAGTTTTCAGCTTTAACACAGAGGACTGAGATATTCTGCAGGTATAGAGGTTCCAAGAGAGTCGGAGGTTTAATGACTTCTGAATACATTGACAAAGATAACTCTATATGAAGTCTCAGAGTCCCAATCCTTTCTATCAGGTCTCTGACCTCAGTGTAACATATTGCTAGCATTGAGAATACAGCTTTCTCTGGAGCTCTCCTTCTCTCATAATTAAGACTTAGCCATGATCCTGAGCTTTTCCTATGTTCCAGCTGTAGGAAATGAGTCTCTTTACATGCTGCCAAGGAGGCCATCTGGCTTTCACACTTAGGTTTTAATTGGAGATTAATCATCCCCAGACGTTCTGAAGCATTGAAGAAACTCAGCAGCACCCACTGGATTTTATAAAGTTAGTATTACTAATTCCTATAGAACTCTCAAAATCCTGAGCCATTGCACTTTCTAATATATTCCTTTCCACTGGTATTTCTTCTCAGTTAAACACCAACGGAAGTTTAATAATTATACCACTACCACAAGTCATACCCATGGGCTATTTATTAGTCAGTCAACTACCACTAACAGTAGGGTCTTCACAGCCAACCAGCCAGCAAGCCATCCAACCCCAAACTCCCATTTTAGAGTTGGCTACTTTGGTTGATTCCTGGCTTCAAATGTTTATGGTCAGGTTTCCTAGGAAAACAACTCTGACACACAGATTTACATACAAAACTCTTTTTTGTTTATTTTTTGGTCTTTTGTTTTGTTTTGTTTCGGGGGGAAAGAAGTGGTTTTCTTTGTCATCCTGGTCCTTAATAGTATTAGCCAAGGCTCCTCTCAGCTGCTCTCCTGCCCTGCTCTGCCCTCTACAGCCCTCTCTTGGAAGGACTCCCCTCTCCACCAGTAGAGGACGCCAATGTGACATGAAGGCTGCTGGGAAATGTAGTCCATGGTCTTAAAGGGTCTGCTCTGAGTCCCAGGAACCCCTCCTCTAGCTGCAGGATGGGCTTAAACCTTTTAAGCCTAGAATTTACAACAGTTTGGGGGCCTTTCTCTCTTGGTTCTTCAATTAGCCCTATCCAGAACACTTTGCAAAGCTTAAGGAGAGCCCAGGGCTGTTCACAACTTCCCCTTCCTCTAAGGCCTCCAGCACAGTGAGGTAATGGAATTGTGATTATGACATCATGGACAGTTCAGCTGCTTGCACTGGGGGAAAGGGAGAGTATCATGGTTACAGCTGGATCACCTAAGGCAGAGAGGGAAGGAACCAACAGGTATATGAAGAAGACTGTATTTCCTCCTCAGGAAGAAAAAATCACCTATAAGTAAGTCTCCACCACTGCCTCTCACTTCAACCAAAGTTTAAAGTACTTTTTAGAAGCCCTGAATTTAGATGTTAGAAGGTGAAGAGATTGGGGAACAACTAGATGGTTACTGGTTGTTATGTAAATTTCAATCTCAGCAAGCATTAAAGATGATTCAAAGAGATTGGCAAAATAATGGAAAAAGGAGAGGTTTTAAATAATGCCTTCATGTTGTGATTTCTTTGTAGGGCAGAATTTTAGATTTTTAATGTATTGGAAAGTAGTAATAATGCAATTAATTGTTATGGTTATATTTAGTAACAAAGTTCCTCAGAAACATCTGTTTTCTCTACATATTTTGTGTTTTACTTAAGACTAGATAGATATTTTGAACCCAGAAAATTTGAGACAGGTCTCAGTTAACTTAGAAAGTTTATTTTGCCAAGTTTGACGATACACACCCATGACACAGCCTCAGGAGGTCCTAATGACATGTGCCCAAGGTGGTCAGAGCACAGCTTGGTTTTATACATTTTAGGCAGACAGAAGACATCAATCAATACATGTAAAATGAACATTGGTTCAGTCCAGAAAGGTGGGAAAACTCAAAGTGGGGAGGGGTCTTCCAGGTTGCAGGTAGGTGAAAGACAAACAGTTGCATTCTTTTGAGTTTATAATTAGTCTTTCTAAAGGAGGCAATCAGATAAGCAATTATCTCGGGAGTAGAGGGATAACTTTTAAAAGAATGGAAGGTAGGTTTGCCCCAAGTAGTTCCCAGCTTGAATTTTCTTTCTGGCTTAATGATTTTGGGGCCCAAGATATATTCCTTTCACATTTCTTTCCTTTCTTTTTACAAATGTTTTGGATAAGGCATTTTAGAAGAAAATGATTCTTTGGTTCCAGGTTTTGTCTGTATCGCATGGCTAGAATGGTTTATTCCTAGGCAGGTAGGCCCTAAGTTATTAGGAAAGCTCATGGTTAGAAGGTTGTGAAGTCTCATGTCCTGTAAAGAGAAAATAGGGGGAGGAAGGGAGAAAAACAGTAACAAACTGAAGAATAATTCTGGAAAATCGATATAGGCCATATTACTCTGAAGTCATACATCAGTAGGCAGGTATGAAAGTGGCTTATATATGTAAGTAGGTTGCTGTTATTTTCTTCTGAATTTTAAGATGTCTAGCTTCAGTTCACAGGGCTTTAGGAAAGCACAGCTTAGTTTTCAGTGATTTCAAATCAGGAAAAAATGTGGGAAAAAGGAAAAGAAAGAAGAAAAAAGTGAAAATATTATTTTGGAGGCTTGTAGCCAGGAAAAATTAGAATTCAGCCGAAGCTGTAGAAAATAATAAAAATTGAAAAACATGAGGCAAGACTAGAATATAACAAGAGGTGTAATATAGTTTTTGAAACATGATCTTTCTGTCTCCAGTTTCCCATTTTTACTAAAGAAAAATCATAGTAGGGCTGATTTGCCTTATTATACTTGGACAGATTATTTGTATAAAGTACAGCAAGAATAATTATTTTTCATATAGAATTTTTTAAATTGGCTTTGATGGAACTTTGTTCCACAGAAAGAATCTCAGATAAGACTTTTTTAAAGCCAAGCCCAGCCATCGATTTCTACCATCAAATACCTACAAGTTGGGTGAATTTCCTCTACTCTTGGGGTTTCAAGATAAACTGTGGGCTCCTGGACCTGTCAGAAAGTGACATTCTTTACTTACTACAGGTCAGAAACCCTGTACAGGGACTGTGGAAACTATGAAGGCAGTCTTCCAAAATACTTTTACTGGCTCCATTAAGTCATTTGATTCTTTAAAGGAAAGCACACCATTCCAGTCAAAGGCTTGGTAAAAATAACCAGATTTTTCCAATTGTGTCCTGTTACAAATGGAAACAGATTTTTATTGCACTTATACAAATAACTGTATTGCCATAAGCTAAGAATACACACAAATAGTTTCCAAATTCTGGCAAAATCAGGGAGAAACAAATATGCTCCAAAGTTTATTCATAGGATTTTAATACATTGTTAAAAGCTGTCAATAGCTCAAAAGTTTTAAGACCCTGAAAAACAAAACAAAGCAAAAAGTCAAAAATATTAGTTCAGTTCATGCAGTTAATTCCTGTTCTGCCTGATATTTGTGAATATTTTAGCTCTCCATCAGTCTTAAAAATGTTTCCTCTATTCTGATATCAAAATCTCCAAAGTTATCAGAAACCTGCATTCAGGAGCACCTGTTACAGTTTAATAGCTGATTATAAAACCACCTTCTAAAGAGTACCAGAACAACCCAACAGTTGTCCAGGGATGACAAAAAGTTTTAGGGCAGCCATAGTCAAAGGCACAGTTGACAAGAAAATCTGTTACCTCTGTGGCACACAATAATTTTAACATAACAATTATGACTATTACTTATAATGTACATGTCATATGAGAATTACAGGAGTTTCCCATAATTTGGCAACACATACCAATAACATATTTATACTAATACAGCCCAAAGAAAACCAAATGCCATTTCATATTTGACAATGCTTCCTGCATAATTTTTGTACCCAATAAGCCAAATGATGTCATTTTTGGACTTTATTAAACCTAATATCTTAAAGGATTAATTAGGTCAGAAAAAGACATAATTTATAACTTGATTTGGGAAAGTCTGTCAAATATCAAGGGTTTAAAAGACTTGATTTCACAAAATAGGATTACTATTCTGTAAGTAAGCCATTCATTTAACCAAAGTGATAACTCAAGGATTTCAAAAAAAAGGTGAAAACCTTCATTCTTTGAGAGAGGAGACTTAATTTTCCAAACAATAAGCCCTAATAAAAACATCATGAAGGTAATTAACTTTCTTTTTCAAAATTTTACCAATTATATAATTTTAATCTTGACCATAAGACATAACTTCCATAAATCTTTGATAACCTTTATAACCTTTATTAAGGAATTGGTTAATGCTTAAAGAAAACCTTGTTAATCTGACATAGGGGCCCATATACTGTTTTTGCATCAGTGTAATTTGACATTGATGATTAATTTAGAGAGAAACTGAATTTATTTTATCTTTCAAAATCAGCCCTTACAATCTCATGTGCCCACCTCTTCCACTATAGCCCCTGGGCCTTGAGGAGTTGAATAGCTTTAATTTCTGGCCCTGTGTCTCAGGAATGCACTATAGTTTGATTGGCATCTTCTACAGGACCTGAGGATGAGGCTTTAATTGCTATCAGTATTTAAGATTTAGTAGGTCTTGGTGTCTTTTTTATACCCAGGTGTCAAAGCCCTGTAACTCAATGTCATAAGAACTTTAAAGGCACATATAGGAAGATACATGGATGTAATAACTTTAATTAAAAAATATATACATGTATCTTATTTTTTCCTAAGCAAACCAAACTTAATAATAATGGTATGGTAATTATCTCAATAAAACATAAAATCTGTTAGGCCAGTTACCAAAAGGCAAAAGAAAAGACCTCCTTTACTGCACAGAATATTATGTTGGAAGAAAACATTTCATTTAGATCTTTAAAAAAATAGGCCTTTTACATTTGATTTTAGGGGATCTAGAACTAGAAATACCATTTGACCCAGCCATCCCATTACTGGTTATATACCCAAAGGATTATAAATCATTCTACTATAAAGAGACATGCACATGTATGTTTATTGTGGCACTATTCACAATAGCAAAGACTTGGAACCAACGCAAATGCCCAACAATGATAGACTGGATAAAGAAAATGTGGCCTTATACACCATGGAATACTATGCAGCCATAAAAAAGGATGAGTTCATATCCTTTGCAGGTACTTGGATGAAGCTGAAAACCATCATTCTCAGCAAACTAACACAAGAACAGAAAACCAACCACCACATGTTCTCATTCATAAGTGAGAGTTGAACGATGAGAACATATTGACACAGGGAGGGGAGCATCACACATCGGGGCCTGTTGGGGTTTGAGGGGCTAGGGGAGGAATAGCATTAGGGGAAATACCCAATGTAGGTGACGGGTTGATGGGTGCAGCAAACCACCATGGTACATATATACCTTTGTAACAAAACTGCACGTTCTGCTCATGTACCCCAGAATTTAAAGTATAATTTAAAAAAAGAATTAATAATTAAAAACCTTATGAAACAGAAAAATAGGCCTTTTAAAAGGGGCGAGAAAGCTGAAAAACAATAAAAATTGAACTTTCGGTTAAAAAGATTGGAATCTCATTATTTATTAAGAGTGGATCGGCTTCTTAAGAAAATTTCATTGTTCCAACCAATAATTTAGTGTATAAGTGTGTTTTTTTACATCAAGCCCAATCTCTGGACAGAGCATTATAATTTCCCTTTAATTATAAACAACTTGATCATATTCAAGTTTTCTTTTTTTTAATAAATTGTCTCATTGTGGCTTACACAGACCATTCCTGACATTCTTAGATTTTATGGTTTGTCCTTAACATCCCTCTTTCGTTTTTTTTTTTTTTTTTTTTTCCGGCTCACTACAAGCTCTGCCTCCCGGGTTCATGCCATTCTCCTGCCTCAGCCTCCTGAGTAGCTGGGACTGCAGGCACCTGCCAACATGCCTGGCTAATTTTTTTGTATTTTTAGTAGAGATGGGGTTTCACCATGTTAGCCAGGATGGTCTCAATCTCCTGACCTCGTGATCTGCCTGTCTCGGCCTCCCAAAGTGCTGGGATTACAGGTGTGAGCCACTGTGCCCAGCCAACATCCCTCTTTCTTAAACAACCAGTCGTTTTAGGACTAAATTTACTATATAAGATTTTTTTTATATATAAAATTATTTCTCTTTAAGCTTTCTTATCACATCAAAACCTCTTTATTTTTATAATTTTCTTTACATCTCTCTTATTTTCTGGTTCCTTTACTTTGTTTCCTACATAAACTTTAAGCTTTGGATTAGACAAAACTTGTTCACCCTTTTTAAAAAGGACACACTTTTTTTTTAAGAAGAATGTTTTCCCAAATTTTCATTGGAAAACACCCAAAAAATGAAATCTCTATTATTTAATTAATGTAAATTTATTCTAATTTATGATGTTTGTCTGCAAGTATTTATCCCATTACATTTACTAATTATTTTATTTTGTTTACCTAGATTATTTATGAAAACTGCAATAGTCATCATTTAAAGTTATGGGACCACCATTGCAAAGTTATAACTGAGACACTGAAAAAGATTTGACCTAACTGAATCCATCTTGCTTTTAACCTCCAAGCTGTGTTTGTTCATTCCTGAGCATAGGCTGGACTAACATTGGGGGGAATTTAGTTTATAGTTTAGTCTGAAACAAAGATGATAACAGTTCTTTCCCCAGAAAAACCCTCCTTATTGCCTGTGTAATAGACTGCCTAAAGTCACAGTATTAGAAGTTATAGTAATCTCACTAAATTCAAGGTGTAGCTATTTTCATTAAACCAATATCAATGTCTTATTTATTAAAAATTACACAGCAAAAATCATTCTGTATTGGACTGGGTTTATAGTTTTGTTACTCCTATGCCAAATTTTGACACCTTATAGTATTTGGCAGGGATAAATATGAAATTACTTGATTAATAAATGCAACCAAAAATTGTATGCTGGCAATTCTTAAGACATTTCTAATATTACTTTACGAACAATTTTAAAGCTAGCTTATTTATTAAGGATTTTACTTAAGTTACATAAACTTGAAAAAGCATTTGACTAGTCTTTTTTTTTTCCGGTAAAGTATTTGATTCAAACACCTTTATTTTCTTAAGCCAATTAATGAGAATTCTTTACATATTTTCAGTAGTGAAACTTTGTGTACACAGCACATAAATAAATAGATGTATTAGGTATGCTGATACAAATACATCTTATAGATTCTTAAGACCTCCTTTTTTTTTTTTTCCTATCTTAGACTTGCAAACTCTTGATAACCTGTTTCCTTACCCTGGCAGTTGTCAGCTAAACAGGCTAAATCTGCATATTAAAGGAAACAACTTAGGAGAAAATCAGATAGCACAATTTACATGATAGTATCAAGAGAAACTCTGGTGAGCTAGAGGGAAATTAAAACAAATTTAATTGCCAATTGAACATAAAATTATAGAAGTCTATTATAAAGGCCTTCAAATATATATATATACACACACACATATACATACACACATACACACACACACAGATTCTGTAGCTTTTTCTTCAGTACTTTAGCCATGAGATAAATATAAATTCACCAACTTGGAAACAAACAAAAAAAACAACCTGTTAGTTCCAAAGAGTGGTTTTCATCTCAGTAGAAAAGTAACAGCAGATTTAAAACAGGCAGAAAAGAAAAATAGAGAAAAAGAGAACCTGGGAACTGTAGTTTCCAGGTGGACCTTAGGGCTCTTTTTCCTTAATGCAAATGTACACAAACACCATATTATTTCCATTTTACCCTGGCAAGCAGAGCTGCCCTGAAACCTACAGAGTGCTCGAAAGGGGGAGGGTCATTCTCCTTGTTTTCTTTTCATTCTTAGATTATTTCCCACTTTTTTATTCCTTAAAAGGAGAAACTTAGCTGTGGCCTAGGGTTTTTGTGTGGTAGATCGGTATGTGCTGCTTGTGGGCAGGACTCAACCATGTATCACTGCTGAGTTGTTTCCACCCTCTTACATGTCTCAGTTACTCTCTCTCCAGATGTCTATGAACTCTGAGAGGGCTCAAAACACCAGGTGATCAGCCCTTATATGCATTTCCTAGACCAACCATTTTGAAAATTATTTTTTGTTGGGGATTTCCCTGCATGGCCACTGCACATGGCAGGGGGTCAACCCTCAGACATTCCTATGAGGCCCCCAGTCACTCAGGGATACCTTTCAGCTGGGAGAAGCAAATGCCCTTTCTCTTCAAAGCTAAGAAAACCCAAGTCTCTCATTAATGTGTGAAAACAACAGTTCAGTTTCTCATGCAAATATGCACAGACAAACCAAATTAAGATGAATTTTGGGAGAAAAAGCAATAGCAAAGACCCTTTAGAATGCACCTCCAAGCTAGAATTAGGATCCTCAAACAACAACTTCCTAGGAGAGAAAAGAAAAAACAGCCAAGACCACTTCCTGCAAACTGCTCATCCACCCGTAACTTTGTAGCTCTTGTCTGCCATTATCTATGCCAAGGTCAAATCCTCTCACAGGGCGAAGTCATCCCTGTTACCCCAAGCGAAAAAGATCAGGTCATGCAATACAGAAAAACAGATCTTTAGACCTAAAAAGAATCTTCCCATGACTCTAGAAAACTCCCCAAAGAAAACATAACACCCCCAAAGAGGATAAGTAGTGCCTTCGTTCTGAATTCTTTAAAGGGGTTCAAGTCATTAGAAGCCTTCTCTAGATTTTTTGGTACTGCCAATAGCAAAGGGGGAAGGAGGTATTGGGTGGAATAAAAGTAAACAAAAGAGCAATCTTTTTTTTTTTTTTTAAGACAGGAAGCAAACACAGAAACCAAGCACATGCTTTTTTGTTTTCTCTTTTTTTTTTTCCTTTTGCAGCTGCGATGAATTTTAGCCAAATTCAAGAGGCCTTGAATTTGAAATTGTCACTCAGATTTGACTAAGTCAGGTAGAGTTGGTCAAATCTGATGGGAGAAAGACCAGAACAAACAACAACAACAAAAATCTCAACAATATGATCACTGGGTGCTCCAATGGTAAGGAGAAATTGAGACCAGCTGGTTGTTAATCTTAAGTTCAGCCAAGACAAACCCCAATTCAGTTACTTACTTAGCGATGAGTCTCAGGCTAAAGACTGCTCTCTACCATCCTAGAAGCAGGGGAAAAATATAACGCATCTTTCTTCCTGGAAGCAAGCTCAAACTCCATAAAGGAGTTGCCTGCCTTCCATCATCATGGAAGCAGGAAAAACTTGCCTTCCTTGTGTTGGAAACAAGAAGAGCTCCAAAAAAAAAAAAAACAAAAAAAACAAAAGAGGAGCTGTACAGCAAAATCAACTTTAGATCTTGAACAGATTTTGGGAGATCAGGGATTCTCTGGAGGGGGTGCTCTCAGACCTCAGCAAATTGTCCTCTTGGTTTGAGCCATAAAGTTAGCTCATGCTGGTATCAAGCACCAATAGATCTGTCAAAGGTCAGGGGAGCATCTCCACTTAGAATTACTTTGTGGTTGCCAAATGTGAACCCCCAAAATTCGAGATAGTCTCAGTTAATTTAGAAAGTTTATTTTGCCAAGATTGAGGACACATACCCACAACACAACCTAAGGAAGTCCAGATGACAGGTGCCCAATGTGGTCAGAGTACAGCTTGGTTTTATACATTTTAGGGAGACATGAGAAACCCATCAATATATGTCAAATGAACATTTGTTCAGACCAGAAAGGTGGGACAACTTGAAGTAAGGAGGGGACTTCCGGGTCACAGGCAGGTGAAAGACAAAAAGTTACATTCTTTTGAGTTTCTGATTAGCCTTTTCAAAGGAAGCAAGCAGATATGCATTTATTTCAGTGAACAGAGGGATGACTTTGAATAGAATGGGAGGCAGGTTGGCCCTAGGCAGTTCGTAGCTTCAGTTTTCCTTTTAGCTTAGTGATTTTGGGATCCAAGATATTTTCCTTTTATGTTGTATATCCATGATCAGCTAGAAGGTAGATCCGGTGGGGGGATTCTTCCTCACTTGAAGGAATAGAGGAGGCAGGAGTCATTGAATCTGCAACTGGGGTGGAAGTGAGGGTCAGTCTGTTTAGGCTAGAGAGTTTCTTTCTGTCATTAAACTTTTGTTTTAATGGGTTTCAAAATTCTGTGATAGATTTTTGATCAATTGTTTTTATTTCAGAGGAACTGGTTTTAAAAACTAGTATTTAAAGCTACCACTCTCTTCTGCACACACACACACACACACAGACACATACACATACACACACACAGTCTAGTAAACATTCTCCTTTCTTCCTGAACATTTTATGATGCTTTGTTATCATTAACCAGTTAAGTTTCAATGGTCAGTAAAGACAAACAGTTCTGAGATATTTCACTGATTACAACTGGGGTGGCAGGTGTTACGGACAATATTCATTAGGCTTCTGAACTTTCTAAGCAGACTTGGTGACATTGCCAGCTCTAGCAGCCTTCTTGTTCACACTTTGATGATGTTACTGAACCCTGATTTGGATGCTTGCTGTTCAAAAGAGATATGTGACACAAGAGTTGGTGACAGAAAAAGCAGGTTCATTCAGAGAGCCAGAAAACCGAGTACCATATTAAATCAGTACAAATTTCAGGCTCTTTTTATGTTAAGGGAAGGGAAAAGAGAGGGAGTTTGGTATTAAGAGGTGACCACTGACTACAGATATCTGGGTCCCAGTGAGAGTCTGAGCAGGTTGGGAACTTCTTTCTCCTTGGTCAGGTCTCAATGTTCCTATAAATGTTTAATAAAATATAGTTGTTTAAGGCCAGGTGCGGTGACTTGCGCCTTTAGTCCCAGCACTTTGGGAGGTCGAGGTGGCCAGATCACCTGAGGTCAGGAGTTTGAGACCAGCCTGGCCAACATGGCAAAACCCCATCTCTACTAAAAATACAAAAATTAGCCAGGCGTGGGTGTGTGCACCTAGAATCCCAGCTACTCGGGAGGCTGAGGCAGGAGAATTGCTTGAACCCAGGAGACGGAGGTTGCAGTGAGCCAAGATGTCACCACTGCACTCCATCCTGCGTGACAGAGTGAGACCCCATCTAAAAAAAAAACGTTGTTTACATACTTCTCCTTTAATTCCAGAGTTAGTTTTAAGGGCTGCATTGCACTTTTTATATATTATTTCACTGATCTAAAATTATGTTTACATGCAAAAATAGGTAAAAGCCTCTCAAACAAAACAGTGTTATGTTCTTTTACTGTTTCACTGTTACAGTGATACCCACAGGAAGTGTCTGCTTCGTATTATAAACAGCAAAATAACCTAGAGAAGGATATTCAGACATGTTTTCAATACACATGGGCTAGCCAAGAACCCTATCAATGATGGCAGCACCAGCAGATTTCAAGAATTTGAGGCCATCATTCTGGTTTCTTGCCAGAATGATGACCAGCCTTCTTCAGCTAAGCAACCTTGCCAGCAATGTGAGCTATGTGGCAAAGACAGCACTGATTTGGCCTAGATGGTTCGGGATAATCACATGACCAGTGAAGCCAGCTGCTTTCACTGAGGCATAATTTTTACTGTTACCAGCCACTTTCCTGTAACAAACATATTTCACAGAAATGTTATTAATATTGAAGCCCTTTTGTCCACAAGAAGAGCTTCTCTCAAAGCTTCCTGGTGCATCTCAACAGGTTTTACTTTGGATGTAACACTAAGGAAAGCAAAGGTGAACATGATATTAGGTTTAATAATTCCAGTCTCTCCTAGGACCACAGGGACAGTACCAAGTCCATCAATTTTGTAAACATCCTGGAGGTGCTGATGCTAAGTCTTGTCAGTTAGTGGGCAGAGAAAGAAGTTGAATTTTATTATTGTCTCCCAAGCCGAGTTGTCTTACATCAAGGCCCACCATGATCCATGATCATAGGTGTCTTTGTTGCTCATCCAAGTGTGTATTTTAATTCACACATTTGCTTGAATGACCAATATTTATAACTGTAGTCTATGGAGGTTGTGTTTTACTTAGTCAACTTGCAGTAACCAGGAATTCCATTAACAGTATATCTATAAAGGTGTTTATCTGTGTTTGATCTATTGACTCTCCTCAGAAACAGAATAAATGGGCAGTCCTAAAATTAATTTGGAGATTATATGTCTATTTAATTAAACCAATTAAAGTTACTCTTAGTGCTTCTGTAAGAGTCACAACCAACAAGGCTATGCATACCTTAATTCATACTCCTCCACGTTTACTGAAGGTCAAAGTTGATAACCAGAGAAGTTTATGGCATTTACATAATGGTCCAGGACTACCATCTATGACAAACCTAGACTTAAGTTGATTGGACTCTACCACAGCTATAAATGATCTTATTCTAGATTAAATTAAATTTGTCTAATCTTAATCTGGAAAAATATTACAATTGAAAAAAATTTGATGGGTTAAAGAGTTGGAAACAAATCCACAAACAAAGCCATATAAACTACATAAATTTGTGACTAATCAGAAACTTTGAATGGTGGATACTCAGGTGATAGATAAAAATATGTAGATCTTGAAAAACTGGGTCTTTGTCTTTATTGGAATGAAATGAACTTGTTTCTGGGCTTTTTCTACAATTATGCCACTGATCTGTTTATCTTCATGCCCACCCAAAAAAGCTTTACATTTTAGGCCAGGCGCAGTGGCTCACGCCTGTTAATCCCAGCACTTTGGGAGGCCGAGGCGGGCAGATCACGAGGTCAGGAGATCGAGACCATCCTGGCTAAAGCGGTGAAACCTCGTCTCTACTAAAAAAATACAAAAAATTAGCCGGGCGTAGTGGCGGAGGCCTGTAGTCCCAGCTACTCAGGAGGCTGAGGCAGGAGAATGGCGTGAACTCGGGAGGCGGAGCTTGCAGTGAGCCGAGACTGCGCCACTGCACTCCAGCCTGGGCGACAGAGCGAGACTCCCTCAAAAAAAAAAAAAAAAAGAAAAAAAACGCTTTACATTTTATTGTTTGTAATATTTCTCTATCTGGCACACTTTCCTTGGTTTTCTGCAGGGTAATCTTAGACTTTAAATGTTCTTTATTTTTTTCACATTTTGAATTACCTAGTCCAGTTTCATGAAATACCCTATTGGAATTTTGAGTGTTTATTTTCATGAACAAAGTGTATCATTTTATGTATGTTTCTTTTCTATATTTTTAAATAAATTATATACTTTGATTAAAATAGTGTTATTCCATATTATAAAAGATTAATTTTATGCATATATTTTATTTGCTGTTCTATTTAATTTTTACTTTAACTATATGTGAAATTAATTTATTTTAATGGCTCTCTTAAAAAGCAAGCATTTAACTTTTAGTACTCTGTTACTACATATATATTTTTAAAATAGACAATAATATTACTTAAAATATATGTTTATTTTCTTCCTTTATAACATATATATTTTATATCTTATTTATACGGTTGCTTATTTATTTGTTATTAGTATTTGTTTATTGTGTTGGCTAAGAATTCAAAAACAATATTGAAGACATGGTGTCAATATGTGTATCCTGGTCCTTGAATTTGCTATAAATAACAATTATGTTGTCAGATTAAGGATGATCCTTTAGTTTTCTATGCATTTTTAATCTCAAATGGATCTTTCCTTTTAAAATATTTTTAATCACATAATTTATATATTATGCTATTGTGAATTACTCTAATATGTTTAGTCAAATAGTCTAAAGGATATGTTAATGCCATGAATCTCATACCCATGATTTTTATCAAATAATTTTTAACATTTTGTTATCACTATGGATTATGTTAACATGCTTGTTTTTTATATTGTTGAGATTGTACAAATATTGAATTTCCCAATCAGACTCTCATGAATCAGAAATCTCAGTCAGTATCAAAGCTTAGCAAATAAGCACCAGCTTATCTGAAACAGGGAGAGGGCCAGGACTTAACAGCATGACTCCCTAGCTGTTTTCTCCCCTAATGTGATGTGCATTGGCCTACACTAAAATATAAATTTCTAAATAAGGTGGGCAGTAACAACACTGGTATAGAAGGCAGGTCATGAAACATCTCTATTTTATACTCAGTTATTGGCTTACATGACATTTCCCACAAAATCATGTCTCATAAACTCATGTATTCTAGACTTATTTACTATAAGCAATCCTTGACAAATATGTACATCCTGCTAAAAGCAAATGATTAGTTTTTTTTATTTCCCCAAAACGTTTATTTAGTAAAGGAATGAAAAGATTGCTGATCTGCTGCTACACCCGCAGTTAAATTCATGTCCCCATTGCAAATTATCATGTATAAAGTAAACACAATGCCAACAAAAAATTTGAACACAATTTTTACAAGTGAGTTATCATGTAATAGCCACCCAGGTTCAGAAATAGAACATTGACTGTACCTTGGAAGGGCTCCTTTCTAATAACAATCCTAGTCATCACTGAGAGGTAATATCTAATCTAATTTTTATGATAGAACTCCTGTTTTCCTTATAAAATTATCAGCTGGGCCCACCTTCCTAAATAATAGAGTTTTATTTTTCCTGGTATTGAAATGTATTTATATGGATTTTATATAAATCTTATAAATTGATTTTTATAAAAAATATGAAATTATGTTATTTTATTTTTTATCATTCTTCTATCTCATTATATTTTATATTAATTCAGGTTGTTACATGTTTTTGTGTTTAGTTATATCCACTAATGAATAGCATTCCATTCTATGACTCTTCCAAAATTTATTTAAGCGTGCAAATAGGCCTTTGTGGTACCTCCTAGTTTGGTTTAATATGGGGAAAAAACAGATTGTGTATTATGCAGAAGCATGTATGGTCACGTTTTTCAAAAAATGTTGTAAGGTATATACTTCTTGGTTCACATTTGTTAGAAAATGCTGAAGTAATTTTTTAAAGAACCTTTCATATCTCTCCCATAGGGGAATATGGAAGTTCCATTGTTCTATTTCTTAAAAAGTAAATAAACAACAACACTAACAAGAAAACATTCAGTGTTGGCAGTCTTTACGAACTTTAGCCATTCCTAGCTGTATAATGGCATCATATTGTGTACTAATTTAAATTTCTTTCATTTATACATTTGAGCACATTATCTTATAGCTACTGTCCATTTGGATACCTGCTTTTTTCTGGAGGCCCTGTTCCAGTATCTAATTTTTCTATTACCTTCTTTCTTTTTTTTTTTTTTAATTTTACTTTAAGTTCTGGGATACATGTGTGGAAAGTGCAGGTTTGTGACACAGGCATACCTGTGCTGTGCCATGGTGGTTAGCTGCACCTACCAACTTTAAATTTTGTTTCTTTCTACTGATGTATTGAGCTACTTAAGTATGCTCGATAGGAGCCTTTTTATTATGCATCTTACATGTCTCTCACAATATGAATTACATTTTCAATCTCTTAATAACTCTTAAAATCATGAAGCTATAAACTTCTATTGTCATTTATAAACACTGTTGAATCTTCCATATTTACATGTACAAATTGAATGGGAACTGATGGTGGGCTATAATATTCGACAGGCATTAAGACTCTTTTCTTTCCACATGGTTACAGAGCAAACAAATAACAGGCATTGAAAAGATGACACTTGCCCTGCTTCCCTGAAGTGCCACCTTTGTTGTAAATTATGTGCCCATATGGGCACGTGTCTACTTCTGTGTTCTTTTCTCACCTCTGTTGAGCCTTGTACAGGTAACATTGTACAAATATCAAAATATCCTGTCTTAATCATTCTGGCTTTACAATTACTCCTAGTATCTGATAGAGCACGACTTCTTAAATTGAGCGTGTATACATTTCATCTGGAGTTCTTGCTAAAATGAAGATTCTGATTAAATAACTGTTGGTGGAGTCTGAAGTTCTGCATTTCTAAAAAGCTCCTACGAGATGCTGATGCTGTATAATCATGGACCTCACTTTGATTAATGAGGCAATGAAGTCAGTCCTCCAAAGATGTTCTTTTTATTTCAGTTTGCATTAATTATTCTGGCTTTTATGCATTTCAATTTAAATATTGTTATCAGTTCATCAAGTTTTGGCCCCTAAAAAGCTACAGCCAAGTAGCAGTGGCAGCAACAAAAACAACAACAAACTTCCACGGGAAATTATATTTGAATGTAATTGTGTCAATAAATTAATTATAGGAAATTGACAGTTATAAATTACCGAGTTTTCCAGTTAAGGGACACAATTCATATCAACAATAATTCACTTATTTTACTAAGTGTTTTATATGTAACAATTTTGCAATTCATTAGATTTTCTTCCCTAGATTTTTATATTATTTATATGGCATACTTCTTAAATTTTGTGTTCAGTGCTGGTATGCTATCATGTATTTTTTTTATGTTGTTTTCTCTGGTCTTTCTGATATGCTACCTTAGAGCATTAAAACTATTAACTAAAACACATTAAACAGTGTAAAATTGTATGCAATTTATTTTACTGGCTTCTTTTATACTTGTTCATATATCAGAAAAATTTTTCTCAACAGCAAGGCAACTATTGATAAGGAGTTACAACCTTTACACAGTAGACTCTTCATTTAAATTTGAATCATAGAGGTTACTTCTTTTCTTGTCATCACCTGTTTAGTTTATGAACTAGATACATTCCAGTTGCATTAATGTTTAAAAGAAAAAAATTATTAATTTAATTAAATATTTCTTCTGTCCTTGAATACTTGTACAGAATAATGTACTCTAACAACAGTTAAATATTAGATGCATATTATTGTTGAATCATTTTATTTTGATTGACATAAAGATACATCAACTTGCAAATGATGGCAGCAGTGATGCTTAACTCAATAGTCTTTAATAGTTCATTTATTTTTGACCCATTTTGAAGTATGAATTGAAAATTGTTGTGAGAGTAAAAATTGCCTTTGAAAACAAGCCTTCTACAGCTTTTATTAGAAGCCCTTGAATAGTAAGTGAGTTTTGAGATGGTATATGTTTTCTTTATTTTAGAAATTATTAAGGCAATTTCCTCCGATAATACTAAAATAACTTTAGAAAATAATATGAAAATGGTGAAAGTACATCTAATACTTTTATTGTAACCTGAAGCTATTCTATGAATATATGAATTGTCATTATTTTCAGTGTTCTATGATTAAAGAATAAAAATGACTTAAGGATAAAGGGTGCATATTGCTTCATAATATTTAGTTGACAATTACCTATATTGGGAAAAAAGGATCAGGCTTACTTTAAATAAATTTTAATGTTATTATTATAAGCAATTGTATCTCTTAATTTCCTACGTTTTATTTTAATAATAGACTAGATCTCAGCCTCAAAGAGTTTTCATTCTCAAAGTTACTTAGAGATCACTTAACCTTCAGTTACAGTTAACCCTTGATGTCACATCACTATTAATCTTACTTGGAAATAATTATATTATTATCAATTGAATATAAAATAAAACACATTTTAAAAGAAAAGTTGAGCATGGTTTTATTTTGTAGCTAAAAATGTAATTTAAGAATCTACTATTTAATTGTTTAAACAAATTCTCAAGCAGTATGTCTACCATATATAATTGATTTTTTATTTTATGGAGTCTTTTGATGGGCAAATATTTTGAATTTTGATTAATTTCAACTTATCGATTTCTTTAGTTTATGGTTGCTCTTTCAATCTCCCTAAAAAAATTTCCTACCAATGGTTACAAAGAAAATTCCTTTAAGACTGTATAGTTTTAAAAAGTATCTTGCAATTTATTATTCATTTTCAATCTGATTTGATCTTTTTAAGTTCTTATATTCACATATGAAGTTTAGAACTGCTTGTTAATTTTTACTACAAGCCTTCCTGGATTATATAACGAAGCATTGGAACTACCAGTCATTTCAGGGAGAACTAACATCATAACGATATTGAGTCTCATCAAAGTTTGGTAATTTTCAGTGTAGTGCTCTGTCACTTCATAAGTTAAAGGTATTCCAAAATGTCTAATTTATTTTATCCGATGGTAAATGTAATAATTAAAGAAAGAGGAAAGAATCATGAAAGGTGGCCCTTAAAGAGGGCTTCTGGCAGAGTTAGGTCAGAGGCACACTTTCTTACAGACTAAGAGTTTTTAAGTACTCAAGGTGATGTTTATCAGAAGCTTGGACTGCTTCTGTGTCTTTTTATTGTGCTTATCTGGGAGGGAGAGTTCTGTGTCTGCTCCTATACATCTTTCTGCAGCTGCAGACATACTCCCTGAGTCTGCTTTTAGCTTTCCTATCTTAGTGCACCTGAAGGGAAAGGAATGAGCTTATTAAGGCCCACTGTTTTACTGGGGCCCATTGTATGAGAGTGAAGTTTGGCAGTTACCCAAGAGACGTTCCCCTCACCTCCCTCTGTGCCTGAGCTGTCTTGTCTGTGTTTTATTCTCTGCTCTTTCTGGCTGCTTGTAGTTAGAAGAGAAGCTTCTACATGATTTCCTTGAAATGCATGAGACTGGAAAGGGAGCTAGAACTTAAGGTGGTGGTGTTTGTCCAAAATGACAGTGCTCCTCCTCTGTTAGAAGGACCATTTTTATAATTTTTGTTTTAGTTTTTATTGCTAGGTTATAAAAAGAAAATTATTATTATATACTAGATTTTAGTAAAAAACATTTAGAATCCTTAGCATTTTCTCAACACAGACATACACACATAAAAGAGATTTTACTTATTTCTCTATCTGTATGCTTTCTAGCTTTAGATTATGCCACTATTTGTTCTTTCTAGCACGATACTGAATATAAATGTTAAGATGGGCCAGTTGCAGGGCCTCACACCTGTAATCTCAGCACTTTGGGAGGTTGAGGCAGGAAGATCACTTGAGCCCAGGAATTCAAGACCAGAATGGGCAACATAGTGAGACCCTGTCTCCACAAAAAATGAAAGTAGCTAAGATAAGAGGATCACTTAAGCCTGGGAGGTAGAGGCTGCTGTGAGCCATGATTGAGCTACGGCACTCCAGCCTGGGCCATAGACCCTGAAAAAAAAAAAAAAAGGGAAAGGAAAAAGAAGGAAGGAAGGAAGGATGGAAGGAAGGAAGGAAGGAAGGGAAGGAGAGAGGGAGGGAGGGAGGAAGGAAAGAGAGAAAGAAGGAAAGAAAGAAAGGAAAGGAAAGAAAGAGAAAGAGAGAGAGAAAGAAAGAAAAAAGAAAGAAAGAAGAAAGAAAATAAAAAGAAAAGAAAGGAAAGAAAAAAGAAAAAGGAAGGAAGGGAGGGAGGGAACAGTTAAAAGTTAAGATAACATACTCTTAACCTCCAAATTAAAAGAAGCCATTTAATATTTTAACAATAATAATCTTAGTTGTAGATTATACACAATGTATTCTAACCTTATAAAGTTTCCTATTTTATGAAGATTTTTTTTTTTAAATTATAAATTGGTTTTGGATTTTGTCAATGTGCTTCCTGAATATGTTGAGATAATTTTTACCTTTTTTTGTTGACAATGTGGAATACTATTTTGGTTGATTTAAAATATTGAAACAAACTTCCATAATTGAGATAAACCCATGCCTGAGTGTGTTAAAATTTTTATATGTTTTATAATTTGATTTGATAATGTTTTATTAAGAAATTCATATTTTATTTTTGAGTGACTTAAATGGAATAAATAAAATACAATCAACCTTTATTTCCTGAAAGAAGTTTATAAAATCACTATGTTTTCATTATTAAAAGTTTCACAAAATATACCAGTGAAGCCACCAGGTCCTTGAGACTTTTTTCAAAATATTTTAAAATTATAATTCTTTTAAAGTGATTTAGGCCCCTTCAGTGTTTTAAATTCCTTTTGTATCAACTTTGCTAAACTGAGTTTTCGAGAACTTTGTTCATGTCATGTAAGTTATTAAATGTATTAATGTAAACATTTTTCTTCATATTGCTTACTAGTTTAAGGTATTTACAATGTCTAATGGTATCTCCATCATTTCTAATGATTATTTATTTTTTCATTTTTATCTTGATCAACTATGTTAGGAATTTATCAAAATAACTAATATATTCTATCTGTAAGCTTAAATTTATGTTTCCAACTTTGTTAATGTCTACCTTCATTTTTCCACTTTCAATTTGTTCCACTTTCAATTTGTGTGGATTGGCTTTCTAGCTTCGTAATATGATATATTACATAATCAATATACAATTGTTTGTCAGTATTATGATTTTTAGTTATAGAATTTTCATTTTAATAGATTCTATTTCTGTAGAGTCTTATGCAACCAATAAGATGATACTGTTCTTCATGTCTGTATTTATATTTAAAATAGCAGCATCAAAGTCCTTGTCCCCTATTTCCAACATATGGGTCAACACTTGATGTGTTCCTACTTATTGCAGTTTTTACCATATATTATAATATATGTATATATACACACATATACAAATGTATGTATACACACTTACACACACACACACACAATCTCCTTGAACAGATTCAAGAGTATCCACCAGTAATTTAGTTGCCTGACAAAATTGCCTGCATAAGGTTCAATTAAATAATCTAATTGCTTCATGAGAGCTCTTCATTCTGGCAGAGCTTTAGCTTCAGAAATGCATAACCTCTGAATCTCTATACATCAACAATGACTTGCTGCTAGGCTTCCCAGAGGCCTCCATGAATGTGCTGCCAAGCTTTTGGCCAAGGACTTTAGGAGAATCCCTTCACAGTTTTCTGGGTGGGGGTCCTCTTCTGTATAACTTTACCTTTCCAAAAACCTGCCTGACAAATTTGCGAACTGAGAAGCTCTGATTTTCCCATGTATGCACCTCGGCTCAGCTTCGATCTGCTTTCCTGATTAGGAATGCATTCAAAGGTAAAACCTTGGGTGAATGTGGAGCTCACTTATGGATCCAACTTCTCTCGCTCTGCTGTTTGTTATCCAACACCAGAAAACAGTTCACTTATAAATGTGTACACTTCTGCAGTTGTTTAAATTGAGAAGTTCACCTTAGCTATGGGTAGAGGAAACCCATATTTTTAACATTATGTGAAACAATAGAAAAGGAAATATTGTGAATTCAGAAAAGCTACTGAACCAAACTTCTGCCTAAAACTTACAGAAACTAATTTGACACACACACAGACACAGACACACACACAGACACACAAACACGTGCATTCATAGAAAATTATGAAGGTCTAATTTTAACCAAAATTATCTTGAGAACAAGAGGATTAGGAACACTGCTAACACTGTATACTCACATCAAAAATCTGCTAAAAATATCAAAACCTTAACCTGTTATTCGAAATGATTAAGAAACATTAAGATATTTATAGGACATATGAAAATACAATATGTGAAAGTTATAAATATCTGAAATGGGTGGCAGGAATGCAGAAATAATTAACTTTTTTAAGTATTAGAAATTAAGATTAAACAAATAAGAACCCAGGAGTGAATTACAAAAATAATAATGCATTAAGACGCATAAACGTTAAAAAAGAAAAAAAAAACAAAATATAAAATCAATATAAGTTTTTCAACAGAAAGTAATGAATATTAAATATAGACAATAAAACTCTGAGTTAATAGAAATTTCTGAAGGAGAAAATCATGCAAGGGAGCAGAACGCATACTAAAATGTATTATTCAGAAAAACTTTATTGAATTAAAAAAAGAAAACTACGTAATGTTCCAGAATGATCAATATGTATTCCAATAGAACTGCTCGACTTCAAGAAAAAGAATCAGTTCTTTGAGAATCTAGACAAAAACAAAAGCATGAGGTATAAAGGGAAAATGTAGGAAGTCTTATATATCATCAATTTATGACAAAAGTATATATCAGAAATAACATATCTAAAATTCTCAAGGAAAGACAATGGGGCCCTAAACCTCAGCCATTACTGAGAAGTGGAATATTTAAGTTCCAAGAGTTCATAACTGTTCCTTCAATAAGAAAAAGACCAGCTGAATCTAATGTTCCCTTCACTTGTGATAAACATTCTTTGGATGTAAATAAAACTATGAAGAATAAGTTTCTCCTCTGAAGTAGTTGCCTCAAACCCAGGTGTCAGAGAGCACAGATTGCTTATGATTATAGGCCTGATGAAAGGACAAGAAAGTTGTAACAGTCAAATTTCATTTTTAAGGAACTATTTTATTTATTTATTTATTTATTTATTTTATTTTACTTTTTTTTTGGAGACAGAGTTTCGCTCTTGCCCAGGCTGGAGTTCAGTGGCATGACCTCGGCTCACTGCAACCTCTGCCTCCTGGTTTCAAGCGATTCTCCTGCCTCAGCCTCCCAAGCAGCTGTGATTACAGGTGTGAGCCACCACGGTCAGCTAATTTTTCTATTTTTAGTAGAGACGGGGTTTCACCATGTTGGCCAGGCCTGTCCTGAACTCCTGACCTCAAGTGATCCACCCACCTTGGCCTCCCAAAGTGCTGTGATTACAGGTGTGAGCCACTGTGCCCTATCTAAGTAACAGTTTAATCAAAGGGTTGTATGAGCATCCCACAAATGAAAAAGTGGTTGAATAAAAACCCTAAACTGCCAAGTAGCCATGGCCCATGACAATCACTGAAGGTTATCTGCATCAGGAGAAACAATGTTTAGCCGCAAAGAGACTACCGTTTGTGGATCAAGGATGGAAGCCTGGAAGTGTATGGAGTTGTTTTCGTTCTTTCTACCTGGTCCACTTCTGGCTATCACAAGAATAGAGAAACTGAAGAATCATACATATGCATCCCACTCTTTGACTAAAATAAATTCCAGAAATCAATCAGGTCATATTTTTTTCAGCAGAAAAATGGTTTTGCCTTGAACTTACTTCCAGGGGACACGGAAATGAAGAAGTTGATGGACTATTTGGAAGGCCCATGATCTTCACATAAATAAATATTATTATTTCCATTATAAAGATGAGGAAATTGAAGTCCAAAGTAAAGGAGTCATTAGTTAAGGTCACACAAATATTAAGTGATGAAGAAATAATCCACCTTATGCAGTCTGACCCAATAAATTATATACAAAAACACCATACTATAGTACCTCTCTTTGCACTACACAGAATATACTATTGAATTTATGTTGTTATATTTATAGATATTATCTTGATTTTATGCAACGTACTTGCCTACTTTCTAGTTGAAGTATTTCTTCAAGAAAGCCTTGCATTATGTACATTCCAAATGTAGAAGCACATCTGGCAGCGCTTACACCACTGTCCTATTCTTAGGCTCACACAAAAACTTCAGTGAACTTCCTAGATCATTCAGTTTAGAACTCATGCTAAGTGAGTGATGAAAGCCTCATGGGTGCTTTGATTACCTCAATTCCTTGTCCATTCACTGGGAAATAGTAAGAATTACATATGACAACATTCAACATGAGGGAACCAATTGCTTTATGTTGTAATATGGCTTAATATGTACTTACAAAAAGATGCATTGAATCAAATAGCAATCTCATCAGCTGGCCAGGTTATTCATTTAATAGACACAGGTGAGTTATACTGACAATACGGAAGTAACTGCATTTGTGACACTGATAATTCTAAGAAATATCACTATGAGCTGTAGAAAATGTGACTCGTGTATTTAATTGGCAATATTAGAATTTCCTGACATTACACTGTGTCAATTCTAAACTCTTCAATGAGAAGAAAGACTAAGAGGCTTGAGTAGAATAATTTGTTCATAGCTTTACTGTGTGGCGTTATATAGTCTGTACGTTTGGAATGCATGCATGTAGTGTTAACAAGATGTGTTTGTGTGCAAGCAAGGGCAAGTGATGTTGACTTCTCACCTCTGTAAGCCAAACAATATAGGGAGAAAACTTTAAAGATACCAGTTAAAATTAAATATCAGATCTCACATGCCAAGGAAGAAAATATTTTATACATATTATAAATGAGACTTTCAGAGTTAAAAAGCATGAATACTTTTTTCTTACCACACAGTTACTAAGTGACTGAGTAAATATCTGAGCCCAGCTTATTTCTAAAGCCCACGTGCTTAATACTGTGTAGTTTTACATTTTTTCAGAAGACAATAATAATACATCAGCTGAGTGAGTATAAGCCAATATATATACTTCATAAATAAAATACTGTAGTATTTTCTTAAGGCTGCCATAAGAAAGTATCAAAAATTGGTGGCTTAATGCAACGCATGTATTTTTTCACAGTTCTGGTGTCTAAAAGTCTGAAATCAAGGTGTTGGCGGGGTGAGTTCTTTATGAGGGCTTTGAGGGAGAATCTGTTCATTGCCCGTCTCCTAGTTTCTGGTGTGTGCCTGCAATCCTTGATTTTCCTTGGCTTGCAGATACATCACTCCAGTCTCTGCCTTTGTCTTCATGCGGTGCCCTTCCTATCTCTGTCGTCTTCTTATAAGGATACAAGTCACACTGGATTAAGGTCCCAGCCTACTTTAGTATGACCAAATCTTAAATTAACTAATTTCATCTGCAATTATGTTATTTCCATATCAGATCACATTTTGAAGTACTGGGTCATGACTGCAACAAATCTTTTGAAGGGACACGATTTAACCCAGAATATCTACTACATGCTGAGATGCTATATGTTAATTAACATATTCAGAATGTGTTATTCATGACCCAAGGAGAAACCGTACATCTTTTGAATCTTTCTTCCAGTTGAGAGCTAAACAGCAACTTTGATTTCATAAGCAAGCGTAAGATTCTTTTTATAAAATAATTCAAAATGCAAGAGTTGTAAAAATATTATGCAACAGAACAGTATAACAAATATACTGACTGGAAAGTGAAAAACAAAAAGTACAAATAGCAGTATAAATAAATACTTCATATGTTCTGAAAGACAGAAGATATGAAAAAATTTTCAGATATCTCTGAAATATCAGTCCAGTGATGTGCAATAACTAATAGACTTGTGGACTCAATTAATTATGTATTTAGAGAGGAAGAACGAGGAAGTGCATTTTAGCAAGAATTCAGATAGATTCCAAGGATATGAGTAAAAGCAGAGAGGTATGCAGAAATTTGTTGTGGAGGTTATAAATTAAAGGGCAGTGATTATGCAGTTGTATGCTCAATGTTTGATATTCATTATTTTTATCCATAACAATTAATTTTAAAAATTAATGTTATTTTGCCAAAGAATAGCTTATTATAATTATATGTCAGCCCACATTGTTGAAGATTAAGTTCATTATTGTATTAGTGAAAATGCTTTACAGCACTGAATTAATCAAAATGTTAAATTTAAAACTTCATATAAAAGAAATTCATCTCACGCCTGTAATCCCAGCACTTTGGGAGGCCAAGTCCGGGCGGATCACGAGGTCAGGAGATCGAGACCATCCTAGCTAACATGGTGAAACCCAGTCTCTACTAAAAATACAAAAAAATTAGCCAGGCATGGTGGTGGGTGCCTGTAGTCCCAGCTACTCGGGAGGTTGAGGGAGGAGAATGGCATGTGAACCTGGGAAGTGGAGCTTGGAGTGAGCCAAGATCGTGCCACTGCACTCCAGCCTGGGTGATAGAGCGAGACTCTGTCTCAAAAAAAAAAAAAAAAAAAAGAAATTCATACTTCATATAAAAGAAGTATGGAGCTAAGTATTCCAGGGTTGAGCATCTATGGAGTTCTCTATACCATACTTCACTATCCTTGTTGATGGTTTTTAAGTTGATTGTTTTATTTTGACTTCTAGAACTCTAGTTATGACAATGTTAGACTAGTATAAAAAACAAAAGGAGGCTCCAACTGTACGTAGCTGCCTAGGTTTCCTTGCACCTTGGTAATTATTACACTGCTGAGTAAACAGCAGCCAATATCTGTTTGGCATTCTGAGCCTCATTTATGCCAGCTCTGCACTGACTATACCAGGATGCCAAAATAGTTGAAAGGAGAAAGAAAGGGAAGAGGGCAAGCCCTTCCCTAAAGATTCAGCCACATTGAAATAGCACTGTCAATCTCACCCAACACTTGCTCTTATCATTCACTGCCAAAAACTTCTACCTAATGTGAACAGGTAGAAAAAACAGGTTGCAAGTAAACATATTACTTCCCACAAACTTTGTAAGGAATATTGTGCCCAGATTGAAAAAAGGTTTGTGTTTCTCAGGAGTAAAGGTAAGATGGATGTTGTATTCTCTATTGGAGAGCCCAAATGTGAAACAGCTCACTTGCCAACTGAATAGTTTCAGAAGTATTGAACCCAGCCTTCAGATTTTCAATTATGTAGACAGGTTGAATTAAGTTCAAAAAGGTTAAACTATTTTGCTGAGGTCACCCCAATACCTAATGCAACTATAAGAATGTAAATCCAGGTCTCCTGGACACTAATTCATGTTTGATTTGAATATAATATGCCCCTTTGAATGTAATTCTTTCTACACAAGAACAAAAATTATATTCACAACTTAAATGCAAAAGAGTTACTTCTAAATTTTTACCTTTTCAGTCATCTTTAAAAATGAAATATAAAACAGATATCAGTGTTCAAATCATAAATGCTAATTTCAATAAATTATTAAAAAATTAACACATTAATAATCACACACCAGTTTTAAAAATTACTACCACTGGTAATGCTCCTGTCCTGCCACTTCTGAGTCAGTAATTTCTCTCTTCACTCAAAGGCAAGTAACAGCCTGATTTTTAACCCCATAAAAGTTTGCCTGGCTTTGTATTCCAGATTTATAAAATCATATATTTGTATGTATTATGTTTGTAAAATTTAACCTAATACATCACAGTAACTAGTTTTTTAATACAGTATCCTTTTGTGCAGATTTTTAATATTCTATTGATGATATATTTGAGTAACTTCTTTGTTCTGAAAATGCCTCTATTCTAAATACTGCCTCTATGAATATTCTTACACATGGGCTTGAGGCATGTATACACTAAGTCCTTACTTAACATTGTTGACAGGTTCTTGGAAATGGTGACTTTAAGCAAAATGATGTATAACCAAATCAATTTTACCATAGGCTAAGTGACAGAAACAAGAGTTAATTCCCCATGTCATATTTCTGGCCACAAAAACATTACCCAACTTCCAGATAAAGACCTGAAAGACTTCTATCATTGAACATTAACATAAATGTGAGCTATGTATACCCTTAAGAAAGATTAATAAAAACAAGTAAGATAATAATTTACAATTTTTAGTGATTCAGGGAGTGATGGTGGTCATCGTCGTGACTTAAATCAAGGAATAAGTGATTGCAAAGCAAAAAATTGTAAGGAGTACCTTCTACCACCGTGCAGGTCAAAAACAATCACAAATATGGCAGGCTTGCTGAGAGTTTTCCTCTCACATCATTTATTGTTGTGCATTTGTATGATTATCATATACTTTACAGATGTTTATTTTAGGACAATTTGTGTTTTGCATTCATTCACTTTCTAATCAGCTTATTCCAGTGCAGGGTCACAGGTGACCACAGCCTGTCCTGGCAGCTCAGGGCCCAAGGGACGAATCCACTTTATGCAGGACAGTATTTCATTGCAGGGCACGCTCACACACCCCCCACACTCACTCAGAATGGAACCATACAGACATGCCAAGGAACCTAACATGCACATCTTTGGGGTGTGGGAGTAAACAAGGAGACCTGGAGAAAACCCAGGCAGACATGGGGAGAACTTGCAAACACCACAGACTGGCTCCAGACAGGAATCATTTATTTTCTCATCAACATTATATTAAAATAACAAGAAGATGTTGAATTAAATGACGTTATTCAAAGACCTGTGCATTTCCACTTGCTAAGAGAGAAATTGCTGGGTTATATTGTGTGTATTTAACTTTATTGAACGCTCCAAAGTGTGTGCAATCATTTTACTTCCACCAGCAGCTATTGGGAATCCTACTTGTTCCATATTTTTTACGATTACACAGTGTTGTGATTGTTTAGATAGATAGATAGATAGGTAGAGAGTACTTAGATAGATAATGATAGATAAGATAGAAAAGATAGATGACAGATAAGACAGATGGATGATAGATAGATAGATAGATAGATAGATAGATAGATAGATAAATAGATTATAAGCAGCTTTTCATATTGAGGCTGCATTGTAAATAAATGGCTAGGTCCTCATAGTCCTACATTTATCATTTTTTGGGTGATGTAGCTCTTTCCATCTCAGGACAATTTATGTGGAGTATGGCAACCAAGTAGCCAGAAGCATGGCTGAGGAAATAAATAATTTAGTAGTGAAGGGGCATACGCCTCATGCCTACCACTATTATACCAGTCCAGCTTAAAATTATGAAGTAATGGTAGTTTTAGGAATACAGTAATCAAATAGTTAAAATACTTGTGCAATTCAGAGGTAGGTGTCTTTTTCTTTTCAACAATATTGACTTCATGAAGCGTATCATCTTATAATGAAAAGAGTTATTGATGTCACCATAATTGTTCCTTTGGATCTTTGAAATAACGCATGTTGCTTTTAACATATCTTGATTTAGTCTTTTAAATTTTCATTCAAAATCAAGTCACACTTTTAATAATTTAGGCATAACTTTGTTTTAAGACTTGATTCAGGCCATTGCCAATGTAAAATAAATTAGGCATAGCACTTCTTAAATCTTAGAAAAGGGGCTAGTTAATACTGTTACTGCCCAGAGCTATGATTAGAAACATGACGTGACTTATTTGATTGAGTAGTCTTTTCCAATGCTTACATGCACAATAAATACTAAATTTATTCTAAGAAGTGCTACGTGGTGGTAGGAGAGGTATTATTTATCATATATTATCTGCATTTTTTATTATTATATCTATTCTATATTGGTATTTGTGATAGTTAATACTGAGTGTCAACTTGATTGGATTGAAGGATACAAAGTATTGATCCTGCCTGTGTCTGTGAGGGTGTTGCCAAAGGAGATTAACATTTGAATCAGTGGGCTGGGAAAGGCAGATCCACCCTTTAATCTGGGTAGGCATAATCTAATCAGCAGCCAGCCTGGCTAGAATAGAAGCAGGCAGAAAAATAAAAGAGAGACTGGCCTAGCCTCCCAGCCTACATCTTTCTCCTGTGCTGGATGCTTCCTGCTCTTGAACATTGGACTCTAAGTTCTTCAGTTTTGGAACTTGGACTGGCTTTCCTTGCTCCTCAGGCTGCAGATGGCCTGTTGTGGGACCTTGTGATCGTGTTAGTTAATACTTAATAAAGTCATATATATATATATATATATATATATATATATATATGTATGTATATATATGTATGTATATATAGATGTATGTGTATATATATATGTATAAAACTCACACACACACACACACACGTTCCATTAGTTCTGTCTCTCTAGAGAACCCTAATAAGGTGCTTTAAAAATTTTTGAACATCAAAATATATACCATATAGGTAATTCTCTTAAAATTTTTCTAATCTTAAAATGCCAAAAACAGCATTAATAGAAAAATATACCATATCCAAGGTGGTAAATTATTTAAATATCAATATTGTTATTTTTAGTGTTATAAAATGAGAGAAAAGATATGAATGCAAAAACAGACTACTAGATATAATTTTTGTAGAAGATGAACAGATCAAGAAAACCGTTAATGACTATAGGTGTGTCTTAGTTATTCTTTTCATATGCTATACAACAAACATCCAAAAGATAAGAAAATATGTTTTCAATATATGTATAAATTGTTGATCTGTGTGAGTGGTTAGATATGCTTCTTATTCTGATGAATAAAAATGACTTGATACATATGCTTTCATATGTAGGTAAATTAATATAACATTTATTATTTCATTTATTTTTGTATATATCTATATGTATGTGTTTGTAAATATAATATGCGCTTGTGTGTGTGTGCGTGCATATGTGTGTGTATTTCTCCTGAAATTTTATGATGAAAAGAAAAGATTTCACCAGTGTCTGTTATTACGGCTGAACTACACAACAGTAATTTAGGTTACTATGTAACCTACATGGCCTTCAAGTGTCCATGTGTATGTGTGTGTGTTTCATTCTCATTTTTAAAATGAAGAATCAAGCCTAGAGAACTGTAAGTAATATATGCAAAATAATTGAACTAGTAAACGATGCAGAATACTGGCAGTCAGATATTCTTCATATTATTAATACTTTTACTGGTTTTATCATAATACCTTTCTGTTACCACTAAATAATCTGTTTTCATTTTTATTCATTATATTACTTTTCTATGCTTCTAATTTTTCTAATTTTACTTTGGTAAATGCCATCTTATTTATTGATTATCATATTTATTTATTGATAATCGATGAAAATGAAGTACATGTTTTCAGGATATTTCAGAGATTATTTAGCCTAGACTTGGATCGTTATTATTATTTACCTCATATTTAATAATAAAGACATTATAAAAACCATAAGTCCTTACTGGGGAATGGTTATAAGGCTTTTGCATATTTCTTTTTTTATTATTATACTTTAAGTTCTGGGATACATGTGCAGAATATGCAGGTTTGTTACATAGGTATACACGTGCCATGATGGTTTGCTGCACTCATCAACCCGCCATCTACATTAGGTATTTCTCCTAATGCTATCCCTCCCTTAGTCCCCCACCCCCTGACAGGCCCCAATGTGTGATGTTTCCCTCTCTGTGTCCACGTGTTCTCATTGTTCAGCTCCTACAAATGAGTGAGAACATGTGGTGTTTGGTTTTCTGTTCCTGTGTTAGTTTGCTGAGAATGATGGTTTCCAGCTTCATCCATGTCCCTGCAGAGGACATGAACTCATCCTTTTTTATGGCTGCATGCTATTCCATGGTATATATGTGTCACATTATCTTTGTTCAATCTGTCATTGATGGGCATTTGTGTTGGTTCCAAGTCTTTTTTATTGTGAATAGTGAATAGTGAATAGCAATAAACATATGTGTGCATGTGCATTTATAGGAGAATGATTTATAACCCTTTGAGTATACACCCAGTAATGGGATTCCTGGGTCAAATGGTATTTCTAGTTCTAGATCATTGAGGAATCGCCACACTGTCTTCCACAATGGTTGAACTAATTTACACTGCCACCAACGGTGTAAAAGCATTTCTATTTCTCCACATCCTCTCCAGCATCTGTTGTTTCCTGACTTTTTAATGATCGCCATTCTAACTGGCACGAGATGGTATCTCATTGTAGTTTTGAGTTGCCTTTCTCTGATGACCAGTGATGACGAGCAATTTTTCATGTTTGTTGGCTGCATAAATGTCTTCTTTTGAGAAGTGTCTTTTCACCTCCTTCGCCCACTTTTTGATGGGGTTGTTTGAGTTTTTCTTGTAAATTTGTTTAAGTTCTTTTTAGATTCTGGATATTTGCCCTTTGTCAGATTCATATGGATAGACTGCAAAAATTCTCGCCCGTTCTGTAGGTTGCCTGTTCACTCTGATGACAGTTTCTTTTGCTGTGCAGAAGCTTTTTAGTTTAATTAGATCCTATTTATCAATTTTGGCTTTTGTTGCCATTGCCTTTGGTGTTTTAGTCATGAAGTCTTTACCTATGCCTATGTCCTGAATGGTATTGCCTAGGTTTTCTTCTAGGGTTTTTATGGTTTTAAGTCTTAAGTCAAAGTCTTTAATCCATCTTGAGTTAATTTTTCTGTAAGGTGTAAGGAAGGGACACAGTTTCTACTTTCTGCATATGGCTAGCCAGTTTTCCCAACACCATTTATTAAATAGGGTATTCTTTCCCCATTGCTTGGTTTTGTCAGGTTTGTCAAAGATCATATGGTTGTAGATATGTGGTATATTTCTGAGGCCGCTGTTCTTTTCCATTGGTCTATATATCTGTTTTGGTACCAGTACCATACTATTTTAGTTACTGTAGCCTTGTAGTATAGTTTGAAGTCAGGTAGCCTGATGCCTCCAGCTTTTTTCTTTTTGCTTAGGATTGTCTTGGCTATGCAGGCTCTTTTTTGGTTCCATATAAAATTTAAAGTAGTTTTTTCCAATTCTGTGAAGAAAGTCAATGGTAGCTTGATGGGGATAGCATTGAATCAATAATTTACTTTGGGTAATATGGCCATTTTCACGATATTGATTCTTCCTACCCATGAGCATGGAATGTTTTTCCATTTGTTGGTGTCCTCTCTTATTTCCTTGAGTAGTGGTCTGTAGTTCTCCTAGAAGATGTTCTTCACATCCCTTATAAGTTGTATTCCTATGTATTTTATTCTCTTTGTAGCAATTGTGAATGGGAGTTCACTCATCATTTAGCTCTCTGTTTGTCTATTATTAGGGTATAGGAATGCTTGTGATTTTTGGACATTGATTTTGTATCTGGAGACTTTGCTGAAGTTGCTTATCAGCTTAAGGAGATTTTGGGCTGCGATGATGGGATTTTCTAAATATACAATTATGTCATCTGCAAAGAGAGACAATTTGACTTTCTCTTTTCCTAACTGAATACCCTTCATTTCTTTCTTTTGCCTGATTGCCCTGGCCAGAACTTCCAATACTATGTTGAATAGAAGTGGTGAGAGAGGGCATCCTTGTCTTGTGCCAGTTTCAAAGGGAATGCTTCCAGTTTTTGCCCATTCAGTATGATATTGGCTGTGGGTTTGTCATGAATAGCTCTTATCATTTCGAGATATGTTCCATCAATACCTAGTTTATTGAGAGTTTCTAGCATGAAGGGCTGCTAAATTTTGTCGAAGGCCTTTTCGTCATCTATTGAGATGATCATGTGGTTTTTTTCGTTGGTTGTGTTTATGTGATGGATTACATTTATTGATTTGTGCATGTTGAACCAGCCTTGCGTCCCCAGGATGAAGCTGACTTGATCATGGTGGATAAGCTTTTTGATGTGCTGCTGGATTCAGTTTGATATATTTTATTGAGCATTTTCACATCAATGTTCATCAAGGATATTGGCCTGAAAGCTTTCTTTGTTGTGTCTCTGCCAGGTTTTGGTATTCACATGATGCTAGCCTCATAAAATAAGTTAGGGAGGATTCCCTCTTTTTCTATTGTTTGGAATAGTTTCAGAGGGAATGGTACCAGCTCCTCTTTGTACCTCTGGTAGAATTCGACTGTGAATCCATCTGGTCCTGGACTTTTTTGGTTGGTAGGCTATTAATTGCTGCCTCAATTTCAGAACTTGTTATTGGTCTATTTAGGGATTCGACTTCTTCCTGGTTTAGTCTTGGGAGGGTGTATGTGTCCAGGAACTTATCCATTTCTTCTAGATTTTCTAGTTTATTTTTGTAGAGGTGTTTATAGTATTCTCTGATGGTAGTTTGTATTTCTGTGGAGTCAGTGGTGATATCCCCTTTATCATTTTTTATTGCATCTATTTAATTTTTCTCTCTTTTCTTCTTTATTAGTCTGGCTAGAAGTCTATCTATTTTGTTGATCTTTTCAAAAAACCAGCTCCTGGATTCATTGATTTTTTGAAGGGATTTTCCGTGTCTCTATCTCCTTCAGTTCTGCTCTGATTTTAGTTATTTCTTGCCTTCTGCTAGCTTTTGAATTTTTTTGCTCCTGCTTCTCTAGTTCTTTTAAATGTGATGTTAGGGTGTCGATTTTAGATCTTTCCTGCTTTCTCTTGTGGGCATTTAGTACTATAAGTATCCCTCTACACACTGCTTTAAATGTGTCCCAGATATTCTGGTATGTTGTGTCTTTGTTCTCATTGGTTTCAAAGAACATCTTTATTTCTGCCTTCATTTCATTATGTACCCAGTAGTCATTCAGGAGCAGGTTGTTCAGTTTCCATGTAGTTGTGCAGTTTTGAGTGAGTTTCCTAATCTTGAGTTCTAATTTGATTGCACTGTGGTCTGAGAGATTGTTTATGATTTCCATTCTTTTGCGTTTGCTAAGGAGTGTTTTACTTCCAATTATGTGGTCAATTTTAGAATAAGTGTGATATGGTGCTGAGGAGAATGTATATTCTGTTGATTTGGGGTGGAGAGTTCTGTAGATGTCTATTAGGTCCTCTTGGTCCAGAGCTGAGTTCAAGTACTGGATATACTTGTTAATTTTCAGTCTCATTGATCTGTCTAATATGGACAGTGGGGTGTTAAAATCTCCCACTATTATTCTGTGGGAGTTTAAGTCTCTTTGTAGGTCTCTAAGAGCTTGCTTTATGATTCTGGATGCTCCTGTATTGGGTGCATCCTCTTTTTGTTTCATTGATCTCCTTTACCATTATGTAATGGCCTTCTTTGTCTCTTTTGAACTTTGTTGGTTTAAAGTCTGTTTTATAAGAGACTAGGATTGCAACCCCTGCTTTTTTTTTTTGCCTTTCATTTGCTGTTAAATATTCCTCCATCCCTTTATTTTGAGACCGTATGTGTCTCTGCATGTGAGATGGGTCTCCTGAATACAGCACAGAGATGGATTTTCAGCTTTTATCCAATTCGCTAGTCTGTGTCTTTTAATTGAGGCAACTATCCTATTTACATTTTAAGATTAATATTGTTATTTGTGAATTTGATCCTGTCATTATGATGCTAGCTGGTTATTTTGCCCATTAGTGATGCAGTTTCTTCATAGCATCAATTGTCTTTACAATTTGGTTTGTTTTTGAAGTGGCTGGTACCGGTTGATCCTTTCCATGTTTAGTGCTTCCTTCAGGAGCTCTTGTAAGGCAAAATCTGGAGGTAACAAAAATCTCTCAGCATTTGCTTGTCTGTAAAAGATTTTATGTCTCCTCCGCTTATGAAGCTTAGTTTGGCTGGATATGAAATTCTGGGTTGAAAATTCTTTTCTTTAAGAATGTTGAATATTGGCCCCCACTCTCTTCTGGCTTGTAGGGTTTCTGCTGAGAGACTGCTGTTAGTCTGATGGGCTTCCATTTGTGGATAACCCGACCTTTCTCTCTGGCTGCCCTTAATATCTCTTCCTTCATTTCAACCTTGGTGAATCTGATGATTATATGTTTTTGAGTTGCTCTTCTCAAAGAGTATCTTTGTGGTGTTCTCTGTATTTCCTGAATTTGAATGTTGGCCTTCCTTGCTAGGTTGGGGAAGTTCTCCTGGATAATATCCTGAAGATTGTTTCCAACTTGGTTCTGTTCTCCCTGTCACGTTCAGGTTCACCAATCAGACGTAGATTTGGTCTTTTCACATAGTCCCATATTTCTTGGTTCTTCCTTCCATATTTCGACTTCTTCCTGGTTTAGTCTTGGGAGGGTGTATGTGTTCAGGAACTTATCCATTTCTTCTAGATTTACTAGTTTATTTTTGTAGAGGTGGTTATACTATTCTCTGATGGTAGTTTGTATTTCTCTGGGGTTGGTGGTGATATCCCCTTTATCATTTTTTATTGCATCTATTTGATTCTTCTCTCTTTTCTTCTTTATTAGTCTGGCTAGCAGTCTATCTATTTTGTTGATCTTTTAGAAAAACCAGCTCCTGGTTACTTTTCACTCTTTTTTCTTTAATCTTGTCTTCTCACTTTATTTCATTGAGTTAATCTTCAATCTCTGATATTCTTTCTTCTGCTTGATTTGGCTATTGATACTTGTGTGTGCTTCACGATGTTCTCATGCTGTGTTTTTCAGCTCCATCGGGTCATTTATTTTCTTCTCTAAACGGGTTATTCTAGTTAGCAATTCATCTAACCTTTTTTCAAGGTTCTTAGCTTCCTTGCATTGGTTTAGATCATGCTCCTTTAGCTCGGAGGAGTTTGCTACTACCTGCCTTCTGAAGCCTACTTCTGTCAATTTGTCAAAATCATTATCTGTCCAGTTTTGTTCCTTTGCTGGTGAGGAATTGTGATCCTTTGGAGGAGACGAGGAGTTCTGGATTTTGGAACTTTCAGCCTTTTTGTGCTGGTTTCTCCCCATCTTCGTGGATTTATCTACCTTTGGTCTTTGAAGTCGGTGACCTTCAGCTGGGGTCTCTGAGTGGATGTCGTTTTTGTTGATGTTGATACTATTCCTTTCTGTTTGTTAGTTTTCCTCCTAACGAGTCAAGCCCCTTTGCTGCTGGTCTGATGGAGTTTGCTGGAGGTCACTCCAGACCTTGCTTGCCTGGGTATCACCAGTGGAGGCTACAGAACAGCAAAGATTGCTGCCTGTTTCTTCCTCTGGAAGCTTCATCCCAGAGGGGCACTTGCCAAATGACAACCAGAGCTCTTCTGTATGAGTTGTCTGTTGGCCCCTACTGGTAGCTGACTCCTAGTCAGGATACATGGGAGTCGGGGATCCACTTGAGGAGGCAGTCTGTCTGTTATCAGAGCTCGAGTGCTGTGCTGGGAGATTCCCTGCTCTCTTCAGAGCTGCCAGGCAGGGAAGTTTAAGTCTGCTGAAGCTGCACCCCCAACCACGCCTTCCTGCCTGCTCTGCTCCAGAGAGGTGGAATTTCATATATAAGTCCCTGACTCGGGCTGCTGCCTTTTTTTCCAGAGATGCCCTGCCCAGAGAGGAGGGAATCTGGAGGGGCAGTCTGGCCGCAGTGGCCTTGCTGAGCTGCGGTGGGCTCCTCCCAGTTCAAATTTCCAGGTGGCTTTGTTTACACTGTGAGGGTAAAACAGCCTACTCAAGCTTCAGCAATGGCAGACACCCCTCCCCGCACCAAGCTCTAGCATCCCAGGTCGAGCTCAGACTGCTGTGCTAGTAGCGAGAATTTCAAGCCAGTGGATCTTAGCTTGCTGAGCTCTGTGGTTGTGAGACCAGCTGAGCCAGACCATGTGGCTCCCTGGCTTCAGCCCCCCTTCCACGTGAGTGAACGGTTCTGTCTCGCTGTTGTTCTGGGTGCCACTGTGGAATGAAAAAAAAAAAAAAAAAAAAAAAAAACTCCTGCAGCTAGCTCAATGTCTGCCCAAACTGCCATCCAGTTTTTTGCTAGAAACCCAGGGCCCTGGTGGTGTGGGCACTGGAGTGAATCTACTGGTCTGTAGGTTGCAAAGACCATGGAAAAAGCACAGTATCTGGGCTGGAGTGCACTGTACAGTCCCTAATGGCTTCCTTGGCTAGGAGAGGGAGTTCCCTGACCCATTGCACTTCCTGGGTGAGGCGATGCCCCACCCTGCTTTGGCTGGCCCTCCTTGGGCTGCATCCACTGTCCAACCAGTCCCAATGAGATGAACTGGTTACCTCAGTTGGAAATGCAAAAATCACACACTTTCTGCCTCGATCTCGCTGGGAGCTGCAGACTGGAGCTGCTCCTATTTGGCCATCTTGCCAGCAGTCCTGGCTTTTGCATATTTCAAACCAAATTTCAATTATTCTCTTTTAACCTGTGAAATATTTTAAATGAATGCACTTGAATGTATAATGTATCTTTTTAGTATAAAGATTTTCAGGTAAACTAGAACAATTGGTGTGTAGTTTTTCATTAATTTTATGCTTTAGATTTATACTTTAATGTATTTTGTAACTCAAATATAAAAGTTTTTCTGTGGATGCTCTGTAACAAAATCCAGTTATGATTAATTAGCAGAATGAGTATATATATGCTTACCAGGCACTGACAGTTTAGTGGGATGTTAATATTTCTGGGAGACAAAGATCTGGATGACCGTATAAATTCATGTCCTCCCCCTTTGAAGGAACTTAGCAGAAAGCTGAGTCATCCCATGAGAGGAGACTCATGTTCCAGAGCTTGGAGGCTCCCAGTTTGTATCTGAGCAAAGGCTTTTCCTCAGTGAGGAACAATTTCATTCTTATGACCTCATTTAGAATTTCCTTGACTTCCTATCTCTATGATGCATAAAATATTCAGAAGGTGGGGTATACTTTCTGAGAAGAGCAGCCATTACGTGTGCAGTCCAGAACTGAACACTGGCACGGCTCCCTCTGAGACAATGGGAGATTTGGTATTTTGTGCGCTCTGCTCTTTCTCCACTTGTAAGTTTTTCTCTACACTTCCCCAAAAGAAAACAACTGTGTTTTACAATTCTTGTATTAGTGCTATATGACACTAATAACCTGTGTGTCCCTGACTATTTGCAAATAATTATAATAAAACAAATGAGTAGTGCACAAACATAACCTTTTTAAGTAAGTATTTTAAAATACATTCAAAGAGAGAAAAAATCTAGACTATTACTTTGAGGGATTTTTTTTTCTTATGATTTCTCCAATAAGCAATTTTCAGTCACTGAAAGACATGTCTTTTGAAAAAGCAATAGTATATAAAATAAAATGTAGGGACAACCTGAGGTAATCTCTCTGAAGTCCCGTAACCGTTTTAAGAAACTCTTCAGGCACAAACAAAAAAATCTCATTAATATCACCAGCTTATTTGGAAAGAAGACAGAAAGACTCAAAAATGGAATGGCTACAATTCTCCAGAAGCATCCATCTGGAAAAACTCTCATATTCATATATTCATGCTAATATAATTCTTTTGTAAGCACAATATGGTGTCTCTGTGTGTGTGTGTGTGTGTGTGTGTGTGTGTGTGTGTATACATGTTTATATCTTAGAATACTCTTTTAATAATGTAGAATAAAAAATAAGAATACTTTTTAATTTAAAAAGTTTAAATCTGATTCAGAATTTAAACTAATTTTTTAGACAAAATATAATTTGAGCTATATATAATATAGCTCTGGAACTATAATTGTAATTTTTATAATTTCTACTTATAAATGTTTCCTGTGTAGTTTTCAGTTTTACCTTAGAAGGAAAAGAAAAGGAATCATTATGTTTTGGAAATAAACTTCTCAAATTTTTAATTTATATTAATAATAATTAAGATTGTGCCTTAAACGCCAAATTAGTTTGCTGAGCATAGGAATTGCATCATTGTAGTGAATTGAAAAGTAAACAAATAAACCAGTTTTCAATTTTCTGCCTGGATTTCAAACCTCCTCTACAGAAAGTAAATAAAAACAGTATCATTGAGCCCTTGCTACTCCACGTATACTCCATGCACAGCAGCCACCAGCATCAGCTGTGGGTATTTTTCAGAAGGGAAGAATTTAAGAAGCCTCCCTGGTACTGCTGAGCCTTGACTCTAACAAAACCCCCAGTTGATCAGTTTCTAATTGAAGTTTGAGAACTCTTGCTGCAGACCTATAATTGTTGAGCTTGGCTGTGTTTTAGAATCAACTGAGAGGATAATAAAAATGCTAATGGCTGGATTTCATACCCACGTATTCTAATTTAATTAATATGACTGTGGCTTGGACATTGGGATTTTGAAGGTACATCATATATTCCAACGTAGTGCTGCTCTTCTAGGCTCTTTACAGAATGCTTAATCTCATGTAATTCTAAACCCAATTTGCAATGAAGACATTATTGCCTCCACTTTGTATTTGAAAAGGGAGGGTACAAAAAAACCTTAACATTTTGAAGTTTAAAGATCATAAGGCCGGGCACGGTGGCTCATGCCTGTAATCCCTGCACTTTGGGAGGCCAAGGTGGGTGGATTGCTTGAGGTCAGGAGTTCGATATCACCCTGACCAACATGGTGAAACCCCGTCTCCACTAAAATAGAAAAATTAGCTGGGTATGGTGGTGGGCACCTGTAATCTCAGCTACTTAGGGGGCTGAGGCAGGAGAATTGCTTGAATCTAAGAGGCAAGGAGATTGCAGTGAGCCAAGATCACATCACTGCACCCCAGAGTGGGTGACAGAGAGAGACTCCGTCTCAAAATAAATAAATACATTAAAAAAAACACACAAATATCATAAAGCAGAGCTGGTATTCAAATTGTACCCTCATTTTTCTGTAAAAGTCATATTGTCTTTGGTACATGGTCATAGGTGTGAAATTTCAGGAGCTTATACACTGAGCCACATTAAAAATATATATATATATATTTATATATTTTATATATACATATAAAATCTAAAATGAAAAGTTCTGACCTAGTCTCTTCCTCATAGAATCATTAAGACTAAGAAGTTTACTAGCCAATTTCAATTAAAACCTGGCTTTATTCTTTAAACTTTTTTTGCTATAAAATATCACTCAGACTACCAGCAATGTTGAGGTAGGGAAAGTAGTGACTTTTAACTAATCATTACATGTCTAAGTATATAGTATCTGTTTGTTTACTTTTATGTTTATGTAAAAAACTGGCCTATTCCAAAAGATACACGCAAATTAGAATGGATACATGCAAATTAATAAAATTCAAATTCTCCAATTGGATACCATATTGAAATAACAAAGGGAAATTTGGTTAGGAATAAAACATACTTTGAAGTCATATTAATTGCTTGCTTAAGCATACATGCTCATTGTTACATTTGAGCAGCAATTATAAAAATAGAAATTTAAAGAGTTTTAGGAGCCATACTTTTCATTAGGCAAAAGAAAATAATTTTCATTAGGAAAAAACAGATAATTAAAAATTTTCAAACAAAAAATAGATAATTAAAAATGAGGGATTTCATTAAAAATGCTTTTGCATAAAGAAAATGAAAAAATTTAACATACAAAAAATTATCTGGATTTTTTTGTTGTTTAAATTTTTTTTAAGCTTTTCAAACAACTGAATGTAAAATAAAGGTGAAGAAATCTTACTGTAGAATTTTAAGTTATGTTTTAGCAGCAGACTATTTTTATGAAAATATCACAAGTAGTTGTAAAATAATTGAAAAAGACAATGACTATCATTTGATTGAGCAAATATATGATACATAATTTCTAAGTTTTATTTTTCATATGCTTTGTAATAATTTCATTAGATAGATATTATTGTCATTACATTTTATAGTTGAGGAAAGAATAGAGGAGATTGAGTTTAACCGAAGACTTGTTAAAAATATAGCTATTAGACTGAGCAGCTATAAGTGTAATCTTGACCTACTCATTTTTCCTCATTTTCACCAATAAACATTTCATTAAATCTTAGACCTTACAAACCTGTTTGAGAATAGGGTACGTAGATCAGGGGTCAGCCAACAAAGTGGGCCAAACCCAGCCTGCCACATGTTCTTATAAATAAAATTCTACTGGGCCAGAGTCATACTCCTTTGTTTCTGATGTCTGTGGCTGCTTTCACACTACAATTGTTGACTTTAGTAGTGGTGACAGAAATGACAGATGTAGCAAAGACCTTCTCTTTCATAGAAACAAAAATGTTTACTATATGGTCATTTACTGAAACAGTGTGTCCACCTATGATGTGGAACAATATTTTCTGAAATGTAAGTTTGGAATATTAAAATTATAATCAATATGCATTGGAAAAAGTTTTTTATTGTCTAATATCTTTGGGAAAATGATAAACTATTTTTATTGTATGATTCCTCAGCATTTTAAATATATTAGTATGTTTTTGAATCTTAAAGGGAGATTATATAGTATAGCTTTAATACAATTTTTAAAACTCTAGGATGTATGTACATTCTTTTAGAGCTAGTTTGTGAGTGCTAGGAGTACAGCAGTGCACCATCTGGTAAGCACTGCAGTATGAAATTATAGTTTAATTTCTCCTTTCAATAAATATACCTTCTAATTATACATTTTACTTTAAGAATAAAATTAGATATAATTATTCCATGTTTGTATAATAATTATTTCCAAACATTTTTTAAAAATCAAATAAATAATAATTAGCTGAAAAGTTAGGAAATTATTGCTTTTTATATTTATTTCAAACTGATTGACTGTCTCAATCTATTTCTTTCACCTAATTACTTTTGAACACCTCAACACTTTTCATAAAATCTTTTTTAGAAAATACAAAAATGGCTTCATTGAGTATTTCTTATTTTGTCGCTGCAAAAGCACAAGCAAGTTAGAGGAATAATACAGAGAATGTCATTAAAATTCCGTTGAGGTTCTCAGCCCCTCTGGTAGCTACAGTCAGTTTAGGAGTTTATTTCATAGTAATGAAAAGTAGAGTTGGAGGACATAATTTTAGTGTAATACTCCAAGAAACATTTGTTTCTCTGTTTAGATGCTGATAGCTTTTGGTAGCAGCAGGTTTGAGGTTACACTCTCTGGAAAAAAATCATAAAAGGGTTGCTATTGTACTCTCTCAAATAAATTCAAACGTGTGCTTTAATAGCATCCAGATCATTGTTAGAATCAACATCAAAGAAGCTGGTAAGGATGGTGGGTTATTACAGAATTCCATAGACACTGCCTTGTTAGCATTTCCAAGGTCAAAGTTGACTTAAGAAAAAAATTTTTCAAATATTTGTTTGCAAAGTCAAATTGGTCATTCTTGTCCACACACTATTTTATCATGTGAGTATACGAAGAATTTAGCAATGAAAACAATTAAAAGGTCTGTATTTTAAAATCAATATATTTGAACCAAATAAATATGAAAAGGGAATAAAAATATTTAAAAACTAATAGTAGTTAAAATATAGTTAGCCATTTACTTGAAAGTTTATCCCAAGCCATATTTCTTCAACATTTGTAACATTTACTTAGATTTTAAGTATATTGGTAAAAATGTTAGTGTCTTTAATATATTTGTTTATGTACTATGTACTATGGCCCATTGTATGTGAAATCTCTTTAAATAGGGTTAATGATATTTAGTACTACTTTTAGGAATTTGATAGAAAATATATAACACAGCAGTTATTATATATATATATATATATCAAGAAATCTGCCTTTCTCGTGGTAGAAAAACTACCATTGAGTACTATCCTCACTACCTGGGTGGCAGGATCTGTATCCCAAACCTCAGCATCATGCAATATACTCATGTAACAAACCTGGGCATGTACACCCTGTATCTAAAATAAAAGTTGAAATTATAAAATAATAAGAAAAATTATAAATGTTACAACCTCTTATCGCGATATCTATAAAGGGTCAAAATCATTTTTAAAACTTCAACCAAAATTTGTTTTATTAAATATATTGCTGTTTTCTACTCCTGAGAGAAAAATGAGAACCATACTATCGACCCTTTGCAGTAAATAAGAATAGGAACTTTTTTAAAATTCAAATTAAAACCTCAACTAATTTAGTTTGTGTGATTAATTGGACTCCCTTCTTTTCTGACTTTGGTGTAATACCAGGACATGTTTGATTAAAAAAAAGATAAAAATGAAATCATATGGGATAAGAAAAATGCACGGGCAAGTATACTCTGCTGTGCAATATGACAAAGTGAAAGAAACTGACCCAGCCCAGGTAGCCTATGTGAGTCAGAAGTTATTGAATGGAGTTGGCATTAAACAATAAAAATTTAAAAAGTGTCAGTTATTCAATTTTCCAACTCCTCAGAAATGCCTGTGGTATTGACTGCTGTATCCAGGCCACATCTGTTCTTAGGAGTATTGCAATAATCAGTTTGGTTGTAAAGACAACTTTTCATTAGTCAAAACATTCCACAGTAGCCAGGATATTTTTACTCTGGATTTGAAGCAACACATCTCCCAGTGTATTTGCCATATAAATAGATGGAAAAGCAATTTATTACAATGATGCATATCTCATTATGTTTTTATTCTACTCTTGTTTTAGATATTTAGAGTTTGGCTGAAAGTAGGAATTCTAGGCAGGACATAATTCTTTTTCATAATTTTGAAGCCTTTGCTCACATTGCTTCTGTCTTCCAATATTACTGTCAAGATGTCCAATGCCATTTTTACTTTTTCTTTGTAGAGGATATTATTTTTCTTATTTGTTGATTTTCAGTTCATTTCTCTCTGGATCCTTTGTATACATCTGTTTTTCTCTGGTGCTCTGATAATTCATTATGACAAATGTTGGTGTGCAACTTTATTCGTCTTGTTTGGAATTCATCTTGCTGGGTGCGCCTTTCCATTAAGAACATTATTACTTTTCAATCTTGGAAAATGTTATTGAACTATTCATTTAAAATTTATTTAAAATTCTTAAAAATTTTGATTATAGAAGCAGAGAGTAGAATGGTGGTTACCAGAGACTAGGGTAGTTGGAGGAGGTTGGGTTGGGGAGATGTTGGTCAAAAGATACAAAATTTCAGTTAGATAGGAGGAAGAATTTCAAGAGATTTACTGTACAACATGGTGTCTATAGTAAATGTATTATTGTAGTATTATGACATAACTCCCATAACCCTTGATACAAGTCTTTTGTTGTAATGTTGGGTGTGTTAGGCCTCAGCGATAGGCCTCAGGAAACAGGATCTCTCTGACCTTCTCCTGTCTTTTCACTTTCCTGAAGGCAGGACTCCTGCTTTTTTGATTCTGGGTCTTAAATATCTCCCCACAGAAGGTCCCAACCTATACCCTGGGGGAAGGATTGCTGACATTATGAAGCTTCCATAAAAATTCAGGAGGACTGGGTTTGAGGAGCTTCTGGATCTCTGAACACAGGGAAGTTCCCAGAGAGTACTGCCCAGGGAGGCCATGGAAGCTCCATGCCCCTTCCCCCATACCTCTCCCTACACACCTGTTTGTATGTATCCTTTGCAATAGCCTTTATAATAAGTCAGTAAATGTATAAATATTTCCATAAATTCTGTGAGCCTCTCCAGCAAATTAATGGAAACCAAACAAGGGGTCATGGTGTTGGCAGTGGAAGACAGCCAAGTTACAGGCAGCATATCTGTGTGGGTCTGCAGCAACTTCAGCCTTTGCCTCTTCAGAAGAAAGAATTCGCTAAGGGGCATAAAGAAGAAAAGAGACCCAGGCAAGTTCTAGAGCAGGAGTGGAGGTTTATTAAAAAGCTTTAGAACAGGAAAGAAAGGAAAGAATCCTTGGAAGAGATCCATGGGCACCTGAAGGTAAACGAGAGAAAAGAAGGGCCTTTAACCTTGATACTGGGACTTTGTAGGCTCGCCTCTTTCTCATGATTCTTCCTTTAGGGTGGGCTTACCCTTGGGAATTGAGCAAGAGCAGTGTGTTTAGGAAGTTGTACGCATTCCCATCTGAGGCTTTCTTCCTTTTTCCAGTGGAGTACACCTGGAAGATCATAGTTCGCCATTTTTTCTCTTAAGGCGTATGCCCAGGAAGTTGCTTCTCCCTGGGGCTTGCCTTTAATTAACACTTTAATCTTAACAGGTGTGGACCATCAGGAAATGGCCTCTTCCTGGCACCAGCTGCAAATTTATCACTTTTAGAGAGTCAGTGTAATAATTACTGAACCATCACCCAAGGTTCCTAGTGGGGTGGCAGGGAGCCCTCTCCTGCTCCACTGATGCCAGTCTAGCTACCTGTAATAATGGGAACCCCAGCTTGAAGCCATTCAGTCAGATGTTCCAGAGGCCTGGGGTTGCACTTTGCTCTCTGAGGGTGTCAGAGGCAATTTTAGGGACGGAGCCCCCAACACGTGGGCTCTGACACAATCTCCAGGTAGACTGTGTCAGAATTGAATTGGAGGACACCCAGCTGGTATCCACTGCTTGGTGCATGGGAAAATCCCACACATATTTGGCCACAGAAGTCTTCTTGTGTGTTGATGATTATTGTTGTGGTGACAGAGCAGAGGCAAACCATGGTTAGGGAGAGTTTTTCTTGATGTAATTATATTGCTGAAAAATGCAAAATAAGGGAATGTTAATTGTTCTCACCATAAAAATGAAACTATGTGAGGTAATGCATATATGAATTAGCTAGCTTTAGTCATTCCACAATTTATATATGCTTCCAAACATGTTGTACATGATACATATAATTTTATTAGTCAATTTAAAAATAAAAATAAAAAATAAGCAGACATTTCTCTAAAGAAAATATACAAATGGCCAACATCAATTATCAGATAAATCCAAATCAAAACTAAAATGAGATATCACCTCACAGCTCTTAGAATGGCAATTATAAAAAATAATGATAATAACCTCAAAGATTTCAAGTGTTAGCACAAAATGAAGAAATTGGAACCCACAGTGGGAAAGTGGAAATTCCCACTGTTGGTTGGAATGTAAAATGGTACAGCAAATATAAAAACAGAATGGAGATTCCTGAAAATTTTAAAATAGAACTGCCATATAATCCAGCAATTTCACTTCAAGGTATATATTCAAAACAATTGAAATTAGAATTTTGAAGCAATATATGCACTTCTCTTTTCATTGGCAGCAATATTCATAGTAGTCAAGATATACAAACATTCCAACTGTCCATCGACAAAGGAATCAAAAAATGTGATAACAATGGAATATTATTCAGTCTTAAAAATGGTGAAAATTCTTATATTTTCAACAACATGGGTGAATCTGCAGGGTATTATGTTAAGTGAAATGAACCAGTCACCGAAGGACATATACTACATGATTCTAATCATATGAGATATCAAAATGGTCAAACTCATCAGAAAATAAAATAGTAGTTGCTAGTGCTTGGGGCTGGAAAAAAATAGGGACTTGTTATTCAATGAGTATAAAGTTTTAATTATGGTTAATGAATGATTTCTAGAGATCTGCTGTACAACATATTGTCAGTAGCTAATAACAACATTCTGCACTTCAGAATTTGTGAAGAGAGTGTATCTTATATTGAGAGAGATATACTTAACATGTATACCTCATGCATATGTTAATTAGCTAGCTTTAGTCATTCCACAATGTATATACACTTCCAAACATCATGTTGTATATGATACATGTAATTTTATAAATTGACTAATAACATGCACACACACATGCATGCACACACACGCATGCACACATACAAAGACACAAGGAAATTTTGGGAGGCATTGTCTATTCCCTTGATAGTGGTGTCAGCATACACCCACACTCATCAAGTAGTACAGATTAACTATGTGCAGATCTTTTTCTGTCAATTACACTTCAATAACGCTACTAAAAAAAGATGAGAATTCTTACTACTTGGAAAGATCCTTTAGGAAGATAGACTAAGTAATGTTCCTATGATTATTCTATAGCTGTTTTCTTCATAACCCATTAGGCTTAACTATTAGGACCATGATCTACCAAAAATTAGGTCATCCCCTTTGTTGTAAGTGATTAAAAGTTTTTCACACAAGTTTTCCTGAGACAACTACTCTCAAACCAACCCATTCTCTTTTGAGACCACTGGAAAACGGTTAATATTTTGTTGTCTGAGGCTCTGAGATAGATCTGAATAATATTCTAATTAACTTTTATGCCAAACCTACCCTGCTCCAAGGCTAACAATCTATTTTCTATTAATTATCTATCCCAAATTAGGTTTGGGCAGATTATACAACATAGCCTATCAGGAGGTATTCTATGAGTTTAAATATTTCATTAAGAAATCTAATAATAAAATTCATAAAGGCATTTAATAAAAAAAACCCCAACATTATAGACATATTATAAATTTGAATATAAGCCCCTGAGTGGTATGAACTTTCCAGGGAAATATCAAAGTTCAAAGATTAAATCCTCACACTAGTTAAATTTCAAAGGAATTCAAGTTTGAAATAAAAATATCCTACCTTTGTGTGCTGAAATTCCAAAGGAATTAAAACCTGCCCCAATATTAAATTATTTTTTATCTTAGCCAAATGGTTTTCCAAGTGTAGGTGGTAGTAGAATTCTGTCAGTAGCTCAGGAATGAGGTTTCTTTCACTGGAATTACTGCAGTTTCTTTCTGAGACACAAAGGTTGAATTAGCTTAATGCCAAGTCTTGAGGTATCACATATTTTTATTTTACAGGGAAAAAATATTATGGAACTTACAAGCACCAAGGTTAAAAACACTGCTAGAGAATGAAAATCTAGGCAAAACTATTTTTCCATGCTAAATTTATCAGTGATGCCCAAGATGATAGCAAAAATTTAGTGATATTTGAGGAAGTGCCAATGCAGATTTTAGTTTTCTACTACATATGCTTATCAACCAGTTAACGACTATTGTCTAAAATCAACAATGTAAGAGTTTGAATTCAACTAGGAATAATATCCTATATAGACTTTTGTTTAGCTTTATGTGTTTTCTATATCTGGGCTGAAAATGTGCTTAAAACTTCAGGGTTCACGAGGACTGCCTCCTAGGGATGGCTTTCAGTTAATGTTCACATGCCTTCAAGTTGTAAACAGCATTTAGGAGAAATCTGAACTGAAGCTGATATTTACAAATCTGCATCTTAAGTCCTTATGACCTACAGAGAACCAGTAACTAGTTCAAATACCAGCATCTAGAACTAGTTTACTACTAATACTGCCTTCTCCTTAAGGTACTACCTTTCTTCTCTTTAGATTTTCACACTTTTATAGGTAAGCTTACATGTTTATGTACTTAAATGTTGGCAGCTTGAAATTAACCATTTTCCCCCTACACATGATCCCATAGACAAACTGCATGAGCTGAAGGTTAATGCTTCCAAATATGTCCTTATCTATTTGTGCCTAAAAGAATTTAGAGAAGTAGATCTAATTTTATCTACCTAACCTCACACTAATTAAATTTTTTGACAGTGATCTGTAATTCACTCAGAACTCATCAGTTAAGTAGTTTAAAAGGTTAAAAAGGCTATATTATTCCAAAAATAAAACCTTTGCTTCAGCCATGCCTACTTAAAAATATGTGTGCCTGTGTAGAGAGATCTAGCAGCTTGCATTTTGAAGTTGCATGTCTCTGCAAAACGATGTGCAGTCTAGTATTTTGCTGAAGTTTATGCAGCTAGTATTTGCTACCTTGATACTATAGCAGTCTACTGAAGTTATCTACAAATTTTCCAAGCCTGGTCATGCAGTCCTGCATTTCTACAAATGCCAGTATCTGCATTCACAGTGACTCACCAGTGGATAATCACAATACAAGCAGGAGTCAAAATACCATGTGGTTTCTTCTTTGGTCAGAGCAGTTTAAAATCATCTAACTACTGAACAGCCTGTCCAGCCACACATTAGCCAGTATAAATGGACAAGTTTGAAATGCCTTGTTCATATATTAAAATCCTAGATCTCTGTACCCTGAATCATCACAAGACATTTGGCATGTTATTTTGGTCTGAAATTATATTCCTGGCTTTACTTATCTGCATTTCTAATCAATGTCCAATTGTTGAGGACTTTGTAGCAACCCAAATTACAGTCCCCTCCTTAAGCAAGGTGAGAAAACAGAAATACCCGATGATGGTATCAATATTGCTCTTATTGCTAATAATGGCTTAATCATTCATGTTGTTTTGAAGATCAAAATAGGTCTGCTAACAGAACTCAAGATTGAAAAGGGTTTATCCACCTAGACACAGAGGCAATGTGGTGGAAAGTATCCCTATATAGTAGAGAAGTGCCTGTCCTGTGGAGGACAAGGGAAAACTATCTTTCAATAGAGTCGCAGACATAGCTTAGCTCAAGATACCCAGTTTATTTTCTTGACTTTTTACAAAAAGCAAATAATACCACCTTCTCTTAAATAGAGTAAAGGAAACCCGTAGGATCAATAGGGGGCGTCAGTAAAGGTCAAGTGTATTTCTTATACTTTAGTAAGATGATGAGAATCATATCCTCCAAAAAACTTATAAACTAGAATGTGCTACAACTTTAGATTTTAGATACTATTTAATGCAAAGGCAATTATTAACTACATCAGTTTTCTACATTTTAAAAGAAAATTTGTTAAACCATAGGCTAATTTATTTCATTAACTATGTTTATAAATCAATGCAAGTATTTTAAAACAGTGAAGATTATATATTTAGTTCTACAAGTGGATCCAAACATAGATACGCTGATTAGTTTAATTTTGAGGTGCTGGAAGGAGGCTTGGAGAAATAGGTATTGTTGTTCACAACTTAAGTATAAATAATAAATAAACACAATTTGATGATGAATGGCTAACTCCACCAGGGAAGAAATGCTTAGTTGTTTACCTGCCTTTCAGTCTAAGTATTTTTTATTGATATTTATGAAATCTTAAAAATGAATAGAAACCATTTTTCTTATTTATGTTGATAAAATAAATATATTATTCTGTTTTAAAGGTATAACTTAACTATATGACCAAATGATATGTTAGGTCTGCCTAAATAGCAGAAAAGCTCATTTGTGTGGTTGGCCATTGGAACCGAAGTGAACTTCAGAAGTCATCCAACCCAGTCTTCTTAACTGGCATATGAGTTAAGTCTCACAGCAAAGTATGTGGCAATATTTAGATAATACTCTGTTCTTCTGACTTCCGTTTCACTATCTTTTATCTGTATCAAATTGTCCCTCCCTTTTGAACTACTATTGCCATATACAAGATAGTTTCAATTAGCTCTGGACAAATCACATTTAATGATTTGTTTGTGCATACTGATATTCTCAAATAGACTCAGTCTAGGAACAATCCTGGAGTCCTCATGAGTATTAGGAATTTGGCTGACAGCAAACACTATCCTACAGTTCAGTTACAGAAAATGCATTGAATCTTGTTATCTCTAAATGATGCAGCTCAGGAAATCGTGACAGCCTGAGTTAATTAAGGATTGAGAATTAATTCAATGTTAGCTTCAATGTAGATATACTTAGTATTGTTTTCAACTGAAAAAATCCTGCAATTAATTCATTTATTGACATAACATAATATTTTGTGAAACAAGATGCCATACTGATAGAATAATTCTCATTTAAGATAGTATATAAGTTGAAGGTTAATGATGTGGCAACAAATAACATAAGCAAGATAAGTCCCAGATTATCATACAAACATGCAGAAGAGTGTGTACCGTAACCGCTCTGTTATAGATAAGGGATCAATATTCTTTTTTCTATTATTTCTATTTTCAGAATTATAGGCTGATAACTCTCTGCTTCATTACTATCAAAATTACAGTATTAGGAAGGAAACCTGATTTCTAAGACACATTTTTATTAAATATGTATACAATAAAATATGAATTCTTTTTCGTTGGGGTAATACATCAAAACTTCAGGAACCAAAATGTATAAACATGTAGCAGTATGTAACTGCTACTTTGTTAATTTATTCAAGCAACAATTATTTACTAAGTAATGCATCAATCAATGTGTACAAACAAGACAAACAAGACAACAAGGAAACAAGAAACATTCTAGGTATTTTACATTGAAATATTGTATACAGGGAATTGTATAGTTGACATAAGAGCTGAGAAGACAAATAAGAGATGATGAAGTAACATAAAGAACAGCAACTGGGAGGACAAGTATCACACAGAGTAGAACAGATATAGGGAAAAATCCATTCGCGAAGGCACTAGAGAATTAAGAATGCCATGATTTCTTCCCTTTTCCTTCACTTTAGTCTTCCAACAGTGCTTCCCTTGGTTGAAACCACATGGTAACCATTGAGCAGAAGAACCTAGGAAATACAGTTTTCAGAACAGCAAGGTATGAATTGGAATACAAATCATGTGAACAGGCACATGTGCCAACTATGTACCAAGCATTCTTCTGGGAGGCAGGAATTCAGAAATAAACAAAACTGACCCAAATCCTTGTTCTCAGGGAGGTTTATAGGGAGGTTTATAGGTAATACTTAATATCTACATTACTCATAATTACTATAAATATTCCAATATGCTTTAAATACACCAGTCCAGTAAGCCTCATAAAATATCTACAGGAGAATATTATTATTGCTGTCATTTATATAAGAAATAAAAAGACCAAGAGGGTAAATGCCTGAGGTCCCAATGCTTGCAGTGCCATAGCCAAGATTTAAACCAAGCATTCTGGCTCAGAGTACATTCTCTTTAATCTTGTTCCATTCTACATTTTTATATCTTATACTTTCTATCTTTTCTTTATACTATAAATAATAATAATTGCAATTATAACATTGAGTACTTTTTTAAAGTTTTAAAATGTTTACATACAGATATCTAAAATCTTGAATAGCAAGTATAAATTTGTCCACTATTGCAAAAAATATAAACACATTTTCCTTGCTTCTTGAACATAATAAAAGCATACTAATATTTTTGAGATGAAAATATACAACTTCTAGGGAATATTCCCATGCCTCAGTTGTTAAGGTTTTCAGTTGATGAGACAGGGAATCAGAACCAGAAAACAATGTTGTAATTAAATTTCACATAGAGGTAGGGAACAGCATAAGAGCAGTGGGTACTTCTGAATGTAACAAGAATTTAGCCTACTTTACAATCTCCTCATGGCCACCCAAAATCACAGAAAGAGACTAAAAATGCTAGTAGGGTTTTCTAAATAAATGAATGTATTATCTCCAATACTTGCTACCAGGTAAGAGAAGAATTATTTCTGAGTCTATGCTGTGGCTCCCTATGTAAATGTGAAAGTATTTTTATGGGAAATAGGTTTTACCTCTTTCCCCCTTATGTTTTCAGCAGATCAGAGACAACATTTGTAGAAATATCATTTATTGTACTTTACTTCATATAGAACAATAAAACACAAATGTCTCCTCATGACGGCTGAGGCACTATGATTGTAGTTCTTGTCCTCTGTCCCTAGTTCTTATTTTTATATTTTTCCATTTTTATTTATTATTTTTAAGAAAGCAAGAATAACTGTGCCACGCCTCAAGTAGGTGGGACATTTGTCTTAAAATTATATAGTTTCAGGTCATAATGACTGTGTGATCTTTGATTTTTTTTAACTTCAAAATAATTCATATAGCCTAAAACAATTGAAATGTGAGCTGATGACTTTGTGGAATCCTTGCTGCCCTTTGTGAAAGATGTATGCAATAAAAATTTCTGCCTAGTGCATAGAATACTGACATCATGTAATTATAGCCATGCTAGGCAACAGCCCTTTAGTCAGAATACTATTAGAAAAACCATACCTGTTCTAGAAGTAATTCATTCTGCATGAATTATAGAATAAAATGGGAGGCTTGGGTTTGCAATTTGAACTCTTCTTTTCTTCCTATTTCTATTTCTTAGCTAACAGGTTTACCTTTAAATATTTTGCACATCTAAAATTATTTCTTGTTCTAATTTCACACTAGGTATAAAAATTAAATTTGTTCAAGTATTGAATTCCTAATTATCCACCTACAGATTGTTACCTAAAAGCCATTTTTTAAAGTTTATTCATCAGTTAGTGAAACTCTTCTTCTGTTAATATTAGGAGAAAGCTGAAGAATAAAAAAGGGGAAAGAGGGTTGCCAATTATAGTTGATTTGACATGAATATGAGTCTTCTGTTGCTTCCTAAAAACAAATAGGTAGGTTGGGTCTGCAATCCATAATCACAAATTATTTAATGTAAAATTATATGAATATATGTTTATATTTTAAATATTTGAGTGTATATAATTATGCTTTAATTAAAGTATGTAGTAAACTATTTCTTGTAATTCTATACCATTTCACTCTTTATATTAACACAGATGATAATCTGTGGTGTAACTGTAAATATTGCTGATAAGAACACAATAAACACACACATTATAGACCTTAAAGCCTTAAATACATGTTACCTTTATAGGAAGCCATCCTTAAAGACTATGCATTTGTTAAGATAACATGATCACTGAACTTAATTTCGAAAGTCTCTTGGGAAACTTTAAGATGCATATAGAATTTAATGAATTTTTAATGCAGGAAAATGTTGTAATGTTTCTATAATATAATGTCTCATTAATGGTTATTAAACATTAGAAACATTATAAAAGTCAATATTAGGGAGCATGTCTTATATTACCCTTAAAATTTCATATTGCAAACTAATTAAGGGCATTTCCCATTTAATGATTCACTAAGGTACAGTAATATACATTCTCCTTATTTTTTATAAGCAGAAGTGGCTACTGTCCTCAGGTTTAAACACCTCAGGACCATATTCTGCTTTGTTGCCAGGGTGGACACTCTACCAACCACATTTCTCTTCTGCCAGCTGGCTCTAAAGGCTCGAGGGAGAAAAGACACCTTCTTCTTTCTGCTTGCTTTCTGTTGATTTTTCTTTTTCTAGTTGTTTCCCATTTTATTCACTGTAATAGTGACAACTTGTTTCAGTAAGAACATGATTTCATGTGTTTGTTCGTTTGTTTTTTTAATTTCAGCACTCTCAAAACCATTTCTATCTTACACCTTCAGAGAAGCCAGCCTTCATTAAAGACTGAATGAAGTAAAATAAAGACTTAACACAGACTGGCAAATTGGATAAAGAGTCAAGACCAATCAGTGTGTTTTATTCAGGAGACCCATCTCACGTGCAGAGACACACATAGGCTCAAAATAAAGGGATGGAGGAAGATCTACCAAGCAAATGGAAAACAAAAAAAGGCAGAGGTTGCGATCCTAGTCTCTGATAAAACAGACTTTAAACCAACAAAGATCAAAAGAGACAAAGAAGGCCATTACATAATGGTAAAGGGATCAATTCAACAAGAAGAGCTAACTATCCTAAGTATATATGCACCCATTACAGGAGCACCCAGATTTATAAAGCAAGTCCTTAGAGACCAACAAAGAGACTTAGACTCCCACACAATAATAATGGGAGATTTTAACACCCCACTGTCAACATTAGACAGATCAACGGGACAGAAAGTTAACAAGGATATCCAGGAATTGAACTCAGCTCTGCACCAAGCAGACCTAATAGACATCTACAGAACTCTCCACCCCAAATCAACAGAATATACATTCTTCTCAGCAACACATCACACTTATTCCAAAATTGACCACATAGTTGGAAGTAAAGCACTCCTCAGCAAATATAAAAGAACAGAAATTATAACAAACTGTCTCTCAGACCACAGTGCAATCAAACTAGAACTCAGGATTAAGAAACTCACTCAAAACTGCTCAACTACATGGAAACTGAACAACCTGCTCCTGAATGACTACTGGATACAGAACAAAATGAAGGTGGAAATAAAGATGTTCTTTGAAACCAATGAGAACAAAGATACAACATACCAGAATATCTGGGACACATTTAAAGCAGTGTGTAGAGGGAAATTTATAGCACTAAATGCCCACAACAGAAAGCAGGAAAGATCTAAAATTGACACCCTAACATCACAATTGAAAGAACTAGGAAGCAAGAGCAAAGACATTCAAAAGCTAGCAGAAGGCGAGAAATAACTAAGATCAGAGCAGAACGGAAGGAGATAGAGACACAAAAAACTCTTCAAAAAATCAGTGAATCCAGGAGCTGGTTTTTTGAAAAGATCAACAAAATTGATAGACTGCTAACAAGACTAATAAAGAAGAAAGAGAGAAGAATCAAATAGACCCAATAAAAAATGGTAAAGGGGATATCACCACTGATCCCAGAGAAATACAAACTACCATCAGAGAATACTATAAACACCTCTACACAAATAAACTAGAAATCCTAGAAGAAATGGATAAATTCCTGGACACATACACCCTCCCAAGACTAAACCAGGAAGAAGTTGAATCTCTGAATAGATCAATAACAGGCTCTGAAATTCAGGCAATAATTAATAGCCTACCAACCAAAAAAAGTCCAGGACCAGACTGATTGACAGCCGAATTCTACCAGAGGTACAAGGAGGAGCTGGTACCATTCCTTCAGAAACTATTCCAATCAATAGAAAAAGAGAGAATCCTCCCTAACTCATTTTATGAGGCCAGCATCATCCTGATACCAAAGCCTGACAGAGACACAACAAAAAAAGAGAATTTTAGACCAATATCCCTGATGAACATCAATGCAAAAATCCTCAATAAAATACTGGCAAACTGATTCCAGCATCACATCAAAAAGCTTATCCACCATGATCAAGTGGGCTTCATCCATGGGATGCAAGGCTGGTTCCACATACGCAAATCAATAAATGTAATCCAGCATATAAACAGAACCAAAGACAAAAGCCCCATGATTATCTCAATAGATGCAGAAAAGGCCTTTGACAAAATTCAACAGCCCTTCATGCTAAAAACTCTCAATAAATTAGGTATTGATGGGATGTATCTAAAAATAGTAAGAGCTATTTATGACAAACCCACAGCCAATATCATACTGAATGGGCAAACCTGGAAGCATTCCCTTTGAAAACTGGCACAAGACAGGGATGCCCTCTCTCACCACTCCTATTCAACATAGTGTTGGAAGTTCTGGCCAGGGCAATCAAGCAGGAGAAGGAAATAAAGGGTATTCGATTAGGAAAAGAGGAAGTCAAATTGTCCCTCTTTGCAGATGACATGATTGTATATTTAGAAAACCCCATCGTCTTAGCCCAAAATCTCCTTAAGCTGATAAGCAACTTCAGCAAAGTCTCAGGATACAAAATCAATGTGCAAAAATCACAAGCATTGTTATACACCAATAACAGACAGACACAGAGCCAAATCGTGAGTGCACTCCCAATCACAATTGCTTCAAAGAGAATAAAATACCTAGGAATCCAACTTACAAGAGATGTGAAGGACCTCTTCAAGGAGAACTACCAAACACTGCTCAAGGAAATAAAAGAGGACACAAAAAAATGGAAGAACATTCCATGCTCATGGGTAGGAAGAATCAATATCGTGAAAATGGCCATACTGCCCAAGGTAATTTATAGATTCAATGCCATCCCCATCGAGCTACCAATGACTCTCTTCACAGAATTGGAAAAAACTACTTTAAAGTTCATATAGAACCAAAAAAGGGCCCGCATTGCCAAGACAATCCTAAGTCAAAAGAACAAAGCTGGAGGCATCATGCTACCTGACTTCAAACTATACTACAAGGCTGTAGTAACCCAAACAGCATGGTACTGGTACCAAAACAGAGATAAACCAATGGAACAGAACAGAGCCCTCAGAAATAATACCACACATCTATAACCATCTGATCTTTGACAAACCTGACAAAAACAAGAAATGGGGAAAGTTTCCCTATTTAATAAATGGTGCCGGGAAAACTGGCTAGCCATATGTAGAAAGCTGAAACTGGATCCCTTCCTTACACCTTATACAAAAATTAATTCAAGATGGATTAAAGACTTAACTGTTAGACCTAAAACCATAAAAATCCTAGAAGAAGACCTAGGCAATACCATTCAGGACATAGGCATGGGCAAGGACTTCATGTCTAAAACACCAAAAGCAATGGCAACAAAAGCCAAAATTGACATGGGATCTAATTAAACTAAAGAGCTTCTGCACAGTGAAAGAAACTCCCATCAGAGTGAACAGACAACCTACAGAATGGGAGAAAATTTTTGCAATATTGTCATCTGACAAAGGGTTAATATCCAGAATCTACAAGGAACTCAAACAAATTTACAAGAAAAAAACAAACAACCCTATCACAAAGTAGGTGAAGCAAAAGAACAGACACTTCTCAAAAGAAGACATTTATGCAGCCAAAAGACACACGAAAAAATGCTCATCATCACCGACCATCAGAGAAATGCGAATCAAAACCACAATGAGATACCGTCTCACACCAGTTAGAATGGCGATCATTAAAAAGTTAGGAAACAACAGGTGCTGGAGAGGATGTGGAGAAATAGGAACACTTTTACACTGTTGTTGGGACTGTAAACTAGTTCAACCATTGTGGAAGACAGTGTGGCGATTCCTCAAGGATCTAGAACTAGAAATACCATTTGTCCCAGCCATCCCATTACTGGGTATATACCCAAAGGATTATAAATCATGTTGCTATAAAGATACATGCACACATATGTTTATTGCGGCACTATTCACAATAGCAAAGACTTGGAACCAACCCAAATGTCCATCAATGACAGACTGGATAAAGAAAATGTGGCACATATACACCACAGAGTACTATGCAGCCATAAAAAATGATGAGTTCATGTTCTTTGTAGGGACATGGATGAAGCTAGAAACCATCATTCTCAGCAAACTATCACAAGGACAAAAAACCAAACACCCCATGTTCTCACTCATAGGTGGGAATTGAACAATGAGAACACTTGGACACAAGAAGGGCAACATCACACACCGGGACCTGTCATGGGGTAGGGGAAGGGGGGAGGGATAGCCTTAGGAGATATAACTAATGTAAATGACGAGTTAATGGGTACAGCACACCAACATGGCACATGTATACCTATGTAACAAACCTGCACGTTGTGCACATGTACCCTAGAACTTAAAGTATAATTAAAAAAAAAAAGACTTAATATGCTAATACTTAAAATATGAGGAAACTCTGTTAGGTTCCTAGACATTGCTCCAGCTGAATAGTGCCTTCTGATCAGGAGTCTGAGTTCCAGCCTCATTTGGCTACTCCTCTACCCTTTTAAGTTTTAATTTTCTCAACTTCTTCCCTTTGTTTCATCAGCACTAGGTGGGTAACTGCACTCTGCTGTTGCTATCTTCATATACCTTAATATTCCTTTTTCTGCCTTTTCTTAAATGACAATTGTCAACTATTCTCCCACCCTTTTATATTTTTTTGCAACTCTCTCCATACAGTACAGTTTACTTCCCTTCTTGAATTCCAGTTGACACTGCAACTTGCTTTGACCAATAGCATGGACAGAAATGAGACCTACCAACTTTATATTGCTCTCTTCGAGGTCTGTGCCACCACGTAAGAAGTATAACTATGCTGCTTCTAGTGAAGTTGAGCCTCACCCAGATGTCTCAGCTACCATAACTAAGGCACTAGACATGTGGGTGAGCCATTTGGATTTTCCATCCTCATGCCCAGCTGAACTCCCAGGGCAATGGAGCTGCATAAATTGGACCATTTGGAATAGAAGGACATCCCAGATGATTCCAGTCAGCCCAGAATCATAAGAATCCTGAGAAATAATATGTCATGATTGTCTTAAGCAACTAAATGAAAACATAGTTGGATACAAAGCAGTATATAACTACAAAAGCCTTTTAGTTCAAGAGCTAGTTTAACTTTACAGTAAATATTCAGTAGAAAATCTCTGGTCTGTGGTTTCTGTCTCCTGACTGGATCTTGACAGATCCAAACATAAATGCTGAAACCAATAAAATAATCTGGTCTAATGTTATATGTTTTGCTAATGTTTTCACATGTTAAACTGGCTAATACATTTTGAAAACAATCTTAATTCCAGGATATTAAGAACATAACTCTAACAAGAATTAGTTTATCAGAAAAAAATTTAAAAAATTAAACAATATCATAATGTGATAGTCTAATAGCTGCTATTGAAATAGTAAATTTTATTGAAGGGAATGCTTAATATTTAATAGTGCAGCTATTAACTATCTTCTTAGTCTATCAGGCCGTTGATAATAATATCAAATAGAATTCGATTCAGGTCATTTTATATATTGTCTTCATAGGAAGTTAATATTATATTAGTGATGAATGTGACTATTATAGTTGACTAATGGCATTTGTGATTATAAGATCAAATATCAATTATGTTAACATGAGGTGTCATAAATGGATGATAATTATGATGTGAATAAAATAGTTATGAGTTATTGGGTAAATTATAACTATAATGAGTTTTAAATATTGGGTTTGAAATTTCATTTATGTCACTAGATCAGTGAGAAATAATATTAGAGACTCTGTAATTGAATAAGGTCATAAGACTTCTCCAGCCAAAGAATTTCAACAGAATAGCATGTGACTTTAAAGGAGATTTTCACAGCCGGGCACAGGAGCCTGAGGTGGGAAGACTGCTTGAGGTCAGAGTTCAAGGCTTCAGTGTGCTATAAATAGGCCTGCACTCAAACATGGGCAACACAACAAGACCCTTTCTCTAAAATATATATATATATATATATATATATATATATATATATATATATATATATATAAAATGAAAAGAGACTTTCTTCCACAGACAGACCTAAGCAGGTTTTAATATAATCCTTGGGATTAGGTAATCCTAAAACCATCAAGACAGAGAAAAGATGTTCCCCCAAACCAAGTAATTCATATAATATCAGGACATTCTCTAAAGGCAGAATTTTAGTATGTCAAACTGGATAGCAGACTATCACATCTGAAATAATGAATATTTGAACATGAAAAAATGGAGAAAAGATGACTCCCTGAACTTTATCCTCATAAGGCTTTAATAATCAGTCCTCAATCTGGGGTTTGGGGAAGAGTTGTACTAATCCCTTGTAAGAGCAATAGTATAACCTTACTTTTTTTTTTTTTTCTTTTCCTTTTAGTGAAATTTCCCTAATATCCTCTGGCAAAATAATTGAAATGCTTCCTCTTGCTATGATCTTAACCTGTATATATTAGGATCTAATTTATACTCTTCTTCAAATATGTTATATTGCTTGAAATAAGTTTCTATGCCTATTTTCTTTGCAACAACCTAAAACTATGAACACAAATTTTTCTACAATGAGAATGATATTAAATTTCTGAAGAGCAAGGGAGGGGGGTAGTAGTTAGGAATAGCGGTAAAAGAGAGAAAAAACAATTTACATCTGCAAAATAAAATAACATTGCTGAAAAATATGTGCATATGCATAGGTAATTGGACCAAACACATAGTGGACAAAAAAGCTGTTAAAACAAAGTGTAATTATCTGTATAGCTATTTGACTGAAAATCCCGCACCTGAGAGAAAACATCACAATCATGTATTTTTGTGAAAGTCATTTAACTGACATTTATATAGTACCTACTCTCTGCTAGTTATTAAATATTTAAGTGCCTGAATTTTCACATTATTATCCAACAACAATTATTACTACCACTTTACAGATGAAACACTCAAACAAAATAAGATAAATAATAGTACGACACATATCATATACACACATATCTATTGCCCATTTGTACATTTCTTTGGAGAAATGTCTACTCAAGCAATTCCTTAGCCAATTTTTAAATTGGAGTATTTGATTTTTTGCTGCTGAGTTGTAAGAGTTCCTTATAAAAGTTAGTAGAATCAGTGAACCTTACTTTTGCTTTAAAAACTGAGACGACTTATTTGCTGTCTTGGTTTTAACCTTCAAATTTCACCAGTTAGAATGCTTAAACAAAAAGTAGCCAAGATTGCTACTTCCAACAAGATACAAATTTGCCAGAAGAGTGGAGTGCAGCAGAACTTTATGGTTTGTAAGCATTTTAAATATAGACCAGAAAATAGTATGTTAGTGTGCATTTTCTCTTTGTCAGAATAATAAATGCCCAATTCTTTGCCCTTCTTTTTTCCTGTAACAAATAGGAAAGCGCATTTTCTCAGTCTGCTCATGTAAAGACAATACTGAGCATAAATTTTACAGTGTCTAGAGAGTAAATGATTGAAAGCATTTTGCACAGTTTCAAGAAAACCTCCAGGTTTGTATGGTGATTCTGCTTAGAACACTTAGAGTCGATATATGAATACAATCTCTTCTATGTATGAGGGAATGTAGGGAATGTAGGGAAAAGATCATCTAAATTTTGCATGATTATCAGGAAACAGACAATGTGAAACTGATAGTATAGGGACAAAACAATGTAAACAAATAAGCAGCAATATTGAATAAACATAGTTGGTATATTATATGATTGTTTATTTATAAGAAGTGAATGAAATGGCCTTGTCGCTAAATATCTAAAAGAACAGATATTCAAGCAAAGATTCCATATATTTTATTTATTTATTTACTTATTTATTCATTTATTTGAGACGGAGTCTCGCTCTGTCGCCCAGGCTGGAGTGCAGTGGTGCCATCTCGGCTCACTGCAAGCTCCGCCTCCCGGGTTCACGCCATTCTCCTGCCTCAGCCTCCAAATAGCTGGGACTACGGGCGCCCGCCACCACGCTCGGCTAATGTTTCTTTGTACTTTTAGTAGAGACAGGGTTTCACCGTGTTTGCCAGGATGGTCTCGATCTCCTGACCTCGTGATCCACCCGCCTCGGCCTCCCAAAGTGCTGGGATTACAGGTGTGAGCCACCGCGCCCGGCCAGATTCCATATAAAGACTTGTTAATTGAGTCTTATTTACTTGTCTGCTGAGATAACATGATCCGTATAAAGATAAAATAGAGCTAATAATTGTAATTTTGAAAATCACTCACAATACAGATTTAAAAATGTCTTATATATTCCCTCTTAGAACCAAACATCCAAAATTGTATTTTAATTGAAAAATATTTATATTATATATCTATATTTGTCTCTCTATATCTTCATATATTTAATTTTTCTATGAAACCAAAAATTGAAAACCTAATGATATAACAGATTACTGATTTCACTTCTGAATTTTTATTTCTACACCAAAGGTATATACAAAAGATCAATAAATCATTTTTTTTTTTTTTTTGAGGCAGTCTCACCCTGTCACCCAGACTGGAGTGCAGTGGCACGATCACACTGCAACCTCCACTTCTCAGGTTGAAGAGATTCTCCTGCCCCAGCCTCCTGAGTAGCTGGGATTACAGGCCATGCCCAGCTACCTTTTTGGACAGGGCTTCACCATGTTGGCCAGAATGGTCTCGAACTCCTGACCTCGTGATCCGCCCGCCTCAGCCTCCCAAAGTGCTGGGATTATAGGCGTGAGCCACCACGCCCGGCCAATAAATATATATATTTTTAAAGTTTAACAATAAATATACCTCTTCTAAATTATTAGTGGTAACATTCACTTGACACCTAATCATATCTTACCTTATTTTTTGTCAATTGGCAAATATTCTGAGTAGATTCTCTATGAAAATTACCATGTGAATATGAATAAAAGTTATTTCCTATTTTACCTCTTTTATCTGTTCATCTTATTGCTTAAAGATTACTTTCTCCATCAATACATGTGCTGTTTTCATTTTTCCCATAAAGCCAAAAGCACCTGCTATAATCACAATATGCACTTAATAATTAGTTTAATTAATTACTATTATCAGTATTAAATAATTTTATTGTTATAGACAAAGGAATTGCAGAGTTTGATATACAAACATTGGTGTGTATGAGATTGAAGTATCTTCTTGTGAAGTAACAGGAAGGATTTCAGCAAGGCAAAATGGAACAGATGCATTTTTTTAAACTCTTCATTACTCTATAATTTATTGGTGACAATTTTATTGTGATTTGGAATTTATAGGCTAGCAATCTAATTGATCAACTAGAAGATATTTAAAGTATAATAAAACTTGCAATGCTGTCATTTATTTCCATAATTAGTGAATTCATGGTTATTTAGTTTTTAACATATTTTCATATTTTGTTTTATTGTTTGAGAAATCAGGTCAAAAAATTTAACCTCCCAGATTTTGTTTTGAAACTGTAATAAAATTATACCATATTATCTAATAGTCTATAAAGTTTTCAATATGCTGTTAAATTTCAGTTTTATGATTAAAATATGTTTATAAATTGTTTTGGTCACGTGTTCTTCCATAACCAGCACAAAAGTTAGTGGCTGAAAACAAGCATCAACAAAGAATTTCCCACTGCTTGTGACCTGGTTTTTTATGATCTTCTAACTATTCATGTTTTCCACATTTTTAAAAGGTTGTGAAAACAGATGCCATATATGAATCACAAATTCTAAAATATTTAGTTTGTAACTTTTTCTTAAAAATCGTTGCTAACATCTGGCTTAAACAAACCACCAGTTCATTATATATCACATTTGGATAGGGCTTACCTGGTTGTTTTCTGATCTTTCTTCTGACCTCCTATGCGGTTGGACTCAGATGGTAGTTGGGCTTATGGCTAGAGGTGGTTGTTTGTAACCTTATACTTTTCATGTGGCTTTTTTCTCCTTTTGGCAAGTTTCGTGAAAGACTCCAAGAGTAAAAAAGAGGGAGTTGCCTTAATGCTTTATTTATACTTGGACTAGAAATTTAGAATGGTACTTCCTCTGCAGTCCATTTGTCAAATGTTTCACAACTCTACTGGAGGGATATAAGTTCCATATTTTGATGGAAAAAAGTAATTATTTACAAACTAGGAAGGGCAGAAGTTTCGGGGCCATCCAACCCTCTGGCCACAAGAATTTATTTCTTTCCTTGTATCACATATAGCCATTCCGTTTTTAGACACCGTCCTGCCAAAGTATCATTGTTTTACAGTATCAGCTTGAATTCTAGAATTTCCTTGTCTTTTGTGAATCAGGTTTCTTTGGTGTGGAATCTCCAGCTCATCTACTTGGATATTGTCCCTTTTGATCTGAGAATCTTTAAAATAGAGACAAATTTTCAGTACCCCATTCACCAAATATATAATAGTGAACAAGGACAAAGAATGTGTAGATAGAGTTAAAGTGGTAGGAAGAGAGTAATAAGCAGCTCATAACTTTTTTTAACATTTTTTAATTATACTTTAAGTTTTAGGATACATGTACAGAACATGCAGGTTTGTTATGTAGGTATACACGTGCCATGGTGGTTTGCTGCACCCGTCAACACATCATCTACATTAGGTATTTCTCCTAATGCTATCCCTCCCCTAGACCCCCATCCCCCAACAGGCCCCCGTTTGTGTGTGATGTTCCCCTCCATGTGTCCATGTGTTCTCATTGTTCAACTCCCGCTTATGAGTGAGAACATGTGGTGTTTGGTTTTCTGTTCCTGTTTTAGTTTGCTGAGAATGATGGTTTCCAGCTTCATCCATGTCCCTGCAAAGGACATGAACTCATCCTTTTTTATGGCTGCATAGTATTCCATGGTGTATATGTGCCACATTTTCTTTATCCAGTCTATCATTGATGGGCATTTGGGTTGGTTCCAAGTTTTTCTGTTGTGAATTGTGCTGCAATAAATATATGTGTGCATGTGTCTTTATAATAGAATAATTTATAATCCTTTGGGTATATACCCAGTAATGGGATTGCTGGGTCAAATGATATTTCTGTTTCTAGATCACGGAGGCCACACTGTTTTCCACAATGGTTGAACTAATTTACACTCCCACCAACAGTGTAAAAGTGTTCCTATTTCTCCACATCCTCTCCAGCATCTGTTGTTTCCTGACTTTTTAATGATTGCCATTCTAACTGGTGTGAAATAGTATCTCATTATAGTTTTGATTTGCATTTCTCTAATGACCAGTGATGATATGCTTTTTTTCATATGTTTGTCGGCTGCACAACTGTCCTCTTTTGAGAAGTGTCTGTTCCTATCCTTTGCACACTTTTTGATGGGGTGGTTTGTTTTTTTCTTTTAAATTTGTTTAAGTTCCTTGTAGCTTCTGGATATTAGCCCTTTGTCAGATGGATAGAGTCCAAAATTTTTCTTCCATCCTGTAGGTTACCTGTTCACTCTGATGATAGTTTCTTTTGCTGTGCAGAAGCTCTTTAGTTTAACTAGATCCCATCTGTCAATTTTGGCTTTTGTTGCCATTGCTTTTGGTGTTTTAGTCATGAAGTCTTTGCCCATGCCTATGTCCTGAATGGTATTGCCTAGATTTTCTTCTAGGATTTTTATGGTTTTAGATTTCACATTTAAGGCTTTAACCCATCTTGAGTTAATTTTTGAATAAGATGTAAGGAAGGGGTCCAGTTTCAGTTTTCTCCATGTGGCTAGCCAGTTTTCCCAACACCATTTATTAAATGCTTGTTTTTGTGAGGTTCGTCAAAGATTAAATGGTTGTAAATGTGTGGCATTATTTCTGAGGCCTCTGTTCCATTCCATTGGTCTATATATCTGTTTTGGTACCAGTACCATGCTGTTTTGGCTACTGTAGCCTTTCAGTATAGTTTCACATCAGGTAGTGTTATGCCTCCAGCTTTGTTCTTTTGGCTTAGGATTATCTTGGCTATATGGGCTCTTTTTTGATTTCATATGAAATTTAAATTTAAAGTAGTTTTTTCTAATTCTGTGAAGAAAGTCAATGGTGGCTTGATGGGAATAGCATTGAATCTATAAATTACTTTGGGCAGTATGGCCATTTTCACAATAGTGATTCTTCCTATCAGTGAGCATGAAATATTTTTCCATTTGTTTGTGTCCTCTCTTATCTCCTTGAGCAGAGGTTTGGAGTTCTCCTTGAACAGACCCTTCACATGCCTTGTAAGTTGTATTCCTAGGTATTTTGTTCTCTTTGTAGCAATTGTGAATGGGAGTTCACGCATGATTTCGCTCTCTGATTGTCTGTTATTGGTGTATAGGAATGCTTGTGATTTTTGCACATTGATTTTGTATCTCGAGACTTTGCTGAAGTTGCTTATCAGCTTAAGGAGATTTTGGGCTGAGATGATGGGGTTTTCTAAATATACAATCATGTCATCTGCAAACAGAGACAATTTGACTTCCTCTCTTCCTATTTGAATACGCTTTATTTCTTTCTCTTGCCTGATTGCCCTGGCCAGAACTTCCAATACTATGTTGAATAAGAGTGGTGAAAGAGGGCATCCTTGTCTTGTGCTGGTTTTCAAAGGGAATGCCTCCAGTTTTTGTCCATTCAGTATGATATTGGCTGTGGGTTTGTCGTAAATAGCTCTTATTATTTTGAGATACGTTCCAGTTTAGAGAAGAACATAAATGACCTGATAAAACAACAGTTTTTAAAATATCCAACTGGGTACCTGCATGTGGTTCCTTGATTAAGTTTCAATGAAGTGGCTCCCCATAGATGTTGGCTCCATCCTCAGGAATTTTCATTTGCCCTCTGACTTAACCTCACTTTTCTATAAGAAATGGCTCATGCTTTTAGCACAGCAGCTCTTCTGGCCTGCATCCTGCTTATAAAATTTTGAGGTTCCTAGTGATCTCTTTTCATTATAAACTGCCACCTTTTTTTAGTACAAGATGTTATAATTCCTTCAATAAGCTTTATAGGTTTTTAAATTTATCATGTTATAATAAAACTCATTAGATGAGAAAACACATACAAACAAAAAACAGCACTCACATTCCCTTCAGAAGTAAGAGCTGCTGTACCTTAGACCTCCCATCCAAGGCTACTGAGGTAAAATTTTTCTTAAAACTTTCAGAAATTCTATTAGTTGACCTAGCGGTCTTTTTTCTAGCTGAAAATTTCTAAAGGTGACAAAGTTTTTTGAGCCTTAACAAAGGCATGTACAGCTGATCCTTGATCTGAAATTTACGCAGAGATCAGTTTATACTGGCGATGGCCAAGACGTGTCCTTTGCTCTGAGGCTATTTCCTACTTTGAAAGCTGTTTTTGTCTTCCACAGAGACTAAGAATAGACAAAGTTTTATTTTTGAAGACAGAAAAGTATTGCATTTTTGTATTTTCTCTAAATTATCTTGAAAAATTGAGCACTTACTTTTTAGCCCTTCTGGCTACTCTCGTACTTTATCATCAACCGATATACAAATTTAATATTTATATTTAAAAAAGTTCACACTCTCAAATTTTTTTCTGGTAATATCTTTAGACAGATCAACAAGTTGGGGTAACCTTTCAATTTTTCATAATCCCTTTATTGATTATTTTATTAATTATATGGCTTTTATATAACTTGTGTCTCTTTCTTTCCAGCTCAAATAATATTCTCTGCAAGCCTAATAATCTTCTCAAGGCATTTCCAGCTTCCATCCCCCATGATGTCCTAAAGTGTGTAATATATATGGGGAGCTTTTTTCAAAAGCAACATTCCACTTAACATTAAAAAGTCTATTTCACTTCAATAGTTTTGAATAACAGATAACTTCCAAATTTGGTGGTTTACACAATAGCCATTTTATTCTGTAAGCTGGCAGGAGCACAATCGGTAGGTTGCTTAATAGATTTAGCTTGAGGTCTCTTAAGTGAGTCAAGTTAGATGACGGTTGGGCCTGCCAGCTGGGTCTGGATATCTGGTGCCTGTGTACTTCTCCATGTGGCCTCTCTCTATGTTGCATCTCCACTTTCAAGACCTTAACAAGTGGTTTCTCTCTCTAGTAGAATAACTTGGACTCTTACTTGGAAGCTTAGTTTTCCATGACTGGGAGAGTAGACTGTCAAATCTTAATAACTGTGCTCAGTAGCCCAAGATGGCACTTTGTCCACATTCCACTGATCAAAGCAGTGACAGGCTCAGCTCAGATTCAAATAGCATCTCCACTCTTGATTGTAGGTAGTGCATGCCACATACGAGTGGTATATAGGTTTCACACTATCTTTGGAAACTAACGTGTGTGTGTGTGTGTTTGTGTGTATGTATGTATGTATCCTTTTGTCGTTTAAACTAAATTAAGTTGTTGAAAACCAGGCTTGTAAACTTTTTCTTATTTTTCTTTCCATTTTAAGGAATAAAGCATGCAGGTTTACCCATTCTCTGGCTCCCCAAAAATGAAATGGCTACTAGAGATGAAGCAAGATGCTGTATAAACTAGAATGTTTTTTGTCAGTTTGCAAAGTTTATCACTTTCTGGATATCACTTCTATTAATCTAGTTGGAACACCAAATTGGCATTTTATGATTGAGACAACACTGGAGTTCGTAGCAGAATTTGTAATATATTTTATCTCTGATTTAGGAGAGGAGCATGGACTGGATGAATGACAGAATAAGACTGACTTGAACAGACGAAACTCAAACTCTGGAAAAGAAGCCAGATCACTCACTATTACTAGTGATATAAAAATTGCAGTGCTGGCATTTGGAGGATGTAGAGTCTCAGAATAATCCACATCTTTCTACGTGCAGCCTAAGACCCTGACCCTCACCTTGACAGTCACACACATTTGACACTGAATGTGTCCAGTATATGGTCATGTGCTGCCTAACAATGTTTCAGTCAATGATGGACCACATATATAATGGTGCAACCATAAGGTTATACTATGATATCTTTTTATTTTCTATGTTTAGATATGTTTAGAGATAAAAATACTTGCATTACATTGTATTATAACTGTTTACCATATTCAGTACAATAACATGATGTTCAGGCTTGTAGCCTAAGAGCAACAGGTGATACTATATAGCTTAGGTGTGTGGTAGGCTATTCCATCTAGGCTTGAAAGTACACTCTGATGTAGAGTGTGTAAATACACTCTGATATTTGTACAATGATGAAATCACCTAATGACACATTTCTCAGAGAGTATCGCCATTGTTAAGAAACACGTGACTATATTACTAAACTTTTAATGTTGTATAAATGGAGCAATATGTAATTATAAATAATTACAAATGGTAACTAAGGTTGTTATAAATTTGTAAACTGTTTAGTTTAGAAAAAAAATCTAGCAGTAAAATTTAATGTTCACTTACTCCATCTTTCTTACTGATATTAAATACTATTTTGTTTCTCTTTGAAAAGTTATATTTGCATTATTTTGTGAAAGCTTTGAAAAAGAGTAAACCAACTGTTGAAAGAGCTCTTATTTCTTTTCTATGCCTCTTACAAGAAAGAAGTTCAAGTTTTCCTAAGGTATTATTATGGCTAATACATTTTTAGCCATGATAATATCTCACATACAAATGTTACTCACATAATATTGTCATATTATGTATTATTACTCAACTGCTGGTTTCAATAGAAAGCATATTACATGTTCTCAGAATTTGAGTTGATGCCCAGAATTAGAAATTTCATGCAACCACATATGAAAATTATGCATGATAACTGCCAACTTCAGTTTATTGTAACATCTTTTGAAACTTGCTGAATTATTGAGTCAAATACTCTCTTCAGCATCTCCCCTCTATGGTGAAAATACCTGTACAATAATTTTATATGTAGGCAATGTTCCATATATGTTACTATTTTTAAGCTAAAAGTATGTGAATTGTAGAAATTGAGCAAAATATGTATTTTAATGTAATCTCCACTTGGCTAATTATCTTGTAAATAGTTTGCATGCTTTTCAGTTCTTCTCCTTTACCATGGCTGCATATCTCTATGGGTCCTAGTAGACATGGAAACTCACTCATTAGAATTCCTGCAATCTGTTAGTGTTATTCTCACTGAGAGAAATTTATAGTCTTTGCATGGAGTTGATCCCTGAATAAGTGAAATCTCTTTAGATCAGGCCAGATACACTTTAGAAAAGTAATCATTCTGTACTTTTCAAGTAACTACATCTGACTGAATAGATAAATTGAGCTTTAGAGACATATTTTTCTGAACTCTAATGTGCAATAGTGCAGGCTAATAGTAAATCTTGGAATATCATACCAGAAAATAGGCTTCTGAGCAACTAAAAGGCAAATGGCAACTTTTGCACTCAAAGAAGATGAACAGATTGTGAATAATTTAAGGAGAGACTTAAAATATTCCAAACCTACTATTCCAAAATAGTAGGAATAAGTCACAACACATTGTGGATTGATGGTGGGAAGCGGGGCTGGCATGAACTTGTACGGCAAAGTTCAAAGAGTTTTATAGTTAACAAAGCAAATTTAACCCAGATACCTCCCTGAATCATTAAAATTATGGAGTGATTTACATAACTCCTTAGTCTTATGGAAGGCCAGTATATTTCCCAATATGCTGACAAATACCCATAGCTTATGATTTCATGTTTCTTTCTGGTTGCAAATCCTATTGCTACTAAATGTTCTCTTTTAGCCGCTGCAGCCATGTCATGTTTCCCTGCCTGACACTAACTCAAATATGGAATACAAAAATGTCCCTTTGGTGTGCCTTATAAACCAATTGAATAATATAGTTGTATTTAGATAGCAAAAGATGCTCAAGATTTATGGGAAACACTGCTAACATTGCAATACAAATGGCAGATAAGGTAAAGCTAAATGTTTGACTTTTTAAAGTTTCCTTTGTTTAGCTAACTTGAATAATTCTACCATATTCCACTATAATGTTTTATACCAATTATGATATACTTCATATCTATCCTTCTTATATCTTCTCCCAACACTGGATATTTCTAAACAATTTAGATAGATTAAACGTAGAGAGATAGCCTCAGAAATGGGTAAAAGCCTGTGAACTCCCTTACTCACAGGGGGATGGCATCCCTGGGGAAAGAGTTGTGGTGTCATTCTTTGTTGAAATAAAGATTAATTGCTTTTACTTCTTTTAACATGTTAAAATGTTGAATATAATTGAATTGAGAACATACATGTAAAAAAATGCTAAAAATTTACCATGCTCCAACAACTGATACATAACAACTGTTTTTAGTGTATTTCTTCTTAATCATTTGACATTTAATGTATGACTATACATCCAGAGGTAATCTCATCAGACATTATGCCATGTGTCTGTGTAGTGATTTTCATGTGCAGATTTGACACTACTGAGGGCAAGATTTATATATCAATGTAGAAAGTATTGATTAATAGTATTTATTGAATCTATATGCAAGAGAATATAAAAGGGAAGATGAAAGATGTTTGCTCACAATGGATGTTTTATTAGTATTCATACTTATCGAATAAAATCCAGTAATTCAGGTGATTAATTACCAGGTTTAGAATTAATGGATAATCACTGATATTTCATGCTATTAAATAGCACTTGCATTGTACATTTTGTTGATTTAAAGTAGGTTCCTAATATTGATGTTTGCTAAGTGCAACTATATTAATTATTTTTGTCTGGTGTTATAATAAAAATGTATTTGTTGTTTTTCAAGTGATCAGATACATGAAAATATGTCATCTGCAGTGTATGAATAAGAAAATGGCTCAAGAAAAACATGCCATTTTGCAGGACAAATAGCTCAACAAACTCTCAACAAAGAACAGAAGGGAACTCCTTCAACTGAAAAATATCTATAAAGATCTACAACTAGTATCATATTCAATGGTGAAAAACTACATGATTTTTCCTTACGATCAGGAATATGGCAAGAATGTCCTCTGTTACTCAAAGTGGTACATTAAATTCTAGCCAGTGCAGTTGAGCAAACCGGCAAGATAAAGAGATTAAAGGACATCTGGGTTAAAAATGTTTTATTCACAGGTAATATGAACCTGTATCTAGAAAATTTTAAGGATTTCATGAAACAATTTATGAAAACTAATAAGCTCATCAATGACTCTGAGTAAAGATCAACATATAAACATCAAATGTATTTCTACATACTAGTAATAATCCAAAAATGAAATTAGCAAACCAAGCATATACGTATAGCACCAAAAAAAACCTGCTTAGAAATACGTTTAACAACAACAACAGCAAAATGCAAAAGGTATATACAGAAAACTACAAAACTTTCCTGGGAGAAATTTGAACAGACTTAATTAATGGAGAACATTATGTTCATGCATTTGAAAGCTAACTAATTTTAAGATGACAATTCTTGATCTATTGATCTAATGCATTCTCTATTGAAGTCTGACTAGAATTTTTCGCAAAATGACAAGCCAATTCTAAAATATATATGAGAAAACAAGACACAGAAAAGTACAAAGGCTTTTTTAAAAAGTTAGAGAACTTACATTACCTGATTTCAACAGTTAGTACAAAAAGGAATAGTATTAGCCAAAAACTCAGAGTTAAGTGGCTCCTAGGGCCCATCTCTAAAAAAAACAAGCAGAAAGTGTCAGAATCAACTCATTGGCACTCTGGAAAACAGTCAGAGGTTGACAGGAACCGAATGAATGTTAACCACGGAAAAAACAACTTAAAAATGTCGAGAACTTGGTAGCATTGTTACTTGTTCTTGTGCCACCTCACTTCCCTGACCACCAGCAGTCTTGAAGGTGGCAGCTCATGTTCTCAGTGAGACCCTGGTCCCTGGCTCCAGAGGGAACAAAGCAGACCTTCTATGCGAAGAATTGTGTTTGTCTCTTTTAACCTGTCTGAAGACATCCTGAGCAACTGAGGCAAGGTGTTTGCTTTGTTTCAACTAAACTGAAACTCTCTCAGGAAGAAAAGAAGTTATTCAGAGGCCAGGCCTTGAAAACAATGAAAGGTAAATGGACAGCCTCTCTGCCATCTGGGACAGACAATTATAGTGAAGCAAACAAGCAAAATATGGAAGCCTGAAAGGAGGCTCTGAGAAGAGAGGTTCTTTGAGCAAGTAGGGCATGGAAAAGCTCCTGTATTCTGGGGAATGTATACTGGGAAATTTAAAAGCCATGTACTTGGCTGGGCACGGTGGCTTATGTCTGTAATCCAGCACTTTGGGAGGCCAAGGCGGGCAAATCATGAGGTCAGGAGTTCAAGACCAGCCTGGCCAATATGGTGAAACCTCATCTCTACAAAAAGATACAAAAATTACCCGGGCGTGGTGGCAGGCGCCTGTAGTTCCAGCTACTCAGGAGGCTGAGGCGGGATAATAGCTTGAACCCGGGGGGCAGCAGTTGCAGTGGGCCGAGATCGCGCCACTGCACTCCAGCCTGGGTGACAGAGTGAGACGGCGTCCCAAAAAAAAAAAAAAAAAAAATAAGCCATATGCTTGCTTAGAGTAGGACACATGTTCAAATGTGTTCAGAAAGGCCGGAGAAGGCCTAAAGCTTTCGCCCCTGGCTGATCTTCAGGCTCAATAAGCAAAGAGTGAAGGCTAATACAGTGCGGTAAACAGCCTACCTAAGTGCCAAAGGAGTGCCAACACAGATTGCCAACACATGCCAATCTGCAAAGACAAGAAGAGTATGTGTTTTCTCATTTTTCTCTTTTTTAATTTTTCTGTCTTTGTTTGGTTGTTTAGTTGGTTTTTCTTTTTCTTTCTGCTTTAGACATTTAAGAAAATCTGTCAACATGACAACCTGTATGTGCTGCAGAGCTTTCTTTTGTTCTGGGCTCTACTCAAAACCAGCTATTTCTACGGCAAATCAGTAAATGGACCATAGTAGTAGACCCAAATGAGAAATTTGTTTCTGTTAGAGTAGGTAGCTAGGCAGACATGAGTGGGACAGGAGAGACCTGCCCCCAAGGAATGTCAGGCAAACATGAAGTGATGATCAGGTGGTTGTTACATTGTATCTCTAAAATGATAATCAGTCGCATCCGGTGCCAGGAAAGGCAATCTCTCAATAGATAGAAAATATTTGAAGCTGGTGACCAGCAGCTTCTCAATACGATCTCAGGAGATGGGCGAGCAGCTTCAAGCATGCACACTAAGAGGCAAAATGGCAGTTTAACAGGTAAGGGAACTTCCTCTAGAAACACTCGCCTGGTAAAGGAAAAACACCTCAAGTGAACATGTGCACAACTTCGGTAAACACACTGTGCATGTGACCCCTCCCAAGTGCTGGCAGGCCACTGCCCATGTAAACAGCCCATCCCAAGAGGTGAATCAGGGGAGAAGTAGCACAACCCTGGAAGCATGTCAATGTATAAGACCCCCAGTCGAAGGTCAAACCAAGCACTGGATCTCTCAAGTCACCCTATTAGCCCTCTTCCAAGTATACTTCAGTTTTTTCATCTTGCTCTAAAACTTGTCATACATTTCACTCCTGCTCTGCAACTGGCCTCAGTGTCTTACCCTGCCTTATGCTCCTTGGCTGAAGTCTTTCTTTCGATGAGGCAAAAATCAAGTTGGGGCCGACCTGTAGGAATTCACCACTGCTAACACTGCCTTCAAAATTCTAAGAGGCTCAATAAGAATTAAGCTTCATTTTGTGTGTGGCAGCAGGGGCCAGATACAACAAACTCGTTCTTTGCCTTGGACAGGATAACGTCACATGCTCATGCCACTGTAACCTTAGAAATTTCTCTGGGGTGAAAGGCCACTGAATCTTTGTGGGATTTATTTCCCACCTTGTGACACACAAATGTCTATTCAAGTGTGTAGTTTTCTACTTCCTGATCACTAACAATCAACATAATATCATCAATTTAATGAACCAGTGTGATGTCTCATGGAAGGGAAAGGGGATCAAGGTCCCTGCTGACTAAATTATAACATAGCTTATCTGGAAAGCTAAGATACTTCTGATGTGACCGTGAAGGTATTTTGCTCTCCTTGCCAACTGAAAGTAAACTCCTCTGGTGGTCTTCATTAACAGGTGCAGAACAAATAGCTGTCAACCTGAAATAATCAAAAGGGTCAGAATCCAGTTTTGAATAGTTTATTCAAATGAAAATCTAGGAATAGCCATCCAAAGATCACAGACTCCAAAGAAATGGAGTCAGTTCTCAGATATTAAAAGTTATAGTCTTGCTTATATAGTCAGGAAATCAAGTTTAGTAGGATTATAACTCTTTATTCAAGGCTGGTTTATGAGTTACAACGATTTAATTAGTTATAGTTTGCTTCCTTTTCCATACAGCTTGTTTTTCCATTTCAATTTAAAAGAGTATATTTAACATTCCATCTAATATATTGTGATAGTCATGAATTGTTTTTTGTGAGAAAGGTAAGAGGGAAATTAATCTATAATGAAGATCAACAGTAAAGAGAGACATAGTCTTCCTTGGTGATCTTTAGTCATTTACAACATTTTATAAAACCATGTAGGTAAGGAAGAAGTCTAATCTATAAAGAGAAACATAGGTTATAGATAGCTGCCTATGTTACAGCTGCCTGATGTGAGTCTCCCCTAATCACATTTCCCCAAGGCTGAAAATATTTTAAAGTTTCAACAGCTTACATTTTGAATTACTTATTTCCATACAGCATTTGCTCCATCAATAGCAGCATACAAGGTAACAGGAGATGTGTTAATTTGCTCAAGTAATGAAAGCACATCTGCAAAAGCAACTGCAATTTGAACATTTACAATAATCCACTGTCCCCTTCTCCAAGATCCATTTGTTTTCTGAGTATGCCAAATACATGACTTGAATAAGGCTCTATGGAAATCACCATGCCTGCATCTTTCAAGTCTGTGATGGTGGCACTAATCTTTGCAATACCTCCAAAAATGCATTATTGCTTTCAGTTTATTATATGTTGGGGTAGAGGCAATTATATTGGCTTATACTTAAACTTTTCTACCATAATAGCTCTCAATATACAGGTCAGGGAACCAATGTGTGGACTGTGCCAGTTGCTGAGTATGTCTATTCCAATTTTACATTCTAGAACTGGAAAAATAACATCAAATGGGTTCGTGGATACATTGGTCCACTGTGAGATAGATCTAAGCAAAAATTCCACAATCGCCATAATTTCTCAACTCTGGTAGACTACAGTAACAATTTGGGTCTTCAGGAAAGAGTGTGTCATTTCAGATCCAGTCTCCAGTAATCTCCAAAATGTTTGATTATTTCCCCTTTTCCATTGCATCATTACCCTAGTAAACATCCATAGGTCCATTTGGAAAAAGATGGTAAAAAAACAAGCAGTACACATTTTTCGTGGTGTAGAAGTGTCCTGAAAATTGGTTCATATTTTAGAATTGATTGATAGGTCATGAATATCTTTTTTGGTACTTCAAATTAGACCTCTATTCACTAAACCTAGAAGTTTCCCTCTTACACGGGTCAAATAAGACTTTAATAGACTGCCCATCTATTCATTTTCTAAGTACACCGTGATTAACTAGCCCATAGCATAAGTCACTGCAAGTCAAAGTTTTCTGATTACTCCTCAGGTTCCATTAACCTGAGGTCCGTTAACCAGGTCCACCTTGTCTTTGGCAATTAACTGCAGTCATGAGGCCACTGCTGCCCTGGGCTGTCATTATTTCCATTGAGTCTTGAGGTCACAGTTTGGCAACAGAAGTATCTACTCTAATTTCTGACCTACAAATAAGAACATTCAAGACTTCCCTTACAAATTTATTTCTCACAGTCATGGTAAAAGGTGAAAGGTGTGTCATAGGCTTGTTCCAGGGTAATTGAGCAAATCAGTATGATAAATCCATTATAAAATTGCACTATCTCTACTCTCTTCCTTCTTGTACATTATACCAAATTACTTTTAGCATTTTAATTTCCCTTAGTTTAGAACATGTTTGCTCTTTCAACCCCTCAAGGTAAAAGATGAATTCTAGAATTTCTGCTTAGGGTCTCATGTCAATAAATTCAGCCTGACTTAACTTTATATTCTTTCCTCCTTGAATCGACATTCTTAAGATTCATTCCCAAACATATTTCTCAGATCTTATTCTGTGTACATTTTTTAAAATATTTAGTTATTTGGGTGGGTAGTGTATTTCCTCATGGATCTCACTTTGTACCTTACTCTTTGGGGCCTGCTGAGACTTGAGTTAGCTTTACATCTAAAATCACAGAGAGGTGTTAGAAACAGGTACTGAGAAACATCAGCAGTGGCTGATAAGGCAACTACCTTGTGGGATGGGCTAACCCACTCAAGCAAGGAAAGAATGGCTGCTTTTACTGGCAAAAACACTTAGCAGAGTTCATGAGTCCAGTGTTCCCACCTTCATTAGGATCTTCCCACATCTCCTATTTCAATTTCCATAATCCCATTCCTTCTCAATCAATGCTTCCACTTTAACAGAATCTACCTTGTGGGGTTAGGGTAGGAATTCAATTTATGTTGTAATTCAGCTATTCACCAAATGAAACTATTGTTTTCGGAAATGTCTATGATACAGGTACATGTGATAAAGGTTCTTGTTGCATTTTATTTTGTGTTTGGGCAAGTAGAGAATATTCTAAGTCATTAATACAGAGTTTAATTTGGAAATATGAAGCCCTGAACATACTTTTAATTACCTGCTTTCTCGAGCAAAGTTAGGGGCAGCCAGCCAAACTCATACTCCTTCATTTGAGCAAAATGTTCTAAGCTAGTAAATACATGGTATTGCAGAAACTTGCCTTCTAGAGGTAATTGATTAGGACTATCCAATACAAATATTTCATGTATTATTGTCACATTATGTCACATGTGATAGAGTCTGGAGACAGAGTCAATAGTGCCTTTAAATCTAATTAGATTGGATAACTAATTCCAGACATCCCAGAACAAATTCAGTAAATTGAGCCTTAGGCCTCTGTTCCTCTACAACTATTTCAGGTACCAAAATTTATATCAGTCAAAGTTCAACCAGAGAGTCAGAAATGAGTAAGAAGTACACTAAGATGTTTGTTGCAGTAGATTGGCTTTCTTCATTGTGGATCTGGCCAGGCAAGTCTTAAATCTCTAGTGCAGGACATTAAGGACTCTTGGGCACAAGCTAAAGCTGATGTTCATAGATGAATAGCTTTTTCAGGAAGCCCCAGTTCTGCTCCTAAGGTTTTCGGCTGATTGAACCAGGCCATCCAAGATTATCTAGGACAATTCCCTTTCCTTAATGTCAATTGGCCATGGACTCCAATCACTTCTAAAAAATAACAGTATTAGTCTTTGAATAAGTGTGGGCTGAAGCCTAGTAAATTAACACATTTTAAAAACCATTTTGTGTAATTGTATACACGTATATTATTCATAGTCTTCTAAAGCAGTAAGATATTTTAATGTGTATGTCGAATTGATTTGTAAAACAATAGATCAGCGACAAGACAAGGCTGAATGTTATTCTCGAGTAAATTTAATCTTGCAAAGTTTTAATTGCTGCAATTATAAATTGCACTATCTCTACTCTCTTCCTTCTTGTACATTATACCAAATTACTTTTAGCATTTTAATTTCCCTTAGTTTAGAACATGTTTGCTCTTTCAACCCCTCAAGGTAAAAGATGAATTCTAGAATCTCTGCTTAGGGTCTCATGTCAATAAATTCAGCCTGACTTTAGAATGATTATAACTAATTTGGAGCTCAATTTATTATGTTCTCAATTTAAAGAAAGCAATAGGAAAAATAAAAATTGAACAACTTTAAAGAGCAGTGGATCAATTTTTGATGCATGATACATGATACATAATATATATGCACGTATATATTAGTCACTCTCATGCATTACCTTGAGAATGTTTTAGTTGAGACTTCAAAAAGTGTACCCCATTGATCCAGCAAGTCTTTTTGGCTTAATTAAATAAATAAAATATATATTTAATTATACACAGCATAAATATACACAGAGCATTGGGAAAAAGTGAGTTAACATCATACTATTTCAAATAAACTGAGCCAGAAAGTTGTCATGTTTCCACTTATACAAGTGTTTAGTAACTTTTTTTTTTAGTTTGTGAACTTTTTTAAAAAACTGACTTATTTCAGGCTTTTGGAATTTAAAGACATAATTTTATGTGATTTTTAAAACCAATGTTAGATAATTAAATGTATAATTTTAAAATACAATTCTTTATGAATACATAATCTAATGAAATACTGTGACAAAGCTAGTCAAAGAGAATACAATTCACAAAAAAACAGTACATGGACCATAATATTAAATAACATTATTTTATTTTACATTCAATTCAATTTATAATCATGCCTCCTCTCTCATTTACTACTTCTTTCTTCTTTGCTTCTTTTTTTGATGGCACTTCTCTTCTGAGAAAACTAATAAGTAATACTGAGGCAGCTAGGCATCAAAAAGTCCTGTATAATATAGACAATTTATATAGCTGACTCAGATTTATTTGACACACATTAAATATTTCAAAAGATTCCCCAAATTAGTGTACTTCCAACAGATTATATTGCCAACCATGATTGCTCTTTGCACCACAAGCTGATCAAGAATCCTGGAAGTAATCATTGTGTAATCTTGAAAACTTGCCTACTAAAAGTTTTGAAGGAAGGTATAAAAAGAAAGACTATTAATGATCACCTTTGTATGAAATTTCCTTAATTTCATTGAAATATACACATTTAAAGGGCTCTGTCAGAAATTAAAGAACTTTCTAAAACAAATACTATACCTAAAAACATATATTTAGCCTTACTGAATTTTCTGTGAAAGTCCCCAGAAATGCTTTGCTCTGTCCCATTTCTTTTTATTTTAACTTTTATTTTAGGTTCGGGGTACATGTGAAGTTTTGATATGTAGGTAAATTTGTGTCACTGGAGTTTGTTGTACAGATTATTTTGTTGTCTAGGTACTAAGCCTAGTACCCAATAGTTATTTTTTCTGCTCCTCTCCCTCCTTTCACCCTCTGACCTCAAGTAGGCCTCACTGTCTGTTGATCCTCACTTTGTGTCCATGAATTCTCATCATTTAGCTCCCCACTTATAAGTGAGAATATGTGGTTTCTGTTCCTGTGTTAGTTTGCTAAGGATAATGGCCTCCAGCTCCATCCATGTTCCTGCAAAGGACATGATTTTTTTCTTTCTTGTGGCTGCATAGTGTACCATGGTACATATGTAACACATTTTCTTTATCCAGTCTGCTGCTGATGGGCATTTAGGTTGATTCCATATCTTTGCTGTTATGAATAGTGCTGCAATGAACATTCACATGCATGCACCTTCGTGGCAGAATGATTTATATTCCTTTGGGTATACAACCACTAAAACCAGTAATGGGATTGCTGGGTTGAAGGGTAGCTATGTCAAGGAATCACCGCACTGCTTTCTACAATGGCTGAAGTAATCTGTATTCCCACCCATAAAATGTAAGTATTCCCTTTTCTCTGCAATCTTGCCAGCATCTGTTGCTTTTTCAATGAGATACCATTGTGGTTTTGATTTGCATTTCTCTAATGATCAGTGATATTGAGCATGTTTTTATATGATTGTTGACTGTGTGTATATGTTCTTTTGAAAAGTGTCTGTTCATCTCCTTTGCCCACTTTTGAATGGCGTTGTCAGGTATCGTGATGCCTCCAGCTTTGCTCTTTTTGTTTCGGATTGCCGTGACTATTCAGGCTCTTTTTTGGTTCTATATGAATTTTAAAATAGTTCTTCTAGTTCTGTGAAGGATGTTGTTGGTAGTTTAGTAGGAATAGCATTGAATCTATCAATTGCTTTGGACAGTATGGCCATTTTAATAATACTGATTTTTCCTGTCCATGAGCCTCAAATGTTTTTCCATTTGTATCTGTCATAACTGATTTCTTTGAGCAGTGTTTTGTAATTCTCATTGTAGAGATCTTTCACCTCCCTGGTAAGTTGTTTTCCTAGATATTTTATTCTTTTCCTGGCAATTGTGAATGGGATTTCATTTCTGATTTAGCTCTTGGCTTGGCTGTTGTTGTTGTATAGGAATGCTGGTGATTTTTGTACATTAATTTTGTATCCTGAAACTTTGCTAAAGTTGGTTATCAGCTGAAGAAGCATTTGAGCCAAGGCTATGGAGTTTTCTAGCTATAGAAACATGTCATCTGCAAACAAGGACAGTTAGACTTACCTGTCTTCCTGTTTGGATGCCCTCATTTACTTTTTCTTGCCTGATTGCTCTGGCCAGGTGTTCTGTCCCATTTTTAAAAAAATATTATTGCTTTATTACTCTATTTATAAATTATTACAGTCTTCCTTTTATAGTGAATGTAATGTTCCTTCATAAAATGAACAAATGGCTGAAGATTTTAAAATTAATATCTTTCTTAGTCTACATTGCCTATAATATTGAGGGATTGAAGGTGGCAGAAGTGTAATAAGTAACAAATGCAACAAATCATCATGATTGCTATGAAGATTTAACACTACATGCTAGAACATCTTTTCAGGAGTATTTCTTAGTTGCAATGATCATAATTAAACAGATATTTCTCTTCTTATAGTTCAGAAAGTATGATAGCACTAAGAAGAGCACATTAGGATGAAATAATATATTCTTGCAATAATTTGATGCAAATATATAGTAAATTTAGAAAATAATAAGAGTTTTAATAAAACAATAAGAGTTTAATAAATAAACTTATCTAAGTAAACATGAGTTTAAAAAATAAAACAATAAGACTTTTAATAAAATTTAGAAAACAATAAGAGTTTTTATAAAATAAGATTCCGGCCGGGCGCGGTGGCTCACGCCTGTAATCCCAGCGCTTTGGGAGGCCGAGGCGGGTGGATCATGAGGTCAGGAGATCGAGACCATCCTGGCTAACAAGGTGAAACCCCGTCTCTACTAAAAATACAAAAAATTAGCCGGGCGCGGTGGCGGGCGCCTGTAGTCCCAGCTACTCGGGAGGCTGAGGCAGGAGAATGGCGTGAACCCGGGAAGCGGAGCTTGCAGTGAGCCGAGATTGCGCCACTGCAGTCCGCAGTCCGGCCTGGGCGACAGAGCGAGACTCCGTCTCAAAAAAAAAAAAAAAAAAAAAAAAAAAAAAAAAAAAAAAAAAAAAAAAAAAAAAAATAAGATTCCAATATCACACTCTAATAGTGTAAAAAGGCTTAATGTTAAAAATTACACAGTGGGTGCATAATATATACCTGAATTTGTAGAAGTTTTATACTATTTTAAGGGTAATTTGATAAAAATCATGAAAGAATTACATGAAGTTATACCTAAGGTTATATTTAAAATTATATTAGTGTGGTTGTTGAATTATTATAGGAATAGTACGTATCTTAACATAATACCATTTTAGATAATAAATTGTCAAAGGAAAAAAATTTAGAGAAGTTTTATATAAAAAACAACCAAACTGCGTCTTTCTGGAGTACTAACTAAAAGTATCTTGGAAACAATAAATAGATACTCTAGTTTTTATCATAATCCACTTTGGGATATACAGCCAGCACACAGTAGTTTACTTAATAAGGATTTGCAAAATATAGAAATTTTAAAAAACTGATTCAGAGTCAGAGAGAATTATTTCCAAATTCTATTTGAACCAGATGGCGCTAATTTGAAAAGCCTATGTTTTCACATGCTTTAATTATCTTATTTAAAATTTATGTATTATGAACAAGATGTGGGCTCTGTTATAAGCCATAATGTTGAGATTAAGAATTGAATAGAATATGATGCACACTCTCAAACATAATGCAAATTTTTTGTGGGAGTGCAGGTGTATTTCTTTCCTAAGACTGCTACAATAAATTGCTACAAACTTGGTGGCATAAAACAGCCAAAATGTTTGCCTCACAGATCTGGAGGCCTGAAAGTTGAAGCTAAGGTGCTGTCAGGGCCACACTCCCTCTGGAGGTTCTAGGAGAGAACCTGTTCCTTGTCTTTGACATCTTCTGGTGGCTGCCAGTAATTCTTGTTTTGTGACCACATCACCCCAATTTCTACCTCCATCTTCACATCTCCTTTTGAGGGATATGGAGAGTACCTACCCATTGATAAAGAGTTTAATGTAGTGAGAAGGTATAACAACTTAATATGCTTATAAAAATAACCCCAAATTACATAAGATAAAACTGCAGGAAATTGGAGAAATTGATAAATCCATGTGCATTTGTGAAAATTTAAAAATATCTCGGAACAACTGATTGATGAAACTGATAGTTTGATAAAAATAAAAAAAATTTTAAAGATATAAATAAGCTTGATATACACACACACATATACACAAACATTTACACAATAAATTTAAAAAATAATTTTCAAGTTCAAATGAAACAAAAGTTGATAGAAAATTGAAAGGGTACAAAACAAAAATTACATAACTAAAATACAATTAGTTGAGAGTTAATTTAAAAGTTAATAAAACTGTCCAAACTAATGGGATTCACCTAAAGCATTATGTAAAACAAACAATTTAAGCTAATTCTTATATATGAGAATCAAAGAGCTACAAGTTGGTAAACAAAATATTTAACCAAATAATTTAGAAGACCATAAGAGCAAATGAAAGAAAATAGAAGTAAGAAAAAGATAAAAATAAGACCAGAATTATATAATCAAATGTTGTTTCTTTGAGGATTATATTTTGATGAATTTAATTTATAGAAAACAAAACAGTTATTAAAAAGTAATAGAGAGGTATATCTAAAAATGAGGGATAGATAAAAAGATCTTCAAAGAAAAACAGAAACACAGTTATGTCTGTAAGTTTAAAAACTTAAACTGACAACTTATTTTAATACATACATGATCAAACAAAATTCAACAATGCTCAATAATAAATTGAAAAATTAAATATTTGTAAAATTTAGAATTTTAGAAAATGGAAAAACTGATGCTCAGTATAGAAATTGAACCACTAGTTTAAAATGTCATATATAACATGTAAACAAAATAAATGACAATGTATACACTTGAAACATTCAACAGTGAGGTGACCCATGATGTATCAGCAACTAAGTAGATGAAGTAGTAGGAAGGCAGCAACTTCTGAGGGTCTTGACAACTGAAGAACTGACAGATTTTTAGTAAGTAGTGTACTTCAGAATAAAGGATCACAAATGCTTATGGAAGTCTCTGCAATTCAATTGAATAAAAGCAGCCCAAGTTATGAGGGGATTTGTAAACTATAATTCCCAAGACGATCACTTATTCTGAGAAAAAACTCCTGGGAATAAAAATCAAATAGAAAAGTATAGAAGCTGTAAGTAAAATGGAAAAAATAAAGTGCAGATAAAAACACTGAAGGGAGACAAGACAGATTTTAGGAATTATAAAGGCTCACTTTTGACAACATAAAAAGACACATGGGAGACATGAAGCTAAAGAAATCTGACTTTTAGACCCCATTATAGTCATCTATGTTAATGGGGCCAGGGTTTCTCAACCTAGACAAAATTGACATTTTGGAGCAGATAATTCTTAGAGGGAAGATGTCCTAGGCAAGGCAGGGTTTTTTTGCAGTATCCATTGTCTTTCACACTAGATGCCAATAGCAACTCAACCATTAACAATACCCAAAAATGTCCCCAGACATTTCCAGATATTCTTGGGTAACAAAATCATTCTTATTTGAAAGCCCATCTTACTTAACTATGACAATAGAAAAGAATTGTGGTTGAATTGTATACAAGTCATTGCCAAAACAAAGAGAGAAAGACAGTAAGAGATAACAATCAATGATGCCTAATCCACAATGAAGGCACATGACAAAATATATACACAAAAGAAGCAAAAAGAAATTAAGAAAAAAGCTGTAAAAAAAGCATAAAAAACAATTAGGAAAAATTCAGAAATGAGATGATATAACAAAAGAATGGTTTTAAAGAAATTTGACAAAATTTACACAAAATTTTTTTGTGTGAAAAATTTAAAAATAGAGAGGGTGAAAAAATGGCCAACTACATGAAGTCAGGAAGAATTTCTCCCATTGAGACAGACCAGAACATTGAATAGATTGGCAGAATCCAAACATCATCTGAGAGAATGTACTGGGAGTTGATAGACAGACACCCTAAATGCTGGTGCTGAAGCGGGAGGAAGCTGGGAACCACACATCAGGTTGCCAAGAACCAGAAATCATTCCTGGCCCTGAATAGCTCCTAAAGAAGAGGTGAGTGAAATAAATGCCAAGCAGCCTACTTTCACCATGGACCTCAAGGATCATAGCTACAGGAAACTCCACAAATTCCATAGACATTTGAGTGGCAGGGGAACTGCCCAGAGAGTAGGCAGAACTTGAATGTGCATGGAGCCCAGGTGGTGAGGTGCTGGGATGGTTTCAGTGGAACATGACCATTGGTGTTCATCCCCTAAGGTTCTTCTTGCTCCTCTAGGTGGTTCTGACCTGTGTAATCCACCACACCTGGAAAAGCAGGTCTGTCTTGCCCACAGGACAAGGGTGTGTCCAAGCTGCTCACCTTTCTGTTGACCAGCCCCTCCCAGAGTTCCTGCCTGTCTGTGCTGCATGCCAGAGCTCATCTACCCAACCAGAGCACTTTTGCCAGTGCCCAATGCCATAGTACTTTCTCTGAAAGCCTCTATTGCCCTCACTGAAGCGCTTTTGGTGATAGCCAGCTGCCAAAGCTGGTGAATTCACCAGGGACTCTGCCATCACACTACAGTAGGCTTTCCACATGCAGTACCCATGCCATCCCTGCCAGAGACTTTTGATGAGAGTTTCTTGCCGCTGCATGTCACCATTGCCCCTGTGGAGCACATTTGCCTATAGAGCCATCACCATCCCCACTGGAGCACTTCTTGCCCACAGTGCTGCTGCTGGAATGCCTTCCTCCCATGGCCTCTGCTGCTCACAACAGAGCACTGTTACCAACAGTCTGAGAGTACCATAGCCCCTCTATCCCAGCTAGTGCTTAACCTCAAGGGACCAGAGAACAAAGATATAGGCCCAGTCCCTGCCACTCAGAGTTAAAGCACAAAGCTTGAGCGTGGAGTTGAGCCTTGGCACTCTAAAAGCATCTAGACACTGATTCATTTAACTGTACCCAATGTGTGTCAAACCCTCAAGGGCAATCAAGAACATAATAAAAACACAAAAGCCCAATCCAAAGGATAACAACTCCAAAGGATAAAGGAACATCTGCCCTCACAGATGAGAAAGAACCTATAAGGAACTCTGGCAACTCTAAAAGCCAGTGTCTTCTTACTTCCAAACTATCACACTAGCCCCCAAGCAATGGTTCTTAACCAGATAAAAATGGCTGAAATGTCAGAAGTGGAATGCAGAATATGGATGGCAAGGAAGCTCATTGAGATATAAGTGAAGGTTGAAATGAAATCCAAAGAAACTAATAAAACTATGCAGGAGTTGAAAGATGACATAACCATTTTAAGAAAGCACCAAAATGAACTTCTGGAAATGAACATTCATTACAGGAATTTCAAAAGACAATTGGAAGCATTAACTACAGAATAGACCATGCTGAGGAAAGAATCTCAGAGCTTGCAAACTACTTCTTTGAAGCAACGGAGGCAGATAGAAATAAAGAAAAAAGAATTTAAATAAATAAACAAAATTTCCAAGAAGTATAGGATTATGTAAAGAGACCAAACTTATGGCCAGTGGCATTTCTGAAAGAGAAGGATAGAGACACAGCAACCTGGCAAAAATGTTTGAGGATAAATTCCATGAAAAATTTCCCAGTCTCACTAGAGAGGTTGACATGCAAATTCAAGAAATTCCGAGAGATACTATATAAGACAACCATTCCCAACACACATAGTCGTCAGATTTTCCAAGGTCAATGTTAAAGAAAAAGTTGTTAAAGATAGCTGCAGAGAAAGGGAAGGTCACATAAAAATGGAAGCCCATCAGGCTATCAATGGATATTTCAGCAGAAACCTTACAGGCCAGAAGAGATTGAGGGCCTATTTTCAACAGCCCTAGAGAAAAGAAATTGTAGCCAGTGACTTCATATTCAGCCAAACTAAGCTTCGTAAACAAAGGAGAAATGAAATCCTTTTCAAACAAGCAAATGCTAAGTGAATTCATTACCATTTTACCTGCCTTAAAAGAGATGCTAAAAGGAGTACTAAACATGGAAATAAAAGAACAATAGCTGCCACCACAAAAACACACTTAAGTACATAGCCCATTGACACTACAAACCAACTATACAATCAAGTCTGTATAACAATCAGCTAACAGCATGATGACAGGATCAAATCTTCATACATCACTATTGACCTTAAATGTAAACAGGATAAAGGCCCCACTTAAAAGGCACAGAGTGGCAAGTTGGATAAAGAAGTAAGACTCAGCTGTCTGCTATCTTCAAGAGACTCAACTCACAAATAAAATAAACTTGTGAGTTTATTTTATCAACTTAAAATAAAGGGACAGAGAAAGATCTATTAGGCAAATGAAAAACAAAAAAATTAGGGGTTGCTATTTTCATGTCAGATAAAACAGACTGTAAACCAATAATGATCAAAAAGAACAAATGAGGGCATTACACAATTATAAAATATTCAATCCAACAGAAAGACTTAACTATTCTAAATATATATGCACCCATCATCCAAGTACACGTATACATAAAACTGGTTTTTCAACATCTATTAAGAGATTTAGAAAACCACACAATAACATTGGGGGACTTGAAAACCCCACTGATGGTATTAGGAAGATCATTGAAGCAGAAAACTAACCATGATATTCAGGACTTAAATTTGACACTTGACCAATTGGACCTAATAGACGTCTACAGAACACTCCACACAATAGAATATACATTCTTCATATATGCACACAGCATATACTATAAGATTGACCAAATGCTCCACCATAAAGCAAGTTTCAACAAATTCAGAGAAATTGAAATCATATAAACTATATTCTCAGTCCACAGTGCAATAAAAATAGAAATCAATGCCAAGAATATCTATCAAAACCATACAATTGCATGGAAACCAGACAACTTTTCCTGAATGACTTTTGGGTAAAGAATGAAATTAAGGCATACATAAAAACAATGAAGCTAATGCAAACAGCCACACAATATACCACAATCTTTGGGACACAGCTAAAACAGTGTTAAGAAGAAAGTTTATAGTGCTAAACACCTACATCAAGAAACTGGAAAGATCACAAATTAAAAATCAAACATCACATCTACAGTAACTAGAAAAACAAGAGCAAACCAAGCCTAACACCAGCAGAAGAAAAGAAATAATGAAAATCAAAACTAAGCTGAATGAAATTGAGATCCAAAAATCAATATAAAAGATCAACAAAAGCAAAAGTTAGTTTTTTGAAATATTAAAGAAGATTGATGAATTGCTATCTAGGGTAATAAAGAGAAAAAGAGAGAATAACCAAATTAATACAATCAGAAACAACAAAAGTGATGTTACAATCAACCCCACAGAAATACCAAAGCTCCAGAGTGACTATTACTAACACCTCTATGCACAGTAACTAGAGAACCTAGAAGATATATATAAACTTTTGGAAACACACATCCTTCCAAGATTGAACCAGGAAGAAATTAAAATTTTGAATAGATAAATAGTAAGTTCTGAAATGTAATAATTATAAAAAGCCCGCTAAGCATAAAAAGCCCTGGGCCAGATGGATTCATAACCAAATTACAGCAAACATACAAAGAAGAGCTAGTACCAATACTACCAAAATTATTCCAAAAAAATGAAGAAGAGAGACTCCTTGCTAATTCATTCTACAAAGCCAGCATTATTCTAATACCAAAACCTGGCAGAGACACAACGAAAAGAGAAAACTTCAGGCCAGTGTGTCTGATAAACATAAATGTAAAATTCCTGAACACAATTCTAGCAAACCAAATCCAGCAACACATCAAAAAGTCAATTAATCACAATCAAGTGGGCTTTCTTCCTGGGATGCAATGGTGGTTGTGCATATGCAAATCAATAAATTGGATACATAAAATTAAAAAAAACATATGATCATCTTCATAGAGGCAGAAAAGGCTTTTGATAAAATTCAAGATCCGTTCATGTTAAAAACACTAAACAAAATAGGTATCAAATAAACATATCTCAAAATAATAAGTACCATCTATAACAAACACACAGCCACCATCATAGTGGATAAGCAAAAGCTGGAACCATTTCCATTGAGAACTGGAACAAGACAAGGATGCCCACTTTCACCACTTCTATTCAACATAGTACTGGAATTCCTAGCCAGAGCAATCAGGCAAGAGAAACAAAGGGAAGGCATTTAAAAAGGAAGGGAGGAAGTCAAATTATCTCTCTTCATGGATGATGGTTCTATACCTAGAAAACCTAATAGACTCTGCCAGAACGCTCTTAGATCTGATAAACAAGTTCAGTAAAGTTTCAGAATAAAAAGTCAATGTACAGAAATTGGCTGTATTTCTATTCACCAATAAAATGCAAGCTGAGAGCCAAATCAAGAAAGCAATCCCGTTTACAATTGCCACAAAAAGAATAAAATAGCTAGGAATACAGCTTACCAAGGAAGTGAAAGATTTCTGACAAGAATTACAAACCACTAATGAAAGAAATCAGAGATGACACAAAGAAATAGAAAAACATTCCATGCTCATGGATTGGAAGAATCAATATTGAGAAAATGACTGTACTGCCCAAAGCAATTTACAGATTCAATGCTATATCTATCAAACTACTGATGTCATTTTTCACAGAATTAAAAAAAAAACTATACTGAAAGTCATATGAAACCAATAAAGAGCCCAAATTGCCAAAGCAATACTAAGCAATAAGAATGAAACCAGAGGCATCACACTATCCAACTTCAATCTATATTACAAAGCTGTAGTAACCAAAACAGCATGGCGCTGGTATAGAAATAAACATGTGGACCAATGGAACATGATAGAGAACCCAGAAATAAAGCTACAAATCTGAAACCACCTGATCTTCAATAAAGTTAACAATTACAAACAATAGGAAACGGACTCCATTTTCAATAAATGGTTCTGGGAAAACTGGCTAGCCACATGTAAAAAAATTGAATCCGAGGCCATTTCTTTCACCATATACAAAAATTAACTCAATATTAGATTAAAGGTTTAAATGTAAGATCTAAAACAATAAAAACTCTAGAAGGAAAACTAGCAAATACCATTTTGGCATTTGGCAAATAATTTATGACTACCCAAAAGCAATTGGAACAGAAACAAAAATTGACAAGTGGGGCTTAATTAAATTAAACAGTTTCTGCATGGCAAAAGAGCTATCAACAGAGTAAACAGACAACCTACAGAGTGGGAGAAAATATTCACTGTCTATGTATCTGATAAAGATCTAATATCCATAAGGAACTTAAATACATAACCAAAAAGCAAATAACCTCATTAAAACATAGGGAAAATACATGTGGAGACACTTCTCAAAAAGACATACATGTGGCCAACAAATATGTGAAAACATACTCAGTATCACTAATCATTAGAGAAATGCAAATCAAAACCACAATAAGATACTATCTTTGGGCAGAATGTAAATTAGTTCAGCCACTATGCAAAATACTTGAGAAATTTCTCAAATAAGTTAATTAGAACTACCATTCAATCCAGCAATCCTATTACTGGGTGTATACCCAAGGAAAAATAGATTATTATGCCAAAAAGACACATGTACACATATGTTCAGTCTGCACTATTCACAACAGCAAAGACATGGGATAAATCATTTGCCAATCAGTAGTAGACTGGACAAAGAAGATCTGATACATAGACATCATGGAATACTACACAGCCGTAAAAAAGAACAAAATCATGTCCTTTGCAGCAACATGGAAGCAGCTGGAGGTCATTATCTTAAACAAACTAATGCAGAAACAGAAAACTAAATGCTGTATATACTCACTAAAATGTGGAAACTAAACACTGAATACACATGGACGCAAAGATGGGAACAACAAACACTGGGAACTGTCCCCTTGAGAGGGGAGAGTAATGGGGGTATAGGTTGTAAGGCTACCTATCGGGTACTGTGTTCTCTACCTGGATGACAGGATCATTCGTACCCTAAGCTTCAGTGACACTCAATTTACCCATGTAACAAACCTGCCCATCTATCCCCAGAACCTAAAATAAAAGTAGAAAAAGAACAAAAACTATATATATATACACACACACACACACACACACACACACAGTTATACATACACAATTCTAGCAAACCAAATCCAGCAACATATCAAAAAGTTAATTAATCACAATCAAGTGGGCTTTCTTTTATGTGTGTGTGTGTGTGTGTGTGTGTGTATATATATATAGTTTTATATATATCCACTATATATATATATAGTTTTATGTATATCCACTATATATATATATATATATATATATATATATATAGTTTTATAAATGACAGCTAAAGCAGAAGCAACATAAGAATGAAGAAACACCATGGGGTGGGAGTGGATCCATGACCATGAGGTCCATTGATGTAACATATATCATACCATCCAGAAGACTGGAGGATTTACCCAGAGGTTAATGCTCTTGTCATGGTTAAGCCAGGGAAACTTTAACATGCAAAACAGCATGCATAGGTCAAATAGAAAATCCAATATCTATTGTATTTGTCTGGAAACATAATATTTTCAATTTACTAATAAAAGTAAGGATTATGGTGCAACAAAATTGCCAAGTTAAGGGAAAACGCTTTTTTTCCCATTAGCTTTCCCATCTATATTTACACTGATTGTTTCTTTGATTCTTATTATTTCAACTCAGCTTCAATATTTGCTTTATACTGTTAATTTCTGTTAATGAATTACCAGTTACGATGATTGCCGAGGGGCAAAGTTTAATGGGATGATGTGTAACTTTAGAATTTACACTATATATATATGTGTGTATATATATATATAGTGTAAATTTTATATATATATAGTGTAAATTCTCTCTATATATATATATATAAAACTTTCATAGAATTTTTCCACAACTATGCATAGGCAAAATAATTTTCTCTGTTTGGAAAACACTACTTGCATGGAGGTACATGTTGGGCTAAAAGTATTTGATGAACTTTAAAAAGTATACACAAGAAGTGGTTTCTTTTAAGGTTTACCTTCCAGCAATGGTCAGGCTTAGCACATGTTGAATTATTAAATATTCCTCAAAGTAAATGAAATATATTACAAAAATTAGAGAAATTTTACTGTTACAATAAAGAGCTTTATTCTGAGAAAATTCTACTTACTGTTATGTGACTAAAAAAAATGCTATGTTCTTGGAATGCATACATATGCTGACAATAAAGAATATTAATTTATAAAACTGGAAAGTATTTTATAAAAACTGTTTTGGCTTGGTGCAGTGGCTCAGGTCTGTAATCCCAGCACTTTGGGAGGCCGAGGTGAGTGGATCACGAGGTCAGGTGTTCAAGACCAGCCTGGCCAAGATGGTGAAACCCTGTCTCTACTAAAAATACAAAAAAAATTAGCCAGGCGTGGTGGCAGGCATCTCTAATCCCAGCCACTCTGGAGGCTGAGGCAGAGAATTGCTTGAACCTGGGAGGCAGAGGTTGCAGTGAGCCGAGATCGCACCACTGCACTCCAGCCTGGGTGACAGAGCGAGACTCCATCCCAAAATAAAAAACAAAAACAAAAACACAACTGTTTTACGGTGGCAGAAAAAGGAGGAGAATCGTCTTTGAAAACTAAAATAGTATGTACAAAATGCCTAAGTTTAGGGACATGGATCACAAAACTTAGTTAAAAGAATAAATTAGATATATGTCAAATAAATAAGGCCCACATGTATACAGCCCTAGTTCACTAAACTTATTTGGTTGCTTTATTTAATGTTATAAATAAATCAACTGTTTTATTAATTTTCTTGATTTTTGAATGTTAAAAATGAAATAAAACTTGTAATGAAATATTGTTATATGAAAACAGCATTAGAGAACTCTAATCTGTCAATGAAGAAAAATTGTTGAAGCTTATACTATTGTACTGTTAAAGGTCAACTCCAAATCCCAGGTCAATTGACTGCAGTTTGGAAATCCAACTCTTCATGAGTGAGTAAGTTGAGAAATCTACACCAAAGGGAATCATCTTTCTAGAAGTGAAATCAAGGAATATTTGACAGAGTAGAATAAAATTTTTTTTATTCTTTATTTAAGGAGAAAACAAATACTGTTCTAATAGACATTTTCTTCACAGGAAAATATAATATGTTGTAAAATATTTTCAGTTTGTGTTTCATATAACAACATTTTAAAATGAAATAGTTGTCATAATAGATAGTCATTTTAAAATCATTTGACCTTTAGTTGTATATTAGCTTTTTAATTTGTTTCCAGTTTTTATTTTGTAAATTTCACAGTAATATTTTTTAACAAATTCTGATTGTAAACAAAAGAAATGTTGAAAAATAAAATATGAATTCTTAGTGAATTTTGGATATAATATAAATGTCTATCTACTTCATGTTAAAGAAATACATACTACATCTACTTCATGTTAAAGAAGTAGAGAGACGTTTATAAAGAAATCTATATAAACTTGTCAAAGCAGTTGTTTTAAAGTTAGAAAAATACAGTATGTTGGAATATGTTATTACAGAAAAACATATATTATGAATGTTTAAAATTAGCCATTCACAGCTTGTGAAATTTTGGGGTTTACATTGAAAAAAAATCCACAGCTGTGCTTTGTGTTTATCTTATATTAGATAACAAAATTTTGAAAATAAATATTTAACAAAAATTTAACAAAAATATGAAAATATTATTGAGATATTTATTGATTATAACTTGATGATATACAATGTCAAGTCCTTCTAGACCATTAATAAGAATATAAGATTTGCTCACATAAAGTATTATAGGAAATTTGTTTAAATATTCACCAATTGGAAATTTGATTCCATGCTGTGAGACAGACTTTTATTAAAGATTTAGCATGGACAGCTTTATGTAAACCCCACAGATGACACATGGCTCATAAGTCCTCAGACACTGTCACTGGCTTTGTCTGTTCCCTGTGACTGACATGTCAACTTTTATTTCTGAATCTGAAAATCCCTGATGCATCTATGTTTTTTGTGATTCCTGACAGCCTTACTCAAAGATGAAACAATATTTTGGACAAGTTTTGACTTACTGAATTTTGAAGTTGGAAGAGATCAGTAAAACTTTCCTATTTATAAATATATAGATAGGAAATAAGAAGTTCAGAAGTTTTAAGTGGCTAAATTTTTCTAAGGTCAAACTGACTTAAAAAAACAGGATGTATCTAACTGCTAGTTTCTACTTTCACATTACCTTTTTATTTTCTTCCCAATAGTAAGAAAAGAAGTAAGTTATGTGAACAGTAGTGTATATTTTTAAATGCTACCACCCACATCTTTCTCTGTTCACTGGCATCTCTGCACTACTAGTAGTGAGTTCAGCATCAAAAGTGAGACCAAAAATAGTCTGGATGTAGAACTAGAGCTTTGTTCTCTTCTCTGTCAGGAAAGTCACTTCAGCAAAGCTGAGAAATCAGTTATTATGTGCTAAGTGTCCATAGCTGGCAAGTGAAGTATCTGAGATAAACAAAAAAGCATAAAGAGGCAATATCCTAGGCTTTGAAGAATTTATGTTTGGGCTACGAAAATAAAAAGGAACAACTAAAATATAAATAGACAAAGATATGTGGGTGTGAGTGTGTCCAGAACCTAAAAAGGTGCCTGAGGAATGATGCAGGCATGTTAAAACAAGATAAAAGCCAACTTGTCTAGGATGTACCTACAAAATATGGGACGATTTGAATATCAATATATGTAATAGTAATGGCAGACTATACCTTAATAAATAAAGTAGAATTCATGAGGTTATACTGATATAAATAAATATATGAGTAAATGTGAGAGAAAAAAATAATTCTTCCTTAATGTGGAATGCCAGGTGGTAAATGCATAAGAACTGATGAAATTAGAGAGTCACCATTTGGCAATAATAACCGTTACAATTGACCAGAGAAAAATCATCAATTGATGTTATAATTATTGGGTGAAAAGTAACAAGAAATCGGACTTTAGTATCAAAGAATCTTTCCACAAAAGACGTATTAATTAGATACATTACTCAGATACATTGATTTGAAAATAGCAACAGGAGAAATTTGGCAGATGCCACTTTAACCATATGACCAAAATTAACATCACCAATAGTCAAAGAAATCAAAATCTTGTACCACCTGGTAAGATATAATGAGAATATAGTATCACTTCTGTGATATTTTTGTCCTTAATGTTTAACTACAATCTAAGCAGGGGAGGAAGAAGAGATGTATCAGATAACCATAAAGATACTCAACAAAATGGAAGCTTAAAGTCTTTAAAAATACTATGATCATCAAAGATAAGACTGAGGAATTGTTGCAGATTGAAGGTGACTAAGAAGACATGACAAATAAATATTAGGTGTAGTCCTGGATGTTTTAGCTGAGTTCTTTATCGGAATAGTGGGTAAAACATTAATGGGATTTATAGATTAGATGAGTAGTATTATGAGGAATATTAATTTCCTAAATTTTGTGGTTATATTATACTTTTCAAAGTATTCTAGCTAACTATTGATCTTCTTGAAGAAACAAAGAAGGAAAAAAGAGAGACACATGAAGAAAAAAAAGAGGAAATTAAAATTGTGATTCTAAACAGGTGTAAGTAGGAAGCCGCTGTAGGGTACAGAGCTGATCTTCCCAGCAGAGACCTAGAAAACTTTAGGGCAAGAGGGAATCATGACTGCACGACCTCAACTTAAATTTAATTGATCTAGAAAAAATATGTTATGCCTGCTTATTCTTCCACCCATTTATCAATCATCCTTAGTGAGGAAAAATATGATAATGCAAATGTGGTAAAATGTTAGCAATAGAAAGGAAGGGGTGTTGAATATTTTAGTGTTCTCTGTCTTATTCTTGAAAATTTTCTTCTAAGTTTGAAATTATTTCATATTAAAAAGGTAAGAAAATAATGAAAATGACACGTTTGATGTTATAAAATGTTTATGGGTAGCAATTATTAATCTAATCTGATCTATTAACAAAAGTGTTGTTGATGTTGAAAGTTGTCTCTGGTGCTTTATGACCCATTTTGAACTCGAGTAAGAAAATAGCTTGACTTTGCTTTTTGTCTCAAATCATTTCCATAGTCTACAATAAACATAAAATAAACAGCAAATAAAAAGTCATTAGCAAATAAATAAAGCAAGAAGTGCCCATTAAGATGATGTATACCATAAACACATTTACTTACATACATATTCCAATATCAAATTCCAACAATGCAAAAAATGCAATACTTTCGCACTCACCTTATAGCGTCATATCAAGGAAAAAGGCAGTGAAGAGCATAGAAAAGAAAATTTCAAATTTTCTACAACCACCCCTCTCCCATTCTCCAAAAGTTCCACACAGCAGGGGAAGAGAATCAGTGTGCTTGGGGAAGAGAGAGTGAAGTGATTATAGGACTTTGCATTGGAACTCAGCACTGCTAAGTCAGAGAAGAAAGCAACAGAGGGTAGAATTCACCCAGTGGCCACAGAGGGAGCATTTAAACTAGCCCTGACCAGAGGGGAATCATCCATCCTAGAGGTTGGAACCTGAGTTCCAGCTAGCCTCACCACAGTAGGGTCAAGTAAACTGGGGTCCCAAATAAACTTGAAAGTCTGGGCCACAAGGACTGCAATTCCTAGGCAATTCCTGCTGCTATACTGGGCTCAGAGCCAGTGGACTTGGGGTGAACACATGCAGTGGGACACCCGCTGGGGAGTGCTGTGTCACCCATCCTCTACCTCCATATGGTCTGGAGTTGCTCTGGGAGAGACTCCTTTCTTCCACTGTGGGAGAGGAGATGAGACAGTAAAGAGGATATTTGTCTTGCAACTTCAATACCAGTTTAATCATGGTAAAATAAAGCATCGAGCAGAGTCCTGAAGTTCCCATTCCAGTATGCTTATGGATGATATTTCTAGTCCCACCCTGGGCCAGAGGGAACCTTCTGTCACGAAGGAAAAAATGCACTCTTTGCAGAAGTCATCTCCTGCTGACAAAAGAGCCCTAAGGCTTTGTATAAGCATCAGTGGTAGCCATAGTTGCCATAGGCGTGAGGTAATAATGGCCATGAGGAGACTTCTGCCTGAAGAAAGGATAGTGAAAAATAAAGAGGACTTCATCATGTAAATTCAGTACCAGCTGAGCCATAGCAAAATAAACACCAAACAGATTCCTAAAGTCCTGATTCCAGGCCCTAGTTCTTGGACAACATTTCTAGATCCACCCTGGGTCAGAAGGGAACCTGTTGCCCTGAAGGAAAAACCTATTCCTGGGAGGATTCATCATCTGCTGACTAAAGAACCCTACGGTCTTGTGTAAACATCATCTGTAGCCAGGAAATGGTTTCTACAAGCCTTGGGCAAGACTCAGTACTGTGCTGGCTTAAGATGTACCTCTCCTCAATTCTAGGCAGCTAGACATGGAAAAAGACAGTGTTTGTTTGGGGGAAAGTAAGGGAAGAGAACAAGAGACTGCATTATAATCCAGGAAATTCTAGACCTTACCCAACACCACCATGGCATCACTTCAAGGAGTCACGGTGTTACTGGGCTTGTGGTGCCCCCTAATGAAAATACAGGTGCAGTGACCAAAAAGCTAGACCACAATACTCAATTCCCTTTGAATATCTGGAAAGCTTTCTCAAGAATATGGGGACAAACAAGCCCAGACTCTGATTAGAATATGTAACTAACTTTTCAATGCCCAGACATTGACAAACATTCACAAGCATCAAGACCATCCAGGAAAACATACCTCACCAAGTGAACTAAATAGGTAACTGGTGACCAATCCCAGAGTGACAGAGATAGATGACCTTTCAGAGAGACAATTTAAAATAGCTGTTTTGGGGAAGTTTAACTAAATTAAAGAAAACACAGAGAAGGAATTCAGAATCTTATCAGATCATTTTAACAATGAGGTTGAAATAATTTTAAAATCAGGCAGAAATTCTGGAGCTGAAAAATTTTATTGAGGAATATGTCAGAGTCTCTCAACAGCAGAGTGGATCAAGCAGAATAAAGAATTAGTGAGATTGAAGAAACGCTATTTGGAAATATACAGGCAAAAGGATCAAAAGAAAACAGAATAAATAGGAATGAAGCACACTTACAGAGATCTAGAAAATAGCCTTAAAATGGCAAATCTCAGTTACTGGCCCTAAAGAGGAGGTAAATTGAAAAATCAGGAGAGAAAGTTTATTCAAAGAGGTGATAACAAAAAACTTTCCAAACTTAGAGAAAGATATCAATATCCAAGTACAAGAAGGTTATACAACACCAAGCAGATTTAACTCAAATAAGAATACCTCAAGACATTTAATAATAATCTCCCCCAAATCAAGGATAAAGAATGGATACTAAAGGCAACAATAGAAAAAAAAACAAGCAACATGAAAAGAAGCTCCAATACATCTAGCAGCTCACTTCACAGTGCAAATCTTACACGACAGAAAAAAAATGGCATGGTATATTTAAAGTGCCAAAGGGGAAAAAAACTTTTTTTTCCTTGTATTTTTATCCAGCTAAAATATCCTTCAAACATGAAGGAGAAATAAAGACTTCCCCAGACAAACACAAGCTGAGGGATATCACCGACACTAGACTTTTCTTACAAGAAAGGAAGAAAGAAAGACCACAAAACAACAAGAAAACAGAGGGGCTGAATGGATTAAAAACAAAACAAAACAAAAAACAGAAACCAAGATCCAACTATTTGTTGCCTACTAGAAACACTTCACCTACAAAGCTGTACATAGAGTGAAAATAAAGAGTTGGAAAAAGATATTTCATGCAAATGGAAACAGAGCAGAAATTAAGAGCAAGAGTAGCTATAATTATATCAGACAAATTAGATTTTGAGACAAAAACTATAAAAAGATATAAAGAAGATAATTATATAATAATAAAAGGCTCAATTCAGCAAGAGGATGTAACAATTATAATACATATGCACCCAACATTGAAGCACCAAGATATATAAAGCAAATATTAGAGCTGAAAAGAGAGATAGACCTCATTACAATAATAGCTGGAGACTTCAACACATCACTTTTAGCATTGGAAATATAACCCAGAGAGAAAATCAGCAAAAAGAAAAAATCAGATTTAATTTGCACTATAGGACGAATGGAACTAATGGATATTACAGAACATTTCATCCAATGGCTGCAGGGTACACATTATTCTCCTCAGGACATGGATCATTCTCTAAGACAGATCATACCACAAAACAAGTCTTAAAAATTCACAAAATTTGAAAATCATATCAAGAATTTTCTCTGATCACTGTGGAATAAAACTAGAAATCAATAACAAGAACTTTGGAAACTATACAAACACATGGAAATTAAACAATATGCTCCTGAATGACCAGTGGGTCAATGAAGAAATTAAGGAGAAAATTGAAAATTTTCTTGAAACAAATGAACATGAAAATCCAACATACCAAACCTATAGGTTATAACAAAACCAGTACTAAGTGGAAAGTTTAGAGCAGTAAGTGCTTACATCAAACAAGTACAAAAACTTCAAATGAACAACCTAATGATGCATCTTAAAGTACTAGAAAAGCAAGAGCAAACTAAATTCAAAATTAGTAAAAGAATAGAAAGAATAAGGATCAGAGCAGAAATAAATGAAATGAAAATTTAAAAAATTCAAAAGATCAATGAAATGAAAGGTTGTTGTTTTTAGATAAGTAAAATTGACACATTTTTAGCCACAGTAACTGATTAAAAAAGAGCAAATATTTAAAGAAATAAAATTAAAGATGAAAAAGGAGATACTACAACCAATACTGCAGAAATTCAAAGGATCATGAGAGACTACTATGAGTAATTACATGCCAATAAATTGAAAAACCTAAAAGAAATGAACAAATTTTGAAACACACACAACCAACAAACATTGAATCATGAAGAAATCCAAAACCTGAATAGCCCAATAACTAGGAGCAAGATAAAAGCCATAATAAAACGTCACCCAGCAAACAAAAGCCTGGGACCTGATGACTTCACTGCTGAATTTTACCATTTAAAGGAGAACTAACAGCAATCCTACTGAAATTATTCTGAAACATAGAGGAAGAGAGAAACTTCCAAATTCATTCTATGATGCCAATATTACTCTGATACCAAAACCACACACAGACACATAAAGAGAAGAAAACTACAGGCCAGTATCTCTGATGAACATTGATGCAAAAATCCTCAACAAAACACTAGGCAAAATGAATTCACGACACATTTAAAAGATCATTTGGCCAGGCATGGTGGCTCGGGCCTGTAATCCCAGAACTTTAGGAGGTGGATCATGAGGTCAGGAGATTGAGACCATCCTGGCCAACATGGTGAAACCCCATCTCTACTAAAAATACACACACACACACACACACACACACACACACACACAATTAGCTGAGCATGCTGGCACACGTTTGTAGTCCCAGCTACTCAGGAGGCTGAGGCAGGAGAATTGCTTGAACCCGGGAGACGGAGGTTGCAGTGAGCTGAGATTGCGCCACTGCACTCTGGCTGGGCGACAGAGTGAGACTCCGTCACAAAAAAAAAAGAAAAAAAAGAAGTAGATTATTTATTATTGACTCAGTGGGATGCAAGGATATTTCATCATATGAAAATCATTCGATGTGATACATCATATCAACAGAATGAAGAACAAAAAACATACTACAACTGATGATGAAAAAGCATACACTCCTTCACAATGAAAAGCCTCAAAAACTGGGTATAGAAGAAGCCTACCTGAAAACAATAAAAGCCATATATGAGAGACCCACAGCTAGTATCACACTGAATATGAAAAAACTGAAAGCCTTTCGTCTCAGATATGGAACATGACAAGGGTGCCCACTATTACCACTGTTATTCAACATAGTACTGGAACTTCCAGCTACAGCAATCAGAAGGAAAAAAAGGATATCCAAATTAGAAAGAAATAAGTCAAATTATCCTTGTTTGCAGATGATATAATCTTATATTTGTAAAAAACCTAAAGACTCCACCAAAAAACTATTAGAACAGATAAATTCAGTAAAGTTGCAGATACAAAATCAACACATAAAATCAGTAGCATTTCTATATGCTAACAGTGAGCTATCTGAAAAAGAAATAAAGAAGTAATCTCATTTAAAATAACTAGAAATAAAATAACATACATAGGAATAAACTTACCAAAGACGTGAAAAATCTCTACAACAGAAACTATGAAACACTGTTGCAAGAAATTAAAGAGGAAACCAAAAAAGAAAAGAAAGATATTCTATGTTCATAGATTGGAAGAATCAATATGGTTAAAATGTCTATACTATCCAAAGAAATCTATAGACTCAATGCAATCCCCATCAAAATATCAATAATATTATTTACATAAATATTAAAAATAATTCTAAAATTTATATGGAATCACAAATGACTCAAAATAGCCAAAGACATTCTGAGCAAAAGAATAAAAAATTGCCATATCTGATGGCACACACTTGTAGCCCCAGCTACTGGGAAGGCTGAAGTGGGAGGATTGCTTAAGTCCAGGAGTTAAAGGTTGCAGTGAGCTATGATCACGCTACTGCATGCCAGCCTTGGTGACAGAGCAAGACCTTGTTTCTATATTTTTTAGAGGATAAACCTGGATGAATCATATTACTTGAATTCAAATTATACTAGAGAGCTATAGTAACCAAAACAGCATGGTATTGGCATAAAAACAGGCACATAGACCAATGGGAGAAAATAGAGGACGTGGCAAGAAATCCATCTGCAGCGAGCTCATTTTTGACAAAGGTGCCAAGAACACACATTGGGGATAGGGCATTCTCTTCAATAAATGGTGCTGGGAAAATTGAATATCCATACACAGAAAAATAAAACTAGACTCCTATCTCCCATCATATGCAAAAATCAAATAACAATGGATTAAAGACTGAAATCTAAGACCTCAAACTGTGAAACTACTCCATGTAAACATTGGGGAAACTCTCCAGGTATTAGTCTATGCAAAGTTTTATTGAGCAATGCTCAAAAGCACAGCAACCAAAGTAAAAATGAACAAATGGGATCACGTCAATTTAAAAAGCTTCTGCACAGCAAAACAAAAAAATCAACAAAGTGAAGAGACAATCCACAAAATGGAAGAAAATGTATGCAAACTATTCATCTGACAAGATATTAATAACCAGAATATACAAGGAGCTCAAACAAATCAATAGAAAAAAATCTAATAACCTGATTTAAAAATGAGCAAAAGATCTTAATAGACATTTCTGAAAAGAAGATATACAAATGGCAAACAGGTATTTGAAACGGTGCTCAACATCATTGATTTTTAGAGAATTGCAACTCAAAACTAAAATGATATATGATCTCACCTCAGTTAAAATGGATGGCTTTTATTCAAAAGACAGGCAATAACGAATGCTGGCAAGAATGTGGAGAGCAGAGAACCCTCATTTACTGTTGGTGAATATGTAAATTAGCTCAGCTGCTATAGAGAACAGCTTGGAGGTTTCTCAAAAACTAAAAGTAGAAGTATCATATGATCCAGCAATTCTACTGCTAGATATGTACACCAAATAAAGGAAATTAGTATATCAAAGAGCCTTCTGTACCCCACGTTTATTGTAGCACTATTCACAATAGCCAAGATGTGGAATCAACTTTTGTGTCTATCAAGAGATGAATGGATAAAGAAAATTTGGTACATATAAACAATAGAATGTTATTCAGCCACAAAAAGAATGAGATCCTGTCATTTGCAACAACATGGATAGAACTGGAGGATGTTATATTAAATGATGTAAGTCAGACAAAGAAAGATATACTTCACATGTTCTCATTCATTTGTGGGAGCTAAAAATTGAAATAACTAAACTCATGGAACTAGAGAGTAGAATGAAATTTACCACAGGCTGGGAAGCATAGCTGGGGGGAGGAAGTGGGGTGGTTAATGGGTATAAAAACATAGTTAGATGGAATTAATAAGATCTAGTATTTAATAGCATAACAAGGTGGCTACAGTCATCTATAATTTATAGTACATTTAAAAATAACTAAAAGACTTTAATGGAAATATCTGTAACATAAAGAAATTATAAATGCTTTAGGTGATAGATACCCTCATTTACCCTGATTTGATTATTATACATTGTATGCCTGTATCAAAATATCTCATGTACCCCATGTATATACTTACCTACTATGTACACACATACATTAAAAATAAAAAATAAAGCTATTAGAGATAAAAACAGCCTGAACATTTGTCTTACCCTTTTGAACTAATAACAAAAACAAGAAGAAATGAAATGAAAAGAAAAGAAAGAAGGAAGGGAGGAAGGGAGAAAGGGAAGAAAAGAAAGAGGGAAAGAAAGAGAAAGAAAGAAAAGAGGAAGAGAAAAAGAAAGAAAGGAAAGAAAGGAAAGAAAGAAAAAGAAGAAAGAAAGAAGAAGAGGAGGAGGAGCGAAGGAAGGAAGGTAGGAAGGAAGGAAGGAAGGAAGGAAGGAAAGGAAAAAGAGCAAAAGATTTTTGCTTGTTAACTTCCTTTAAGATTAAAAGTTTACTGATTGTATAGTAGTTGCAGAATATATAAATATATAATGCTTCCAATTATAAAGCATTACTTTGAATTATCATAATTATCACTGATTTTTGTGAGTTATATTTATTAACTTCAGTTTTATGTATGAAAAAATATTTTCAACTTTTTGAATACATCCATTAGATACTTACACTAATTTTAATGTTCCAACTAAATTTTTTGTTATTTTCTGAAGAGATAATTTTGAAGTTATGTCTAATTGAAATTACATTAAAATGTTGTAATTGTTGGATAATCATGTTATATTTGACTGTGTTATATTTGACATCATAATTCAGTGCCTCCAATCAAATTTCTATTATTATAACTTTGTAGGCAAAATCAATTCTTTTACTTTTCTTTGTAGTAGTTTCAAATTCACAATATTACAATATGAGTGTCTGAATTAAAAAAAGCTTACGTTTGAAAGTTATAGGTAGTGTAACCCTCTTAATGCATTGTAATAATTTGTTTTCAATTATATATACATACATTTATACCTATGTGTATGTATTTCTGTATATGTCTGTCTGTGTATATAAAATCACTTATCCTTAATACACTATGTGCCTAATATTTTTGTAGTACTAATTATAGTAATTAGGGAGATAATAATTTTGATTACTTCTTTTATTATGTAATGTTGTATTGTGTGCAACATTCATGTGTTAAAAATGTTTCACTATCTCATGTAATATTTATAATTAGTTAAATGTCACTTATTTTTAATTGTGATAAAAAGCATAACATGAGGTCTACCTTCTTAACAAACTTTTAAGTGAATTGTACAGTATTGTTAATTATAAGCACTAGTTACACAGCAGATCTCTAGAAATGTTTTATACTGTATAACTGCTTGTATATATTTTTGTATAAAACCATTGTACAGCAACCCCCTCTTTTCCTCTCCTCTTATCCTGTAGAAACCAGCATTCTGCATTCTGCCACTATGAGTTTGACTACTTTAAATAGTTCATATATGTGATATCACGCACTATTCGTCATTCTGTGACTATTACACTTAGCATAATGTACTCAAGGTTAATCTACTGAGTACATTATGAGTACATTTTAACTCATGGTTGCATATAACATGGTTTACTTTCTTTTTAATGCTGAAAAATATACCAAACCTCCTTTATTGATTCATCAATCAATGACCATTTACTTTGCTTCCACAACTTTGCTACTGTGAATAATATTACAAATAAATGTGGATGTGCAAATATCTCTTTGAGATCCTGATTTCAATTGTTTTGGATATATATCCAGAAGCAGGCTTGCTGGATCGTATGGTAGTTATACTTTTAATTTTTTGAGGAATTTCCATATTGTATTCCATAGCAACTGTACCATTTTATATTCCCACAAATAGTGCGAAAATGTTTCAGTTACTCCACATCTTTGCCAACACTGGTTTGTTGTTTGCTTTTCGGTAATTACCATCCTATTAGGTGTGAGGTGATACTTCATTGTGGTTTGGATTTGCATATCTCTGGTAATTAGTGATGGTGCGCCTCTTCTTATATACTTTTTGGATATTTGTATGTCGTCTTTGAATAAATGAATATTCAAGCCCTTTGTTAATTTTTTAAATCAGGTTATTAGGGTTTTTAAAATGTAGATATAGGAGTTTCTTATATATTTTGGAGATTAAATCCTTTTGAGTTTACAAATATTTTCTCCAATTCTATACATAGTTTTTCACTCTGTTCATTATTCTTTTACTGTGCAGAACTTTTTAGTGTGATGTAGCCCCACTTCTCTGTTTTTGCTTTTGTTGCCTATGCTTTTGACACCTAGCCAAGAAATGATTGTCAAGTCCAATGTCATGATTCTCTCTTCTCATGTTTTCTTTTAGAAATTTTAGAGTTTTAGGTCTTATGTTAAAGTTTTTTCATGAGTTGATTTTTGTGTATGGTAAGATGAAAGTCCAATTTTATTCTTTAGAATATGGATATCCAGTCTTCACAACAGTGTTTGAAGAAACTGTCCTTTCTTTATTGTGTATTATTTTTACCATTGTTAAAAATCGATTAACTGTATATGTGTGGCCTTATTTCTAGTCTCTCTATTCTGTTTCATTACTCTGTCTTTATGCCAGTACCATACTAATTCAATTACTGTAGTTATATAATATGTTTTGGAATCAGGAAGTATGAGCTCTCCAGCTACATTCACTTTTTCTAGATTTTTATGGCTATTCTGGGTCTTTTGTGGTTCCATATAAATTTTATGGATATATTTTATATTTCTATGTAAAAATATTAGTTGACTTTTAATAGGGATTATTTAATTTAATAAAGATTAATTTAATATGTGGGTTGTTTTGGATGGTAGGGATGTTTTACTTATATTAATTCTTCTGATATATAAATATGGGAGGTCTTTCCATTTCACTGTGCCTTTAATTTCTTGTTGAAATTCTCATTTTGTTCACACATTATTGTTCTGAGATCACTGACATCTTTATGATGATCATTTTGCATTCCTTGTCAGGAAATTCACATATCTCCATTTTTTTAGGGTCAACATCTGGAAGTCTATTGTGTTCATTAAAAAAACATTTTTCCGATTCTTCATGATTCATGACAGATTTTTGCGGGATTCATATGTTTGAAAAAGAACTTTCCTCTCCGAGTCTTTAAGGACTGAATTTGTAAAATGAAAGACATCAATCAACCTGGCTAGAGATTCTAGAGGCCTCTCAATTTTTTTCTTTGGATGTGTCTTCTCCAGATTTGTGCATGTAATATCCTATAGGGATTTATTACCTTTCTTTTTCAAAACTCTGTAATCTCTTATTCTCTCCAGTATTTGTCTGTTGTGCCAGGGGTCTTCTGGAGCAGCTGTACACCATCCGACTCTATTTTTTGTTTTCAGTGACCCCCAGTCATGTAGCGTATCTCAGATAATCTCCCCATCACCATATGTATGAACACTGGGCTTATATTTCAGTCTCATATTTATCTACCTGAGGAGAATCTGGGGCCTGATAATTTTCCTGATCCTGTTATGCTGAGTTGGCAGAATGAGCAATGGCCAGTGAGTGCATACTGGTAAATCACCACCTTGGCTCTCAGCAGTTCCCAATAGGGGCCCTTTTCTGTTAGCTCTCAGATTCAGGCAAGACAGAAACCAGTCTCTTGGTCAGTCTCCCAAGAGTCAAAATATTGAACTTACAGTCTAGTTCTCTCCTTCCCTCCCCAAGAAGACTGAGAGCCAGGAGTTTTCTCCCAATTTGGCAATTGCCAAATAATTGGCAATTGTTTGGCAATGTACTGAGGGGAAAGTTATAGTGAGATAACTTTACAAATTTTCCTACCAGTTTTGGTGGTTGGTTTCACACTTGCTCACAGAGCATGAGCCTCTTAATTGGTCTCTGAATTTCTTACAAAAAGGATTTTCTGTATATTACTAAACTCGTGTGCCTGTGGGATGAGGAAACCCAGGGCTTCCTAATTCTCCATGTTGCTGATATCACTGACAAATTTTACAAGTGAGGAAAATGAATTTCAGAGCAACCAATGTACTTTACCAATGCCACACAGGTATAAAATATCCAAGATTTAACGGAAACACAAGGCTTTTCCCTTTTTTTTTTCTGTGCATGTTTGGGGTGCTGAGTTGGTTCTATCTCTACTCATATGCCTTCTTTATGACACTATAAAATGAAAAACCTGTGTTCACGGTTCATCCTTTAGTCACATGAAAATAACAAATTTAATTGAGCAAGCTGCATATTTAGCCCACAATTTGTAATTATCTTCATTTACTGATATATTATAATTTTAAAGTTTAGATCTTAGAAAATTAGACCAACTCCTCTTAGGAATTGTTCTGTCATTCCCGAAAGATATAACGAAGATTAAGAAAAATGTTTTCATCTTTGATCAATAATTATAATTTTAAAATTATATTTATTTAAACTGTATCCTGTCTCCTACAGAATTCCAAAGAAGATTGCTCATCTAGTGAATAAAAATCAATGATTATTTTCAAATTTCATGTCCATATCTTTATGATTACAAGTCACTATTTTTCACTGTTTGACTTCTTAATAACATATTTAATTCAACTTTATTTTTGGTTCAAATATTTTGCATCTACTCTGTGACTTCTTTGCACTGCATCTCCAAGTACATGTGGTCATTAGTGCCCAGTGATGGTATTCAGAATCAAGTCAATGCATTTAGGCATGTAACCAGTAAGGAAAAGTGCCTCTTTACTTAAAAACAGACCTTTCTTCATAGTCTGATGAATGTTTGTAAATTTTATGGATGCAATTGTGTCTATTTAGTTTGATAGATGATTATTCAAATGAGGCATGAAGAAATAAAAAAAGTAGATGAAATTCACAAGGTCATAGACTTGTGAAATATGATGAACTTGATTAAAGGTGACAGGCTTCTTAAAGAATGTATGCATGAATCATATATCATTTCTAATAATTTACAAAAAGGCTGCAAATTCATGTGGAGCTTCATTAATTATGACAGATAAAATATAGCTACAGATGCAAAATGGGAGATCTGTGAATAATTTGGCACTATGTTAACTAAATAATAAAGTTTTAGCATCCCTAAATCATTTTTGAGCACTAACATGACCACCCCAGAGGAAAATTCAACACGTACTTACCACAAATTTCTTTTCATGAACAAAATTATTTAAAATATTATATAAAATTACTTTCAGAGTATGTATATAAGGTGTTTATAAAATATAAATGAATTTTATGTTTAAACTTGGGTCTTATTATGTATAGGCAAATATTGCAAAAATTTTTGAAATTCAAAATTCAAAGCACTTCTGGTTCCAAGCATTTTGAATAAGGGACACAACACATGCACCTTTGTGCACATTAAACAACAATAACAAATCACCCCTATTATCCAAAAATATACTGAAAAAAGATACCATTTTTATTGCTGATCATTTTCCTGTTTTCCTCCTTTACTATATTAATTTTTGAGATATTATATTAAAATATATATATTTTAAACTATCAAATATTTTAAGCAGCTGTTAAAATTCAATTCAAATTGAAAATCTTTTGAAATGGTTCAATTTATGTTTTGGTTTGACATGCATTTTAAAATATTGTAATAGACTTTAGGTTTTAGGGCAGTTTTTGATTCACAGTAAAATTGAGAATGTACAGAATTCCCATATACCTCTGGTTCCTTTCTCAGCACACTACACCCAACACAAAAACAGTCTTCCCCAGTAGCAAAATTCTAACCAGAATGACAATTTGTTAAGGTCAGTGTCATTCCATAGCTTACATTAGGGTTCACTCTTGGTAGTGTTATAATCTTTGGGTTTTGACAAATGTAAAATGACATGTATCCAACATTGCAGTATCATGAAGAATTTTGTACTTTCCCAGAAATTTTCCGCCTATTCATTCCTTCCTCCCCTCAACCCCTGGCAACCAATAATCTTTTTACTGTATCGATAGTTTTGCCTTTTACAGAATGTCAAATAGTTGGAATCATACAGTATGTATCTTTTCAGATTGGATTGCCATGTGTTTTTATATTATTAAAGATTAAATATAATACTTTATTTGTAAATATATACCAAGCATACTTTTATGTATAACTCTTTTCCCTATGACCTTGTAGTGCTTTATATTATTTCATTTAACTTCAAATTGACACAAGTTTCAATGTAAGCCTTGAGCTTAAAATTTTCTACCATATTGCACTCAAGTTGTCAACAATATGAGAAGACAGAATGAGACGTTGAAATATTAGTAGTTTCAGCAATGCTTAAGGTGGACACAAATACATTAAAAAAAATAAACTATATATACCTATAGAATGTGTCCTTTAAAATGTGATTATTTGAGTAGAAACTTTAATCTCAGTCTGTTTCAGTAGGATAAACAAAATAAAATCATGTAGCCTAAGTTACATTCTTGGCTCTGTTATTTTTTTTCTCTGCACTCTTTTGCCCTTTGCTTATCCTATATCGTAGATAAGGTGTGCCTTTACTTTTTAAAGACTAATCTGTGTTTTCTATCTCATCCATTATTATCAAAATGGGTCATAGAATTTTGCCCTCATATTCACTTTAATCTACGGGTAGCGACTATTTGAAGGATTGTATTGAGAATAAGTTTTTATTGGATAATAATAGCTGCTTAACAAACCTCCGGATGAACAATGTCTCTCAAACAAGTAGAAGATTCTTTCTAATTAACCTACAGCTCTGAGGAGGTATTGTACCTCTCATCATATATTCGTAACCCATGCTAATTCAACCTAGTGGATTCACTGTTTTAATATTGGGCCCTGAAAGAAACTCAGGTCACAAAATGGGAAACTCAAGGATAGCATGCAGAAGACTTTTCTAGACCAATGTTGGAAGTACATCATATCATTTGTGCTCACAGCACATCACTGCTAGACCTCAAGACAACAGCACTCCAAGGGAGACTTAGAAAAGCAATACCAAAGAAGAAAACAAAGATTTAGTTACTGACTTGCTACTCATTGCCAGATTAAATCTGAGCTATACTGTGAACTATGGTGTGATGAACTGTGGTGTGGTAAAGGACCATATGGTTTCAGTTACTGAACAATCTGGGTCATGTCTGTCTCAGTATAAAACTTAATTGTCCCACTTTCACTCTTAAAAGTCTCCTGGTATGGATAATAAAGGGTATCATAATTGTATATATTATGTACATGTTCCACAGGGGTAACATCTAAGTCTTCCATAAGAGATTAAATATCCAACTTTACTCTATTTTAACCTGTATATTTAAGACACATGTCTCCTCCATTATTTCTTTCTTGACCATCACAGTTCAGTAGACTTTCTGCATTGTTCTAAATAGAACATTTATACAATCATGTCATCTCATCAAGCTATCATCAAGACTTTCTCTTTGATCGCTGGATTTTCCATATATGTATCTGGTAACTACTGTTTCTTACTTTGTAGTTACTTTATCTTTAATCCTTTTGTGATGTACCTTATGTTGAATTGTAATCTTCAATGCTAGAAGTAGGGCCTGGGTGGAGATGTTTGAATCATGGGGGTGGATCCCTTGTGGCTTGGTGCTGTCTTCTTGATAGTGAGTTTTTCTGAGATCTGTTTAAATGTGTGTGGCACCTCCCACCACCCCACCCTCTCCCTCTTGCTTCTATTCTGGCCATGTGATGTGCCTGTTTTCCATTTGCCTGGGCCATGACTGTAAGCTTCCCAAGGCATCCCCAGAAGCAGATGCCAGCACTATGATTCTTGTATGGCCTGCAGAACCTTGGGCCAGTTAAACTTCTTTTCTTTATAAATTACTCAGTCTCCGTTTTTTTGTGTTTTTTGTTTTGTTTTGTTTTGTTTTTGTTTTTTGAGACAGTCTCACTCCTCTGTTGCCCAGACCAAGCTGCAGTGCAGTGGCGCAATCTCGGCTCACTGCAACCTTTGCCTCCTGGGTTCAAGTGATTCTCATGACTCAGCTTCCCTGGTAGCTGGGGCTACAGGGGTGTGCAACCACACCTGGTGGGCTAATTTTGTATTTTTAGTAGAGACAGGATTTCACCATGTTGGCCAGGTTGGTCTTGAACTCCTGGCCTCAAGCGATCTGCCCACTTTGGCCTTCCAAAGTGGTGGGATTATGGGCCTGAGTCACCATGCCTGGCCTGAGGTATTTCTTTACAGCAATGCAAAAATGGCCTAATACATTTTGCAAACAGAATCTCTGACCATCCAGTGAACAAAATGCTTTAAATGAACACCAGTGATTTTCAAAGACCACAGTATGATCTAAAAGACTATAATAAATGGTCTGTTGGAGTTTTTATTTTTCATCACTCTATATAGTATTTAGCATTATTGAGTCTTCCTTCTAATTTAAAATCCCCTTCCTCCTGTAATAATAAACTGTTTTGATTATATGCTTACTTTTATGACTCCTTTTCTCTTTCCCTTTAAAATTCTTATTTCTATTACCACGTACCTTTTAATAAATGCTCTTCCAAGTTCAGTCATATCTCTTTTCTAGTGGGAAATGTTTTTGGTTGGCTGGGAGCAGTGGCTCACGCCTGTAATCCCAACACTTTGGGAGGCTGAGACGGGTGGATCATGAGGTCAGAAGTTAAAGACCAGCCTGGCCAAGATAGTGAAACCCCGTCTGCATTAAAAATACAAAAATTAGCCAGGCGCAGTGGCAGGCGCCTGTAATCTGAGCTACTCAGGAGAATCGCTTGAACCCAGGGGATGGAGGTTGCAGTGGGCTGAGATCATGCCACTGCACTCCAGCCTGGGCAACAGAGTAAGACTCTGTCTCAAAAAAAAAAAAAAAAAAAAGAAAGAAAGAAAGAAAGAAAAGAAATGTTTTTGGTTGTTGCTTTTGTTTGGCAGATTAAAATTTGTTGTTGCTTTGAGGAGCTATTGTAAAAGCAATATCACAATTATTTTTTGTTTTTGGTTTTCTGATGCTACAGGAAGGTTTCTGCACTCTGAGAACGATTTGTGCATGGGTGTTAGGCTTTTTTTACTCAAGAACACTGACATCAATGGGCAAGTACAGCCATTCTTTTAGAGGATTTATAGATTTCTACTTGATTCCCCTTGGGGTCAAATAAAAAATCAGTTCTCTTCCAAATCTTGAGGGTATTTTGTCCTTTACAAATTTATTTATTTTAATAATTCCATCAGTATTTGTGTTTTAAACAGCTTTATTAAAGTATAATTGATATATAAAGAACTACACATATGATTGTGTATAATTTGATGGGTTTGGATATATACAAATATCTTTGATACCATTATTAAAATCAAGGTAATTGCGTCTACCAAAAAAATGCACTCAAAATATGTATGTTATGGTGCCTCCTATATTGTTCTTCCTTGACTTAGTTTATTGCACTAAATAAAAATGTATGCACCCTATGTGTCTCATCTACAAATTGACATGACTAGAAGTAAAACCACAAAATTAATCCCCAAGTATCTTCTTATCTTTTTTTTTTAACTTTAGTATATGTCACTACAATTTACCAATTAGTAGTTCTGCCAGAAATTTGGAAGAAATAGGTACATCTGATTCCTCATCTATTGCTTTCAATGATACATTCTATGTGTGGTGGAAAGACAGGATAGAAATGGTATCATCTCTCTCTCTCTACTGCATTCTGTTTTCTAATTTAAAAAAAAAAAACTCTTTCAGAGAATGGATTTCCTGTATCTGCAAGTTTTATGAAGGGATAGGAGTTTGCCAATAATGATTAAAATAAAATATTGTTTTAAATTTCTATTTCCCTCAGTAAACTAAACTGCATGGAGGCAAGGATGACACATATTTTGTTCAAAATTTAAAACCTGGAGTTGAATATTACTTTTTCATATTTTAATTGACCTTTTGAATATCCTATTTAAAATGTTTCTATTAATATAGCTTTTGGCTATGTTTTTTTCATACATTATGGATATTAAACTCTGCATGTTAATTGCCAATATATTCGCTAGTGTACTATTTATTATTTAACTTTATTTATAAGAACTTTTGTTCTTCCAAAATTTGTTTTTAATTAGGAAGATCTTATTAACCTCAGGGTTGTATATTTGTTTTCCTAATTTTTCCTTTATTATTGTTTACATTTTTTTGCATTTAAGAATTTAAGAAATTCTGCTTTACACTAATTTGTGAATACTCACTGAAGCTGCTCTACCATACAGTAGCTGCCTTAAAAGAGCAGAATAATTTTCTTAAATAAAAAAAGGAAACACCAGGGAGTGCAGGAACTGAGAGCAATTACTGAAAGATGAAAGTGGGAACACTAGGTATGTTCTGCTATAAGCACAAGAAGATGGGCTGGGAGTAATGCCAATGTTTGCCAGAGTATTACCGTGAGTACCACCAACCAGTGATCTCCTGCCTAAGTCTATCTCTGCCAACCATTCACACAGAAAATTAGAATAGACATCAGAGACCGAGGTGGCTACCTCCAGAAGAGCACACTGAATATGGCATATTGTATTATTAAGAAATAACTCTTCCCTGGAAGTCCACTTTCAGTAGGAATGAGGAGTGAATACCCTCAAAAGCTAGCAGACTAAGGTGCACCTCATAAAGGGATTTTTCTATGCTTTACAAACTCACAAGAAGCCTGGCAGAAGGAAAACCCCAATGGTGAATTGTGGAAACAACAGTAGAAGACAACCGATGAGAAAATGGAACTACAAAGAGATTACACAGAGGTCATTATTAAACAAATCAATATATTTTGGAGAGAAAAATAATGATAAAAATTAAAAAGTAGCATCAACATTTTAAAGAAATACCATAAAAATAGAGGCTAAAACATTAAAATGAATACAATTAATATAATCAGAGAAATAAGGTGACATCTTATTCCTGAAACAAAAAGAATAATTTTTTCTTAAAAAAGTTCTGACTGGGAATTTTTCTAGTAAAGCTGCTTAAATCTTTGCACTTTGATTCAGTGGGAGGCTTCACAACTCATGCTTCAGGCATATTTGGGTGACTTTTATGCTTACTTTTTTTTTTTTTTGTCTTGCTCATTTGTTTTCCCTCTCATTTCTTCTGGACTTGAAACAAAAGCATTTAGTTCCAAACTCTGCTGACTGCCATTCTAAAACCACAAGGGAAAGCAAGCTTAAAATCATACAAAACAAGAGTAAAACACAGCAAAACAAAGCAGAAATAAATGATCAAATATCAAACAAATAAACAATATGACAAAAAAAAAGAAATGAACATTTGGAGGCATCATTGAGCCAGTTTCTCTTTTTCAGAGCTGAGGATATCTTAACTGATAACAGAAACAATACTTGTTATGATAAATCCTAGATAGAATGAATACAAGTGAAAAGTAAGCTGCTGACCCAGAAGATAGAACATAGGCTAGCAGACTAAGGTGCACCCATACTACATAATAATAATATGTAGTAAAAATTACATCTGCATAGTAAGAAAAAAGGTATTAAAATATACTATATACTATGGCACTAGTATATAAAGATTTAATAAAAGTTTACATGTTTAATATTGAAAATGTCAAGATTTAAAATTTGTATAAAATATTTTGTTGTTTTAGTGAGAATTAGAGAAGGGAGAATATTTTAGTGGGTATGCTGTCATGCTATGCAGAATAACCTTGGTCTTACATTAAAGCATATTTTGTAAGCAAACATGATGTTTTGGAAGTATGATTTGATGGGTTTGAATATATACAAATATCTTTTTTACCATTACTAAAAACTACCATAACAATGCAAAGTCATAAAAACAGTTTATTGCACCTGCCTGGACAACATGGTGAAACCCCGTCTCTATTAAAAAACAAAACTAGCCAGGTGTGGTGGCAGGCACCTGTTATCCCACCTATTGGGGAGGCTGATGCAGGAGAATCACTTGAGTCCAGGAGATGGAGGTTGCAGTGAGCTGAGATCGCGCCACTGCACTCCAGCCTGGGTAACAGAGTGAGATTCCAACTCATAAAAAAAAAAAAAATTATTGCAATTTTTTATCATTTCCTTCAAAGGTTTCTATCACTTCATTTCAGGCCAAATGTTGAACTGGTTTTTTCCATTTTATTTTCTGAGAAAAAAATAGAGTTCTTTGAGTTCTGAATTTAATTATTATAGATTTGAGTAAATATTCATATCTTCTTGGTATAGAATTACATAACATTTAATTCTTAATAGCATGTACTTGAATATTGTGTTTTCTGTTTTACTTTAAGGTAAATCAAATAGATCTGCTTGATTTTTTTCAGAGTAAGATACTTAAAATCTCTATTGTTTACTAATTTATTAATTTCTATTTTCAGTTTCAGTTTTCCATCTGATATTTTGTAGGTTTGTTTCATTTTTTTTGTTGTTGTTGATGATGTTTTCCTAATTTTTACCTTGCTCTTTCTGTTTATCTTTATATGTGTGTGTGTGTGTGTGTGTGTGTGTGTGTGTGTAGATAGGTAGATATATAGATATGCTTAATAGTTTAGTTATTAAATCTGATTAGTGTTGTGTTCTATAATTTCGTATTTGTATACTGTTTTTCTTCATCATATATATGAATAAAAGCATTCCAACCCAAGATTAATAAATGTTTTGGTAGATTTATTCAAAAGAATTTAAAACTATATTTTCTTCAATAGATTTCTGGTTATTTGCAAATAAATATTCTCTATAAGTGTCTATGTTTCACTTATTCATTAAGCACAAAGCTTGCTAAATGTTTGTGTCTGTGTTTAAGCTGAGCCGAATAAAAATGCATTTTCTTGGGCATTTACTAGTAGATGGTAAATTTTACAGTGTTTTTTACAGTAAATTTTACAGTATAATTTATACTAGTTTAGATTTCATCTGCAACTGTTGAATGTATAGAAATATACTACAGGTGTTATGCATATGCACACACGCATGCACACACGTACAATCATATATACCAGCATACTGACATAGACTAGCAAATTTGCTAATGCTGTGATTGAATAAATAATTGATGGAATAAATTAATAAAGAAAAAATTGAATGCATAATTAAAATCAACTTATGTATTATACTTATTGAAATCTGAATTATAGCAATGACTTGATCAATAACATTTTGTTTAACATTACACAATTCAAACTCTCGCTCTTTCCTAAAAGTAATTAATGTATGGAAATCTCCAAGTCATGCTTTTCTTATAAAATTTATTACTATTAGCCTATTAAATATTTTGCCAAACATTACTTCCATAAATCTATTTATTTTGGAGACCAGGAGCAAAATCTGTTTTTGCCTGACTCAATCATACGGCTGATGTTTAATTAAAAACAAAAAAACTGATTATAAACTAATGATTCAGATCATCCCTCTAGGGGATCAGAGAGGAAAAGCTGACATAATATGACAGACGCTTTCTTTCAACCACTAGTTACAGGAAGCACATTCTAAATATAAAAAGTCAATTTGTTTTCAGAAAACATATTATTGTATATAGTAAAAAGAAAATTAAACAAATAAGCTTTGAAATAAGTAGATATCAGGGTTACAAATAGCAAATCTCTAATATTTGACTTGGAAAGAATAAAATAATAGTATGTTTCTTCAACTGTACTTTTCTCTGACAGTGAATTACAACAGGAGAAATTCAGACATCCATGCCATGGGTGCTAATGCATTTTTAGAAGCTGAAAAGTAAGTAGCAGCCCCAGCTAGCAGAGCTTTTTACTGATTTCAATCCATGGAATGTACCTTAGTTAAGTATAGATACTTATGACATAGTGATATAATTTAAAATAAAAAAATGTCATGTATATCTCACAACAAAATTTTTCTATAATATTAGTTACACTGAATTTACATGTAAGCTATGAATGTGAAAAATGAAAAAACCCAAGAAAGTATAAATGTATCATCAAATGATTTTGATTTAGGATAATTGTTTTAATAATAATTATGCAGTAAAAATTATATCTGCATAGTAATAAAAAAGATATTAAAATCTATTCTTCATTTTGACATGCAAAGAAAAATAGGTAATCAAAAAGGAGCTGATGGAGACCAATGAAGACAAAACAAATTCTATGATACGTAGTAATACATTTTGTAAGATCTATGTTGTTGATTATAAACTAGATACAAATTTACATACCTTGTACAAGTATAGTGTGTCAGACACTGTTAGGCCTGATCCAATCTATTTTTAGGTTCTTTCTTATAGGATTCCAGCAAGAGATGACCAAGTAGCTAGATTCTGGCTGATATGATTTCTGATATACTCATCCTGGGATATTTTTAAAATTTTTCTTATATAGTCAAACACCTTTCTCCTCTTCTTTCTCCCTGATGAAATGCAGGCATTGCAACAAAGATATAGGATCTATATTGAGACCATATGATAATAAGACTAAGAAAAGAAAAATACAATCATGAAAACAGTCCTGGTAGAGTTGATATAGTTGCTCCACTGAACTGACAGTCCTAAGAATGCTTGTCATCATATTCCAGAGCCTTGAATGTTAGCTGCATTCCATTATCTTTAGACTAAGCCCTACGAGAAATGAATACAAAGTACATTTTTACTTGTGCCTCAGTTCCACTACTTATAAGTAGATAGCATAATTGCAGAATTGTGTATAGGTTAATTGATAGTTTAAGGGCAAATTACAATCTAAGGAGATACTGTAAGAAGATAGTGCAAGGAGATCTTGTATAATTTATTTTAGGCTGAGAAGATAGAATTAAAAATCTTGCCATACTCTAGTCCTCATATTGGCTTCAGCTAATTTGTAATTTATTCAGGCTGCCTGAAAATGATTTTATTCTGCTTGCCATGTAGTTTAAGGTTCTTGGACCACTGTATTTTCAATCCTTTGTATATATCTTTTGTCCGATTTTTGTCATGCATCTTATCTTTATATTTTTATGAACACAAAATTGTTTGTTATTCTTTTCCATAGACAATCATCCTTTTTTTTTTTTTTTTTGAGACAGAGTCTCGCTCTGTCACCCAGGCTGGAGTGCAGTGGCGCTATCTCGGCTCACTGCAAGCTCCGCCTCCTGGGTTCACGCCTTTCTCCTGCCTCAGCCTCTCAAGTAGCTGTGACTACAGGCGCCCGCCACCACGCTTGGCTAATTTTTTGTATTTTTAGTAGAGACGGGGTTTCACCATGTTAGCCAGGATGGTCTCGATCTCCTGACCTCATGATCTGCCCACCTCGGCCTCCCAAAGTGCTGGGATTACAGGTGTGAGCCACCGCGCCTGGCCGACAATCATCTTTTAAAGTTGGTAAAAATATAGCTTTAAGAAATAAAAAGAACATATTTTATATTGCCTTTATTTAATTCAGTGCTAGCATGCTCTGTTTCGTTGTGTTGATTCAGGTGTTGTGCCAATGAATGACTTTATTCATTTTTAAACGTGAGTCTATATTTCCTTTTAACTTTTGAAGATATTTTAACTGGATACAGAATTCAGGGTTGACAGGTTTTGTTTTGTTTTTCTTTTCAGCACTTTACAGATGTCAATATATTGTCTTCTAGACAACATGGTTTCTGATATCTGGTGTCATTCTCACTTTTTTGTTTAATATACTATCTTATATTCCTCTGACTACCTTCAAGACTTATATATGTTTTTTTGATATTGTTTATTTAAATGTGATATTCCTCCATGTTTTATACTCCTTGATGCTCTCTGAAGGTTTTGATTCTTCAGCTTGTTGTCTGTCACTAATTTTGAAAAATGTTTTGGCATTATTCTTCAAATATTTCTTTCATTCTATTCTTTTTTACAATCACATAGGCATCATGTTGCTAGGTCTCAGGAACATAGCCTTTACTAGTGCTTCTGTACCTCTGCTGACATTCTCCCATAGCTATTGGATGCCCTATTTTGCCCCATATCCCTATTATCTCTGGACCTGTTTCAGTTTGGGTAATTTCTATTAACCTAGACTCACTTATTCTTTGTTCACGTGTTGAGTATACTAATAAGCCCTGCATCAGTGAGAGAAGTATAATCAGTCCGACTTAAAGAGGGAAGAGCGGGGAGAATAGAGAATGAGTGGAAGGTTTTACGACAAAGTCTATCTGTGGGGCAAGCCATTAAGCTATATACTATCATGCAGGAGCTGAGGCTACAGTGTTGAGGCAGAATGTATTCTTCCACAGTGAAACCTGTTTGCTCTCATGGCTTTTAACTGATTAGATGATACGCATCCAAATTATTAAGGATAATTTATTTTACTTAAAGTGAAATGATTGTTGATTGTAACTACATCTATAAAATACTCAAGAACAACACCTAGATTAGTGTTTAATTGAATAACTGGATACTATAGCCTAGCCAATTCAACACATGAAACTATCACAAGCCAGTGCAACACATTTATCGTCTTTGTTGCTGTTTTCACTTCTATAATTTTTAATTATTTGTTATAATTTTCATATTTCTTCTGACATTACCCATATGATCCTGCATGTTCTGTACCTTCCCTGAAAGACTTCAACGTATTTATCATAGATAGGGAGATCCTGCACTGATGTTTTATCTGAATCTGACTTTGGATCTTGGGTGTGTATTGCTTTCCTTAGACTTATGTATGCCTCATATATTTCTTTTTTATGCCATAAGTTAAATTGAACTACAGTGTATAAAATGACAGCTTTTATGCCTACAAATGACTACACCTTCTCTCTTTCAATTGTCACTTAATGTAAGAATTTGAACTATTATGATTAGGAAATGGACCAGGTTTCAAGTCTTGCCTTTTTTACATTTGTTCTTAGTACTCCCAGGTGTCAAATTCTTATAGAAATAATTTGTATTTGAAATGGGAGGGGCTGCTCTGATTAAATATTTATTTTTACTCAATGTCTGCTCTACCCTTAGCTTTAGGTCTTACTTATGTTTAGCATCTCAGAGATGGCCGTCTTACAAGTTCTTTCCTTCTCTACCTCTCACCAGTGTTTTACTATCATTGTTACTGGATTTTTGTTAGCCTCGTGGGAATGGGAGTGGCTGGGGACGGGCAGACATTCTTTGTTCCTTAAATGTAGCCTCAGTGGATCTCAGCAATGTGGTCTTTTCTAATACTTTGAACTTCCACCAGCTTTAGTGCTTAGCTCAGCATATACACCTGCTCCTTAACAAGGTATAGGTTTATTTAGATTTTGGTCCTTTTCTCAAGATGAAAAGGGCTTTCCCTAGTTCTCTGACAGTGTTTGTGCCCTTACCCCAATAAACTGAAGATTTGTTTTTATTAGGAAGTAAAGGAATAAAATTCTGGGTAGAACTTCTTGTCTCTCATGCAGCAGCTTCCGTTCTCCCAGGTATGCATCAAAAGGGACATACCCTTAAAATTTCTCCAATCTATTCTGCGAGTGCTCAGTAGGGTTCATAAAGAAAAAGTCTATAGTGGATACAGATGCCTCCATTTGTTAAAAGCCCTAGGGGATTCACACTCCCCAGTCCACACTTGGCCTCCTCCAATTAGGGAACAATCCTGGCTACACTCTTCTTTCTTGTGTTCTGTTGCCTCTAACCTAGCTAAAGCTGTCCCACATTTATGTCTCTTTACAGGCATTCACCCCTCCTTAAATAGAGCTCTCTGACACATTCAGCATGTCATAAACTTGAAGCCTGTCTTGAACTTTGCATTGTAAGAGTGGGTGTGATGTCCTTTCTAGCTCTCTACATCCTTTACTGAAATCACAAGTCCCTCCCTCCCTTTTGTCTCCAAACCCCATCAGTTTGTGTTTGGTCCCTGCATTAATTATTTGTCATTGCATAACAAATTACCACAAACTGGGTGGCAAAGGAACCCGTGTTTATCATCACATAGTTTTTGAGGGTCATACCTCAGGGTATATCATGGGTGGATCTTCTGCTTCAGGTTCTTTCACAAGATTGTGATTAATGTGTCAGCCAGGCCTGCATTTCATCTGAAGGCTCAACTAAGGAGGGATTGACTTCCACGGAAAAGTATTCACAGGAGGTTTGACTGAGGACCTCTTTTTCTTGCTTTGACTGTAATTACCTATAGTTTCTTGCCATTTGGGCCTCTCCAACATGCAGTTTGCTTTACTGAACTCAGCAAAGGGAAGAGTCAAAACAGAAGTAACAGACTTATGCAGCCTAATCATGAGAATAGCCTTTCCATCCATCCATCACCTTTGCTTTATTCTATTGGTTAGAAGCAACTCACTAGGCTAACTTATACTCAAGGGGAGACACTATTATACAAGGTTGTGAATAAGAGGCAGTGGATATTATTGAGGACCTTTGTAGTACATGCCTGCCACAATACTCAAAGTACATAAAATTACTTAACTTTGCTGATCCTTCCATATCTCCAGGATCCATGGCTATAACTGCTACCAAGCTCTGGGCTGCAGTAGTGTATCATCCATAACGCAAATAAGGTAATGTAGAAGATTTCACATCCAAATATGTTATTCCTCTAGTCATTTAATAATAACTTAATATTTTCTGTATATTTGGGGTGCTAATACCCTATATGGTTATAATTTCTTGCCCTGTCAATCCAGAAACAAATATGAGCTATCCAAATTATCCAGGAAGAAAAATAATTTATGGCTAATTTGTAATTAAATGTAATGTTGAGATAAATTGAACCTGTCTATATTGTGGCTGAATTACTGCTGTGGCCCTTCCACTGATATCAAAAGTAGTTTACTAGTATCCAGCACTCCGGAAATTTTATTAGTCTCTTTGTTTTTAAATTTCTAATTTAAAAAATATATATATTTTCTCTACTTCTTGCTTATACCAGCATCCTGAGACAAGAGTGGTAAGGGAGATGTAAATTTAAGGTGATTTTTTTCCTCTTCTCTTTTAAAAAATCACAATTCTAAGAATATTTGACTATAAAATTACTCTCTTGGCTACTGGCAACATTTCTGAAATGTTTACTTCTGAGAACAGTGTGATTGATAAGGGTACTGTATTGGATGCTCTTGCTCCATTTACAATACTGAATATGACAAACACACACCTACACCCCACAACAACAATAACAAAACATAGCAAAGATCCAATATGGAGTAGCTGACAATAGTATGTCATTCAGGTGCCCCAGAGAAATGAACTTGATTAGGGATATGGTGGGGGCTAACCTCATTGGTATATGTTGCAGTTACCACTACAAAAGCGGTTTCTTCCTCGGTTAGTGGCTAGTGGCAGCATATAGATTTCACCCGCAAAAACATAGAACTTTACCTAAGATAAGCAATTGGTTATACTTAATTGGCTTATTTCCTGGCTGTGTGAGAAAAATACAGTGGCAAATGTCACAAAAGGAATGAGTAACTGTTCTATCTATAAGATATTCAAGTCATTCATTTTAATTTTAACATGCTGAAAAGATTTTTTCTATTTCTCTACATAGCTTTTGATCTCACAAAAGGAATCTGGAAATAAACCATGGGGCAGATATTTTGACCTTCACATCAGTGGATATTTTTCTAGGTATTTTGTTTTTCAGGAAAGCAGAGCCTTGATGATATATCTAGTGACTCAACTTATAAACAGGAAACCAAAGGTTCTGTAACCTTAGGTAGACGTGGTCATTTGTAAGTGTCCTATTGCTTGTGAAATCACATCATTAATTCAGTTGTATCTCTTATTAGACCTAGTATTATGGACCTGTGTCCTCACAAAATTTATATGTTGAATTCTTAACCTCAAGTATCTCAGAATGTGACTGAACTTTGTGATAGGGCTTTGGGAAAGTAATTTAGGTGAAATGAGGTCATATAGTAGGCCCTAATGCAATGCGACTACTGTCCTTATAAGTACAGGGGGTTAGGACAAAGACTCACAAACAATAATGACCATGAGAAGATGCTGGAGGAAGACAATTATTAAAAGCCAAGGAGAGAAGCTTCCACAGAAACAGCCCTGCCTACACTTAGATCTTGTACTCCTAGCCTCTATAACTATGAAAAAATAAATTTCTGTTGTTAAAGCCACCTAGTCTGTGGTATTTTATTTTAACAGTTCTAACAAACGATATACCTAGGGACTGCATTACTTGGCTGAATTCTAGATTTCTTCAGGTTGATATTTTGATGATGATGTATCTTCAGAACCTGTAGTACATTGTCTTTAGCTTGCAGCCTGATGTTATTATTGATTCTTTGGTCCCCCAGGAGTTACAGCTAGGGTCTGGGTTGGCCAGAGTCTCTCTGGACAAGTTGTTTTTGGATAACTATAATACTCCCATAATTATGTAAGTTTGTTATACAAAATGTATTGTTTTCTATTCATGACTTGAAGGGAAAAAATGAGGACATATGATATCATTTTTCTGCAAAGTAATTTCCCTCAATTCTCCCAAAACCAACCTAACAAGGCTTGCTCCAGCTGCTCGCTAGAATTCTGACTGATTATGACTGAAGGCATTGTAAACAAAAAGGAGTTTTTTGTTGTTACTGTTGTTGCACTTGCTGTCTTCTCGCAGAATACCATTCTTCTCCCTGCGATTTCTATCAGGACCCTTTAATAATGAGTCACTAGGCACACACAGCCACCACAGGAAGGTTAATCCTTTTGAGCGGAACAGCAAATATGTCAGGACAGTAGCAAGCAGGACAGGCTGAGCTGGGGCTAGAGTGTTCTGTGGAACTGATTTTTCAAGTTCTCTGGTCCTGGCAGGTTGACATAAGAGCCTGGGCGCTCTGTTAGCTACTGCCAGGCGGGTTGGCTGCTAACTCATTGTTCTTTCACAGTTGAGGGGATACTGGGCCTGTGTGGTAGAGAAGTTCAGGTATACTTGGCACTGACAGTTAAGGACTAATCACCTGTGGTGACAGTGATAGTAATGGCAACATCAGAGGCTACAGTAGTAAAGGAATTTTGCTTGCAGAGGAAAAGAGGAAAGATAGAGTGGCAGAGGCCATTGAACCCCCACATCAGAAGACAAAAAGAAGCAGCAGCTTCCATTCCAGATGGGAAGACACAAGCAGGATTTTAATAACCCTTAAATTCCTTTCACAACCAGATTTTAATTTCCATTTATCCACCAAGACTTCTTTCTGGGAAGTGTTAGGGTTTACTTCATGAATGGCACTTGCTGTTTCCCTGAAAGCTTGAATAATGAATTTCTTTAATGTTTACCTGTGTATTACAAATTGCCTGTATTTGTCCCAGAACATGTGGGGGTTTCCTGGCATAGCTTTTTGAGCTATTTCTTGTTCTTCTAATTCTCTCTCCAGTGTCTCTAATGCAAGATAATTCTGTTGATCAAAAAGGTAGCTTCTCTGGGTCATCCAACAAACATTCCTGGTCTCACTACTAGGATAGTCTCAACTAGGTCCTCAGTCTCTGAGCAACATTATGTCATATACTAATGATCGTCTGCACTAAATCATGGGAAATATTATGTTCATTTTTATCTTTCTTCCATTTAAACAAGGTGCCTAAACCCTATATTGAAGGCTACAGAGAGGACTACATTGAGACTTGGCAAAGTCCTATAGAAGTTTTGTTTTCTTATGGTAAACTGTAAGTATATAGTTTATTAATGATGCATCAGGCAGATAAACATTTGATGAGCAAAGCTTCCTTCGGTTCCCCAGCTCCTCACAGGGAGTGGGCTTGAGCTGATGATCATATAGGCTATTCTTCAGTTGTCCCCCAATCTCTTCTCAGCACCATCTGTGACCTGCCTCATAGCCCAGGATACTAGTTCTGTGGACAGAATCACACAGGTTTGTGTGTGTGTGTGTGTGTGTGTGTGTGTGTGTGTGTGTGTGTGTGTTTCCCTGTATGTCTTTAAAGTGGTATCTATCCAAAGCATTCACAGGAGTTCAGAAAATAGGAGAAAAGAGAAATACAGATATTTTCTCACTGAACATCCTTCTAATGCATGGATTGCATCCATACATTTATTTCAATGATTATTTAATAATTTTCTATTGCCTATAAGAAAAAAATCCATACCTTATAACATGAAATTTAAAGACATCAAGCAATCAGCTACATCATGGCTCTCTGACTGCTTCCCTGACCTCTGATATACCTTAAGGTATAAAGATTTTTTATACTTTAGTGCCATTTTAATATAGCGCGCTTTTGTTTAAGCTACCCTCTTTCTCACCTTGATTATCACCCTGCACTTACCTAATTATTATATAGCTCAGCTAATTATCTCCAAATTAAACAACATAAATCTCAGATCAGGTGTCATAATTTCAGGAAACTCTTTAACATCCTACTTTTTAAACTTTTAAATGTGTCTCTACTGTGCTATCAATAAATTTTGCACAGATGTACAAAAGCAGTAGAATAAATACATAAATCGTGGTATATTTATACCACGAAGCGTAGTACAACAATAAGAATGGATAATTCTTGTAATCATATTGTTCAAGGTTCCAGGTCCAAGAGAGTACCTGTTGTATGACTCCACTTTTATAAATTTCACAATCAGGCTACAGTGTTAGAAGTCAGGAAAGCGGATGATACCTTGGTAGTGAGTAGCAGAGAAACACAGATGGGAATTCTATGGGACTGAGAAATCGTAAACATTGCTGAGTGGAGCAAGGAAGATGTAAACAAGTGGAGAGATAGATCATACTCATTGTTGCTAAAATGCAATATTGTTATCAATTCTCTATAAATCGACCTGTAGGTTCAACAAGATACCAATAAGATTTTCTACGCCAGCTATTAAAAAGGCACTAACATAGATTCTATAATTTACCTTTAATTGAAAAGGACTTGGAATAGTCAGAACAAATAGAAAAAGAAGAATAAAATTGAATATCTCAAAGTTCCTAGTTACAAGACTTAGTATAAACCACAATAATCAAAATAATGTAGTAAAGTATTGGCATGTGGATATTCAAAAAGATAATAATAGATAATCAAGAAATATACCCACATATAATTCAGTTAATTAATTTTGCTGAAGTTGAATGAAGCAATGATTAATATGTACTTTAAAAAAATTAGGGCTGACGAAACTGTAGACACACTAGAAAAAACAATACTAATCACTACCTCACATTATGCACAAATATTAAAGTGACATGTATCTATATTTATATAGTCTTTCAATAAAGAGAAAATATTTATAACCATGAGGTAGAATAATATTGTAAATAGTAAACACAGTGAAAATAAAATTTAAAAATATCAGAAAATTAGACATCATTAAAATCAACAATTTTTGTCTTAAATTAAAAGAAACTCAAGAAAACTGATAATTCACAGACACAGAGAAAATATTTTCAATGCATATTATCTGATAAAATATTGAAAATTAGAGTATATTTTATTTACATGAAATCAATAACAAAAAGAAATTAACGAAAAAACAGTGACAGTGAGGAAAGATATAGGACCCAGAATTCACCAGAAAATAAATATGATTGTTCAATAAGGCCTTGAAAAAGTGCTCAGCCATATCAATTTTAGGGAAAATGGCTGAAATTTAAAAGATCATACTTAAAAGACTATAATGGCTGAAATTAAAAAAAAATAGCAGCATAAATATGTAGAAGAATGTGGAGCTCCTGAGACTTTCATGTATTCATGGTGCAGGTATCAAAAAGACCAACCAGCTAGGAAAGTGTGTCTTTGTTTTCTGCTGCTTATAGAATATATCTGAAACTGAGTAATTTTTTTACATGAATTTATTTCGTATAGTCATGGAGGCTGAGAAGTCTAAGGTCAAAGAGCCATACCTGCTGAGGGACTTTTTTCTAGTAAGACTCTGCAGAGTCCCAAAGCAGTGCAGAGCATCACATGGCGAGGAGGATGAGTGTGCTAGCTCAGGTATCTACACCTCTTCTTATAAAGAAAGCCACATCCCACTCTCATGTCAGCTTATTAATCCATTAACCCATTAACCCACAAATCCATGAATGGATTAATCCATCCATGCAGACAGAATGCTTGTGACCTAATCACCTCTTAAAGACCCTAACCCTTCAATATTGCCACATTGAAAATTAAATTTCAGCATGAGTTTTGAAGAGGACAAATACTCAAACCATAGCCTTTTGTTTCTCTTGGATAATCTGGAATTTCCAGACTCCAGTCATACAGAGGAAAAAAGTGATTCTGAGCTTCTGTAACTTATAATCAACTCATTTCCCTGCATTTGGAGCACAGGGGATAAAAGTTGAACATCACAATGAAAAATGGTATACATAAGAAGTTCAAATGTAAAATAGAAGCCTTTAGAGAAGAAGTGGTGAGCTCACTTGCTTGTGTTGATCAGTATATTATGCAGCACATTTAGACATAAAGAAGGAATCCAGAGAGTAAAAATAGTTTTAATCAACACATCCTCTGCATTCCCCTAATGTTAAGCAAAGAAAGCTGATGTGGTGGTCTCTTACTGTTCTTTAAATAAAATAGCAAGTTGTTACTTTGGCAATTTATCATGCCATTTATTATGTCATGTGACAAATTTGGCTGGATGGGTAGAGATGAGCTTTTCTTACTTAGATGTTCACTTTTGGGACAACTTTAAAATACATTTTTATTACTTTTTGTTTCCTCAAGTTCATGCTCTGTGGGAAGCAATCTATTATAAGGCAGATTTGTTCAATAGGTCCTGCAGGGATTGACAAATACAAGTCTCTAGGGATGTTATTTTGGTGGTAGAAAATAGAAAGAAATCTTTGAAATAAATGTAAGAAATAGATATAAAATATACACAAAACAACCAATATGTTTTTATTTTAGATATTTAGAATTATGAAGATTAATCTCAAAGAAAACTCAACCATTGCTTTTCCTGAATTTATAATTAGCTTGATAAAATATAATTCCTAAAAGGCATATAATATTTTTATATTTTAGCTGTCTCTCTAATAACCAAATCAATGAAAACCAATTTTCCAAAATTATTATTATTATTTTTAATAAAAATTGTCACACTATATCCAGAGAAGAATACAATTTTAGCATTCCTGTAACACATTCTTCAGATATATAATTCTAAATAAATCTCAATATCTTTTCAGTCATTATTCAACAAATAAACTTTGTGGGTTACCAGAAAATAGTCTTAGGTGTGAAGTCAAACAACAAAATTATCAGCATACTATTAGCAGCAGTCTGAATTTCAAACCTTATATCTTTAAATGTATGGCTTTTTTCCAGTTTAATCAACAATATTAAAAATATTATTATCATTATTATTTGATCCAAAGAGTAGCAGTATAATTTCCTAGTTATATAGAAACTCTGAAGTCAAGTATGCCTAGATTCAAATCCTAACCTCGGCACTTATCAACAATGATACCTTAGGCAAGTTACTTTGTCTTTTTGTACCACAACTTAATTTTGCCGCCTACAAAATTAGTCTAATACTATCCACATTACAATTTTTTGCGAATTCAATTTGTTTATCCATGTAATGAGCTTTGAACAGTGTATGACACACACCAGGCAGTTTATAAGTGATTATTATAAATATAATTTTCATTCTCTTTGAGGAAACAAAATTTTATCATAAGAAAGCTGCTTCGGTTCAAGTTTTTTTCCGACCATTAATACAGCCCATCAAACACAGTTAGTTGTCTCTTTCATTAACTTGTGTCTAGCTAACTACCTTCGTTACATTTCAAAAACCTACTTTCTGCTTCACTAGAATGTTGATTCCAATTTTAAGCAGATGTCCTTCAGTTTTACATGATGGAAGTCATTTACCTATACCCTGAATAACATTTCCACCTCCTCTTTCTGGACTTTGTTCCTCAGTCATTTACCCAGTTTCTTTACATTGTTTTTCTCATTCTCTCTATATCCTTGACTAATGCACATATTCAAGTATCATCACTCCTTTATCTCTTGATACTTTACTAAGTATCATCACTCCCCACTTTACCCCTAAAGAACACACCCTAAATGCACTCTCTACTGCCTCACTTCCAGTTTTTGTATGTATCTCTGTTGTGTCTCTGGAACAATTCTCATTAATAGCAGCTGCAACTTCAATGGTGCCATATAAAATCAGCAAGTATAGCTTTGGTTTTTAAATGTACATCACTGCCAAATTACAAAATGTTACTCATTTATTCGTGCAGCTCTACTCCCTGAATTCCCTGACTCAACATGCTCCTTGTTTTCACACCTTTGTGCGTAGTAATTTTGCAACATCTCCTTTGTGGGCTATTAAACTTTGTCCTGTCACTTAAATGCTGGTCTTTTTAAGGGTTCTGCACAAACACTTTTCTCTCACTCTTTAAGCTACTGACAGCTTCCTTCCTTTCTTGGAATTTTTTCTACCAATTCCATACATTAACATTTTTCTAGTCAATATAACACTTCCATACAGTAAAATGCACATATCTAGTGTACAGAGTTTAATAATCTTTGACAAAGTCATCCTAATCAAAATATAAAATATTTTATCTTAGAATGTTACACTATGTTCCTCTAAAATGTACTATGTATTAAAATATTCAAATTAACTTAAAAATCTTAAATTGTTCAATAATTTTAAAATGCATATATAGAGCATATGTCATTCTATGTTTAGTGTTTTTGTTAAACTTCATACCATTTTCCATAGTGGCTGCACCATACTTTATCCTCATCAACAATATATAGTGATTCCAATTTCCTTACATCCTCATCAACAATTCTTATCTCTGTGTCTCTCTCTCTATATATATACACATATATATATGTATGAGTGTGTATATATGTATATATATGTATCTAGGTATATATACTATATATAAAATATATGTTATATATAGGTTTAATATATATTATATTATATATTATGTATTTCTTATAATACGTAACAATATCTCCTTTTGTGTGTACCATATATTACTTCCTGGTATGTATTCCAAAAAACTGAAATCAAGATTTTGAAGAGATACCTGCACTTATTAATTGCAGCATTATTCACAGTAGTCAAGATACAAAAACAATCCAAATGTTTATCAACAGATGAATGGATTAAAAAATATTGTATATACTGCCGGGAATAGTGGTTCATGCCTGTAATCCTAGCACTTCGGGAGCTCGAAGTGGGATGATTACTTGAGCCCAGGAGTTTGAAACCAGCCTGGGCAACAGAGTGAGACTCCATCTCTACAAAAAATAAATATATATATATATATTAGCTGTGTATGGTGGTGCATGCCTGTAGTCCCAGCTACTTGGAAGTCTGAGGCAGAAGGATTGCTTGAGCCTGGAAAGTTGAGACTGCAGTAAATTATGATCGTGTCACTCTATTCCAGTCTCACAGCAAGACTGTGTTGAAATAATAATAATGATAACAAATATAGCATATACATACAATGGAATATTATTCAGCCTTTAAAAGAAAAGGAAATATTGTAGTCCCAGCTAGTCGGGAGGCTGAGGCAGGAGAATGGCTTGAACCCAGGAGGCAGAGCTCCTAGTGAGCCGAGATCACGCCACTGCATTCCGGCCTGGACGACAGAGCGAGAGTTCATCTCAAAAATAAATAAATAAATAAATAAATAAAAAGAAAATTAAAAAAAGGAAATACTGCCTTTTGTTACAACATGAATGAACTGGCAGGACATTATGCTAAGTGAAATAGACCAGTTACAAAAAAACAAAGACCACATAATTCTGTTTATATAAGATGTCTAAAATAGTCAAATTCCCAGAGCAGGGAATAGGATGATGGTGGCCAGGAGCCAAGGACAAGGAAAATGGGAAATTGTTACTGGGTATTAAGTTTCATTATGCAAGAAATATAAGTTCTACAAATCTGCTGTACAGCATAGTACCTATACTAAATACACTATTTTGCACTTTAAAATGTTAAGGGGATAGGTCTATTTTAAGGGTTCATGCCACAAAACACATACACACGCACACAAGGAAATTTTTAGAGGTGGTATATATGTTTAGTTCTTTGATATCTTTATTATAGTAATGTTATCATGGTGTATGCATATATCCAAATTTATCAATATATACATAAAATATGCAATATTGTATATATTAATTATATATCAATTTATCTAGCTTAGATAACAAAAAATAAAAATTTATGAAATTAGATATATTCATATATAAATATTTATATAATTAAATGCTTATATTGGAAAAGAAGAATAATCTCAAATCAAAATCCTAATATTTCTTATACAAAAAACAAACAATAAAGTAAACCCAAAACAAACAAGGAAGAAAATAATAAAAATAAGAGAAGAAATCAATGAAATTAAAAGCATAAAATAATAAATAAAACATCCATTAAATCAAATATTGCTGCTTTGAACATAAAAATAAAATTGATAAAACTTTAGCAATGCTAATAAGAGATGGATGGGAGAGACAGAGATAGAGAGAGAGAAACTACCAATATTAAGAATGAAAAACAGAACACCACTCTAGATTATCTAGATATCAAGAGGATTATGAAGGAATATTATATATGACTTCATGCCAATAAGTTTACTGAGGAAAAATAAATGAATTCCTTGAAAGACACAAACTACCAAAGTTAGTCAAGAAAAAATACAAAAGGAATAGCTTTGTAAATAGTAAGAAAACTGAAAAATTTAATTAAAACATCTTCACATAAATGTATGTGCACACAGATGCACATCCACAAGCAGACCCTTAAATCATCATGCCCAAATGGCTTCACTTGTAAAATCTTACAAATATTTAAAGAAGAAATAATATTTCTATACAAAACTTTTCAGATAATAAAAGGAATTATTAATATTAACTAACTCACTTTCCATAGTATTACTATTTTTCTTTCAATTCTTCAGATTTTAAAATTTCTATATATCTTCAAGTTCACTAGTTTTTTTTGATAATTCTAATGCAATGCTGAAACTTATCTGATTTTTATTTTAGTTAATACATTTTAATTTCGAGGATTTTCTTTTTTAAATTTCTGTTGAGCTTCTTCACCAATAGTATATTATCCCTCAATTATTTGAAAATATTTTCTTTTAACACTTGAGAATATTTATGCTATCTGATTTGAATCCATCATCTGCTTAATCCAACATTTAACCCACTGTGAGTCAATTCTGTTGACAGATTCTTCTGACTTTGCATCTCACTTTCCTGTGTCATTGAGTCTTTAGCAATATTTAGTTGAAAACAGTATTTTCTACAATATGTTGTAGCAACCTTATATTCTGTCATATTTTTCTGTTAATTAATTTTTAATTCTAGTAGATTAATAACTTGCATGGCTTCAGTTTGAAATTGTGTCTCCCTGTGGTGTGTAGCAGCTAATTATCTCTACTCTAGTATGATGACCTCTAATAGTGGAATTTTTTAGCTTGGTCCTTATATGTTTCCCTTGGGCTTCAAATAATTGGTGCTCAGTTAAATATCTAAGCAGAGATGGAGAGTAAGCCTTCTTTTGGTTTCCAATTTTCTGAGGTTGTTCCTTTACTTTCAGAGTATCTCATTCATTCCCTTATAATCTGTACTTTGACATTTCAAAGCTACTCAGCATCACATTTTTGCTACCTGAGCTGTGACTGGTTGAGAATGCAGTCAGTTAAATGAAGCAACAAACTGACAGACAAGCTCCCTGAAGCTCTCACTTTCATGAGTGAACTCTCTTTTGGTATCTACTTGCTTTTATTATTTTTTAAACTAAGAAGAAAGACAGAGATCTCCTTTTTGCATGCATAATTTAGCTTTGAGTCTCATATTTTGGGGAGACTGTCCACTGATTGGGTTCTCACAGTTTCTGTGGTTCTTGCATAGAACCTTTCATGCTTCCTTCCAAGCCCTGAATTCTGATTTTATTGCCTTTAACAAGTAGTGCTATGATTTTCCTGCCACTGGTTTATCTTAGTTTTGGAAGTTGAGTTGTGCCCTCAAACTAATAAACAAAAACTGTTGATAAATACCCCATTCAGTTGTATTCATTTTTCATAATTAAATTATTCTACAACTTCTGTTGCATATTGGATACTTTAAGAGATTCCATAAATTAATGAAGTTTATATAATTAGAAGATTGGACAGTCAATATTCAGGCCCACGTTTTCCTGAGCCAAACAAAATGACTCTTCCCCTCCAGACTGCATTATGTACAATACTTGGATATAAATGGATATGTGGTCCTACCAGGCTATTGTGTCTACCTTGTTTTTCCACGTGAAGCTTATGCTATCAGTGTGTCCAATCACAAGTCAGGTTCATAGAAAAAAAAAAACTTCATCTTTAATAGCTGTATAACTGAAAGACCATTAATTAGCTCTAGGATTTGAGAGTTTTTTCTTGAGAGCAGTTTAAATATTTTAAATTGTAGGCAAATTAATTGATATAGCAGTGTCGAAACTTTTGAATTAAAGACCCCAATTAAAAATCTAGACAAAATAAAACGTTCCCATAGATAATCGCTAATATGTCATGAAAATTGTTACTTTATATGATTAACTGAAATACTAGGCAATTAAATAAAATTTTGAAATCGATAGACTCCAGGCAGTAGTGGTGAGGGGGGCTGCCAAAAAAGTACCCATCTCAGCAAGCAGTCTCTGTCCAACACAGCCGAAGCAGATACAGCCAGCACATGTTCAGCCTTGGAAGCCTCTTCATCCTTATAGCTCTGAGATTCCCTTGCCCATTGAGAGATACCCTGTGGCATAACCCAGTCTGACCCCTAAGGACAAATAGGACCAATTGGGACTAAGTAGTGAGAGCCACAGTCAGAACCACTTAAACCAAGCAGACAAAAATAGCATTGCAAATGTTTGGAACTTTAAATTGTCATTGAAAACAGTTCAAATAAGCAGGCCAAACATGCATGCTAACCTAAATAGGATACCTGTCTAATATAATAAAAGATTTATATAGTGCCAAACGCTTCCTAATATAATATGTAAATGACCAGGATATACTTGAAAATTCTTCATCACACCAAGAACCAAGAAAATCTCAACTGAATTAAGAAAGGACAATTAACTGACATGAACACAGAAATTAAACAGTTGTTGAATTTTTCTGAAAAGGATTTTAAAGCAGTTGTTATAAAAATGCTTCAACAATCAATTTTGGTCATTGATTTTCTCGAAACAAAAAAATCAGAAATTCTGAGTAAATATTTTGAAGTTATAAAAATAAATAAAAATTGTAAAACTAAAAATTAAATGCCAGACAAAACAATTTTCTAGATGAACTCAAGAGTAGAGTAGAGTTGACAGAGAATAGAATCAGGGAACTTGAGGACAGGTCAACAGCATCCATCCATCTGACCAAGCAAAAAACAGACTGGAAAAAATAAAAAAAATTAAAAAAAGACAGGGACATGTGATAAATAACAACCAAAGATTCAACATCTATATTATTTAAGTTTCAGAAGAGAGAAAGTTAGTAGGGCTAAACGTGTATTAACAGGAATACTGTAATGGTTAAACATTTTCTTTTCTTTTTTTTTTTAAGATGGAGTCTCGCTCTGCTGCCCAGGCTGGAGTGCAGTGGCGGGATCGCAGCTCACTGCAACCTTTGCCTCCAGGTTTCAAGCTATTCTCCTGCCTCAGCCTCCCGAGTAGTTGGGCCTACAGGCACACGCCACCATTCTCAGCTAAATTTTTGTCTTTGTTTTTTGGAGAGACGGGGTTTTGCCATGTTGGCCAGGCTGGTCTTGAACTCTTGAGCTCAAGCGATTCACCCGCCTCAGCCTCCCAAATTGCTGGGATTACAGGCTTGAGCCATTGCGCCTGGTCTGGTTAAGCATTTTCTAATTTGATGAAAAATACAAACCTACAGAGTTAAAAATCTGAACATACCCCACACAGTTAACCCTCAAATAATGCCAAGAGATGTTTAATTGTATTTTTAATACAATTTTTAAGACAAAAAAGGAAAGAAAAAATCTGAATGCTGTGAGAGAGAAATGATGTATTACCTATAAGACAGTACCAATTCTAGTAAGAGTAGTTTCTTCATCTGAAGCCATAGAGGCCAGAAGAAAGCAGTACAACATTTTTCAAGCTTTAAAATAACTTTTCAACTGTGAATTCTGTAACGATCAAAACTATCTTTCAGAAATAAAAAGTAAATAAAAACATTCTCAGACAAAGGAAAATTAGATTGTTTTGTCACTAGCATATACCTAAAAGAAAGTTTTCAAAATAGAAATGCAATAATAATAGAAATAATTTTGAAGCATCTGGAAGAAAAAAAGAGCAACAGAGCAGAAATATGTCTGCATAAAATTAGTAGCCTCTTCTCATGAGTTTTATAAATTGTATTTGATAATAATAATTAAATTATAACATTGGATGATACCCATAACAATGATATTTAAAAGTGGGGTCAGTAATTGAACTTAAATGGAAGTGACACTTTATTGAAAGTGGTAAAATTTTGAAACCATCAAACTGTAATTAATCATATATGTAAATCATACACAGGGCAACCAGTAAAAAGAAAATACACAAAGAAATATAATGAGAAACCCAAAAAAAACCTATTAAGTAACTCACAGAAAGGCAAGAAAGAAGAAACAGTGGAAAAAGAATCAGAGAGAAGAAGTGAAAAACAAATAATGAAAGACAAACTTAAGAGAAAAAAAAATTCTGGTCCAAAATTTGAAGTATAAAAATGAAATATTAAATAATAGAACAATCTTTAGCCAAAACAATCTAAGAAAGAAAAACTTAGAGTTTATAAAGGGTAAACAAAATGAAAGAAGGAAATACGCTAAATTATTAAGGAAATAAATTGTAATTGAAGACTTTTAAAAGTAAATCCAGGTAATGTATTTTGCATGTGGCTATAAATATTTGAATGAATATTATATTTTCCCATTAGGAACTTTTTAAACCTATTTATTGATAAAGAATTCATATAGCATATAATTTATCTATTTAAAGTGTACATGTCAATGTTTTTAAAAATATTTTCACAGAGTTGTAATATCATCCCCACATTCTAATTCTAGAACATTTTCAACACTCAAAAAACAAAAACAAAAAACTACATATTCATTAGCAGTAACTCTTTATCATTGACCTTTCCTTACCACATGCAACTACTTGTATGGTCATAGACAACCATTGCCTATAGTAATCAATTGACTAATCAATTGCCTGAAATCATAGGCAATCATTAATCTGCTTTCTCTCTACATATATAGATTTGCTTATTCTGGAGATTTTATGTAAATCGAATCATAATACAATCTTTTATGACTGGCTTCTTTTATTTAGCATAATGTTTTCAGGGTTCATCCATGATGCATCTTGTATTAATACTCTGTTCTTCTTTTGGAATAATATTCCATTTATGAATATATGACATTTGGCAAATCCATTTATCAGTTGATGGATATTCGGGTGGCTTCTATTTTTGGCTACTATGAATCATATATAAGCATCCATGTAAAAGTGTTTTTTTTTTTAATTTTTTGGTGCATATATGCTTTTCTTTCTCTTGAATATATACCTAGGAAGAGATTCTGTGTTTAACATGTTGATAACTGGCAAATTCTTTTCCCAAATGGCTGGAACATTTTATAATCCTACCATCAGCACTTGAGGGTTCCAATTACTCCACATTGTCTCCAGAGCTTGTCTCTTCTTTTTAATTATACACATCCGTGTAGGGTCCAGCCCTACTGGTTCCGTGGGTTTTTTCTTCTCGTGTGCGGAGATGAGAGATCCTAGAAATAAAGGCACAAGACAAAGAGATAGAAGAAAAGATAGCTGGGCCCTGGGGACAACTACCACCAAGACGCTGAGACGGGTAGTGGCCCCGAATGCCTGACCGCGCTATTTATTGTATACAAGGCAAAAGGGGCAGGGTAAGGAGTGTGAGTCATCTCCAATGATTGATAAGGTCACGCGAGTCACGTGTCCACCGGAGAGGGAGCCTTTCCCTGTTAGGTAGTGGAGGCGGAGAGAGGAGAGAGGACAGCTTACATCATTATTTCTTCTATGCTCTTCTCAGAAAGATCAAAGACTTTAATATTCTCACTAATTCTGCTACTGCTATCTAGAAGGCAGAGCCAGGTGTACAGGGTGGAGCATGAAAATGGACCAGGAGCATGACCGCTGAAGCACAGCATCACAGGGAGAGGTTTAGGTCTCCGGATGGCTGCGGGTGTTCTTGACTGATATCAGGCCTTCCACAAGAGGTGGTGGAGCAGAGTCTTCTCTAACTCCCAGGGGGGAAAAGGAGACTCCCTTTCCCGGTCTGCTAAGTAACGGGTGCCTTCCCAGGCACTGGCGCTACCGCTGGACCAAGGAGCCCTCTAGTGGCCCTTTCCAGGCGTGACAGAGGGCTCACACTCTTGCCTTCTGGTCACTACTCACGGTGTCCCTTCAGCTCCTATCTCTGTATGGCCTGGTTCTTCCTAGGTTATAATTGTAGAACAGAGATTATTATAATATTAGAATAAACAGTAATGCTACAAACTAATGATTAATAATATTCATATATAAACTTATCTATATTATATTTCTAGTATAACTATTCTTATTCTGTATATTTTATTATACCGGAACAGCTTGTGCCCTCGGTCTCTTACCTTGGCACCTGGGTGGCTTGCCACCCACACTGCCTAGTGATTATGATGTATTGCTGTCATTTTGATTTGCATTTTCTTATTGACTATTTTTGTATTGCTTAAATGTACTTGACATACTTATAGGAGTGACATTTTGAAATAGAAGACTTTTAATTTAAAACATGTTTATTAAAACAAGAAAGAAGGACTAGGAAGAATGATGCCAAGGGGAAAGAGCTGTATGGTTAATACTAAATTAGTACTCTTTTCAGGCTTAGGAAAATCCAGTTACCCATCTTACTAAAGATACCCTTTGCTTTCTTTTAGCCCATTCAGACATGTCAAGGGAATAAAACATTATTTTCATATATTTTCTCATAAAATGAACTCAAGTATGTTAGAATACAAGATACATTATTTATAGATAATAAAATAAAAGTCTAAAAACTAAAAATAATAAAATATTACTGTATTTATTTTACAATTTTAGATTCCATTGGAAAACTTCATCAGAAGTAGATTTTCTCTATATTGTAATGTATTTCCAGAAAAGCTGAACACATATCCATCGCTATTAAATATAACTATTTAAGACATTTTTTCTGAACCCCCTAAAAAAACACTTAAGAAAAGTGTTCTGTAAAAATCATCCACAAAGTTCTCCAATTGAAGCGGCAATGGGGGCCACTCATTCTTCCAGGCCTTTGGTCCCAGATCATGTATTGTATCTCCTTTGATTTCCAATTATCATCTATTTCTTGGGGTCATTTTATGATACCTTACCTGCAGTTTAAAAGACTCGATTAATCTGATTAATCTTTTGTGAGCCTTCTAGATGTCATATGATGTTACTAATTTATATTGTAATATTTCTGGATACAGCTAATGCTTCAGTACTCATTTGCATGACTAAGATAACCAAGCAAGTTTGTATCCTGTTGAGGACTTTAAGGAAGTGTAGAGTTTTGGGAGATAGATTGCATACTCAGAGCATGTGAATGCAGCACAGACATAGAAGGAACCTGAGCTTTAGTAAATTAGAGAAGAAAGATAAAAACTGGAAATTGCTGCTGAAAATTGCTAAATGATGTAAAGTAAGACCATAAAAATAGATATGAATTGCATCAGTGAAATTCCTATCTACATTTCTAAATAGACATTTATCAGGTCTGATTTAAATTAGAATAATCTCTTCTCAAACTAAATATTGAATAGTCTTGTCTTGTTCATTTTCCAAAGTTAGCATTTTACTTAGCAAATATGATTATGTTACTCCACTGCTAAAACCATCAATTGGCTTCTACTTCCTCTAATCTACTTATCAAGTATATTTATTTGTTATACCAGGCATTCATTTTGTGAATTATGAAGAATGCAGTGTTTCAAAATGTGTGTACATCAAAGATCCTGCATGACCTTGCCGGTGTTTATTTCTCCATTTTAAGACTCTTTTTCTTTCAACCATTCCAAACTTCAGATCTTACATCACAATATTCTATCAAGAAATTGCATGGGGACCGGAGTCAAAGGCCAGTTCTGCTTCTTCCATCCTTAATGCACAAGTAGTTTTTCTTGATCTTCACCTTACTCATTTCAATAACAAGAAAATTTTACTTGTCTTGTAGGCAATGGCCTGTACCAACATAATTATTTAAAGTAATTTGTAGCATATGTCCAAGCAAAGAGCTGCAATTTAAATAAGGCTATTTTCAAAGGGGAGTTTGCTTTTCCTTTTCCTACATTGCAGGTATTAGTAAATCTTTTATTTTTCATATACTGATATAATTTGTTTTATGAGTGCCTATATATTTGCATGCATACTGATAATCTATTAAGTGCTGCACATTTTATATAGCTAAATATTTTTATTTTCAAAATTCTTTTGAAGCATTCCAGGAAATTGTGGAGCTCTATGAAGAAGATCAAGTATTTTCTTATTTTTGAAGATATTGCGGAAATAAATAAAACAGCATCTAGATAAGTGCAAAATGTTGATTACAATTAATATAAAAGCACAGCTTTCTGAATGATTTCCTGTTATGAGAAAAGAACAGTTAGGAAAGTAATTGACAATTACTTACATGTTAATTTATTTAAAATATGTTTGAAGATCTAGTAAACTATTAACATATTAATATACTCTGATTATCTATTTCACTAATTAATACTCTTAGGTATATATACATGATAATATATAATAATAAGTTACTCTTTAGTTTTTTTGTCCATTTTGAGAGTTTTCTATTCTCAAGTATACTCCCCAGGCTAGAGGGGAGATGGTATTATTGGTAAATGGAAACTTTCAGAACCCTTTAAATCACACTAAGCAAGCATACTCCAATCTCTTCCCATTTCAAAGTTGCATAGGAGAAAAAAATACCCTTTTGTTAGGTCAAAACGCTCATGTTAGGAGCGCTGTACTATAAAGTAAACAATTACTGAATCTCTGTAGGTTTAAATGCCAAAGATAAAAGGATGTACTAGACCTCTGAAATTCTGAAAAGTTCCAAATACTTCATAACTAAAGAGGAGAGAGCACTGGTGATATTACCATCCTAAATACCTCTTTTTTTTCTTCCTGAGATGGAAGCTTGCTCTGTAGCCCAGGCTGGAAGTACAGCGGCGAGATCTTGGCTCAAGCAATCCCGGCCTCCTCGGTTCAAGCATTTCTCTTGCCTGAGCCTCCCAAGTAGCTGGGACTACAGGTGCCCACCACCACACCGGCTAATTTTTGTATTTTTGGTAGACACAAGGTGTCATGATGTTGACCAGGCTGGTCTCGAACTCCTGACCTCAGGTGATCCACCCGCTTCCGCCTCCTATAAATACCTAATTCTAAATAAAATTAGAAGTTTTGAAAATAAAGCAGGCCACTTATTAGACACAAACGTGGACCATTACGTAGTGAGAAAAGAAACAAAAGATACTCCAAATAATTCAAAAGGTTTAGAAGCAATGTAAAATACATGAAATTTATGTTAGTAATGTGCTTTAACTTAACTCATACATACTTTTAGTATTACATCTTAATGATCAGCTTTTAAGTATAACCTTGGAAGAAAGGTGATTGATAAGTTAACTGATAAAGTTTTAAACATTGCCTTTCTTAAATTATGGTTAACAATATTGCACCTAGCATGTCATTGTCACATAATCAATTTTGATGGACACAGGATTCATAATTCTATAATGAAATATAATAAAATATTTTTTAAAAAGATGCTTCTATCAACCTGCATTTGAATGCCAAGTGCTTTACTCATAACACTAAATTAATGACATTAGTGTCATTTTCTCAGCAAGAAATCATCAAAGAAGGCTTAAATGTAGGGGAAAAAAGGCTTTTATTCAAGCACACAACTTCAATAATGCAAGGGGAGTGTACCCAATTACCAGTAAGCAAATTGGTTTTTGTAGACATGTTCTACCATTGTCAAACTTTCTCCAGTGTGAAATTTCCAACCAAAGATATCAAATATATATATACACACATAGTGCCATTATCTAATGAATTTCATAGGATTTGGTGACAGATGAAAAACACTCTGTTACATGAAAGCAAGAGCTAAATTCCTATCCATCACGAGTTTAAATATGCTATTGATTTTTTTAGCTACGTTGTATTTTACATAGGTTCCTGAGACTTGCAGAATTCAGTGAGAGGCAACATTTAACCTATAAATTACCATTGAATTGCATTAATATTAAAAGTACTTTATGTGTGTGTGTGTGTGTGTATGTCAGTAAGCTACACAGAATTTATGTTTGGAAAGATGCAAAATAACAAAGAATAGGCTAAAAATAAGATTTTGTAAAGCTAAAGTAAAAGGAAGGGAGTTATCTATATCTGTATCCTAGATCTCAATTTCTATCTAGATAAATGTATTTGTAGGCAGATGTAGACAGATATAGATACAGAATAGTGTTTTATTACTTGGAAATATGTATGCTACCCCTCTGTGTTTAAAATTATCAATTTTATAATTAATTGCGTTAAAGAAATCATGCACCATTAGTGAGAGTTATCAAAGAAATGATGAAGATTAGTCCACAGTTTTGGTCTTACAATCTTATTTATTTTCTGGTAAAACTACAAACATTCTCATTCTAAAATCAATTTTAGTACTCATTCTTCTTTAGAGTAAATGTAATAATGATTCTGACTTTATGTTTTTAGGCATATTTGCCTGTCGTCATTTAAGTTTCACCTCTTCTTCCGGTTCTGCCCCACCTAAAGGCAAGCTAATACAAAAGCCTGGGTGCTCACTCCTTTGCCACTGGTGGGAAGGTCTAACCACGTAAGCACCTAACTTCACACAGCTCCACAAAAACCATAACCCAATCATCCAATCATCTTTTCCTAGTCTCTCCTCTAAGGTGCACTTTTGTACCAGTTTGGGAAACCTGCATTATTCTCTCCACAAAGCTTCAAAATGTTGGTCATTAAACTTTTTAACTCCTCTTGGTGTGTGTGTGTGTGTGTTGCATCAGTCTCAATATCTAAACCAAATTTTGGCTATGAATCCATCCTGACTCTGAAAAATTGCTCTAATAGTGAGAACCTTACAATTGCACATATTTTGTTAAATTCAACAATTCTTAAAATTTGTATTATTATCATAATTTGATTTAATATTAATTTTGATGCAATTTAAATAATATAACTAAAACATAACTATAATTAAAAATAGAAAACATACCAAAGTACGGACTTAATGTGTACATAAACTTAAAACATTTCTTAAAAAGTTACAGTTGCAATAAAATAACACATTGCCGTAACATAAAGCTAATTCCATTATGTCGAAAAAATGCCTGAAATGAATATTCAATTTTAATTTTTATTTATTTGGCAAAATGGTAAAATAAACACATTAGGAATCATGCACCATAATTACTGATTTCCACAATAGGACATGGCAGAATTTATAACTCTATAAGGAGTCTGCATCACAATCTATGAGTCTAATGTGTTTCGTTATATAACTGTTATTAATATTGTAAATATGTGACTGCAGTAAAATTATAAAATTTATAATTATGAGAATTTCAATATTAATTTCTATGTGTAATAATTATTTTTAAACAGATAAAATATTTTTTAGCCTACATTAATAAATGCTAGTTTTATGTTATTTATTTTTAAATTAAATTTTACAAGAGAAATTCAATGTAATTACTAATAGAAATTTAAAAAATGAGTTGTTCTAGTATTATCGGGTCAACATTATTTATATTGACACAATTTGTTCATATCTAACCTTTTTGCACCAATGAATGTTTGCTACAATATGCAATTTATTAATGCATTATGCCATCTTGGTAATTTCAATATTTTTATAACTATAAATATTGATTTATTTTAGTCATAAAATATTAATACCTGACATTAATAACCAAATTTTCCTCTCTGATTATTAGATTCATACCCAGCTACCTATTTCAACATTATGTAGGTGTCAACTAAACTTTTTAAACTTAGTGTGTCCAAAACTGAACTTCTAATACAAGTTTCTATTTCTCTGCAATTGCAACTCTTTTTGTAGTGTGTAAACTCAAGTAGATGTAATCATTCTTGTTAAATTTTCCACCTCTGCTGTGGCTTGAATATGTTCCCTTTAAATTTCAGATGCTGTCATTTTGATAGTGTTAAGACATAGGGCCTTTAAAAGGTGATTGGGCTGTGAGGATTCCTCCCTTGTGAATGGAACTAAGGCCCTTAAAAGAGGGACTTCACACATTATTTGGCTAGCTTGTGCTTCTGCCTTTTGCCATGTGAGGACACAGCAAGAAGGTCCTTACCAGATTAAATGTAGGCATCTTGATCATGCACTTTCCATATTCCATAACTGTGAGAAATAAATTTATAGTATTTATAAATTACCTGGTCTCAGGTATTTTGTTGTAGCAAGACAAATGGACTAAGACAACATTAAATGTCACATTAGTCTGCCATCTACTACTTACACCTCTATTCCCAAAATATATCCAAAATCTGACCAGTTCTCAAACCTTAGAATTTTACCACATTGTGAGCTAAGCCAACATCGCTGCTTAAAATGATCCTTGAAGATCCATCTTGGTGGCCTCTTTCTTCATAACTACTATGCATATCTCAACTCTTCAGCAAAATTGATTGCCTTATATGCTATGTCATATAGTACTTAATGCATCTTTACTACTGTATTAGATTCCTCTAGCTACTTTAACAAATTACCTAAAACCTGGTGGCTTAAAAACAAAAGGAATGTATTCTTTTACATTTCTGGAGTCTCACATTCCCTTCACAGGCCCGAGGGAACAGTGTTTCCACACTGCATCTAAATTCTTAGAGTTTCTAGTGTCGCAGACTCTGCTTCCATCTTCATGTAGCCTCCCCCTCCTCTCCTTGTGTGTGTCTTTTCTGCGTGTCTCGTATAACAACACTTGTCATTGGATTTAGATCTGATGCAGCTAATCCATGATGACCTCATTTCATTATCCTCAATTAATTATGTCTTCAAAGATTCTTTTTCCAAATAAGGTCATATTTACAGATTATAGGATGATTTGGATGTATCTTTTAGGGGCCATGATTGAACCCACTATAACAACTATTTATATATTTATTTCATCTGAACTTTTTTCTTTCTCTTTTCTCCCTTTCTCCCTTCCTCCTTCATTTCCTTTCTTCCTTGGACTAATGTGACATGAATGAGGTGATAGCATCACAATATTTAAGGAAATAGACACACATACAACTAATATTCAGAATAAGTAACATTATAAGATATTGTTTAAAAACAATGAACCAAATGCCAATATTTTTAATAAAGACAAGATCAGAATTACTAATTATTTTTTTTCAAGCACTCTAAAATGGTGCTTTTTTATATATGTCAGTTTCAGGTGTCTCTAATTCTCTCACACACAAAACAATGTTAAATTCCTCACTACAGCCTTAACTTTTGTTAAAGGTCAATAATTATCTTTGTCTATTTCACCACAGAATACAACATATAGCATTGATACAAAGGATGCACTAAAGGATGGACACAAATGAAAGAACTGAGACATGAATTTGTTCTTAAGAAAATTATTCTCCATTCTTTGAGAAGTCAACTGAATAGGATGAAGAAACTGCTCTATGTTATCAAGTTTTTAAATTTTGTATTTACTTATTTACTTTTGTTGTTACTTAAATCAACTTTAAAATAAAATAAAATTTATATTTGAGTACAAAATGGTGCAGAATTCTTACAAAAATAAAAGAAAAAAAAAAGCCTGCCTACAAAAGGAGGGAGAGTTTTACAAGAAAAAAAGAAGTACAATTCAGAGAAATCCATCAGGAGAAGAGATTCTTCCAATGATATTTTCATATAATACATCTCCATTTAGAAAAGATTTGCCAAAAGTTTTGAGCACCAAAGATATATCAGGCCTTAAACAGCATTACATTGGAATCCATGAAAGCATAGTATCTCTGAAAGTATTGTTTTTGTCTGTATTTATGGGGTCAAAGGCAAAAACTTCGTTTATTCATTCTCTTACAGCTCGGGAGGCTCACATTCCCTCCAGAAACCCCAGAAGTAATGTTTGGTGAACTAGGAATGTTTAGAAAGGCAATTTAGACTATCTCATAATTATTTAAATATACCTATTCTATTTCTTTTCTCCTTTTACATGCACACACACACACACACAGACGCACACACTTTTTTTTCCCATATATTACAGGAGCGACTCTTCTAACGCCATCTAAAACTTCAGACAGGTTGACTGTGGATATGGAAGCAAAAGGGCACAATTTCCCCATTCTCAGAGCCTTAATTTCAATATATTTCAGGTACTTTTCTTCTCATTAATCAATACATCACCCAATATTTATTGTACCAATGTACAGATGTACCGCATACTGTGCGAATTGATAGGGTGCAAGAGAGAACATGACAGACGGTGTCCTTGTTCTCCGTTAAGCACATGCTATAGTGAGGAAAAAAAGAAAACAATTACTTAAAGCATTTAAATAAATACATTATTTAAATAAAAAATCATCATTAGTTTCATGAAAGAAATAAATTGGGTTCTTTGATGAAGACAATCAAAGGCAAATCCCTTAGAGTGTCTCTAAGAAAACAGAGTCTCTTTGTAAAGGGTATATTTATGCCATGTATGTAGAAACCAGAAAGGTGAGAACAAGCCAGGAGTAAAAAGATCTAAGGGGTGATACACACACACACATACACACACACACTCACACACACACACACAGAGACATGCACATGCATGTATATTAAATAGTTGTAAAATCCAGGCAAGTTGTTTGAATTGGGACAACCTAAGATCTGTATTTTTTATCAAATCACATACCTATAAATAACATAACTATGAGAAAAAACTATGTGAAATTTTTATAAGTTTTAGAGATATTAAAAATGGTGTTCAAAGGGAAAACTCACTTGTAAGGAAGTAAAATATATATGACTAATGTTTACATTTTATAGAAATATAAATGAGACTAAAAACCATGACAAAGAAATATATGGCATAAAATAATGTAAGGTCTTTAAAAATATTGTATTAATAAACAAGTAAAAATTAAACATCAATGTGTTTCTGCCAAGAAAATGTTTAATCTTTTGAAATATTAAACAATTTATTACATTAGCTATCTGTTTTTTTTTTTTTTTTGAGATGGAGTTTCACTCTTGTTGCCCAGGCTGGAGTACACTGCTGCGATCTTGGCTCACCGCAAACCTCTGCTTCCCAGGTTCAAGCAATTCTCCTGCCTCAGCATCCCGAGTAGCTGGGACTACAGGCGTGTGCCACCACGTCTGGATAATTTTGTATTTTTAGTAGAGACGAGGTTTCTCCATGTTGGTCAGGCTGGTCTCAAACTCCCGACCTCAGGTGTTCCACCAGCCTTGGCCTCCCAAAGTGCTGGTATTACAGGTGTGAGTCACCGCACCAGGCATATCAGTTTTTAAATAGTGAAGGTACAACCATGCAAATCTATCATGGCTATCAAGTCAGTGACAATGTTATATAATTAGAGAATAGATGGGACACTTCTCAGAGTATTTTTCCAGCTTTACTGAGGTACAATTGACAAATAAAAATTGTATATGTTCGAAATGCAAAACATGATGTTTTATATACATTGTAAAATAATTACCATAATCAAGTTAATTAACACATCCATCATCTCACATAGTTGTCCTATGTTGTTGCTATTGTAAACCCTTAAGACCTACTCTCTGGAGTCTGGTTAATGGTACAAACGTACAGTTAGATAGAAGAAATAAGTTTCATTGTTAGCAGAATAGGGTGACTATCAGTAAAAACAATGTATTGTATATTTCAAAATAGTTAGTAGACAGGGCTTGAAATATTCCCAACACATAAAAATGCTAATTACTCAAGGAGAAGTAAACATTCTGACTTGATCATTACACATTCTATGCATGTAACAAAATATTGTAAATATGTAAATAGCACGTATCAATTAAAAATTGATGTGTTCAACGAACTGCAGGTAGATATTTTAAAACAATAATAAATTGAGGAAGCACCTATAAATTTAGAGAGTAAAAAACATATTAGCCGATTACAGTGTATGGCACTTATGTGAAGAATAATCTATTTTAAAAATCACATTTCAACAATAGAGAAATTGTGAATACTGACTATATAGTTTTATAGGTTAAAGAGTGCTATATTATAATTCTTTAAAGAGTCTTTATCTTTTAGAGATACATACTGAACAATTTGCTAATGAAATGTATGGGATTTTGTTAAAAATGAGTAAAAAATAAATAAAATAAATAAAACAATGTTAGCCATGGAAAAATCAATGATCTTAACAAATTTGAAGTAAATATTATTAACTACAGTGACTATACTACATGCTAGAATTCCAGAACTTATTAACCATATAACTGAAAGTTTATATTCTGTAAACATAACTTATGCACCATTATTACAATATGAGAATATTCTGAAATTGATTATAGGTTTACCTCTACTAGTGACTTTTATACTTTCATGTGTTTTCATGTTGTTACTTAGTGTCCTTTAGTTTCAATTTGAAGAACTCTCTTTAGCATTTCTTGTAAGGCAGGACTAGTGGTGATGAACTCCCTAGAAGTCACCAAAAAAGGGGCTTTTATTTCTCTAAAAATGTCTTTACTTCTCCTTCATTTCTGAGAACAGCTTTGCTAGATATAGTTTTGTTGGTTGACAGGCTTTTGTTTGTTTGCTTGCTTTTTTTGTTGTTGTTGTTATCACTTGAGATAATCCTACCCCTTCCTGGCCTAATCTATCCTCCAGTTTCCTGATTATTCTGTATGATTGATTCTGCTGCTGAAGATCTGCATCGATTGTTTTTTTCAGTTATGCCATTGTATGCTTCAGCTCCAGAATTTCTGTGTGGTTCCTTTTCATGGTTCCTATTTTTTTCATTAAACTTCTAATTTTGTTCATGTATTGTTTTCCTGAACATTATTTAGTCATCTAGCTATGTTCTTTTGGATCACATTGGACTTCTTAAAGACGAATATTTTGAATTATTTGTCAGGCAATCTGTAAAGCTCCATATCTTTGGTGTTGATTACTACTGGGGCTTTATTAGTTTCCTTTAGTAGTTTCATGTTTGTCTGATTTATCATGATTCATCTAGCCTTACATTGATGTCTATGCCTTGGAAGGAGCAAACACCTCTTCCAGTGTTTAGAAACTTCTTTCAGCAGGAAAATGCCTTCTCCTTTCAGGTTCCTGGGATGATGCAATTGCCTCTGTAATCATAATAAAGTGTGGTCAAAGCTGGTTGATGCGGCTTTTGGTGGGTCTGCAGTTAGTTCTTTGTTTGGCAAACCTGTTACCAGGTACTAGGGCAGCTGTGGATCCTGTCTGGACCTTGACAGGCTGGCTGCCTCCAAGACCTTGTTCAGTAGGGCAAGTACTGGGACAAGGGCCTGCTTCAAAGTCTGCAGTTGCTCAGCAGGTGGGGGGTCTAATACCAGGTGCATGGATAGGTGAGGCTCTCACTATGCCCTTTGGTAGGTCTGTGGTTGGTCAAGACTGGCCCAAGACTGTGGCTAAAAGGTACTGGGACTAACTTACAAGGGTTCTTTAGGGTGTGCAGTCTGCAGGCCTGTCTCCAAGGGCACAGATGGGCATGCTTCCTGCTGGCTTCCTAGGGTACTTGCCTCAAATAGTGTTTCAGTGAGTTTTAAACATATTCTATTAAAATGTTCTGTGATATAGTTAATTATGAATAGGAACAATTAGTGCCTTTGTAGTAGTTAAAATACCCAAACACTGAAATAAGGATCTTCTCACTATTTTTATATGTACAAAACCAATGTAATTATTATCTCTGCCTACAAAGAACTTAGTTTAATGGAGAAAATACGTAAAGAAACAACTATCATATAAAGTGATAAATTCTACTACAGCTGTAAAGCAGAAGTTTTGGGGAATATAGGGTTATGGTTAACCTGGTTTAGATAAGACAGCAATTTTCTGAAAGATGTCAGATATATGCAGAATTATAAAGGAATAATGTCAGGATACAATGTTATATAAGCAGATTTCAGATATCTGCATACTCACACATACACCCACATGCAAATACCAACAAGTTTTCAAGTATTAATGAATTAAACAAACTCTACAATAGCAAAAAAGGCACATAGAAAACCTATTCCCAAAAGCAACCCCATCTAAAACATTGGTTTCTTATACTGTTATAGTTTATTTCATACTAATAATCATTACTTCACATTAAGTTGCTTACATATTTGTGTACTTTTTGTCTAATTTTTACAAGGTCCTTAACTAGTTCCCTGAGAAGTGAGTCTCTCACACACACACACAAATGATTATTTAAACATTTTTAAAAAGGAGTAATTGCTATTATAAGGTGTAATACAGATGGAGAAAATATGAATTATGAGAGAAAAAATAGGAGTATAAATTAAAAGAACGATTAGAAGAGACATTTATGAAGAAGTAATATTTTGGTGCAGACAAAATCAAATTTACATTAGAGTTTGATGAAACTTTTCCAAGTATTTTTATTCCAGGGAAATATTAAGATAAATGTGCTATTAGAATTTTGTCCTTTAAATATCAAACTACTTCAAAGAGCTTTGTTTGTCAGGTATGGTGATTTATTTTGCTAGCTCAAATAAAGGAGTAGAGGAATAGTGTAAAAACATGAAAGAAAACCTATTAGGATTTCAAGCCAATGTTTATCCATGCTTAAGATGAAGAGGACCTAGAAAACTGTAGTTGTTGAGGTCAGTTTCTACTTTCTCAGAATATGTATGCTTTCTTTATTCCTGTTTGTCTCTCATAGTCCTTATGACTTCTTTCGTTTCTTTTCCTTTCTTCACAGACTGTTCTCCTGGAAGATTATTTTGTTTGCATGTAGCCCAACACAGATACTTTCCTAAGTAAATACCAACATACATTCCAGTGGCCACCGCCAAGAGATTATACCCATAATATCTAGCAATAGACAATTGTAAGAAAAAATACTTTAGGTGGCTTTTTGGACAAGGTGCCTTGTGTACGTTTGTTTAACCTTGTTAAAATAAGCTGTTACTCAGAAAATCATGTATATATATTTTTTTTTTAGAACAACATTGGTGTAATGGTTAATTTTGGTGTTAACTGACTGGATTAAAGAATACTTAGCTGGTATTCTCAGTGTGTCTATGAGGATGTTTCTGAAGGAGATTGGCCTCTGCCCTTAATGTGTGTGGATACCATCCAATTGGCAGGGAGCCTGGAGAAAAAAAAAAAGGAGGAAAAAGAATTTCCTCTCTCTCATACACTCTCACCTGCTCTTGCCCCTCTGCCTTCCACCACGGGATGACAAAGTAAGAAGGTCCTTGCTGGATGTGGACCCCTTGACCTTGGACTTCCCAGCCTCTGGAACTGTAAGAAATAAATCTCTGTTCTTTATAAATTACCCAGTCTCAGGTATTCTGTGTTAGCAGTACAACTGGGGTAAGAATAGTGATTTGATTTTTATTTAGAAAATGTTTCCTATTTGAGTGGTCTAAAGTACACTTGTATTTTCCTAGAACTTTTTTTACTGTAAATGGCTGATGGTGCTTCATACATGGATTTTCACTTTAACTAAAATACACAAATTGATTTAATTAGCAATTAAGATTGACCATGATATCTTCTCCAAGTGAAGTAAGAAAACAATCAAGTTTTGTCACTTGATAGTTCATAACTGTGATAGACCCTAAAATGACTCAAAAATGATTCCTGACTTCAGGTGTTCATGTCTTTTTATAATCTCTTCCTCTTGAGTGTGGACAGAAGCTGTGACTTTTGTCTAAACAATAGAATTTGGCAAACATTAGGAAAGATTGTTCCTGTGATGTCATACTTTATAAGATTCCATTTTGCTAGTGAAAATGGGCCTTATTATCCCCCTAGCTTAAAGAATAAAGCTGCCATTTAGTGAAAGAGTCTATGGAGAGAACCACAAGCCAATAAACTGCTGGAGATTTCTAGGAGCTGATAGCAGGCCCTGGACAACAGCCAGCAATAACTTGGGACCTCAGCCCTTCAACTGTAAGGAGAGTTCTGCAAACATCCTGAGTGCACTTACAGAAGGATTTACCTCCAATTGAGTTTCCAGATGAGAACCCTGCCCTAGTCAGTCAACATGTTGAAGATACCTTTTCAGAGGAGCAAGATAAGTTGTGTCCAGACTTTTTGACCCACAAAGACTGTGAGATAGTAAATGTTATTTGATTTAAAATGCTAAGATTTTGGTAATGTGCTACACAGCAATAAAAACCCAATAAAAATTCTTAAAAAAAAAAAAAAAACATCACTGTTGTTGTTAGCTAGTCTTAGACAGCATCTTATGTAACACTCCAGGGAAGTAACTTTTGGCAAAATGTTGTAAATGTGTTTCCATACAATATTTAAAGCAACAAATTTCTATTTTCATTTACTTGCTAATTGTATTTTGATTATATAATATTGGTACTTTTTCTAAATAATTACATAAAATACAAACATACATTGATTATAAATAATTCATATGATCTCATAACTGTTGCATACTTATGGTGACTTTCTGTTGAAAATAATTTTGTCATGTTAATACAATATTCCAAAATGTTAGATTGCCAGTAAATTATAAATAATTCTATACTTTCCTCAGACTCATCTTCCAAATAACTTATAAACTACAGTAATTACTTGTGGAGGGGCATTTTGCCCCTGCATGATCAGAGATGCAACACATTGATATCCATCTAATGCTCTTGGCATTCTTTACTCAAGTGGTCCTACTGCCCACCTGTTTTTACGCTTACAATATACCGGTCCTAAAGTTAAGGCTTATCTGAATGCTAGAATACTCCCTCACTTATGTGACTTTATTTCATTATCTATATTTTTCTTCCGTAAGTTACGACCCCATTTATTAACCTTAGTCCCTCAGATAAATCTGTCTCTATCTGAATCCCATGTGTGGCCTGTGTTTAATAAGCTCTCTTCCGGGAGATTCTTGGCCACCTGCAAATAGAGAGGTATGCCAGGGCTTCTAATTACACTTATGTAAATCCCTGCAAATTAAAAAATCTCCCCAGGTTCACGGCACTTGGGAGTTGGCTTTCCCCAAATCATCCAAAACTTGTCTAGGGCATATAATAACATCAAACAACAGCTTAACAAATACGTATTTAGTACTAACCATAATATAAGATTTTTTTATTATTATAAACTCAGGCCAGGCCCAGTGGCTCATGCCTGTAATCCCAGCACTTTGGGAGGCTGAGGCGGGAGGATCACAAGGTCAGTTGTTTGAGAGCAGCCTGACCAACATGGTGAAACCCCGTCTCTGCTAAAAATACAAACATTAGCTGGACGTGGTGGCGGGTGCCTGTGATCCCAGCTACTCGGGAGGCTGAGGCAGGAGAATTGCTTGAACCCGGGAGGCAGAGGTTGCAGTGAGCAGAGATCACACCACTGCACTCCAGCCTGGACAATAGTGGGAGACTCTGTCTCAAAAGGAAAAAAAAGAAAAAAGAAAAAGAAAAAAAAAACTCAATGTAAAATAAAAAATTAAAAAGAAGTATAAAAAATTAAAGAAAATACAAAACTCCACCATTCATATACACCATTATATCTCTTTACTTAAGGCAAGCATCGTAAATTATATAATTTATTTATAATACAAATAGACTTTCTATTTTCAAAATTATTTTTTAATTATAAGTTTTAATTTAAAATACAGAGGTGCTATGGATTGAAAGGTAATGTCCAAAACCTCATGTTAAAATGCAATCATCAATGTGGCAGTATTGAATGGCAGGGCTTGGAAGAGGTGATTAGGTCATAAAGGCTCAATCATGAATTGATGGATTAATGAGCTAGTAGATTAAAGGGTTAACATGGGGGTGAGAGTGGTAGCTTTGTAAAACGAGGAATACAGAGCTTACCTAGTATGTAGCCTATTTGCCATATGATGTCCTGCCCAGATTTGAGACTTTACAGAGTCTCCAACAGCCAGAATGCCCTCACCAGATGTGGCTCCCCAACCTTAGATTTCTCTGCCTCTATAAATGTAAGAAATAAATCCTTTACTATGTGCATCGCCCTGTTTCAGGTATTCTCTTACAAGCAAGAGAAGATGGACTAAGAGCTATATAGTATATGCATTTTGAAACATTACCTGGTACAAATCCATCTTTAAATAATTTGTATAAATTTTAATATATTTCACAAATATATACAAATACACACACACACACACACACACACAGAAATATGATTATTATAGGTGGTTTTATAATGTCCAAAATGATAAAATTCAGTTTACCTTGACCTTGTCAATACATCATATAATTCTCAAAATAATTTTGTGAGGTAGGCAACAGAGATAAATTTACCTTCATGATACAGTAAAAGTATGGGCTCCAAAAACCTAACACAGTATTTTGTTGCAGAATTTCAGTATCCTTAAAAATGCTGGAATCAGAATTCAGTTAGAATGTTCCAAGGTAATGCTAAATGCTTCTGCCAAATTTTCTGGAAGCTGAAAGTTGGTAAAATTAAAAATATGCTTAAAATAACTAGAAATTCAGAAATTTTATTTGCTTGATTTGTTAGCAGCACGGGGAGTTAACCTCTTGTCAATGAAATTTTGCAATCATAATCCCAGAAAACCTCATTTCTCTGAAAGGCAATTTTCAGATTACCCTGATATTTATTGATTAATTTAAATACAAACAATGTGTTTCTATCATCATTCATTCCTTCAGCTAGTACTTCTTGGCTGCCTGTCTGGCACAATACATAATGTTAGGCTAGATACTCTATCTTCTTATTTGAAATATATAGAGAAATTATCTTTATATTTTGTTGCTGATTGTGTTACAGATTTGAATCCCCATCTCTTGCAAAACTAAAGGGAGTGGACTTAACTTGGTCTTTTGGAACATATTGTCTCTTTAATGTAGTTATTTGTTTATTTTCCCAAACAATATATTTGATGCCAGTGAATTCAGCCCTGTGTGACCTGTACAGAGTGGCTCCTTTCTGAGTGATTGATTTTGACTGATTTAATAATATCAACATATTGAAAGAATGTCTAATAATGCTGATTATTAGACATTATAGTATATTAGACTTTTTAAAATGTTAGACATTATATATAATACATATAATATATTATTAGACATTATAACATGATGTCTAATAATCAGCATTTTTAGACAATATATTGAAAGGATTTTTAATAATGCTGATTATTAGACATTATAGTATAACAAACATTTTTCATCTATGTTGTGAATAGCTGATATATTCATGGTTTTAATATACCACTTGCCTATATTAAAAGTATTTCATTAATAGCCAATGACAAAAGCAACTTTCAAAAGGAAGTCTCCTCTTCTCAAATTATATATATGTATATACACACATGAGAACACAATAACTGTCAATGAATTAATTACTAAAACTAAATCAAACCCAGTATGTGGAGAACTTAGTATGTTTAAAATTATTCTATCATGGTGAAAAAAACACAATATCAAAACAATCATCTATCATTAAAAAATAATCATCCAAGTATACTTTCATATTATTCTGGTAATATTCTTTAAAGGTAAACCACTTTTAGAGCGCAAGTTACAGAAATGATTCACATTCAATTATTTTTAATGAACATTCATTTATTAGTACATTAAAGACTCTATATTGGGCACCAGGGATTTTAAAAAACACAATTAGAACTGGGTGCGGTGGCTCACACCTGTAATCCCAGCACTTTGGGAGGCCGAGGCAGGCAGGTCACGAGGTCAGGAGTTCGAGGCCATCCTGGCCAACATGGTGAAAACCCGTCTCTCCTAAAAATACAAAAATTAGCTGGGCATGGTGGCACTCGCCTGTAGTCCCAGCTACTTGTGAGGCTGAAGCAGGAGAATCACTTGAACCTGGGAGGCAGAGGTTGCAGCGAGCTGAGATCATGCCACTGCACTCCAGCCTGGGCAACAGAGTGAGACTCCGTCTCAAAAAAAAACCAAAAAACACAAACAAAAACAAACAAAAACCCCCCATGGTTAGAAAATAAACCTTGCTGGAAATAAACTTAGAAAAACATGGAAAAGATATAAAAATTAACTATAAAAAATAATAGTTTTATTATAAGTAATAGTGATTGGAAAACAATGAATAATAATTATTTTTTGAAACTCAAATATTTCATTAAAGATGGAATTTTTGTATTGGGCATGGGTGATGATTGGTGATTTTCCAGATAAACTGGTAGATCATTCCTCAGGCACAATGGGTTAAAAAAAAATGAATACTGTGAATGAGCAGTGTGGAAGGTAAAGAAGAGAGGGGAAGCAGAAGTGGATCAGGGCAGAGGAGAGCTGGGTCATATATATGCAGTTTGGCAGAGTGACCTAGAAAAACACACAGTGGTAGGAGATTAAATGATTGGTGATCAGATTTGTAAAAGGCGATGAGTAGAATACAAAACATCATTTGAAGAGGAGAGAAAAATAAGCAGAAGATGATGGGGTGGCTATTTCAAAGGGCAATGATGAGAAAAACATTGAACATACAAATGAAAAGAAAAAGTATATAAAAATATTGAATCCATAGGATATAGCAGTGAAATACAAATCACAGAGCTCTAGTTTGGAGGTTATTGCCAACTAAAATACTGAACATGGGAAGAAAAACAATATGCTGATAGAGATAATCATTGATTTTTTATTTCTTATTAAATTACATTAACATGTATATGTGTTAGGAAATTCTACTTCTTGAAACCTAGATGAGAAATACAATTATATTAAGCAAAGTCACTTAAATTAAGAATGCCAGTATTTCAATTTTAGCACTTTCTGTGAAAATACATAAGAAGATGGTGCGGAGTTTTGGATAGACTGACATGAATTGTGAACATATAAACAACAACTAGAGTTGAAGGTTTTACTAATTGGAAAACAGATGACCTGAGTGAATTAATATTTACTTGTGAGAAAGAGGAGCAAGATGGCAGAATAGAAGGCTCCACTGATTGTCCCCCTGCAAGAACACAAATTTAACAACTATCTACACACACACACACACACACAAACACCTTTGTAAGAACCAAAGATTGGGTGATAACTCACAGCACAATGTTTCAATTCATGTCACTGAAGGAGGCACTGAAGAGGTGGAAAAAGTCTTGAATTGCTGATGCCACCCCTCCCTCATGCCCTGGCAACAGCAGCATGGTGTGCCCTAGGGAGAGGGAAAGCCAGCAATTGTGAGGCATTGAACTCAGTGCTGTCTTTGTTACCGAAGAAAACAAAATGGGACCAAACTTCGCTGACACCTGCCCATGGAGGGTGCATTTAAACCAGCCCTACCCAGAGGGGAATCATCAATCCCAGCAATGGAAACTTGATTTCCCCTAAGCCTTGCCACCATGGGCTAATGGGATCTGGAGCTCCAAATAAACCTGAAAGGCCTACACCTAGATGAGTCCCAGGGCTGAGCTGAGCCCAGAGACAGTGGATTGGGTGGCAGGGGGTTGGGGTTGCAGGGCTGGGGGCACATGACCTATTGAAACACCAGCCAGGGTGGGTAAGGGAATGTTGGCATCACCCCTCCCCTAAACCTAGGCTGCTCAGCTTACAGCTCCAATAAAGCCCACTTTCTTGCACTTGAGGAGAGGAGACAGAAGAGTGGGGAGGCCTATGTCTTGCATTTTGAATACCAGCTTAACCACAGTAGGATAGGACACTAGTCAGAGTTGTGAGGCCTGTTCCATACCCTGGCTCTCAAATGACATTCTTAGACACACCCTGGCCCAGATAGGAACTTTGCTGCCTTGAAGAGAAAGACCTGGTCCTGGGAGGCTTCATTACCTCTTAACTGAAGAGCCCCTGGGTCCTGAATAACAAGTAACAATAGCCAGGTACTACATTGAGAGCCATGGGAGAGATGCTGAGACTTGCTGGCCTCAGGTGAGCTTCAGCACATTCCAAGCTGTGGTGGCTATGGGGCAAGAATACTGCTTGAGAAAGCAGAGGGAAAAGTAAAGAAGTCTTTTTATTGCACCTGGTACCAGCTTGGCCACAGGTGGGTAGAGCACCAAGTGGGCTCTTAAGGTCCCTGATTCCAGGACATGACTCTTTTACAGCATTTTTGGACCTGCCCTGTGTCAGAGGGGAGACCCCTTCCCTGAAAGGTGAGACCTAGGTCAGGTAGTTTTCACAACAATTTGACTTGAGAGCCCTAGGGCCTTGAGGGAACATCAGTGATAGTCTCCTCTTGAACCTCAGGTGGAGGTGGCCACAGGGTGAGGCTCCTCTTCCTTTAGAATGGGGAGGGAAGAGTGAGAAGGACTGCATCTTATGGTTTGAGTGCCAGCTCAGCCACGGTACAATAGAACACCAGGTGGACTTCTAAGGTTTTTGACTTTAGTCCCTTGCTCTTGGACAGTTTTTCTGGACCTGCCTGGGACCTGGGGAAACTCACTATCTTGAAGGGAATGGTATAGGCCTGACTGGCTTTGCCACTTGTAGATTTCAAAGCTCCAGGGCTTTGAGTGAACATAGGTGGTAGCAAGGGAGTGAATGAAAGTAGACTCCCATCTCCTACAATATACAAAAATAAAATCAAAATGGATGATAGCCTTAAATTTGAGACCTCAAGCTATGAAACTACTACAAGAAAGCATTGATTAAACTCTCTAGGACATTAGTCTGGGCAAAGATTTCTTGAGGATTACCCCACAAGCACAGGCAACCAAAGTAAAAATGGACAAATGGAATTATGTCAAGCTAACAAGCTTCTTCACAGAAAAAGAAGCAGTCAACAAAGTGAAAATACAACCGACAGAATGGGAGAAGATATTTACAAACTACTCACCTGACACAGGAACAATAATCAGAATATATAAGGAGCTCAAACAACTCTATGGGAAAAAATCTAATAATCCAATCATAAAATGAGCAAAATATTTGAAAAGGTATTTCTCACAAGAGGACATACAAATGAAAAACAGGCTTATGAAAAGGTGCTCAACATCATTTATCACCAGAGATATGCAAATCAAAACACAGTGAGATATCATCTCACCCCAGTTAAAATGGCTTATATAAAAAAGACAAGCAATAACAAATGCTGGTGAGGATGTGGAGACTAAAGAATTATGGTAGACTGCTGGTGGGAATGTAAATTAGTACAACAACTATGGAGAACAGTTTGGAGGTTCCTCAAAAAACTAAAAATAGAGCTACCATATAATCCAGTATTTCTACTGATGGGTGTATGCAAAAAAGAAAAAAAAGAATATATTGAAGAGATATCTGCACTTCCATGTTTATTGCAGCTCTGTTCACCATAGCCAAGATCTGGGAGCAACCTAAGTGTCCATCAACAGATGAATCGATAAAGAAACTGTGGTACTTATACATAATGGAATACTATTCAGCCATAAAAAAGAATGAGATTCAGTCATTTGCAACAACATGGATGAAACTGAAGACCCTTATGTTAAGTGAAATAAGCCAGGCACAAAAAGACAAGCACTGCATATTCTCATTTATTTCTGGAATATTAAATCAAAACAATTGAAATCATGGAGATAGAGTAGAAGCATGGTTACCAGAGGCTAGGAAGGGTAGTGAGGAATGAGGGGGACATAGGGATGGTTAATGGGTATGAAAAGTAGTTCGAATGAATGAATAAGGCCCAGTATTTGGTGACACAACAGGGTATCTATAATCAACAAAAATTTAATTGTACTTTTAAAAATAACTAAAAGAATACAATTGGATTGCTCATAACACGAAGTATAAATGATTGAGGGGATGAATACTTCATCTTCTGTGATGCGATTATTATACATTGCATGCCTGTATCAAAACATCTCATGTGCCCCATAAATATAAATGCCTACTAAGTACCCATAAAAATTAAAAATCAAAAAACAAATTTAAAAAAATTTGTGAAACATTCACTTTAAATCCTTACAAAATACCCTTGTTCGATTTAAAGTGGAGAGGGTGACACTTCATTTTTCTCCTAGTCTTTATCTGCTGACATAAATATCCAGGTACACACCACCATAAAATGAGAGCAACTCTTCTTCTTGTGCACAAGTGAATATAAGCCATAATTCCATCCCCATCTCTATCTCAAACACTTCAGATATCTATTCTGATTATTTACAAGAAGGGATTGTGGATGGAAAGGTTATTCATTCAAAGGATGAGTGGAAAGGCTGGGAAATATGGGGGATTTAAAATGTATACATTAGATTAAATATAATTTTGTCCTTAGTATCACTTTTGGTTGGTATTAACAGCTCCTAAGAAAACAGAATTAGCTGACAAAAAATTGTGATTTCATGATTAAAATTAAAATATTGATTAGATACAAATTGAGTTTCATAAACCATCACATAGATCATTTTGATAAAGACATGCCAAACAAGCAATGCAGTGCCAGTAAATATTCAAGGCAGATTTTACAAGTCAAACTGTTGCTACATATAAACAGCTGTAAAGAACTAGTATTGTGTTTATCAAAACAGCAACTATTTTCTGCTTACATATTTAACAGAGAAAGACATATAAAGTTGATATTTACTACTTAAATCAATATACTAACCTGTTATAATATACATTCCAGCTTTAATAAGTGCAGAACCGTAAGAAGAATATATTTTTAGAATTGCAATCAAGCCTAAAAATCAGACAATAGGCAGATATTAACTACATACTTAAATTCAGAGTCACAAAATGCATTTCTGAATAAAGCTAACATAATTTTTTCTCTATCACTAATTTAGTGTTGACTTAAATTTGAAAAATATGAACACACATATTGTTTGATTAAAAAAGAGGAACTTTATGAACACTCTATTGTCTGTGTTCAAGTTAAGTGCTTTATGATTCACTGAATGTCATTCATTGATGAGTTAATACTGTGCAATCATCTGCAGAAAATGTCAAGAGAATTTGCATGGTGATAAATTCTTAATGTTATTCTTAGGTCATAAAAAGTAATTTTTATTCACTATTAATGCAGAAACAAATAATCATATATTTTCGCACAAATATTTTAATTTTCTACTAGGTTTACAATTATTTTTTTAAATTACATAGATATAAAATGATGTTTTAGTGAAAAAATTATACTTTAAATATTTGGATACTTTATAGAAAACCTAAGGGTTTATATTAAGCTTTCATATAGACATACATCATTAACTAACTTAAATCTCAACTTTAAATAAATAATAATAATGTGTTAGTCCGTTCTCACACTGCTATGAAGAAATACCTGAGACTGGGTAATTTATAACGAATAGAGGTTTAGTTGACTCACAGTGCCACATTGCTAGGGAGGCCTCAGGAAACTTACACTCATAGCGGAAGGCAAAGGAAAAGCAGGCGCCTTCTTTCTGGGGCAGCAGAACAGAGCTAGTGCAAGCAGGGGAAATGCCACACACTTACAAAACCATCAGATCTCTTGAGAACTCACTCACTATCTTGAGAACAGCATGAAGGAAATTGCCCCCATGATCCAATTACCTCCACCTGGTCCCACTCTTGACACATAGGGATTATGAGGATTATAATTCGAGGTGAGATTTGGGCAGGAACACAGAGCCAAACCATACCAAATAATGAAGACCATACACATGTACTTTTATAGAACAAAAAAGTGTATCATAAATACTTGAATGTTGGTGCATGATCAGGAAATACGGAAAAGAAATATAAGTTATAGTTGTAGTAAAAATGTATATTTGAATGTCTCAATTAACATATCTGAATATTAGTTTAATAATTTATGGGCAGTATTAGTCTACTGGATGATTGCTAAATTCAGTGAGATTTCTAACATGCACATATACCTAAATATTTATCATGGCATTAAAAGATTATTCATGGTATTATGACAGTTTTCTTCCCAACTGACTATTACTAAATATTTTATTTTACACTGCAAACATAATATTTTCAATTTTCTATAGACTGTATTTGTATTCATTTCATAATTTTGGCCCATTTGTTTTAGAATCTCCCTCATGCTTCATATGTGACAGAACTCATGCTTGTCATCACATTGTTTACCAAAGCTGAGTGAAGAGCATTTATCAATTGTTTTCATGTGTTCTCATCAAAATTTCATTCTAGTAGTACTCACACTATACTGTAATCACTTTATTTTCAAACTTCGTGTCCAGAAAGTTAATGGATATAGGATTTATTTCTATTTTATGTTGACTAATTTATTACAAGTACCCATCAGAATGCATAGCAGGTGCTTATTAAATGTTTACTGAAATAACACATGTTAAATTAAGTCACAACTAAATATAAAAAGTGTAACGCTATATAGAAGTACAATTCAGCAGATATAAATCTAAAGTTTAAAAATATACCTAATCCATTATGACTTTATGTTTATATTTAAACACTACTCATCATAAATTTGAGATAGAACATTCAAATTTTGTGTAATTGAAAAAGACACAATATAAAAATGAGTAGCTATCATTATATAATTTCTAAACTTTCCTAAAGGTATCCTTACATATGTTTATATTTTGTCATACTCGCAAATGATAAAATAAATCAGATGGTCTTATTCACATTTTTTTCTCCTGATAAAACTAAGTTTCTAAGAAACTATATAAATTGCTTATTTTCATAATTATATGTTATAGCCAAGATTTCCAGGTGCAGATTGAATCCCTTCCCTCCTTCCTAACCTCCTCCCAAAATACTAAGACATCTCTTTAGCAAAGATAGGTTGAATTAATCTAAAATACGTCTGGTCCCAGGATCCCCATTAGAAAATGAGGCTCATAATTTGTTCCTGCATTCCCAAGCTTTCCATAATCCAGCATCTAGCTTAATCTCTTGACATTTAAAAAAAATCAATTGGATATTAATTTAGATTTTTTGCACTTACCATAATTTTTTGAGTTTCATTTATGTTGGTGCATGTAGGAATATTTTATCATTTTTTATTGCTGTATAGTATTCCATTGTTTAGGCATATTAGAGTTTTATAACTAATGATGGTTATCTGGGTTATTTTGGCTATTATGAATAACAACATTGTAGAAATTTGTGTACAAGTCTACGTAAAAATATGTTTTCATTGCTCTTGGTTAGATATCTAGAAGAGGAATTACTGGAACTTAAGAGAGATTAATGTTTAAGTTTTCACAAAACTTCAATAAGTTTTCCACAGGAGCTGCAGTACTTACATTCTCATAAACAATGTATAAGTGTACCAGTTTCTTTACGTCCTTGTCAACACTAAATATACTTGCTAATTTGATTATAGCCATTCTAATGAATGAGATTAAACTATGGTTTTAATTGATATTTCCTTGAGGACCAATGATGTTGCACATGTTTTGATGTGCTTATTGACAATTATATTCTTGGATAAAATGTCTATTCAAATATGTTGTCCATTTTTAAATTTAATTGTCCTTTTATTAATAAATTGTACACTTTCTTTGCAAATTCTGAAGACAAGAGTTTCCGCAGATACAGGATTCTTGAATATATTTCTCCATTTTGTGGATTATCTTTTCATTTATTTTAATGGTGCCTGTTGTAGTGTAGATATTTTTAAATTTGATGAAGCCTAATTTACCTTTTTTTTCCGTGGATTGTGCTGTTGATGTTCTATATAGGAAATATTTGCCTAAGCAAGTCCATGAAGATTTTCTATTACATTATCTTTAAAAGTTTAATAGTTTTTGTTTTTACATTTATGTTTATGATTTATTTGAAGATGATTGCTTTGTACGGTATGTGGTACAGGTCTTAATTCACCCTTCATATATGAAGAGCAATTTTATAATTACTGTTTGTTGTAAAAGCTATACTTTGTCCATTAAATTGCTATGCCACCTTTGTCAAAAATCAATTGTCTGTAAGAGTTTATTTCTAAGTTATTAATTCAGTTCCATTAATTTATATGTGTATCCTTATGCCAGTACCACACTTCATTACTTAGCACCATAGTAAATTTTGACATCAGGAAGAATGAGTCTATAAACATTGTATTATTTTTTGAAGATTTTGTCTACTCTGCGTTCTTTGCATTTACTATAAATTTTTAGCAAGGACTTGCCAATTTACCTAAAAACATATGCTGGTATTTTGATAGGGATTACCTTGACTCTAGATTGTCATTTGCATAGAATTGCTATTTTTTATATGGCTGAGTTTCAAATGAAGAGGGAATGTCATTTCATTTAATTATATCTTATTTTTTTCCAGCATTGTTGTGTAATAGTCAGTGTACAAAGTTTATACCTCTTTCGTTAAATTTATTTCAGGCCAGGCCACAGTGGCTTGCATCTATGATCCTACCTACTTGTGAGGCTGAGGTGGGAGGATAGCTTGAAACAAGGAGTTGGAGAATAGCCTGGGCAACTAGTGAGACACCCCCCATCTCTAGAAAAATAAAAATAAATTATCTGGGTGTGGTGGCACACACCTGAAGTCCCAGCTACTCAGGAGACTAGGGTCGGAGGATCCCTTGAGCCCAGGAGTATGAGGCTGCAGTGAGCTATGATCATGCTACTGCACTGTAGCCTAGCCAACAGAGCAAGACTCTGTCTCTGAAAAAAAATCCAAAGAATGTTATTCTTTTCAATATTATTGTAAATGAAATTAGTTTCTTAATTTTAATTTTTGGATTGTTATTGTTAATATATAGAAATATCATTTTTATACTTTTTATATTTTATAATGTTTCAATAGTTAAACAGTATTTGTGAATACTTCATACTTTCTAGATAAATCCCGTTTTTGACAGTAGTGAACAATGGAATACGAGTTTGTTTGAATTTTGACTGATAGCCTAGGCAGTTTGTCACGGACTGGCTTCTCTGGAATGAGACACTGAGATATAGTTGGGATAAAGTATTTTTTTTTTTTTTTTTAGAATTTATACCAGTGAAAAGGAGGGAGGAACAGGACTGGGATGAAATAAGGTGAACAGCAGTGCATGACAGAGAAATGCTGACCATTCCAATAGAAGGCTCTGAAGTGAATATTCCCATTCAAATATTCTGTGTTGTCAGGCTGAAATGATCAGGCCTTCATACATTCACCTTACTCAGTCACAGGCTGTGGGTTACCCAGGAAGGACATCACTTAACTTCTTGGAGCTGAAAAGTCAGTCATTCATTGAAAGTGAAAATGGGCAGCACACCTTCATGTCTATCCATGTAATTTTACATAATTATTCACTGAAAGTTTGAAAAAAGATGAAGTTGCTCGCTGCCTGAAAGTGGAAGCCATGTTCATAATACTGTCCTTGAGTTACATACTTTTTACTACCAACCCATGTAATAAATTATTGCTCCATTAGAAGCAGAGCTAGTACCTTGCATGTAGTTTCATGAAGATAATCCAGAATTTGTTGTGGCATGTTTTAGGGCCTTTTCAGTTTTTAGCATAGCCTTAGCCTCTGTAAGCCATAATTTTATGTAAAGGTTAGAAAAAATAATTCATTCAATTACTATTGGAGTTTTTTGGTTTGTTTGTTCAAAAAAAGTTTAATTCATTGACTACTTTGTGTCTTCAATGCTTTAACTTTACCAAGGAAACATTCTAAAAGGTAAAAAGATTATTACATACGTTAGGAAATTCTCATTGGATAAAGTGCTTTCTGAAAGTGAGAAAATTATTTTTAGAAGTTTCTTTTTATCCTTTAGTCTTACCTTACTTTTTGTTGTACTCAGGAAACAGTTTTCTCAGTGGATAGAATAAGTTCACACAAGTCCCACAAAGTGCTAAATAAGCCCCTGCCTATGTATTATTTATAAAGAAAATCTGGCCCTATGTGGTTTTTTCATCAACATTTTCATTCTATTTCAACCCTAACTTGCTTAAGATATATTTTTTATTCCCATCTTTAAAAAATGTTGTTAAAATCCAATGAAACACAATAAGAGAACAGTAAAATTATTTATATTTTTGTACTATCATCAATCTTTAGAAATTTTATGACAAGTAAATCTATAGATATTAAACCAAGCATATATAAGATGTAAGGTACCTTTGAAAAGCTCATGTGAAAAGGACAATATTTTAATCTAGATTTTCATAGTATAAATTTTCCGCGCATGATTGAAAATCAACTCGTTTATTTATTTATCTTTTACTGCCACATCAGGAAGTGATTCAAGAAAATGTCAACCAAGTACCAGCTCACAAATAAGATGAACTATATTTTAAAATTCCTGTAAATATCTGTTATAGAATTTTATTAATATTAAACCTCAAGAAAGAGGCTGCTTTTGTGTCCAATTTAAGTTTAATCTTTAGCTCCTATACCTATAAAATTTGCCTTTTTAAATGAATAAATTGAGCCAAAGCCATCTAGGAAATGTATACTTCATATTCATGTATTTATTCTTCTTATAGCATAATAAAAACATGAACTACAAGAATGAAATCATGAGTAAATCATATTGTTAAATCTAAATATTTCTTGAGCAAGCAAAATTTGAAACAGACATTTTGTTGTTAACTAGTGAGTTCTAAACATATTTCTATCATTTTAAGAAAATGAATTTTAAAATTCTATCATAAACAATTAATAGTAGTCCCAAATTAATCCCCCTCACATTAAAATTCACTTTCCCATTACATTCCATTAATTTCTTATCAAAATACAGAAAGAGATTATGATTTTCAGTAAAGGACCAAGTTCAAAATTCTAAATAAATGTATGGTCAGAGTGTCTACTAAAGGCAATTTTGAAAGCTTCTAGCCATTTTAAACAACATGATTTACATTTTTCTGCAAATAATAATTTGAAACTAGAAAGAAGATATTTTATAAGGTCAGCTTTCCTCCTGTCTTACTCATAATTTTTGTATTATTGGGGCAAATGAATATTGATAGATATTATCAGTATTTGTAGAACAACTTGTTTGTGACAAGAAGACACTCACATGAATAATTTATTGTAAGGTTTTCATTTATTTTTATGTGTGTGTATTCCAGAACAAATTACCTTATGCAATTGGGACACTGCAATATCATACAAGAACATAGTGAAACCAAGATTCTCACTGGAGTCCAGAATGAACCATAGGTATAGATTCCCCGAGTAAGACCTAGATCAGACTCCAGGAGAGGTTTCAGGATCCAGGAAACAATAGCAAACAAAGTACTGTTCTTCATAGTTAATTGTTCCTACTCAATTATGACAAAATAAAATTCTCTAAATCTGCCTATCTTTACTTATATCATCATAAAAAATTAGCAATTTTTTGCATACCCACAAATATTCATATAATCTATTAAAATATACATGTATAAAAAAATCCCCCCTCTACAAGCTCCCTCCTCTATGGATCCTCACAAATCAGCACATCTTTGGAATCAGCACCCAGGTCAATAAACAGACCATTTATCTTCATGTATTTTGGTATTATGCTTACTCAAACTAAAGAGTACTTTTTTTTGTTTTGATTAACAGCTTTATTGAGATATAACTGATATACAGAATGCTGTATAGGCTTAATGTATACAATTTGATGAGTTCGAACATATATGCATTTACCCATTAAACCATCACCACAATTAAGGGAGTAAATATATCCATAATCTTTGAATGTGTCCACATGCCCTTTTGTGGTTTGTTTTACTTTTTTGTGATATGAACATTTAACATAAAATCAACACTCTTTAAATTTTTTAATTGCACAACCCAATTCTTGTCTACCCAAGAATTCTGTTATCAACTGTAAGTTCATAAGGTTTCCAAAAACCCCCTCAGGTTTGGTAATTTGCTAAAACAGACATACAGAACTCACAGAAGCTTATTATACTCAGATTTATGTTTATTATAGAGAAATTATGCATTAAAAGCACTCAAGGGAAAAAAAACATATAGGGAAGAGTCTGGGAGGGTTCTTAACGGGAATTTTCCACATCCTCAGAACGTGTTACCCTTCTGACATTACATACATTACATGACAATGCACTAGAGGTATTGCCAACCTGCAACTCTCACCAAAGCTTTAGTGTCTAGAGTTTTATTGAGGCTTCCCTATACAAACACGATTGATTGATTCATTGTCAGTGTGATTGAATAAAATCTCCAGGTCCCTCTCTCCAGAGGTGAGGCAATATCATGTGACCCAAAGCTTCAACTTCCTAATCACATGGTTGGTCTTTCTACTGTGGCCATATTCCAAGACTACTGGATGTGCCTGCCTGGTCCCACTATCAGGTTAGCACAAACTGTCAGGTGTGGTCCCAGGGGTCTACTATAAACAACAAAGATACTCCTGTCACTCAGGATATTCAGAGGGTTTACCTTCTGAATTACTTTCAAGGAGCTTGAATAAAGATCAGACCTCTTTTTGATGTGTCCACCTTATTATACTGAAGGTGAAGCAGAGAGAATTGTCTTTATTATTTTGGGGTATCTCCAAATTTTTCCCAAAATATACACTATCTCCAGCTTCCAAGTCACATTTATTATTTGAATATTCAAATTCAGAAAGCCTAGAATATGCAGGTACACAATGAATCCCATGGGGAATTGCCTCCCAACATCTTGGTTGATCCCGCCTTTCAACACTTGGCATTAGTTAACAATATATTATAAAATTTGTATATTTTAAACTGTATTCAATGTGTCATGCTTTCAAAGAGTGATGTTTTTATTTAAAGAAAAAGTGAACGTCAAATTTTCTGAACTAGATTTTCACTATTAAAGAAAACGTAATGTCTGCTATTTTAATGTAATGTCTGCTTGTTTGTAAGAATGTATAAGTTTAAGCTCATCTGCAAAGTCTAATATATAAAAGTAAAACATTTAAAAACTATTTTAATTTTTGACATGCAATACATTTAATAGGTATAAAGCTTCATTTAAAACAAGATATTTGTTTTGTATAAAAGTTATACACATTGTATTTATGAGTATTGAGTGTGTTTTGGAAAATAGAGTTTAGAACATGGTTTTATTTAGCTTAGTAGTTTTTGTAAAACATTTTAAAATCAATTATTTTTTATAAATCTTAAAATAGTTTTATGTGGGCATGAGTCATATAAGTTAATATATCAAAGACTTGAAGTTACTTTATATTAAGTAATATATAGCACATTTTATATTAATTTATGTTAATGTGTTACATATCTGCTGTAATAGCTCAAATTTAAAGGTTTTTATTAAGCAAATTGTATATGAAAACGTGTTATGAAAAACCATACATTGAACCAAGTAGGTATTCAATGCTATAAAATATTGAACTAATATTACAAATACTAATTACAACTAACATTACAAAATGCATTTAATTCAAAATAAAATAAGGTAGATCTTGAGATTTAATAAGATCACCCATAAAGCTGTGAGTTTTGTCCTACATTTTAAGGTTTCTTAGGCTAGTGGCTTTTGTTTTTCATAGTTTTCAACTCCAATAACACTACTATATTAGAAATATTATGGAATACTATGCAGTCATAGTATTTTTAATGTAGTAGTGTTACTGGAATACTATGCAACCATGGTAATAGTTTGGGACATGGATGAAGCTGGAAGCCATTATCCTCAGTAAACCAACACAGAAACAGAAAACCAAACACTGCATGTTCTCACTTATAAGTGGGAGCCGAACAATGAGAGCACATGGACACAGGGCGGGGAAAGACACACACTGGTGACTGTTGTGGGAGGGCAGGTCGGCGGAGAGCATAAGGAAAAATAACTAATGCATGCCAGGCTTAATACCTAGGAATTGGGTTGGTAGGTGAAGCAAACCACTATGGCACACATTTACCTACGTACCAAACCTACACATCCTGCACATGTACCCTGGAGCTTAAAATAAAAAAGAAATTAAAAAGAAAAAATATATAACATATATTAAAAATTATTACATATGCTTACTTTGACTGTTAGACATAATTAAAAATAATTATTTCATTGTCAAGCTTTAAATAAAATATCACCTAAACATCTACTTGAAATAATGAAAGTGAAAAAATATTTGAACTAAATATGAATTGGACTATGAATATTTACTTTTAATAGTGTATCCTTCTTACTAACGCCAAGTAAAATTAATAGTTGAATCTATCCATGAACAAGTTTAAAGTGGAGTCTGACTAGATCAGAAGCTCAGTAAGAACGGTAATATTGCGTGTGAAATGCCAAAGTGTGGAGGGAGTCAAGAAATAGGCCATTCCCTTTTTTCAATAGAGGGCTGCATTAAAAATTTTTTAAACAGTGTGTGCATATGAGCCAGGGGCTTAGTGGAGAATCAGATGCAAGCAAAATATACTTACAGTAAATTACAAATTCAGAATAGAACAAGGATTTTTCTCGATTTAAGTGCACTTAAAATCTAATGCTAAAAATGTCAATTCTCTATGAAAAAAAGTTCTGTATTTCATAGACAATGATTATAATTGACAGAGTTTTCACTGTTTTTAGCCTTTCACTTTATTCAAATAAGCATTTTTCAAATTTCTAAATATGTGCAAGACTGCTAGTTGCTGACGGGTTTATAAAGGTGAATAAGATATTTAAACAATTGAGTATTTTGCAAGGCAGATTGAATTTAGTACTAAGTAAAAGAAAAATGTGCTATTGTACAGAGGGAAAACTTATATTGTTCTTACATGAAAGACCAATTTACATTCTAAAGAACAAAATTACAGCCAATAGAAAAGCATATACTTTTATCAAATAACCATATTCACCACTTACATAATGTGAAACAAAATTTTCCTACAATACATTTAAAATAAAATAGATTGAATATTTTCAAAGTGTTTTTGAAGCACAAATTATCACTCTTCTTTACTACTTCATAGGACTTTCTGGAAAGAGAGCAGCACATAATTGGTGGCCTGAAAATAATGCTGCTCTAAAATGCAATGGCATTTACCTTTATGACCAAATGAAGCAAAAAAAAGTAAAAATGAAAATAAAATCAAATGATAAACCAATAGAAAGTTTAAAAAGCCAAGCAGAAGAGAACCTATAAAAGTACACTGAATATATATATACAAAACAATAATTTTCTAAATATGCGTTATTATTTCTCTCAGATAAATTTTTCTAAACCAATGGTAGCTACCTATATAAATAAACACATGGAAAAGACATTGTTTTGTCTAGTAATGTACAACCACTGTGATGTAAATGTCCAAAATGAACTTAGAGGTGCTCAGTGCTAACTTTTTGTAGTGTATCTACACATTTAGTAGAGTACATTTTGTTTTAGTGATCTAAGTTTTTTATTCTTTTATTATAAATCCACCTGATTTTATCATCTCCTCTCTATATACATTGTCTTCTACATTAAGTGGACCAAAATGGTCATGCTCTTTATTGAAATTAATTAAAGAACTTTTCAAAATTATTTAATATTATTTTATTTTTGTTATATCTATACATGATGCTACAGTAAGCAAAATTTTCCTGCAGTATTTTCACCCATAATATTCTTCTTTGGTCTTTTGACGAAGCCTCTTAACTGTCAACTGACTTTGTCATGCCTTTGTCATGGTTGAGAGGACTTTGGTTCACAACTGGGCTTCTCAAAAAAGTTGTCTATTTGTGCACCCCTCAGTTATTCGTGTTGCATGTCATTGATGTTCCCAAATACAAAGAAAGATATGATTTATCGACTCTACATATTTCTTATCATCCTTTACACTTTTTCTAAAAAAAAAACACAAAACTTACCTTTTGAAATATTTTCTCTCAGATTCCATAATATTATCAGCATTTTTTCATTAATTCACCTATTGTTTAGTCAACAAAAATTAATTTTAGGATTAGTAAACATTTCCTTCTCTCAAGTGGAATGTAGAGGAATAAATGTATTATAAATTGGTATCATTACTCCCATGATAGAGATAAGTATCCCGTACTAATAGAACAGTGAGTCAGACACAATACAGTTGGTGATTAGAGTAATGGTTATGGGTGTAAGTACAGTTTTCCTGAGGAGGACTATACATGACATAAGCATTAAAAGTGAGTTGGCATTAGCCGAATGAAATGAAAATAAAGGAAAAAGCTAGGTAAGGTAGAAAGGACAGTCTTATCAAAAGAATAGCAATAAACAATGTAGTCCAGTGTCTTACTGTTACTGGAAATCACAAAGATAATTTGCTGGAGCATAAATATGAAATAAAAAATTAAAGAAAGAAGTTCTCAACAATTTTTTTCAGAAGGAAATATTTCTCATTAGTCATTTCCTGAATGTTTAATTTTTTATAATGTCAATATCTATATGTGCCATCCAGTCTTAACAGTCCATTAACGAGGGTACACATGGAGCCTGTGATGTGAGTTAAAACATATTGATATATCCATATTGTATGTTACCACATTCTGCCAATGTATTTCTTTTTCAAAGAGTCCACATAGTGCAATGAGATTTTAAAGAAAGAATATATACTCTATCATGGTCAACAGTGTGAAAGAAAACAAAAGAATATATACTCTAACAATAGGAATCTAAAATAGCCTTACTATATTAAGTTTCCATAAGTATGTTGAGTATTTATTTTTACCTGTCTCTAATAAAAATAAGTATAATTGAAAAGACACTTTTCTTCACCTTAAGTCTATTATAAAATGGATTTCTTTCCAAAAATGGAAGCCTAGTTCACTTAGACTAACTAGCTGGCAGAAAACAATGAGGACGTTTAATTAAATCTTTAAAACATCTTACTGAAATCATCAGAAATCTAACTCTTTGCAAAACAAGGACGAAATGCTAGATTCAAATATATATATTTTGCTTACAATAAATTGAGGCCATAATTTCGGGAAACTTTTCTCTTAGAAAAATCTGCAATAGTTGATGGGTGCAACAAACCACCATGGCAGGTGTATACCTATGTAACAAACCTGTACATTGTGCACACATTCCCCAGAACTTAAAGTATAATTTAAAAAAACCACCAACACAAAATAATCTAATGAACTATACACCTATGTATATTTGCCAACACTTAATAAAAATTTAAAATAGCAGAAAAAGAAGAAAATTAAAACGTGCAATAGTAAAGTGGTGGCTGAGAATCTTGGCGGCTCTTTTAATTCTCCTTTTGGTTGAGGGAGACACATTTTTTAATTTCATAGTCCACCGAATGTGTTGAAACTAATGCTTCCCTTTACATATTTTTAAATGGAACCGAAAAGGATACAACCATGGAATGAAGTAGAGATTGCCTGGTTTTAAGGAAACTAAACTCAAGCTTCAATTATTTTAACCTCCACGATAAACTAGAATCATCTGGTGTTGTTATTGCATTTAGACTCCAGCAAACATAAATTATCTCTGTATGAAGCTATTATCCAACATCTGCAATAATCTCTACTCTTTCCTCATACACTATCCAAAACTCAGTTTAAGATAGCGAGGCTTTCTAAGATATGAGTAAACAAAGAAAAGAACTAAAATGAAAATAGTTACCTAGAGGTTCTTGATAATGGAAATATGATAAAAATAATATTAATACAACTATCCTTAATATGTTTCAATAGACTATAGCCAAGAAAAATCATTTCTCAGAAAACTGGAAACTCTAAAAAAGAACAAGCCAAATAAAACAAAACATACAAAAAATTCAGAATTCAATGACTTGATTTAATTATTAATGATTTAATCTAACAGTAGATTTAATACAAATAAGGAAAATCTTGTGAAGCAAAAAAAGGGAATAAAGCATAGAGGAACTAAATGATGTAAAATGCATATAAATAGGGGTTGGCAGGTTTGGTTTCTCCTGAGGCCTCTCTTGCTGAGTTGCTACTTTCACCCTTATGATCTCATTAAGCCTTAATTACCCCTTTAAAGGCACTGTCTCCAAATACAGTCACATTGGGTTTAAGGCTTAACATATCAATTAGAGAGAGGAAAACAAAACTCAGTCCAAAACATATGAAAAGGTCAAGCATACATATAATTGGAATTCTAGGAAAAGAAAAGAGACAAAATACCAGAAAATAAAAATGTTTGAAGGAATAAAGGCCAACATTTTACCCAAACCGATGAAAAAAAAAAAAAAGATATCAAGTAGCCACTACAAGCAGCAGCAAATCAAAGAAACTCCTCAAAATATAGAAAAATATCTGAAAATCAAATCAAATACAAAATTTTTAAAGAAGCCACAGGACAAAAATACATATTATGTTCACATGACTAGAAAATATACTGACAGCATTCTCGATAGAAAAAGTAGATGCCGAAAAAAGAAATGGCAATTTTAATGTGTTAAAAGAAAATAAGAATGATATATCCAATAAAAGGATGCTGGATTAATTAAATGCAACACATTTTTTTTTTTTTGCCAGTCAAAATCAGAGGAAATACATTACATGCAGACTGAACCAGACGGATACTCAGAAATTCATAAAGGGTAAATATGTTGTCATGAAAGTATTGACTGGATTAAAAATAACATCTTACTGGTTTTAAATACTACAGAGAGTAAAAACACAGGTAGCATATGAGATGTGGAAAGTTGCATGGATTCAAAGTGTCCAAAAGTCCTTGCATCATCTAGAAAGTTGTAAAAGTAACAATACATATTAGACTTTAAAAGCCAATGGTAATCACTCAAAAAAGTAATAAATGAATATACCAAAAATGTTATAGAATGAATGAAGAGCGATTTAAAAAATCAATTGTAAGTTAAAAATTAGCCAGATTAATTTTTTAAATATAAAAATGTGAGACAATTTAAACTTAAAGGAAGGGAATAATAAGATGTAATAGTTAAACACAATATATCAGGTTTTGCAGTTAATGAGAATGAACTAAATATTCAAAGTAAAGAACAAAATGTTGTAGGCTTTAAAGAATTCTTATACATCATCTTTTATGGAAATATAAATCTAAATATAATGAGAGTTTTTGAGAAAATAAAAATAAAAAATGCTACATAAATACACACAAAAGCAGTTTTTGGAAATGCAAAGACATCTATCACAGACTTAGGATAAATCTCAAGTATTGTGGTACTTTTATATCTATTATTTTTTAAATGTATTTTTGTATAACAGAGTTTTCAGAAACTGCTAAGAAGACAGACAGGGTAGGTGTCAAATTAATCTTTGGACTTAGCAGTAAGAAATTTGTTAGCAAGTTGAGAAATAGCAGTTTTGATGGAGTATTGATTTGGGATTCAAACTGATGAGATGTATGCAGTAAGCAGGATGGAAGCAGGAGTGTCAGTGAAGGGGACTTATGTGGATTGCTTGAGGTACATGTGTGACCTTAAAGAGGCTATCCTTAGGGTAAATGGAAAGGTAGGGATTAGGTGAATTTGATTATTCATTTGTAGGAAAATGAGAGTATTCCTGTGGTATGTTTTCAGTTTACTCTGAGAAAGATATTAGCATAGTGATATTCTGTATCCAGGTGTTAATGTCATCCAAATGAGAAGTACATCAACAAAATGTTAAATTTAATATATATTTTAACTGTATATAACTTTTTGAAATATTTATCGTCAAATTGTACCTTTATATATAACTTTGTGTATTGCATAGATATTTTTGTCCCAGCCTTTATATGTCTACAGGAGTATCTAGAGGCAAAATAATATATGCCACCTACTGTCTTGATGTTAGTGGCACAGAACTGGTTTCCCACTGGGCCCCAAGAAGGATCTTGATCTTACTGGAGGTCAATGTAAAAGAGGTTACATGTGACAAATAGACCCAGGCTAAAAATCAAAAATGGGTTTGAGAAAGAAAACAAAAGTCAACTAATCTTTATTGAGAGAAAATATCACAAAATTAGAGATTCAAGGAAAACATACGTATTATTTCAAATATTATTTTGAGAAGAGGAAATCTTAGATGACTATGGCTATTATTAATGAACATGTCTAACCTCTTCATAGTCATTGTAGCCTAATTAGCTAGGGTGGTCTTATATTTGATGCATATTATTCTGTCTTTGAATTGTCTCATAGGAACACAAATGCATAGGACCACATAGGCTGCAAATTTGGTTTTACTATGTTACATTTAAAATGCACATGTATATCTTGGTATGGTTTGTTTGAAGGACATAAAAAGTGTTTTAAGAAATTTCAGGCCGGGTGTGGTGGTTCACGCCTGTAATCTCAGCACTTTGGGAGGCCAAGGCGGACGGATCACGAGGTCAGGAGATCAATACCATCCTAGCTAACACGGTGAAACCCCGCCTCTACTAAAAATACAAAAAAAAAAAAAAAAATTAGCCAGGCATGGTGGCGGGTGCCTGTAGTCCCAGTTACTCGGGAGGCTGAGGCGGGAGAATGGCGTGAACCCGGGAGGTGGAGCTTGCAGTCAGCAAGATCCTGCCACTGCACTCCAGCCTGGGCAACAGAGCGAGGCTGTCTCAAAAAAAACAAAAAAACAAAACAAAACAAAAAACAAGAAATTTCTAGAAAATGAGGTAAGTATTAATAATGATATATCTGTGAATGCAATATGTACACATACACAAACATATTCATCTAGAGTATACCAAAATGTATCTATTTTTATATTATATGTGCCTATATGTATTATAAGCATGTATACACTATATATACATATGTATGTATATGTGTGTATGGATATGTGTGTTTGTGTATCTCCTGAAAGACTAAAAGAGCTTTCGTAAGAGACTAAAAAGAATATAAAAATATACTCCCTGCCAAAAGAATATTTTGAAAATAAAATTATCATGCTAGGACAATTATTCTAAATATTTTGATTAGATAATTATCCACTATTTCTTTCATTTTTTTTAGCGTGAATCAAAGTATAAATACAGATCATTTAGCACATAGCTAATAACAGAGAATGTGATCATTTCTATTCTATAGTACATGCAGTTTTGTACAAAAAGCTCTTGATTTCACATTGCTTAATTGTTTTTATCTTCCACCATAGGGTTCTTAATCCACTTTTTGTTGATTTTGGTTTTAAATTATTACTTGGTAGAGTTTACCACCTATCCAAACTCCCTGTGGGAAAAGCCTGTATTTTATGGCTCTTCTATATTTAGCTAATTTTTTAAATTTAGATCTCTTTCAAATTTGTCTTTATGCATGCAGCAAAATATGATTGATCATCTTGACAGTTTATTGTGTTGTACTTATGAAAAAGTTATTTTCTAAGTATTCCATCTCTCAGTTGTATTTCTATTTTATGACTTGACTAACAGCATCTCTCTTTGACCAATGGCGAAAACATACTTTTTCCACTAGTCCTAAGCTGAGTTTTTAATACATCAATTATTGGTTTCAAGAGTTTATGAGTTTATTTCTCTAATCACAGAATTTAAGGTGAGAGCTTATATTAAAATACTTTTTAAAGAAAATTATTCCAAAGAACATGATTAGGAGACTTGGAAAAGGGAAAATAGATTAAATGAAAGCAAATCCTAATTGTATTGTTAATCTAGGGACAATTGGAATTCGACATCCTTTAGGACTATCTGAGGAACCAAAAATGGATCTCAGAATTGTCTACCTGACATATAGAAGAAAGTATTTGTCACTGACTCCTTTTCCCATTGATCAATACTTATTCCCAGGGTTTTCATACCCTTGCATTTTTAGGTTTGACAAAAGTTCCTGTGGAGACTAATGCAAAAAGTTTATTTACTCACTGGGAAAATGCCTTTAAGACAGAAAGCTACAGATATCTGTTGCAGTTGAGAAAAGGTGCTGCTTCCAGACTATACCGAATTGAAATCTATTGCCAAAGCAATGACTGGAACAAAATGAAGGCTAAGAAAATACGAGATATTTATTAATTTCCTACATCCTAGTTTACTTCTTTTGTCCTTTAGATATACCCATTTCCTATATAAAATCCAATTTATTAATATATATTATATGTATATAGCTACATCTGTAATATATACATGCATAAATATACACACATATATGTTCACATATATATATACACACATGCATGCATATATATATACACACATATATGTGCAGCTTTAGAAATGCAACAGAGAAGCATTTTTAAGTGTGGAATATACTGCTTCCAGTATGCAAAGAAGCCAACTATGCAATATATCCATTTTTAGTAGTTATAATGTAAGAGGTTCAAAGGCTTGTCCTTTACTACAGACAATATATCCTAGTACCCCCAGCTCACTGAACCCATAAAATTTCATGTGTGTGTATATATATGCACATATAGACAACAGTGCTGTTCTCATCTCCTCACCTTTTGTCCATTGTAGTACATCTTTGCTATAAATTTTTTCCTTATTTCTGAGAGCTATTACATAAAATCTTATATCAGTAATTAGACATTCCTTATAATTGCAATAGGGATGATGGCAGTGATACTTTGTACAAATAAGACAAGTAATTTCTGGAATTTATAATAACTCCCAGAAGTATGAATCTCTGTCTTTTACAGGATGGATATGTTTTACTATAATTAACCTGAGACTGAATGTTGGCTTGTTTCATTAAGGAGTAGCACCATATTGAGTGGACTGAGTTGTTTAACTGCTGACAGTTTGGACAATCAGCAGTGGCAGTAGCATGACCAGCATTTGTGAGAAGGTCAGCATCCAGTAAAGTCTGTGTATAACTTCTATCACTGTATCAACTCTGTTTATAGGACTATTACACAACTATTGGGTTGTGTAATAAAAAAAAAACAGACTAGTTCATAACCACTGGCCTAGTTACATGTATTAAGTATCTATTTTTTGTAGGGATTTCCATAGATTTCACAGATCTGTCTACCTGGTTACTGAGTGGTTCTTCTGTATACCTTATGAGATGTGTTTGCTTTCCGTCAATTAAATAGGGCCCTCTGCATATCTCTTTCCCATACATTCTTGCCCTGATATCAAATTTTTACCCTTTCAGCTCCCAACAAGCCAGTCAATCCATTCACTATTTCCCTTGAGTCCATCTACCTCTGAATTTCAGGGAAATTCTCTCTCCATACAAACTAATTTGCTAAGAGCAGTACTTGCAGACCTATGGGAGATGTTCCCTTCCTTGCTCTCCTTCAGGTTAAAGCTGAGTGTGCTTGCTGTGTGGGGTAGTCCATTTTTAGTAGCACAAGCCTAAGGAGTCAACAAATGTATGCACCAGGTCCGAGATTCTTCTTCCTCTGTTGGTTGTTCATATGAAACTTGCCAAGAGTAAGTAGATGTGAGCTGATGTTGGAGCAACAGAGATTGGTGACAGAGTCTGGAGTATCTGTTAATACAACTTACTCATTAGCCTCTGAACATTCTCAGGACCAGCACTAGATGTACTGACTCCATTATATAATTTCTGCTAAGTTTACCTGACTTTATGAGTGTGTGCTTCTGATAATACTTAGATCCTGATTGACAACTTTGAGCACATAATTACTTAACATCGAATAAATGTAATTGGTACCTCTCTGGGTCTTGTAACAAGCTGAGAAGTTCATTCTGAGCTGTTCTCTACTATAAAGGACTCTTGCCTCAGACATGTACTAAGTACCTAAAATTATTTTCCGTAGGAATTTTCATACATTTCACAGATTTTCCTTTAACCTAGAGATACTCATAGCATTATTATACCTACTTTATGAGATGGTCCAAGTGGAAGGGCTGCTTGTACCACAGCTTGAGCTTACTTTAAAGTCTTCTATTTTTCTGGACTCTCTTCAAAACTGGCAGCTTTAGAAATGTGGCAGTGAAGCATTTTTAAGTGTGCAATATACTGCTTCCAGTACGCAAAGAAGCCAACCATGTAACGTATCTATTTTTTAGTAGTTATAAGTTAAGAGGTTCGAAGTCTTGTTCTTACTACAGACAATACATCCTAGTACTCTCAGCTCAGTGAACCCACAAAATTTCATCAAAGTGTTATTATCTGTCTATGAGGATCTTAAGCATCCAGAGAAGATGCAACTTTCTGCTCACCAGGTGTACTTGTTTAATGTCAACAAACAGTGTACCAGAATCATGTTCTGCAGAATTTTGAAATGATCAATTTTTTTCTGCTCACCAGGTGTACTTGCTTAATGTCAACAAACAGTGTAACAGAATCATGTTGTGCAGAATTTTGAAATGATCAATTTCTCTTTGGATAATGTGAAGGAGAATTAATATGGTAGAAGAGCAAAACAGTTAATATTCTCTTCTAAGAAACACAAACTGGTTTAGATTTTCTTTATGGATAAGGATTGAGAACACATTGACTTGATAAATACTATTTTTTATCAAGTCCCAGAGACAAAACTCATCTGTACCAGTAAAAATGCCATAATAGGAACATATAATTCAAGGTTGGATAGAATTTAGTGAAGACTATGGTAGTCTAAAATAATCCACCATGATCTATCTTATTGTTGAAGGATATATAACTGAATTGAATAATTACATAATAGAGAACCATCTTTTTATATTTTATTCTTTGAATATGTCACTACTTTCATACATTCTACAAGGGATAAAATATTTCTTCTATTTTAATACAATGGCTGGAAGGTGGGTGGATTAATTTTCACTTGAATGCTTCTATTAAAATTATTCTTACTTTACACATCAGGCATAATGTGAGGAGTCTGACAGGTGCCAAGTTTAAATATCCAATTTTGAATTTGGTGATTTGAATGTAACTACAGCATCAAAGATTGAAACATATTGGACCTGCTGTGAAATGGACTTCGATCAAGATTGTTTTAATAATTTTAGTCATAATGGTATTTCAGCCCCTCTGATTTATTTGTGCTTGATCATATCTTGTATTCCACAGCCTTCTAGAGTTTAGGTATCTCTCTTTCATAGCATAAATGTTATAAATGTCTGTAAATCATGTTTTGGTATAGTTTTGGATAAATGCTTATTTTTTTAACATTTATGTTTGGTATTAATTCTCAAGGAAATCTAGCTTCTACTTTAAGCAGTATCCTCTGGATCTGATAATTGTCCTAGAAATAAGTGAGGAATTTCAATTCCTTATTTGAGATCTGACACAGCTTTATTCTTCATACCCCTCATTATCTCATTATGGTTTATGGTTTTACATATATATGTGATATATATACATATAATATGTATATAATATGTATAGATATTATATATAATATCTATCTATATCTATCTATAGAGAAAGATAGAGAGATAGAGAGAGAGATGTGGTGTTTAAACATGTCAGGTTAACCTCTAGTCAACTGCACATTCATCCATCCCCTAGAAACACTACATTCTATTAATTATTCCTCTGCTAATCAAAGTGTGATATATCAGCAGCAGTAGCATCATATGAGAACTTGTTAGAACTTCAGAATCTCAGGTCTCAAACCAGATATCTTGAATTATAATCTATATTTCAAAAAATACTCTCATATAGTTTATATGATTTTTAAAGTTTCAGAACCACTATAATAGTGAGTATCACAGATTTCTGTAGTTGAAGGCACCTGGGCTTCTATTTCAATCTTGCTGTCCATTAGAATAACTTTTAGCATTTGTCTCAAAGAGTGAATTCTGCTACTTAGAATCTACTAATATGGAATTCTATAATTCTTAGATCCTGATTACTAAGAAGCTAAGTTCCATGGTACCATGCTCTATTATCAACCTTGGCCTAAAGAGGAGAGCTACTCATGAGCTTTTTAAGAAAATGGTTCCATGTGTTATTATAAACTCATTCTATTATTTTCACCTCTGTGAGTCTTTTGATTGCTTTCTCATCACTTAGGCAAGAAAATTCTGGCATTTACTGCAGGACATTGCCATATATTACATTTTAAGTAATTATTCCTAGAGTGTATTCCAATGAATTCCAGGTGCTCTAGTCAGAATTTTAAGTCCTGATTCATAAAAAATATTTAACATATCAACAAATGGTCTCCCATGTCCTTAGCATTGAACTGGATGTTCTAGCCAGTGCAATAAGGGAGTTAAGAAATCAAAGAGGATTCAGATTTGTTTTAAAAAGAAATAAAGCTGTTTTTATATGCAGACAACATGATTGTCTATTTTGAAAATTAGATGACTGTTAAAGTGCTACTAGAGCTAACACCTAATTTTAAAAACTTTTAAGTATAAAAGAACAATAAAACTGATTTTGCTTCAAAATATTAGCAACATTTACTGGGGGTCATATTTTAAAACAACACTACTTATAATAGGACCAAAAATAATACATGAAAATAAATCTGAAAAAAACAAGTGCAAGGCCTGTATGTTCAAATCTATAAAACATTGTGGGCATAACTAAAGACTAATTAAATAAAATATATACCATTAGGGTTTATATACCTTAAAAGTAAATGAACTAAACTTTTTAATTTAAAGGCAGAGGTTGGCAGATAAATTTTAAAACATATATGAAACCACTACATATTGTCTACAAAAGACTCACTTTAGATCCAATTAAACAGATAAGTTGAGAGAAAAAGAATGAGAAAATATATTCAATGCAAATGGTAACCAATTAAGAGCTAGGACGGCTAAACTAATATCAGAACAAAATAGACCTTAAGTTAATTTTTTTTACAGGGGACAAAACAACATTATATAATAATAAAATTCAAATCCATCTTGAAGATATAAAAATTATGAACATATATGCTCCAAAAAATAGACTCTCAATACATATGAAACATACACTGAGAGAGTTGATGGGACAAATTGTTCTATGATAATGATTGGAAACTTTAATACTCCACTTTTAATAATGAATAGGACTAAAGAGAAAAATTAATAAGGAATAGAGGATTTGAGCAACAGTAAAAAACAAGCAGACCTAAAGGACATATGCATGGTAGCATGCAAAAACAGAATACATATTTTCAATTGCAAATGGAATATTTTCCAAGATAGATTATGTATTAGTCCACAAAACATTACTCCATAAATTAAAAAGTTTGAAATCTTACAAAATATCTTCTTTAGCTCAAATGGGATGACAATAGATATCAATAAAATAAAGAAAACTAGAAAATTCACAAATAGGTAGATTTTAAACCACACACTTTTGAACAACCAATAATTCAAAAAATAAATCACTGGGAAATGAAAAAATACTTTGAGATGAACAAAAATGAGAATACAACCTACCAAAATTTATATTTAACTGCAGTTAAAGCAGTGATAAGAAGGACATGCATAGCTATGAAGGCTTATATTAAAAAATAAAAAAGAATTTTAAATCAATACTTACCTTTACAATTTAAATAATTAGAAAAAGAACAAACTATAAAATCATTTGAAGAAGTAATAAAGATTAGTTCAGAATTAAATGAGATAAAGAAAAGAAAAACAATAGAATCAACAAAATCTAAAATTAATTATTTGAAAAGATCATTAAAATGACAAAACGAGGTAGGCTGACTAATGAAGGAGAGAAGAAAATTATTAAAATTATGTATGAAAATGAGATAACTGACTTTTTAAAAATAAAAAAATGACAGAAAGATAATGCTACAAACAATTCTACAGCAATAAGATAACACAAAATGGATTAATATTTAAAATATACAAAAGTTCTAAATGAACTCGAGAAAATTAAAAACCTGAACATACCTGTAACAAGCAAACAGATTGAACTAATCATCAAAACCCTTTCAACAGATAAAAGCCAAGGAACAGAAATTTTACTCATAAATTTTACCAATGATTTAATGGATAATTAATACAAATTCTTCTCCAGCTTTCCAAAAAGTAGAAGATAAGGGACTATTACTATCTAATTCTATAAGGCTAGCATTACTTTGATACAAAAGGTAAAGGCATTTCAAAAAGAAAACTGCAGAACAATATTGCTTATGAGTACAGACACATAAATTCTCAACAAAATATTAGCAAACCAAATGCAGTAACATATTCAAATCATTAAACACCATGACCAAGTGGGATTTATTCCAAATATGCAAGACTTTTTTTTTAAAATGTTGAGGCCTCCAACTTTGGTGCTTGTTCTTTTGATGTTATATCTAAGAATTCATTGCAAAATCACAAAAGCACAAGCAATAAAGTTGGAGGGCTCAACATACAAAATTAATCAATGTAACATACCACATTAATGGAATAATATAAACCACATGATCATTTCAGTTGATGCAGAAAAGTCATTTGAGAAAACCAGCATTCTATCATTATTAGAAAACAATAACAACAACAACAAAACAGTTGACAAACTAAGAATAGGAGTTAACTTTCTAAACCTAATAAAGGGATTTAGGAAAAATCCATGGCTAACATTATACTCAATGGTCTAAAAACTAAAAGTCTTTCTTTTAAATCAGGAACAACACAATGATGCCTGATTTTACTACTTTTATTCAACATTGTGTTGGTAGTTATAACTAGAGAAATTAGACAAGAAAAAAAGTAAAAATACATTTTGGGAAATAGAAGAAAAGACATATAGCTAACTTATTCACAGATGACATGAATATATCTATTCAAAAAATTCCAAACATTCCAAAGAATTCACAAAAATTGGAGCTAAAAAACAAATTCATCAGTTACGTGATACAAAATCAACTCATACAGATAAGTTGTGTTTTTATAAACTAGCATAAATAATCCAAAAAAGTTAAGTTCATTTACAATAGCATCCAAAGAAATAAAATACCTCAGAATCAATTTAACCAAGAAGGTAAGACTTACACAGCATAAACTACATTACATTACTGAAAACAATGTTAAAAATTTGAATAAATAGAAAAATATCCCATGTACATGCATTGGAAGATTAACATTATTAAAAGGGAAACACTACCAAAAATGACTTACAGATTCAATATAATCCTACCCAAATCCAAATTATCTTTTTTTTGCATAAATGGAAAATGAATCCTAAAATTCATAAGAAAAGAGAGCCTAGAAAACTAAAGACATATTGAAAAAGACAAAGTTGGTAGGGTCACACTTCTTAATTTTCAATCTCACAACAAAGCTATAGTTATTAAAATGGTGTGGTATTGGCATAAAAATAGACTTTTAAAATAGTGCAATAGAATTGAAATTCCTGTATGAATCCCATTCCTTTATGACAATTGATTTTTCACAAGGGTGGCACTACCTTTTGAAGAGAAAATAATAAGTCTCTTCAACAAATGTTGTTAGAACAATTGGATATCCATATACAAAAGACAGAAGTCGTGTCCTTACCTGAAACCATATATAAACATTAACTTAAAATGAATTTATAAAAATAAATTTTAAGAGCTAAAACTATTAAACTTTTAGAAGAAAACATATGGGTGAATATTTATGACCTTGAATTCAATAATACATTCACAGATAGTGTAAAATAAAAGCACAAGAAACAACAACAATATATAAATTTGGTTTCATTAACATTAAAAACTTTTGTGTATCAGAAGGCATTATCTAAAAAGTGAAAGGGCAATTTCTGAAATGGAAAAAATGATATGCATATATTTCATAAAGGTCTAGAATCCAGAGTATATGAATAATTTATGCATTTCGACAGCAGATATAAAAACTAAATTAAAATTTGACAATGCAACTTAGTAGACATTTATTCAAAGATTTCAAGTGATCAGAAAAATGCATTAAAATGCTCAACATTATTAGTTACAAGAAAATGCAAAGCAATCACACAATGAGATACCACTTCAAACCCACTAGGAACATTTTAAATAGAATAAAATGGAATATAAGTGTTGAAATGGAACACTTGTACTTTTTGGGTGGAAATGTAAAATGGTACAGCCACTGTGAAAAACATTTGGCAATTCCTCAAAAAGTTAAACCTAGATTTACCATATAATACAACAATTTTGTTTTTAGTTTTATACCCAAAATAATTAAAAATAGGTACTCAGACAAACACTTGAACACTGATGTTTCTAGTAGCTGCATTCACAATAGCCAACAACCAGAAACAATCCATGTTCATCAATGGAAGAACTGATTAAAAATTTGTTATAGGCTGGACGCTGTGGCTCACATCTGTAATCCCAGCACTTTGGGAGGCCAAGGCAGGTGAATCACGAGGGCAGGCATTCGAGACCAGCCTGGCCAACATACTAAAACCCTGTGTCTGCTAAAAATACAAAAAATTAGCCGGCATGGTAGCAGGAGGCTGTAATCCCAGCTACTCTGGAGGCTGAGGCAGGGGAATCGCTTGAACCTGGGAAGGCAGAGGTTGCAGTGAGCCAAGATCGTGCCACTGCACCTCAGCCCGGGCGACAGTGTGAGACCCAGTCTCAAAAAAAAAAAAATTGTTGTAAATATGTATGTGTGTATGTGTGTGTGTGTGTATATATATATATATATATATATATATATATATATGAAATCGAATATTATTCACCTGTAAGAAGGAACAAAGTACTGACACATACTGAAACATGGATGAGCCTTAAATATAGTACGCTAAGTGAAAAAAGCTGGATTCCAAAGCTTATGTATTATAAAATTGCCCTTAAAAAATCATTCAAAATGGGTAAACCTATAGAGACAAAAATCATGATGGTGGTTGCCAGAGTCTGTAGGGCAAGAGAAATGGAGTGTGACTGTTTAATGGGTACAGAGTTTTTTTCTGGCATCATAAAAACATTTTGGAACTTGTTATGGTTGTCGTAGTTGCACAACATTGTGAAAATACTAAATTGAATGCTTTAATATGGTAAATTTTATGTTAATGTGAATTTTACCTCAATTTTAAAAAGAAGAAATAAGTGAATGTATTACCATATGGTAATTGAGTAGAATTACCATACTAATTCTACTCAAAAGAATGCTGGAGTAACTGTACTGATTATAGAAAAGCAGATTTTAGGATTAGGAAGATTACCAAGGATAAAAGGGGATAAAGGTGTCAATTCTCCAAGTAGGCATAATGTCCGTAAATGTTTATGCATCTCCAAGAGAATATTAATATACATGACACAGAACCTGCTAGAACAGTGGAACAAAATAGTCAAGTCCAATATGATAACTGAAGATTTTGACATCTCTCTCAATAATTGATAGATTAGTAAGGATATTAATAATCTAAGCAGCATCATTAATCAACTTGATCTTATTGATATTTGTAGGTTACTTTATTCAATATCAGCAGAATAATGTCTTTCTTACAAGTTCGTATGGAACATTCACCAGATAGACTACACTCAGGCCATCAAATGCATTGTAATACATTAAAATAATATAAATAATTCAGCCTATGTTTTCAGACCTCAAAGGAAATAAGGTAGAAATTATTAGCAGCTAGATAGCTAGAAAATTACAAAAATATTGGGAGATTAAACAACATATTTCTTTCTCTCTTTTTTCTTTTTTTTTTGAGATGGAGTCTCGTTCTGTCACCCAGGCTGGAGTGCAGTGGCACGACCTTGGCTCACTGCAAGCTCTGCCCCCCGGATTCACGCCATTCTCCTGCCTCAGCCTCCCAAGTAGCTGTAAACAACATATTTCTAAGTAACACATTTATCAAAAAAAAAAAATTTCCAGATAATTCCAAAATATTTTGAATAAAATTAAAAATTATCAAAATGTGTTGAATGTAGCATAAGACATGCTTAGATGAAAATGTGTAAATTGAATGGGTATATTTGAAGACAAGTAAGACCAATACTCTAAGATTTCACCTTAGGGAACTAGATAAATTAAAGCAATTTAAGAAACAGAAAATAGTAAAATTTAGAGCAGAAATCAATACATTAACAGCAGGAAAACAAATTTCTTATTCTACAGACATCTACAGACATTGAAAGGAAAATAATGCAATATTATAAACAACTTTACTACTGCAAATTTTATAATTTAAATAGATCAATTCCTTGAAATTCACAAACTAACAAAATCACGAAAGAAGTAAGAATAGCCCTAGATCTATTTTTTAATTGAATAAATAATTTATAACCTAACAAAAAAGAAATCAAAAAATTCTAGGAGGATTTATTGCTGAAGTATACCAAACATTTAAGGGATAAATTATACCTATTTTTTTTTACAATCTCTTCTAGAAAACGGAAGCAGAGGGAACATTTTCTAATTCACTTAATTAGGTCAGCAGTACCCTAATATGTAAATCAGATAAAGACATTACAAGAATGAAACACATAGACCCATGTCTTATGCACATAGGCACAAAAGTCTTTAACAAAATACTATCAAATTGAATACCAAATTTATAATATAATTTATCTGCCTTGATCAATTGGGATTTTTTCAGACATACAAAGCTGGTAGCTCAACAATCACAAATGAATGAATGTAATATCTACTTCATCATTAAGCTAAAGAAGATAAATCATATAATCCTACGAATAGAAGCAGAAAAGCATTTGATAAAATCCAACACCAATTTATGATAAAAGCCATAGCAAACTAAGAATAAAGAGGACTTTCTCAACTTGATAAAGAATATCTATAAAAATTCTGGAACTAATGTTATACATTATAGTGAGAACCTGATATGTTTTCTCTAAAATTGAGAACAAAGCAAGAATGTCCTCTCACAGCACTCTCATTCAACAATGTACAGTACTCCTGTTTTATTTCCAAGTTTTTTTTAAAAATTAAATTTTCATATTTTTGTTAATTCTTTGGAATTTTCTACATAGAAAATCATATCATCTGCAAGTACAGGCAGCTTTAGTTTTTTTTTTCTTTTCCAATCAGAATGCTTTTTATTTCATTTGTTTTTTTCCTTATCATTTTATGTAGGATTTCCAATACGGTATTCAAGAACTAAAAGACTCCATATATTTAAGATATTGATTTTTATTATCTTAATCTATAGATTCAATGCAATCCCAAACAAAATCCCAGCAAGCTAATGTGTTAACATTGACAAACTTATTTTAAAGATTATGTGGAAAAGCAAAACTCCTAGAATAATCAAAACAATACTAAAGAAAAAAGTTGGAGGACTCGCTATACTCCAGTTGAAGACTTACTGTAAAGCTACAGTAATCATATAAATTAATTGAACAGGATAAAGAGCAACAAGGGAGAATCTCCAAAATGTGTAATCAATTGATTGTTAACAAAAGTTCAAAGGCAATACGATGGTCGATGGTGAAAGAATAGTCTTTTCAACAAATTGTGCTGGAAAAGTTGTTGACAAATACGTAAAATCTGTCTCACACACAGACACAGAATTTACACATTTTACAAATATTAACTAAAAATGATTTAAAGACCTAAATATAGAAATAAAAAATATAAACCACTTCTGGGAGAAAATATTGTAGAAGATCTGTATTTCAGTTTTTTGATAAGTTTTTAGATATGACACTAAAAGCACTATCAATGAGGGAAAAAATTAAATTGGACTTCATTCAATTTAAAAAGTTTTGCTTTACAAAGGACAATGTTAAAAAAGTGAAACACCATGAAATAGTGGAAAATATTTGCAAGATACATATTTGATAAAGAATTTGCATCTGAAATACACAAAGAACTTTTACATTGAAAAATAAGAAAACAAACGAAACAATTTAAAAATGGGCAAAGGATCTGAATAAGCACAACCACAAAAAAGATACACAGATGATATCTAGACATGTAAATAGATTACAATATCATTTGCCATCTTAGAATTGCAAATTAAAACAACAATTTAATACCAGTATACATACCTATTAGGATGGCTAAAATTTGAAAAACTGACAACACCGAATGTTGACAACGATGCTGAACAATAGGAATTCCCATTCACTCTTGCTAGGAATACAATATTGTACAGCTCCTTTGAAGAAGAGATTGTGAGTTTCTTATGAAACTACACAATCTTACCATATGATCAGACAACTGAACTCCTAGATATTTATGTAACTAATTTTAAAACATATATTCACACAAAAACCTGCATGTGAATGTTTGTAGAATCTTTATTCAAAATTGTCAAAACTAGAAGGATCAAATATGTTCTTTAATAGGTTAGTGGATACACAAGTATGGTGAATTCATACAATAGAAAGTTATCCACTAATTAAAATAATAAGCTATCAAATCATTCAAAGACATGGATAGACATTAAATATATATTGGTAAGGTGAAAGAAGCAAGTCTGAAAGACCGCTATATGCATCCAACAAATTATGAGACATTCTAGAAAAGGTGACATAATGATTATATTTAATGCTGTATCCTGGATGGAATCCTGGAACACACAAAGAACATAAGCAAAAACTAGGAAAATCTTAATAAGATGTGGATCTTAGTAAATAATTATGTATCAGTATTTGTTGATTAGTTGTGATAAATGTACTATATCGGCTGAAGAGGTTAATAGGGGAAACTAGGTATGTGGCATATGAGAATGTTCTTTCCTATCTTTGCAAATTTTCTTTAAATATAAAATATAAAAGGTTATTTAAATAACCCACATATTACAAATAAATATGAATTAAATTATTATGCCTTAAGCTGCTGTAAAGGATTCTTTTCCCCATTGATTTCCCATCAGTGTACTTAATATTCATACAAACACCTAGGATTCTCCAAGCTCTCTGCAGTGAGACGCAAATGTCAGTGAATAGTAACTAAATTACTAAAATGATAAAATTTCCATCTTAACGTGTTATCATAATAGTAAGTATTATTATGGCAACTATTTTGAGTTTACTGTATGCTTTATCATTCTAAATAATTTATACTATAATATTATCACTGATTCACTAGAACAGCTGTATGATTTACAGTATTGATACCTTCATTAAACAATTTTTTAAATATATAAAATTTGTGCATTTTTACAGGGTACATGTGTTATTCTGGCGCATGCATAGAATATGTAATGATCAAGTCAGGGTACTTAGGGTATTCCTCACCCAGAATATTTATCATTTCTATGTGTTGGGAATGTTTCAAGTCCTCTCTTCTAGCTACTTTGAAATATATATTAAGTTGTTATTATAGTCAGTCTACTCTGCTATTGAATATTGGAACTTATTCCTCCTATTAACTATATTTGTACCCATTAACCAAGCTCTCTTCATCACACTTCCCCCAGTGCGCACGCACACACACACACACACCCTTCTCAGTTTCTGAAAACTATTATTCTACTTTCTACCTTGATGAGATCAACTTTTTTAGCTCCCACATATGAGTGAGAATGTGCAATATTTGTCTTTTTGTGCCTGGCTTATTTCACCTAACATAATAAACTTCAGTTTCAACCATGTTGCCGCAATTGACAGGATTTGATTCATTATTATGGCCAACAAGTATTTAATTGTGTATGTATACCATATTTTATTTATCCATTCATCTATTCAAGGACACTTAAGATAATTCCATAGCTTTGCTGTTGTGAATAGTGCTGCAACAGAGGGGTGCAGGAATACCTTTAATACACCGTTTTTCTTTCCTTTTAATAAATACCCAGTAGTGGGATTGCTGAATCATAGGGTAGTTCTATTTTTAGTTTTCTTAAGATATCTCCATACTGTTTTTCATAATGGTTATACTAATTTACATTCCCAACACCAGTGTATGAGAGTTTCCTTTCCTCTGCTTCCTCACTAGCATGTTTTTTTAAATGTCTTTTTAATAATAATCATTTTAACTGGGGTAAGATTACATCTCATTTTGGTTTGGATAGGCATTTATCTGATGATCAGTGATGTTGAGAATTTTCAAATATACTTGTTGGCCATTTATATTTCTTCTTTTGAGAAATATCTATTCATGTCCTTTGCCTACTTTTTAATGACATTGTTAGTTATTTGCTATTGAGTTCCGTATATATTTTGAATATTAGTCCCTTGTCAGAAGAATAGTTTGCAATTTTTTTCCATTCAACAGATTATCACTTCACTCTGTTGTTTCCTTTGCTGTGCAGAAGCTCTTTACTTCAATATAGACCAATAGAACAGAATAAAGAACCCAAAAGTAAATCCACTTTTTTATATCTACTTGATTTTTTTAAAAGATGCTGAGAACAACCACTGGCAAACAGACACCCTTTTTAATAAATGTTACTGGGAAAACTGGATATCCATATGCAGATGTATATCTTGCATTATATATAATACAAAAATCAACTCAAAGTGAATTAAAGACCTAAATATAATATACAAAACTATAAAACTACTAGAAGAAAACAGAGAGGACATACTGCAGGATATTGGTCTATGCAAAGATTTTATGGCTAGGACTTCAAAAGCATAGGCAACAAATACAAAATAGGCGAATGATACCCTCATTTTACAGAAAATCAAAGGGAGCCCCTGGGAACTTAAACATTATGTACCTATCAAGTAGCAAGTCATGCAAGATGTGTTAGCATCAGACTACTATGAAAAATTTCTTTAGAAAACTCCTTTGATAAAAATATTACAACTAAAAGACTGCCTGGCCTGAATCAGTGGCTCTCTGTTTATAGAAAGAACTTTTTCAGTAACTTGAGGAGTGGCTTAGGTTTCAGGCATGTATACTTTTTGAAACATGACTTCAAGTCTACTATAGAATTCATGAAAAAGTGTTCATTTGAGTATGTGTGCATGTGAGGGTTTGTTCAGTCATGGCAGGATGACTATTAAAGACTATGATAAAAATCAGAAATATTGATTAGGTAATGGACATACAGAGTTTAGGTGTGTGGTCAGGATGGAAAAAGTGTTTTGAAATTTTTTACCTGTAACTGAACACATGGAAGTAAAATAGCTTTTCCAGAAAAGGAAAATAAAATAAAAAAAAAAGTAGAGAACCACTCTCAGCATCTTAGTTGAGAACAACACTGAGAGTGGAAGGAAGGCATATATGAATACTATGGCAAAAAAGTGGGTGATGGCTGAAAAGTTTAGAATAAGAAGCAATGGAGAAACTGACTTTCAGGGTGGAATAAAAGTGTCCCTATTTCTAATACTTCGGAGATGATAAGAAAAGAAAATTACTGCTATAGTTGGCTTTTGTCATGCTCATTTGGGCTAAGGTAAGGAAACAATGAGGTAGCAGGCTCTGAAAAAGTGGGAATAATGTAAGCCATTATTTTGAGGATCCACAGTATGAAAATATTGTTAAAATTCAGTAGCAGAAAGGAGGCATAGATAGAGCAACTTCAGCCCATTTAATTTATAACTAAAGTGTGAGATTGTTGTTACGTAACTCATCCTTAAGTATCTTGACTTTATTTACATAAACACTATTGACCTGGGGAGAGAAAACTTTATATTCAGTGCAATGCTGGCAATATGAAAAAGACTACATATTTGCCACGGTTGAATTTTAAAAGATTTTTTAACTCAGCTGTCCTCTGAGAAACAAGTGAGTCCTAACCTCCCTTACATCCCTGTCAAATTGAAGCCTGGAGCTTTTATGATATTTATAAGGGTGTCTTCCACTAGAAACAATGATGTTGCTGGAATTACTGAATCTATTAAATGTTATCCTAACATTTTCTTATGTAGGCACATCAAGGGAAAGCATTAAAAATTACATTATAAAACTGCACAATTATAATATTTGTAGAACCATAAAAGAAAAAGAAAGGTTTATGTTACAAATTGGTCCTGTCTTTTTGAGTCTTAAGAACTGGCCTAAAGTGCCTTATGCACAATTATTTCAAATTTGTATTCTTAAACTTCTAATAATTCAGTGGCTAGAAACAGCATTCCATTTAGATTCTGGTGTTAGTGGTAATGTTACATTTTGTACTTTGAAAACATATCAGCATGAATTATCTCTGCTTGCATAATGACAAAATCATTTTAAATACTTATGTCTGGAAGGTTATGTTAACCATGTCTGTGCACAACTAGACACTATCACAATAAAGTGCCCAGAGTTAAATATTTTATTTTGTTCTCTTTTAAGGAAACCCAAAATAGAAAGTCTCAAAAAATGTATTTGTAATATTTCAAAGCCAATTTCCATTTCCAATGGATTATCTCTTTATCATATGCAAATCAATGTCAATTGTCTAAGAAAATCATTTGTATCCATTTCTCCAAGAGTCACAAACTTGCCCTGTTTTACTGTAACTTATATATCACTGTATTTTAAATTAATAAGATGATTAATTTCTTCCCCTCCACTTCACAGAAACATTTAATTAACTCTCCTTACCCAAATTCTCTTGAGAAGTTTCTAGGTGAAGCGTTTCTAATATCATCTTCTATCATCTTCTACATTTAGCACTTTTATAAGTGTATGCACACAATCAATGCTCCATTAATCTTGATAATAAGTTAAGAGGGAAAAATTCAAATGCCATTTTTTTGTTTATGATACCATTCTTTTGTTCAAATGTTAGGGTTCTTAGAAATTTTGTCATTAAAGTACACTATTTTTGTACAATTAATTGTACAAATGCATATTACATGTAATTTTTATGTTTTGCATAACATCCAAATACATTTTTACTGCATTACTAACAAAATATATATATTAAGTATAATTATGTTAATATGGCTAAATTTATATGGCTTTAATTTATATATTAAAGCTCAGACTGATCTTTGACCCTTCTCATTCTTCTCTATTCACCATATCCAATATATTAACACATCTTGTTGGAACTTCATTCAAAATATGTTAAACATTATCTCATATCTTTTCAACACATCCGTTGTTTACCTTGACCTAGGCCACCATTAATTCTCAGTGAAATTACTGCAATAGTCTCATTACAAGAATAAAAAACAAACAAACAGATTTTAGCCAGTAAATGAGACAAGAAAACTAAACTAAATGTATAAAGATGAAAAAATCAAAAAGTAAAATAGATTTCATTTAAGATGACATGCTTATGTTATATGAAATCTTTAGAAATATACCAAATCTCTTTCTTCCCAAAACACAGCAGAACGAAAGCCTAGAGCTCATAAGTAAGGTCTAGTGTGACAGGTCCCCCACTAGATTACTTAAGGATGTAGGCCTGCTGCTTGAACCTTAAAGGCTAGTCAGTGAGTCAAGGCCATGGGCTCTCAGGGACACCAGCCATTGGATTCTTAGGGATGCCAGGCGAGAAGCAGGTGTCCCTGAGAACCAAAACATCCCAGCGAGTAGCTGAGAGCCTACCAAGGAAAACAGTCCCATCTCACACACGCACAGTAGGCAAAAAGCCAGAAAATTAGCTTGAAAGCAGCTTAAAGATGAAAAGCGGCAGGACTCTTTAAAGCTGCCCGGCTGCTGCTCAGAAGTCTCCCATATGTAAGTGTTAATCAACTTACCAAACTGGACTTGTCTGAGTCATCTTTTGGTTGCCTGGCAGCCTTCCAGTCTGTGATAGTGGATGTTACAGTCCCAAGTTTTTCTCATAACACAAGGTTCGTAGAGCTACAGAATACACTACTAATGTGCATAATCAATTGAATTTCTATGTCCTCAGAATAAACAACCCATAACTTAATAAACTAATTCAATTTAAAACATCAATCATTATAAAACATTTTTACACAGTTTTTTTTAAATGGGGACCTGCAGCATTGCAAATTACAACACATTGCCTAGATATATTAAATAAGAGGCAAATACATGGAGAAAACTACATGTTCATGGGTTGGAAGTCTTAATAATTTTAAGATGGCAGTTCTCCCTAAATGGACATAGAGATTTCATGAAATTCCTATAAAAATCCCAATAGCACTTTTTATGGAAATTGGCAAACTGATTAAAAACTATACATAAAAATGCAAATGATTTAGACCAACCTGAAAAGAAAAATTATTGAAAAACAAGAACTTACACTTTCAGGTTTCAAAAATTCCAGTAAAGCTAAATAATCAAGATGCTGTGATACTGGCATTAGGATAGACACATAAAGCAAGGGAACAGACTAGAAATAAATGTGACATAAACCCATTAAAAGATGCTCACCATCATTGGTAATTAAGGTACATGCAAACATACATATACAAAAACACACACACATGTAATTAGACACATCTACACACTTACTACAATGGTTATTAAAACTAATGACAAAAATCAAATATTACAGAAGTTGTGTAGAAAGTAGAGCCCTCATACATTGCTTGCAGGAACATAAAATAGTATAAACATTACAGCAAACAGGGTGGCAAATTATATATCCTCATGACAAGAAAAAAATTAAAAATCACTTATATATAGAAAAGATAGTAGGACAGCAATGCACAGTTACTCTCTTGCCCAAGGGATACATCAACTTTTCAACTGTTTCATATTATATTCTGTGGGAACCTTTAACATATTGATACTGTACAGAGCATCACACAGGTGATATAGCAATGATAACATGTTAATCAGAATGAGTTAACTACATGTTAACATCTAATTACAATGGATGTTATAGTAAGACCCATGTTCACATGGAGGGGATAAAGTCTGCACAAAGTGGTTTCCCCCATTTGTGAAGATTTCAGGAGTTCAAAGATCTGAATCATATTGCGACACCCCTTCTAAGATTAAGACAAATAAAGTATTGTACTGTATATCCCTTTGTCTCCAAGAAAGACAGCTAGTGCTATTTTTCTTTTCCAGTTAAGGTATCACTATTCACATACCCTGTTCCCTTATGTCAGGTCTACTTGACGTTTAAGGTGATACATTTCTTCTCTCAACTACTGTTCATTTTCTTACTAAAAATAATAGTTCAGATAAAGTAAATTTTTTACATTTTTCTTCTATATAACAAAAATCTTGAGAAAAATCTACAAATTATAATCCTTACTCTCCAAATTCTGCAATCTCAGAAAGGTTACTTTAAAACAGTAATATTTAACTAATGTATAACCCAATAGCTGACTCCTAATTATACATAACTATTACAATAGCTAACATTATAATAAACCCCTTCCTGGATTTCTACACTTCACCACACTTCATCTCTATCATGAACCCAATCATTTGAGTCACATCACTTTATTAACATAGGTATAATGTGCAGTTTCAAAATATATAACTTTCTAAAAAATGATAGTCTGGGCTGAGCATAGTGGCTCACGCCTGTAATCCTAGTACTTTGGGATACCTAGTCTGGTGGATTGCTTGAGCTCAGGAGTTAGAGACCATCCTGGACAACATGGTGAAAACCTGTCTCTACAAAAATTATCCAGATGTGGTGGTGCACACCTGTATTCTTAACTACTCGAGAGGCTGAGGTGAGGGAATGGATCATTTGAGGATGGAAAGTCGAGGCTTCAGTCAGCTGTGATTGCACCACTATACTCCAGTCTAGGAATAAGAGACCCTAAGAAAAAGTATTCTTACTTTCCTCTTTTTAAAAGACATCTTTGAATCATTGCAAAAAGTACAATTTTTAAGAGGCTTTTACATGAACTTTCCATCTTTTTCCATTATTCACTATGGCCCTTTCTTAGAAAAGATTGGCCTTTCAGATTCAATGTGCATTTGGATTTACGCATTTTGAAAATGTGTGCCCCTAGAACAGATAACTACATGCCCCCCTTTCCAGGAGTATAAATTTTCCTGAAAGTTTAGGAAAATATGTTAATATGTAATTATCCAGATATATTATTTAAGGAAATTACATTAATGTTAAAGTCAGACTTCAAATACATGTTACATTGATTAATATTACTTTGAGCTACAGCCTCTGACACCAGGGAAACAGGCACACTATTCTCATTGCACATCTAAAATCAAAGTTCCTGAAGTAAATTTTACATACCTGTCTGTAGTATTGAGAGGTGACAGCGTGCTGGCAGTCCTCACAGCCTTCGCTTGCTCTCGGCGCCTCCTCTGCCTGGCCTCCCACTTTGGCAGCACTTGAGGAGCCCTTCAGCTCACCACTGCACTATGGGAGCCGCTTTCTGGGCTGGCCAAGGCAGGAGCCGGCTCCCTCAGCTTGCAGGGAGATGTGGAGGGAGAGGCGCGAGCGGGAACCGGGGCTGCGTACGGCGCTTGCGGGCTAGCTGGAGTTCCGGGTGGGCGTGGTTGTGGTGGGCCCCGCACTCCGAGCGGCCGGCCGGCTCTGCCAGCCCCGGGCAGTGAGGGGCTTAGCACCCAGGCCAGCGGCTGCGGAGGGTGTACTGGGTCCCCCAGCAGTGCCAGCCCACCGGCGCTGCGCTCAATTTCTCGCCGAGCCTTAGCTGCCTTCCCGCGGGGCAGGGCTCCGGACCTGCAGCCCGCCATGCCCGAGCCTCCCACCCCCACTGTGGGCTCCTGTGCGGCCGGAGCCTCCCCGATGAGCGCCGCCCCCTGCTCCTCGGCGCCCAGTCCTGTAGACCACCCAAGGGCTGAGGAGTGCGGGCGCACGGCGTGGGACTGGCAGGCAACTCCACCTGCAGCCCCAGTGCGAGATCCACTGGGTGAAGCCAGCTGGGCTCCTGAGTCTGATGGGGACGTGGAGAACCTTTATGTCTAGCTCAGGGATTGTAAATACACCAACTGGCACTCTGTATCTAGCTCAAGGTTTGTAAACACACCAATCAGCACCCTGTGTCTAGCTCAGGGTTTGTGAATGCACCAATAGACACTCTATCTAGCTACTCTGGTGGGGCCTTGGAGAACCTTTGTGTCCACACTCCGTATCTAGCTAATCTGGTAGGGACGTGGAGAACCTTTGTGTCTGGCTCAGGGATTGTAAACACACCAATCAGCGCCCTATCAAAACAGACCACTGGGCTCTACCAATCAGCAGGATGTGGGTGAGGCCGGATAAGAGAATAAAAGCAGGCTGCCCCAGCTAGCAGTGGCAACCTGCTCGGGTCCCCTGCCACACTATGGAAGCTTTGTTCTTTTGCTCTTTGCAATAAATCTTGCTACTGCTTACTCTTTGGGTCCACACTGCCTTCATGAGCTGTAACACTCACCGGGAAGGTCTGCAACTTCACTCCTGAGCCAGCGAGACCACGAGCCCACTGGAAGGAACAAACTCCCGCACGCCGCCTTTAAGAACTGTAACACTCACAGAGAGGGCCCGCGGCTTCATTCCCGAAGTCAGTGAGACCAAGAACCAACCAATTCCGGGCACGGTATGAATGAAAATCCAGTACTTTATATTAGTTTCTCCTTTTGGGGGGAAAAACTATTAATGGTGTGATTCCAAGAGCTTATGAGGTGTGTTCGTTACCTGGATATCTATCTATATATACCACATCGAATTTTAATAAGTAAATTTCCATCAAGTGATATATAGATGCGTACTAACTATTACATAATAAATATTGGAGAGTCTTTGTGGTACTGGCACAAGCTGGAAAAAGTAATGTGATGCTTTTTTTTTTTTTTTTTTTTTTTGAGACGGAGTCTTGCTCTGTAGCCCAGGCTGGAGTGCAGTGGCGCCATCTTCGCTCACTGCAAGCGCTGCCTCCTGGGTTCACGCCATTCTCCTGCCTCAGCCTCCCGAGTAGCTGGGACTACAGGCGGCTGCCACTGCGCCCGGCTAATGTTTTTTTTTTTTTTTTTTTTTTTTTTTGAGATGGAGTCTCGCTTTGTCACCCAGGCTGGAGTGCAGTGGCATGATCTCGGCTCACTGCAAGCTCTGCCTCCCGGGTTCAGGACATTCTCCTGCCTCAGCCTCCCTAGTAGCTGGGACTACAGGCGCCCGCCACCACGCCCGGCTAATTTTTTGTATTTTTTAGTGGAGAGGGGGTTTCACTGTGTTAGCCAGGATGATCTCGAACTCCTGACCTCGTGATCCGCCCGCCTTGGCCTCCCAAAGTGCTGGGATTACAGGCAATGTGATGCATTTTATACAAAGACAGGCCAGAATACGTAGGCTTCTATTTTCAAATTTTGTCTTCTGGCAATGTTGATACATTTGCACCATTACATCTCTTAGGTAATTTTCAAGCATTTGCCTTTCTTTGTTATATAAATCTTCTCTTTCTAAAGGGATCAATTGGGATTAGAATTTTATCCTACTGCTAAAACATAAAGCAAAAAGGCCAAAAGTGATCTCACCTTTTCAGAGAAACGCACTTAAATAGCAGCAGCAGGTGCCTCTCTTTTCTGAGCTTCCCTTCACCTGAATGTGGTTCTGGTACTTAAAGGTACAGTATTTATTTTTTTACATAACATAGCCCTAATGTAAGCCAATTGCGTACCATGTGCTGTTACAAAGAAGTATTGATCCATTTTCCTGTTGAAGGAAAAGTTGCTATTTTTGGACTTATTGAGAGATGATATGTGGATTTCCAGCTTGATGTCTTCCTAAGGGATTTAAAGGTGATTTTTGCTTTAAAAGAGCAGAACAATACTATTTTTTAAATGGAACCTTTACATACTGGCTAAGTCATAGATATTTTATTACTTAGCAATACTGTCTGTTTTTCTCTTTATTGTAAAGACTCCTACATATATAATTATCTTACTTGCTCAAAGGTATATTAATAAAGCAAAAAGGTATATGTTAAACTAAAATTCAATGGTTTGAGAAGAAATTTCCTGACACAGTAGTTGAACAAAAGTCTTAGATTGTTCCATCTGAGCTTTCATAGATTACATGTTATTCTTATTATGAGCTTGTCATAAATGAACCTTGTAGTACTAGGGCACTTTTGTTTACAGAGTCTAACGAGTTTGCAATACAGTAAGAATGGAAATCGTCTTTTAAAAGTAGCTTATGTTTTAAAAGCACATCCTGTCCTTTTATAATGTCAAAAAGTTCAACAAAAATTTTATTAAAATTCACAAGATTAAAATTTTTTTTATTTAACAGTCTACTTTGATTCTGATAAGATAAACTAAAAATTGTGACAATCCTAGGCAAAATGTATAGTAAGCTAAGTCAGATTTTAATGTAACTCTCTGTAGCCTAAATTTTCTTAGAACCCAAGAGTTAGCATAATATACTATTAGCATAAAAATTACAGGATTACTCTGGAAGTGCTGTTGTTTCTGGACCATGTTGGGGATTTTATTTCTACTATTCCTACCATCAGTTTTTACATTCATTCTGAATCTGTTTGGGTGACTGTGATTGTTAGTGCCAGTAGATGTGTGCTAACTAGTAATATTGGAAGATGCTTTATCTTAAAGTAATGTAACTCTGCTATAGAAGAATAGTCTGTCCTCCAAAGAATTAGTGTACTTTTATTAATAACTTTAAAATATTAAAGACATTCTCTTCTCCCCAAATATCAGTATCAAGCATTGTTTACCTCCTTACATCTTAGTTTCACATGCATTATCTCTAATTTTACAGCAAGTTTGAATTAGGCAGAGACATTAATATCCTACTATTATAAATGATTACAGAAAGCTTTATTAACTTGCTAAGGTTTATACATCTAGTAAGCAAACAGTTGAGAATTCACATACAGATTTTCCGATTTCTTCCCCAATGTGCTTTCCACTGTACAATGCAATATTTCAAATGAAGTATCACTATGTTGTTGACTGTTCAAGATTAAATATGCATGAGAAATAAAAATAAGCATAGAGGATGAGGGTGATAGTTTAAAAGTAAGTAAAATATTTTTATATCCAAAAAGCTAAAGAAGGAATACTATAAAAGAAACTTTAGTAATTAATATATCATAATAATATTTATATAATTTATCTTATGTATGTACTTAGTATAAGTAAAATTTGTAAACTTACTTGGAACAAAATTTCAAGTTACAGTTTCGATTTAATAGAAAATTTGCATGTTTCATATTGCTGTTGAAGACACTTAATTTTCACACAAAATCTTTCCCAATCCTTTTTCTAGCTTTCGCCTGCCATGCAAACTGAAAAACCAAAAGGCCACTTTCTCAGTTTCCTTTACTTGCATGGAAACCAATCAATGAGAAGTGAACAGAAGTTGGCTAATTAAAATTAAATTTAAAAAATAATATTATTATAAAAAGAGACAAAGTTTACCGAAGCAAACTTTCTCAGTTCTTCCATCATGCTTTCTTTAAAGTGAACAAGTGAGTATAGCCATAGTAGCCATCCAGCAACCTTGTGAGAAATATTAACAGAAGAATCATAGACATGAACTTAAAGGTGGTTGAACCATGAAACCAACATAAGCAGAATCTACTGTCAGACTTATTATATCAGGAAAATAAAATTCTATATCTATAATATAATTAAGTTAGGTTTTCCCTTACCAGAGAATTAATGCTTAACCATTTCAATTATTCTTAAAATTTACACTTGAAAAACAGTAGGTGTAAGTTACATTCTTTAAAAGGAAAGTAAATGTCATCTGTGAGCTTTTATGACATTATCAAATGTGAAGATGAATATAAAGCCAAAGTCAATATTTTGATAAGTGCTTTGTTTTAAATTTGAAAGGGGCTGTGTCAGTCTAATTCTCCCTCTCCTTTTAAGTTTAGTGACTGAAGGGCCAAAGAGCTGGCAAACGTAGTTTGATATAAACAAACATTACCACCCAAATATTACTTAAGTGGTAACTGAAAGAAATTCATTTCTCATTGATTGCTCTTTCTGAAAACAGATGCATTGGAAAACTGCAAGCTTCTGTATTGCAATTAAAATGGTGAACATACAGCAACTATATAGTAGTTAAGATTATTAAGAGCAAAGCCTTATTAAATTACATATAGGAAATTATTCTTAGAAGAAACAAATTATGACAAAAATGATGTATTTCCTGAAGTTTTGTCTACTTTTCAAAAAAGTATTATTTTCCTGGATGATATCTGATACTCTTATGACTTGGTTTCAACTACTCACTTTATGTTGGATATTCAAATATGTAGATCAGCAGTTCTAAATCATGTTTCTAAAAACTTAGTACTTATCTTCCAACTCATGTTAACTTCTCTCAAATGCCTTTTGATTATCATGTACCATGAAAGTATTTGTTCTCCTGTATTTTCTACCATATTTTAAGGTACTTTTACCTCCACAGCAGTCAATATTTAATCCAGATCCAGTCTTTTCATAATATTTCATTATATTTCCAGTGTCTCTCAACATCCTGACCTCTTATTCATTTTCACTGTCATTTTAGTTCTTCATTATCTTCCATGGACTACTAAAATAGTGGTAGAGGAGCATATTTCCCTACTTGCAATCATTCCATTTTCTATACTGACTCTTTCCTCAATATGTGTCTATTTTTGTAAAAACTCTTCAGTAGCTTCACAGTGGCAAGCAAACTCATTACAGCAAATAAGGCCATTCACAATCTGGCTCTATCTATATACAGCCTTAACGTCCTGTTCTTTCCGTAACCAAAGCTATGCTTTGCACAGATAAAACCACATGCTAGCTGATGAACACACAATTATTTTTCTTGCCTCTTTTATTTTGCTCATATTTAAGTGCCCTTTCACCTGCTTCCACTTGTTGAAGCCCTATTCATCATGTAAGACATAGGCCAAAGTGTGATACCTACTGATACAACTCCCTGATTTGATAAAACAACAAATTTCCTGGTAAAACTCTGCCATAATGTCATCAGAAGAATTGTCTGAATGAGCTTGCTATAAAGAACAGGAGCCAAGAAGGCTTCTATTCTATCTGAATGCATTTTATTGGTAGATTTCACAGTAGTGATTTCCTTTACCCTCATAAAATCTGAACTTATTTATAACATGTTACTTCACATATTGTATTTTAATTATTGTCAATTATGTTTATTACCTCTGAGAGCCTGTGAAGAAAGAGACAGTTTCATATACTTTTTATTTAAATACTTGCTGTACACAGTGTCTGACAAAATGTAGATGCACAGTCAGTGTGTTCAAATACTATAAAAAGTCAATGAGACTAAAATTGACAAAGTATGGTTGATACTATGGTTAATTCACTGAACAATTCTTCTTGTTTTAACTTTACTATGATGAAGCTTATTGGCTATAAACACATAGGATAAAAATAATTTTAATGGATTATTTATGATGTTTTGAAGTTTGCCCATTATGTTTCTTTTCTCCCAACAATTACTCAATTTATTATAATAAACATTATTTTTTGCACATACAAAACAAAAAATATATAAACACTGATTACTACCTGGCACTAAAGTGTGCAATGCAGGTTATAGGGCCATAGAAGAGCTACATTCCCTGACATCATTTGTAATTCTACACATACACACCTAATAGAGCTTTAGTGAGTATATTTTTCTTAAATTAATTTTTTCTACAAGTTCTAATACATTGTATTTGAAAAATATAAAAACCTAAATTTGGGAAAAGATGATTTTGACCAGAGAGATGTGGAAAGAAGTGATATATGCTTCTGATGCCTGAAAAATTAGAAATGGAACATTTGCTTAGTCCTGGAAATGAAAGGCACATGCTGAGCCTCACAGAACGCTGTATTGCTAGATTTAAACAACTTTGGCCAAAATATTCTTCCCAGGTTTTCATCTCAGATTTTTATGGTTTGAGGTCTTACATTTAATCCATCTTGAATTAATTTTTGTATATGGTGAAAAGTGAGAGTCTAGTTTCAATCTTCTGTATTATGCCTAGCCAGGTATCCCAGCACCATTTATTGAATAGGGTTGTTTCGTCAACCTTGTTGAAGATCAGATGGTTGTAGGTGTGTGGCTCTATTTCTGAGTTTTCTATTCTGTTCCATTGGTCTATGTGTCTGTTTTTGTACCAGTACTATGCTGTTTTATTACTGTAGCCTCATAGCATAGTTTGAAGTTGGATAGTATGATGCCTCCAGCTTTGTTCTTTTTGCTTAGGTTTGCTTTGAATATTTGGGCTCTTTGTTACTTCCATATGAATTTTAGAATTGTTTCTTTTCTAATTCTGTAAAAAATGACATTGGTAGCTTGATTGAGATAGTGCTGTATCTGTAGATTGCTAAAATGACAGTATGACCATTTTAATGATATTGATTCTTCCAATCCACAAGCATAAGTGGTTTGTCCATTTATTTTTGTCATCTCTGATATTTTCAGCAGTGTTTTGTAGTTCTCCTTGTAGAGATCTTTCACCTCCTAGGTTAGCTATATTCCTAGTTATTTCATTTTCCTTGTGGCCATTGTAAATGGGTTTGTGCTCTTGATTTGATGCTCAGCTTGGACATTATTGGTGTGTAGAAATGCTACTAACTTTTGAACACTGATTTTTGTATTCTGAAATCTTGCTAAAATTGTTTATCATTTGTCGTGTCTCTTCTGGATTTTGGTATTGGGATTATGCTGGCTTCACAGAATGAGTTAGAGAGGAGTCCCTTATCCTTGATTTTTTTTTGGAAAAGTTTTAGTAAAGTCGGCCTTGGCAAAAAAATTATGGTCAAGTCCCTAAAAGCAATTATGAAAAAAAAATTGAAAACCAGGACCTAATTGAACTAAAGAGCTTCTGCATAGAAAAAGAAACCGTCAACAGAGTAAACTGACAACCTTACAGAATAGTAGAATATATTTGCAATCTATGCATCTTACAAAGGTCTAATATACAGACTCTTCAAGGAATATCCAGACTCTGCAAGGAACTTAACAAGAGAAAACCAAGTAACACTATTAAAAAGTGGGCAAAAGACATAAACAGATACTTCTCAAAAGAAGACATAAGACATAACATTATGAAATGTTCAACATCACTAATCACTGGAGAAATGCAAATCAAAAGCATAATGAAATATCATCTCACACCAGTCAGAATAGCTATTATTAAAAAGTCGAAAAACAACATATGCTGGCAAGGCTGCAGAGAAAAGGGAATGCTGATACACTGCTGGTGGGAATGTAAATTAGTTCAGCCACTGTGGAAAGCTATTTGGAAATTTCTCAAATAAATTAAAACAGGGCTACCATTAGACTTAGCAACCCCATTACTGGATATTTAGCCAAAGAAATATAGTTCATTACACCAAAAAGACATATGCACTCATATGTTCATCACCATGCTATTCTCAATAGTGAAGGCATGGAATCAAATTAGGTGTCCATCAATGGTGGATTAAATAAAGAAAAATGTGTACATGCACACCATGGAATACTACACAACCATAAAAAGTATAAAATCATGTCCTTTGCAGCAACATGGATGAAGCTGGAGGCCATCATCCTAAGTGAATTAACACAGGAATGGAAAATGAAATACCTTATGTTCTCATTTATAAGCAGAAGCTAAATATTGAGCACATATGAACATAAACATGGGAATGATAGTCACTGCAGACTACTAGGGAAGGGAGGGAGGGGGACTTGGTTTCAAAAACTACTTATTAGGTACAGTGCTCACCACTTGGGTCGAATATACCCATGTAACAATCCTACATGTGTACTCCCTGTATCCAATATAAAAGCTGACTTTTTTTTTTCCTAAAGATGTAAATATGGATTGCTCTCTTGTCTTCTAAATTTAATGGTACACATAATAATTCTGGATGTGGCATGAGTTTGGTTCCTTCGCAAGTACTTTGCATTTTATTTCCTTTTTTGTTCATTTATTGTTGTTTATTGATTGTTGTTTATTGATTGTTGTTGGTTGTTCCTAGGCCTGTTAGCTGGCAAAGCAAAAATTTATCTGTGTGTGTATATCAACCTCTATTTGGATACAAATCTATACGTTTTCCTGCATGAAACCACTGTATCATTATTGAGCTAATTCATTACCACATACATCATCCCAGTCTCCTCTCATTGCTGATCTGTAATCTAACATTCAAACTAAGAAACCCGGTTTCTGCCATCTGCTATCCATTTACTTAATTGTTCACTTTTTGCATTCTTATATATTGGCTCTAGAATTGTTAACTCATTCCCGTATAAGACACAACTTTATAGAATAGAGTATAGTGCTTATGAATAGTTCCTTTCACCTGTATTTTTTCATATGCCACTCATCAAAGTTGCTCAGGTTAACATCTCCCCATACCATGCTTCAGTGAAGTTGTTTGCTACACTTGTAAAACAGTTAAATTATTTTGTCACATTTTACATTCCATCCTGGGAAGTTCCAACTTCCTAACTTTTTAAAAAATCTTCATATGTTAGGTTTTACTATTTGTGCTGTAATTCACTATTTTGTCATAACTTTCAATTGGTATTAATAAATGTATAGTGTCATTTTCTACTATTACAGCATCACAAGAAATAGTTGCATAATGCCATGACATTCTCTGTGTTTTATTTATTCAGACTCCCTCTTCTCAAACTCTAGTAACCATTGACTTCTGTCTCTGTAGTTTTTCTTTTCCAGAATGTCATGTAAATGGCATATTATAGAATATAGCCTTTTCAGAGTTTCTGTCACTTACATATATACACTTAGGATTCATCTCTGTATGGGTTGACAGCACATTCCTTTCTATCCTTGGATATACCCTATTGTACAAATGAACCAGTGTTTGTACACGTATTCGCTTATTGATAGGCTTATTGGAGACACTGCTTGCTTTCAGTTTGGGTTAGATTTTAAATAAAACCACTATAAATAGTCATGCGCATGATTTTGTATGCACGTATGGTTTTAAAAGTTGGCTAAATACTGAAGAACACAGTTGCTGGATCTTATGGTAAGATGATATTCAGCTGTGTAAGAAACTGATAAATTATTTTCCAAAGTGGCTGCACCACATAGGAGAATTCCCTGTTGCTCTTTATTCTTGTCAGCATTTGGTATTGCTAGTTTGCAAGATTTTGGTCATTGAAATAATTGTGTATTGATACCTCATTCACGTTTTAATATGCATTTCCCTCATGACAACAGAGGTTGAGCATCCTTTTGTATGTTTATTTGCCATATGTAAAGCTTCTTTGGTGAGGTATTTGGCCAGATGATAGTCCATTTTTAAGTTAGTTTGTTGTTTTATTGATGAGTTTAAATAATTTTTTGTATATTTTGGATACAAGTTCTTTATCAAATATGTATTTTGCAAATATCTTCTCCCAATTTCTGACTTTTTTCATTCTCTTTACAGTGTTTCTCATTGAGCACAAGTATAATTTTAATGAATTCTAACTTATCTTTTTTTTCATGAATTATGCTTTTGGTGTTGTAATTCAGATTTATTACCATACCCAAGGTATATAGATATTTTTCTATGTTAGGTCCTAGAAGTTTACAGTTTTACTGTTTATGTTTAGATCTATGTTCCATTTTGAGCTAATTTCTTCTAAATGGTAAAGTCTATCTAGTACCACCATTTTGCATAGGGCTGTCTAATTATTTCAGCATCATTTTTGAATATGCTATTATTTCTCCACTGAATTGCCTCTTTGCATTTGTATAAAACTGTTGACTTATTTGTGTATGTCTGTTTCTAAGTTCTTTATTATACTTTTTATATACAACTTAGTTTATGTGTCTATTCTTTTTTTTATTTTTACACACATATTTTTTAGATAGGGTCTCACTATTTTGCCCAGGATGGCGTCAAACTCCTGGAATTGTTGTATTTTGTTTTGGTTTTGTTTTTGTTTGGTTTGGTTTGGTTTGGTTTTCAGACAGTGATATAGTTTGGATATTTGCCTCCTCCAAATCTCATGTGAAAATTCATTGTTAATATTACAGGTTGGGCTTAGTGGGAGGTATTTGGGTTTGAAGGTGGATCCTTCATGAATGGCTTGGTGCCTTTCTCTTCCTCCTGGTAACAAGTGAGTTTCCATTCTGTCAGTTCCTGTGGGAACTGATTGTTATAAAGAGACTGGCACTTCCTTTCCCTCCCTCTTTCTTCCTCTCTTGCCATATAACGCCTGCTCTCTTTCTCCTTCCACAATGAGTGGAAACTTCCTGAACTCCTCACCAGAAATAGTTGCTTGTGTAATGATTCTTATATAACTTGCAGGACTATGAGCCAAGTAAACCTTTTTTTTTAAATATAAATTACCCAGACTCAGGTATTTCTTTATAGCAACACCAATGAACTAAGACAGACTGTGTCTATAGTGAGTATTGAAATCAGGTAGTGAAAGATCTACAATGTTGCTTTCTTTTTTAATTTTTAGGGAAAAAAATGAAGAAAATAAATGACTTTAACTTATAAGATTGTTTGCCAAAAAATATGCCATTTAATTTGGAGGAAATAAAGTCATAAAAGGCATAAAATAATAAGTAAAACATTTTCTAGAAAATTATTAGTATATTAATTTCCTCTGATGACAATTGGCACAGGTATGGAGATAGATTTGTTGTCAATTCTTGGTTCTGTCACATTAGGTATATGACTGTTTCAACGTTATGTGTAAACAGTAATAATAAAGACTACCTCAAGAATATACATAAGGATTAAGGTGAAAAGTATGCATTCAGCTGAAATTGTTGTTAGTGTTATTTTTAACATGATTATCCTAATAAATGACTCTGTGGAAAAGCATTTGGAAAAAAAGTTAAACGTGAGTGACTGAAGTGGTTTCATGATTGTAACATTTGATGTAACCTTAAAAATCATTATTAGGTAGAATTGCATTGAGCAACAGTTGACACTCAAAAAGCAAATATCCAATATGTTATTGTGTCAATATTTCTTTGCTGGTGTCCCTTTGCTATAAAGTTTTCCTTTTTATATTGTGCCTTAGTAATGGTTACTTTATTAGGTAGAAATTTCTTGAAATCTTTTTTGTAACTTAGAGAACTGAATAGTTTCCTTTTGTACTTGAAGTGTAATTAGATAGAGCTAAAATACTTAGGACTATAATTTGAAGACTAGCTGAAATCAAACAAATGACACCTAACACCAAAGACTCAGAGTATTTTCAGTTCAGATCACAGCTTTTAAGAACTAATAGATGGATGGTGTAAATCTCAAAACAGATGATACACTATTTTCAATAGTTGTTTAGTAGTCCTGTTTTCGAATTAGAGGCAAAACGTGGTTAATTCTAAATTAAGAGGCAAAACATCAGTATTTCTAAGTTTAAGATAGAAACACAAAACTCAGAAGAGGTTTTAATATTTAAAAATTATATAATAATTTCTAAAATTTTCTATTATTAATGTGGAGCTATTTTGAAACATGATTACCCATACCTTCTCAAGGTTTCTTATGTAAACTGTGAGTACATCAAACTGGCTTTTTCATAGATTCAGTATTGCTAAAATGGCTATGAGGATTTTTGTCTAAACCATCTCTTTCTTTTGTATAATATTATTTAAGGAATTGCATTTTATTAGCTCCTATAAATCAAAAAGATGGAACAAACATGAATGACATCATTAAAGAGCTTATTATCTACAAGCAGATAAAGACCTATATATAAAACAAAACCACAAGCAGTGGCGTGTGCCTATAGTCCCAGCTCCTCCAGAGGCTGAGGCAGGAGAATCAGGAGTTGGAGACTGTAATGCCCTGTTAATGCACCTGTGAACAGCCACTGTACTCTAGCCTGGGCAACATAATATGACCTTAACTCTAAAAAAAAAAAAAGATAAATAAAAAAATTAAAAGTCTAAAGTATTATGTGAGTTTTTAGGACAGAATGGTAAATTGCAGTTTGAGAAATTAGAAAAATCTTTTTTGTTTTTAAATAACCTACTTTTTAGTATAAACTAATGAATACTAGCTTTATATATTTTCAAGATGATTAACAGAAGAAATAGGAATATAAAATCACTAAGCATCTTAGCACAATGACAAAATATATTTTATAGATTGATAAAATACATTCTTAAAATATACACATAGCTATGTATATACACACATACAAACATGCTTATATTTATTGGAAATATGTATGCAATGTCAATTTTGCATACATATAGGCATATACATATTTATACACCTGCATAGACACATTCGTACAGACACATATGTGCATGTATGCATACATACATATATATGTAACTTTACCTAAGTGACATACACACATGCATGCATACAAACACATTGTATATGGTGTTTTCCTGTTAATATTTTATAAGCAATTATATTGGGACAATTCTTCCTCCAAAGATTTCTCTTCTAGCAAAATGGCAGACTAGGTACCCTGAAATAAGTCTGTCATCTAAATTAAATATATAAATATTAAACTAAAAAATTCTAGATACATATTCCAGAATCTTATATTTTAAAATAAAAGACTGCACTTGAAAGAAAATGAAGTAAATCCTTTACTCTTGGTTAAATACATAAGCTTTGAAGTAACTAGCTGCCCCACTATCATTACCAATACAAGCAGATTGAGGGTTTTGGTTTTAAAGACAGCTTGGCAAATGGTGTGAGATGGGAGTGGATAGCGGGGACTTGGACCCATGCAGAATCTGAAAAATCTCTGCATAAATGTCAAAAATAATACATCTATATGCTCAAAAAAGTATAAACTGGATATGAAATCCTGGCCCACATAGACAAATGTCAAAGAAACTTTTCCCATCACATTATCGTTTATTGCAAGAAAAAACATTTCTGCTGAGAATTTGAGGCCACTGGCTAGTCTCATTTTGGTTTGGGCTTGAATTGAAACATTTTCATGGCCAATCCAGGCCTACTATATTAATAGCAATTTAAAAGACCCCAGACTTTTGATACGAATAAATACGAAATTTCTCAGGGGTTGGGGGAGAGGGAAAGACATTCAAACTAAACCACAAAGAATCTTTTAAAGGAGAATGCAAACAAATAGGAGCTTATAGACTCAGTAAAATTTCTCTATAAACTGAATGTCAGCTCTGAAATGTGCCTTCACATCAATAATGGCATCCAGCATGAAAGCTGTAATATAATAGTTTGATTGTTCCCTTTCCAGTCTTCCTTACAGTCCCCTCTAAAGCAATTATTCTGTTCAAAAGAGGATTTGTTTGTGATATTCCTTTAAGAATCTTTATTTATTCCCCCAACAGTTTCTTTTTCTGCATCCGCTGCTCTGTTAAGTGATCACCACATTCATTGTTCTCGTTTCTATTATTTCTGAAAAAAATCTTCAGGATTCTGCTTGTGGGAGTGGATGACATTTTTACAGTGTTTACAGGTAAGGTTTTTTTTTTTTGTCTAAGTATTAGTTATTATAAGGAATTTACTGAGTATTTGAAACATTAAATCCAAGCTCAAACTCAATTAAATATTGAGAAATTTGTTTTCTCACATACTGGAGATTTAAAAGTAAGGCAACTTCAAACATAATATAATTAGCAGTTTTGCAGCTTAATAAAGCTACTAAGAACCTAGGTTATTTTCTTCCTTCCAAAATGGTAACCCGCTAATAAACAGGTTTTGCTTTCAGAAGGCTAAATTTTGTTGCTTTTGCCAGATTGGGTCACATACCTACCTTTAAACTCATGATCAATAAGGGTCATGGTTCCACTAAGACAGATGAATCACAAATTTCATATAAGCTCAGGATGTAGTCTTCTATATGTAGGTCACCTAGAGGCAGAGTGATGTCTAATCACTCTGATTAAATAAAATCAACATATTTTGTTAGCAAGAATATTGGTTGAGTAACTAAACTTCTAAAGTAGACATAGTTAAAAGAACGATCTTAATTGTTATTTTAGATAAAATGAAACATAAATGTGCTTCTATTGACTTTAAAAGAGTTAAGAATGTGAATATGCCATAATTTACAGAAAAATTATAGTACTGTTATTATTGCTCTAATTTTCATCAATTTTTTGCTATTGCCTAAATAATGTTGTAATGAGAAACTTTGTACTTAATATTTTGCCTTCATTCTGATTATTTCCCTTTACCTATTCATAGAAGGCAAATTAATGTTTCAAATCACATTTAAATGTTCCATCTTAGATATTGTGTAAAATTAGTTTTTCAGAAACATTGAATTTATTTCTTCATCAACAATGTAAAATATTTAAAATCTTATAGCTCAAGTCAGAAAGGAATATTTTTGGTTACTTCAACTTATTGACGAATTCAACTTAATTGATTTTAAAATAAAATATTCTTATTTAATTTAATTGATTTTAAATATTACAAAGCTTGATTATATATTATATATAATATATAATATGAAATCAGTAGCCTACATACATATGCATGCACACTTATTCTGCAAATTGCTTATATACTTTATTTTTCTTTTGTTGACTTTTTCTCTTATGAATATTGGAAACCTATACACATTAAAAATGAACTTTTTGTAATATGTACTGTAAATATTTCCCAGTTTATTTTTTATTTGCTTTTATGGCACTTAATTTACAGTTTAATATTATTTGTATACAAATGTATATATTTTTCTTGTTTTCCAATTACACATATGTTCCACAATGATCCAACATAATCTGTATTTTTCCACTTATCTCTCTGACATAAGCAAGTTTCTTCTGTCAATCTTCATTTCTTAATATGTAAAAGGGAGTGAAAAATGTATTTACTCCACTGAATACCAATGAGAATTACTTAGACAAAACCAAGCTTAATTTAAAAATCAAAAATAATTATTAAATCACTATAATCCTGCTAGTTGGGTAAAATATTGAAAAATCGATTTATTTGTTTATGTTAAACATTTTAATTGTTTATGTTAATTATTTTAGGTTGATTATAATAATTTTTCTAATTTTTAAATATTTAGTTTGAAAAATCTAAAGAAAATATGCTTCAGAGCATAAAATTAGTGTCTAATGAAAGCATCTTTGTGAACACAATGCTGGATTATTTTATTGGTTAATTTTAAATTATGTCAGTTATCAATGTGTTGTTAGATGGCTTCTGCTTATTCAAATCATGTAGTTTCTAGATATAAAACTAACCCCTCAGTTTGAGTTAGATTCCCTATGCCAAAAAGCCTAATTTATTTTTTCTAGCTTTAGGAAAAAAATAAGAATAACTTTTCAACTCAGTCTATTTCCTTTCAATAACTTCAAATGATGTTTAAAAATCAGCACATTACAAAATTATTTAAAATGTGCTTTGAAACTTTGAGGCTGGCTCCTTTAATTACTATTCAGATTGCATGTTCCCTTTTATAAGTTTGCTAACCTCTTCTATAATTAGGAAATTGTCAATGATGTTAGGCATTTCTCTTCTACCCTCTGCTATTATTTCACCCAGAATAGACTGAGTAGGGCATGTGCAGCCACTTCAACTTCCACCCATTTTTTATCAACTATTTTCCTAACTAAAAACAGATTCTACATGCCAGTTGATTTTTTAAAACTCTTGTTTTCCTATTCAGATTTTCTACTACTTATTTATTACCTTGCTTTATTTTGAATATTGCTCCTCCTTCATCATTTTTTTCTATTATGGGATATATATATATATATATATATATATATATATATATACATATTAAAAATGTAAATATATATATATATATATCCCATAATCTTACTGTGATGCTTCCTCTACATTGTTGCATAGGTGGAGAGAGAGTGCTCAATAACTATTTGTTAACAATAAATTTGCCTATACTTTGAATTCTTTTTTTTTTTTTAAGAGGGAGTTTTGCTCTTGTTGCCCAGGCTACAGTGCAATGGCATGATCTTGGCTCACTGCAACCTCCGCCTCCCGGGTTCAAGCGATTTTCCTGCCTCAGCCTCCCAAGTAGCTGGGATTACAGGCATGTGCAAACATGCCCAGCTAATTTTGTATTTTTAGTAGAGATGGGGTTTCTCCATATTGGTCAGACTGGTCTCAAACTCCCGACCTCAGGTGATCTGCCAGCCTCGGCCTCCCAAAGTGCTGGGATTAGAGACATGAGCCACTGTGCCTGGTCTACTTCAAATATTTTTATAAGATGACTTTGTTTGGCTAAAACTAAGGTTATGTTTCACAAAATTAGAATCAAGCTTACATGTAAATAGACTTAATGTCCAGCAAAAATAGAGGGGATTCATCATTATACATTAATTCCTCCCTTGACTTTTTAATTCATCACAGGGAGCTTAAATGTTAGCTGGGTCAAACTATGTCATGAATTAGAAAGTCTAATTGTCATGAATAATTCCATAAATTTCTGATAGTCTTCCAATATGACATATGAAAGAATACTATTTCTCTTAAAAATAACACTGAGGTGAAGCCCATCTTTGTGCAATGATAAAATTTCATTGTAAGCATGCAAATTCAACCCATCCAGAATATCTACTTAGAATTTTTACATCCTCTCTTCACATTCTCAAAATATTAATAGTAAGTATCTGTTATGATTTACTATTAGTTAATTTTGCAACACTTTGAGGTCAGTTTAGAGATGGTAACTTAGTCCAATATTTTATACAACTCCATACATACGCATCATAACTTAAATAATTGTCAGGTTATCAAGTTTATAGCATAGGAATTTGATTACTTTTATTCAAAAAAACACATCAATAAATATGAATAGATTGTCTATGAATTATATAATCACTTACTTAATGTGTTTAGCCAATAGTTGGTGAAACCTTTATTATATTCAAGTGCTATGTAATCAGATAGAAAGAAAGAACATATATGATCATTATGAAATACATATTCTAGAGAAGATAACATTAATTATAAAGGAAAAAATATTTTCTGAATAGAGCTGCAGTGAGAGCAATAAAGAAAGATAGGGAAGATAGATTAAGAATTAATAATATGAGTAGAGAATTAAAGAGATTAATTGTAGTTATCTTAGGTCCAAGAAAGAAAAAAATATTTGCAGAAAAATGTATTGTTATATACAAATCAGTAAAGACTTAGCATATGCCAAGAAATAAAATAGTTAAGAAACTCTGCTCATCCAGAACCTTGTGATTTGCTTATTTTGTGTTTGGGGGACAAAGGCTGTTGTGTAATATGGGAAAATGTTAGGAATTGAAACTAAAGAGAAATATACAGGTATTTTATGTGATGCAAAATAATTTAGAATGTATCCAATAAAACATGCTTAGTCTCTGAAAATATCTGAGTCAGATGTGCATATTTGTTTGCTATAAAGATCATTCTAGTGGGAGCATTGATGATTAACTTGAAAGTAGCTAGCCTAAAAGCACCAACTTCCTGGTAGTCTATTTATAGGTCTTGGAACTGTTAATCCAGCCTTAGAAAGCGTTGATGAAAGTTTGCATTATGCCAGTGTGAATGCTATTAAAGAAAAAGAGGCATATATAGAATTTGATTCAAAGAAGAAATAGAATGACTGATCAGATGTTTATCCAATCGGCCATTATATTTCAGTGTTGGAAGTGAAGCTGGGTGAAGATTTCCGGGTAATTGTCAAATATCTGTTAAGCCCTTAGGTTTTAAGAGTTAATGTAATCTCTGATAAACAATGTTCACAGAAAGTGGGGGAGTAGTGTCCAAATTACAGTTTATTTTGCCCTCTCAAACCACCTGAAAAACTCTTTAGAAAATTGTATAAATCAGAGTAAGTAAAAATAACACATTTCTGAATACCTATTCCCACATATAAATATTTTCAAATTTTGGCCTTTCCATAAACCTGAGATGTAAATATTCCTCTTATGTTATAGTTAGAGATGTAGTCTATCTTTTAGCTATTGGGTTATAAGAAATATTCCCAAACTCATACTAATATTACAAAAATAATACAATACTGTATAATTATAGCTCATGTGTCATTGGCTGAAATTCACTGATCTCAGTGGGGCTTAGCTTATCAAGGCTGTCTGGCTGAGATAAATGGGACATCTGGGCTCAGTGTCTGTCACATTTCTCTCATCCTCCTTTCAGAGTAAGCAGATTGGACTGGGACATGATCTTCTCTTCAAGAGGGCAGAAGCACAAGGCCCAATGTATAATTGCTATTCATAACTCTACTTATGTGATATTTGTTACCTGGGTCCCTACATTAGCCAAGGCAGAACACATGGTCAAGCTGAGGTGCAGAGAATTACACCTTGACTACACAAGAGTATAAATACAAGGAGGAGTGAAACTCCAGGGCCATTACTGTTGCCAATCTAACACAAATAGGACACTCCATTTTTTAAGATTGTAAGTTCTGCAGGAAAAATGCCTGAGTCAATATCCTGGCCCTACCAGGAGCTCTGTAACCTTGGAAAAATTACTAAGCCTGGTTTCTCATTTTAATAAGGAAAGACAGCAAAACTATACCTCATATCATTAATGAGTACACATTTGTGAGCCCTATATCTAACACAAAATATGTACCAAAAATATTAATTGTATTATTCCATATATGTGGGCATTGAGGTTCACAGGAGTTGACGTATTTAAAAATAAAATTTAACATTAATAATATGTGCTGAAATTGTGCTTGAATGCAGAAATTCAGATTTCCTGACTTTGGATTTCAGGTTTGTTAAACAACATCCTGCTATTACTATGTAAAAACATTGAAGTATAATCACTATAGAAAAAGGAAATATAATTAATCAATTATTACATTCTTTCTTTCTTTCTTTTTGGGGACGGGGTCTCGCTCTGTCCCCCAGGCTGGAGGGGGGACCGTCTCAGCTCACTGCAACCTCTGCCTCCTGGGTTCAAGTGATTTACCTGCCTCAGCTTCCTGAGTAGCTGGGACTATAGGCACCTTCCACCATGCCTGGCTAAGTTTTGTATTTTTTGGTAGAGACAGGGTTTCACCATGTTTGGCGAGACTGGTCTTGAACTCCTTACCTCAGGTGATCTGCCCATCTCGGCCTCCCAAAGTGCAGGGATTACGGGGGTGAGCCGCCGGCCTGGCCTACATTATTAAATTCTTAAACTGATGTTACACAGGCATCATTATAAAAATTACACGGTAGGGAATTAGTTGATAACTACTTTAAAATCTTTAAAGTATAAAATACATACTTTGTTCTATTTATAAAACATGATATGAAATAAATGACACATTCGCTGTATTAAATCCAATAAATTGTCAAAAATAGATGCATTACGTGTAGACTGGTATGGATTATTGAACAAATGTAATTACATTTTTAAATTCAAGCTGTCTGATACAGAATGTAGAACTAGGACACTTGCAAAGGTAGCACTGTAGTAAACATTTTATCTTAATGATATTATGCTACTTTAATACTATGTAATAGCACAAAGTCAACACTTTTAGGATGCCCAGGTACATACTGGAAATTGACCATTATATTCGTTTTTTTCTACAGATATTGAATATTCTTTTAAGGGATACACACAGACAACTAGCTCTTTCTACCAGAAAAGCGTTTTTGTAGACACATTGCAGTTTCATTTTTCTTTAATGACTGACACTGCTCCATATGTTCAGAGCTCATACTTCTAAAAGAAATTTGACAAATTGTTTGCTGTGCATAGATTTTTTTTTCTGTCTTTTGAATAAAACTTCCTTGGCTATGGTACATTTTACAAAACAATTTCTGCACATGTGACAGGTGGGTGACTTAGTACACAAATTGTCAGGATTCTGGCCTGTGCTGCTTCAGCGATTTATCCTCTAGGGACAAATAAAGTGTTCCTCTTCCATGGACATTTATGCTCTAACATTTTCTACCAAAGGTAAAAGAGCAATACATCCATTTTACTTTCACTGATCATGAAAATATTCCCATAATCATCATACACAGAATAAATATCATTGCTTTATTTCTGCTCTTCTATCTGAAGGTGCCTAAATTTAAACTGCAACCTCTATGTATCATGGCATTTGCTAAACTCTCATCATTTCATCATGCTCAAATTATTTAAAACTAAGATTGGTTCTGGAGTACTCTCAAACAACTTCTTTTTTTTACATAGAAATATTATTGAATAATGGATCTAGGATATCACCCACCTAACTTTACTTGCTCCAGTGTGTATGAAAGGGAAGAGAGGAACCGAGGCAGAGAGGGAAAAATAGAGAGGGAGCAAGGTCTGGGTAATATTTACCACTTAGGCAGTACTGAATATGGGTAGGCGCTATTCTATATCAATTTAGACTTAGATTTTTCCTATGAAGTGGAGATCGGTATTATGTATATTTGCCTAACAAGAAAACTAATTACACAAGTTTACTTGATCAAGTTCACACAGGTAGCTAATGTCAAAGTCAATCAATCTGTCTCCAAAGGCTGGCTCACTACAGTGCTACATTCATTGTTCTAAGACAGGCTCAGAGGAGATGAAGAGCACAGCATAGCAGCTCACAAACAAAACACAATTGATGTCTCAGTTATTTAACATCCAAAATCACACTATGAAGTCTCCATCTTCTCTTATAACATATTAGTCTCTCTGATTCCTGACAATCAGCTTATTGACTTACTGCAGACAAATTCATGGGAATTCACCATACAACATGGCTACTTGGAAATAATGATAGAATAAAAAAGACTTGTGTCAGCAACCTGGCTCTTGTTAGCTATGCCATATAGATAAGTAGGTAGGTAGATAGATAGATAGATATGTATCATATAAATATATTAGATACATAGTGTATGCATGTATTAGAAATAATGCATAATTTTTCTTTTTGTATAATTAGTTTCTGGTTATAATTCCCTCTTTCCAGTGGCATACAAACATGACAAGCGTAATCTCATAACTGAGGAAAAAATAAGACATTAGCTAATAGATGATATCACATAAAATGTTTATTTAATATGTGTAAGAGAATAGATTAGATGGAAATTGAAACAAAAGAGAACTACAAAGAAGTAGCAAGAAGGACTTAAGACAAATACAGGATATTGTAATGAATTTGATTGTAAAATAAGATGAAATAGTGAAAAGAGAAAAAATAGACAAGTGAAAAAGTAAACAGTGAAAATTAATTAAATAACAATATTTGGAAGTGTGGATAGTTTTCAAGATATTTGTACCCATTTTTAATGAGACTTTTAACAAAGAAGCATGGTATCTTTAGAAGGAAAATTTCCAGAAATTATGTAACATTTCATATTAGTGTGTCATTGAGTACACTTAACAAAATACACATTTTATAAGATGCTAACACAATGAAAAATTGCTATAATTTATTTTATTTTCTTATTGAGGTTGGTTCTACACTTCCTTGTAGGTCATTCTTTCTAAGGTTTCTTCAAATCATCTAATTACCTTAGTTTTTCTTTACTGGTGGTAGTTACACCCTTTCAAAAACTCTGTAAGATCCATGTGAAGGTGTGAGCCTACCTTACCAGAACAAGCTTAAAAAGTTAATTTACTTGTAGTTCGTATTAAGAAGACTCAGGATTAAAGTTTATAACACAAATATATAAGATTTTTAAAGGTTAAATTCAGTTCTTAGATTCTAAATTAACATACTTAGAATTAATTTTGCTCATACTCCACTAAGAATTCTTGCTGTGACCGATATTTCAGCACCTCTTCCTGTAATTTGTTTTGACTGTATGGTTTCTTTCAATACTTCTCCTCTCCCAGTCCATTCACATTTCCTCTAGAAATTATTTTGTTCCACAATAGTCACTTCTGCATTTCAAGCTCTTCACCAGTGCTGGCTTTATATTGCTAAACACATTTTTCTACTTGTGAAACTTTTCATTTAGTTCCAGATGAAATTCAACCCTAATCCTTAAACTTGGTAATAGTGCTGCTGTATGCCAAATGTTACTTACCATCTCTGTCTCTCAGTTTCTGATTCCTTTCAGTCGTTTCTGTTTATGGGTTGTTGTAATTCAAAACAAGTGCTCTCCATTTTTTTTATATTTGGTGACTTCAAATGGGACACTACCCTAATATTTTCATGAAATCACTCTAATCATTTAGATTCATATGGGAAGAATGTTTCCACTTAAAATATAGGGAAATGAAAGGAATTTATATAGAAAGACATTCCCTTAAAAGAATTTTTGCATTGCAATGCAAAAAGGAACTTAACTCTAAAATATTAGGTATTCCTGGCCTTGAATTCTCAGTTTCTTGGCCATCTCCAATACCTGAGGTTTGTTATTATGTGACTTTTTTCGCAGTCTTTCAACATTCAATATTTAGTGCCCATGCAGAATTTCTGTTAATTTCATATGAACAAACATATATTTGTGTGTCCAGATCTGAAGTAACGTATAAAGCACACTAAACAAAATAAGCTCCCTCTCTCAGAGAAACTCTATCAAATATTTAGAATTTTTCAAATCTTCTTGTTTTCTTACACTTCACTCTTATTTATATAAATGTTAGTCACCTAAGCACTAAGATACTAAAATACTCTTTTGTAAGTGCAGTGTGCTCAATTGTCTTTGATTGTTAAGTTATACTTTTTATAGTACTTATCTTTTAAAAGCACATACATTTTACTTACATAAATCATTAAAGTCAGTTGTATAAATCACTTCAAATTCATTTAGGGAAATTAATTTATGCTGTAATTCAAATGTTTAGGAACATGATTGCTAAGTTTGAGATTGATATCTGAGACTTATGTGATATTTTTATTATTAATCTCTAACAGAATGACAACTATTGTATCTTCAAACTCATGTTATACCATTAGGGAATACAAAATGTATTAGCATAAGTACGTACACTAATTATTGGAATGAATGTAACTTAAACATATCTGTCTCCTCTTCTACCTCTCTGGTAGTATAATTTAGCAACCAAATTAACCATCACAAATTTTTTGAGTCTGAAGATCCTCATTACATTTTAGAATATGAGTTCTAAATAGGGCCAAAAGAAATGCACATGTAGGTATTTAATGTTTTTGGCATCAAGGAAATTATGAAGACCTCTGTACCTTAGAAAAAGCTATAGGGTGAGTCTAACCAATCTCTTGATTTTCTGAGCAGATCAGTATGACATCCCTAGCTGTAACTGTAGGAAGATTAAGATTTTATATTCTTTTAGCATTGATAGAGGATTAATGTCAACTTGCCAATAACCTTTTACATATTATATTTGAAAAAAGATGGGTCTTTCAACATAGGCTGCCCCTAAAAAGAAAGGAGTACTATTTGTTCATCTAGTCAACATCAGGCCACTGAGGAAAATACTCAGGTATTATTTTTATTGTCTGTTTAGTCTGAAAAGCCAAAACAAATGTTGAAAGATACCACACACAATGGCTGAAGTATCATGACTGAAATAATAAAAAGAAGAAAGAAGACCAATATAAATACATAAGTATATTGCCATAAAGGAGAGCTTAGTGAAAGCAAAAGAGAAAACCAAACCAAACAAAAGATTCCAGAAAAACATTAAGTTACACAAAATAAATTTAGAAATTATAAAATAAATTTAAAGAAATCACCTCTTTCAGAAAGAGATACAAAATAACTTTATATTTTGAAATACAAAACAAATAAAATATGGCACACACCCTGGAATGAAATTAGAATGATTTGAAAAACACAGAGATAAGGTTAAAAGACATGACAAAGAGTTCCAGGAGAGCAAATATTTAAATAATAGAAGTTACAATATAGTAAACATCAACAGATGGAGGAGAAATAATAAGAACAGGAATGAATGAAGAAAGCTTTCTACACCATTGATGGAATTGTGTTTCAGTTGAAAAGGTTTACACAAAACTTCAGGAGTAATACTGAAAAAGTAACAAATAACATATGCTGGTGAAATTTCTGAAATCCAAAAAAAATAAATTTTAAATACATTTTAGATAGAACAAATAGCAAAGTAAAGTGATATGATAATTTACATTTTTATCACCTAAAATTGGAAATATGATTAATATTTTTATAATAGGTAAAATAATGCTTCTTAGAAATATTTATAGTATCAGCCGAAATTTAAAATTATCCTACCTATAAGTAAATATAAGGAATGGTGCACACCAAATTATTAATTTTGATTTCTCCAGAGAATGCAATATGAAAAAGGGTGCAAAATATAATTAGAAGAGGTAGAGGAATTCTGTTTCTGGCTCTGTTGGAGTAATTTGTAATAGAATTACTTTACTACTGTAGTTTAAAAGAGTGGTAAAGTATATACATTTGTCCATTTTCAGGCTGATGATAAAAACATACCTGAGACTGGGCAATTTACAAAAGAAAGAGGTTTAATTGGACTTACAGTTCCACATGGCTGTGGAGGTCTCACAATCATGGTGGAAGGCAAGGAAGAGCAAGTTACATCTTACGTGGATTGTGGCAGGCAAAGAAAACTTGTGCAGGGAAACTCCTCCTTATAACACCATCAGTTCTTGTGAGACTTATTCACCATCACAAGAACAAACATGAGAAAAGACTTGCCCCCATGTTTCAATTACCTCCCACTGGCTCCCTACCAACACACGCAGGAATTCAAGATGAGATTTGGGTGAGGACACAGCCATACCATATCATTCTGTCCCTGGCGCTTATCAAATTTCATGTCCTCACATTTCAAAACCAATCATGCCTTCCCAAGAGTCCCCCAAAGTCTTAAGTCCTGTCAGCATTGACTCAAAAGTCCAGTTCAAAGTCTCATCCAAGACAACGCAAGTTCGTTCCGCCTGTAAGCCTGTAAAATCAAAAGCAAGTTAGTTACTTCCCAGATACAATGGGGGTACAGGCATTGGGTAAATATAGCCATTCCAAATGGGAGAAGTTGGAAAAACAAACAAACAGGAACTACAGGCCCCATGAAAGTCCAAAATCCAGCAGGGCAGTCAAATCTTAAAGCTCCAAAATGATCTCCTTTCACTCCATGTCTCACATCCAGGTCAAACTGATGCAAAAGGTAGGCTCCCATGGTCCTGGGCAGCTTCGCCTCTGTGGCTTTGCAGGGCACGGTCTCCCTCCCGGCTTCTTTCATGGGCTTGCATTGAGTGTCTGCGACTTTTCCAGGCACACAATGCAAGCTATGAGTGGATCTATCATTCTGGGGTCTCCAAGACGGTAGCACTCTTCTCACGGCTCCACTATGTGGTGCTCAAGTAGGGACTCTGTGTGGGGGCTCTGACCCCACATTTTTCTTCTGCATTGCCCTAGCAGAGTTTCTCCATGAGGGCCCTGTCCCTGCAGAAAACTTCTGCCTGGGCATCGAAGCCTTTCCATACAACTTCTGAAGTCTAGGTGAAGGTTAAAAACCTGAATTCTTGATTTCTATGCACTGGCAGGCTCAACACCATGTGGAAGCTGCCAAGGCTTACAGCTTGCACCCTCTGAAGCCACAGCCCAAACTCTACATTGGCCCCTTTCAGCCATGGCTGGAGTGGCTGGGATGCAGGGCAACAAGTTCCTAGACTGCACACAGCATGGGGACCCTGGGCCTGGACCCTGAAACCACTTTTTTCTCCTAGGCCCCTGTGATAGGAGGGGCTTCTGTGAAGACCTCTGACATGCCATGGAGACATTTTTTCCATTGTCTTGGGGATTAACATTCGGCTCCTCATTACTTATGCAAATTTCTGCAGTTGGCTTGGATTTTTCCTCAGTAAATGGAATTTTCTTTTCTGTCACATTGTCAGGCTGAAAATTTTTCGAGCTTTTATGCTCTGCTTCCGTTATAAGGAGGAGGCCTCACAATCCTGGTGGAAGGCAAGGAGGAGCAAGTCACATCTTATGTGGATGGCAGCAGGCAAAGAAAGCTTATGCAGGTAAACTCCTCCTTATAAAACCATCAGATCTCATGAGACTTATTCACCATCATGAGAACAGCACGGGAAAAGACCTGCCTTCATGATTCAATTACCTCCCACCAGGTCCCTCCCACTATACATGGGAATTCAAGATGAGATTTGGGTGGTGACACAGCCAAACCATATCAGTATATGAATTTATTATTTTCAGAGGCTGTAAAAACATGTAGCAGAGGATTAGGATTCCCAAGTTATGGAAAGCAGGCAAGATAAACCCTAGAGTCACAGAACACACAAAGGGCTAAAAGATGCTTATGTTAGAATTTGCAAATGTAAAGACACCTGGACATTTAGTGAAAACTTCACAGTTGCAATGTTTCAGTTGTACAGCTAAAATAGTCCAAGTCAGCTGTTACTAAAACACTTTAGGAAAACTTAAAAAAATTCAATCAATTCACAAATAAATTGTCAGTAGAAGCAAAGAACATCACCATTTACAGGAAAAAAAAACACAATCACTCAAAAGTATAATAGTTATGATACCAAATGTCCAATCAAATATACCATCATGCAAAGGTAGGAAATTGTGGCCCTTAAGAAGAATAAATTCAATTAGTAGAGAAAGAAACAACATAGATAATGAAAAATATAAATATAAAATTAAAAGACATCAAGAAAAATTCTGGGAGAAATAATACTCAAATAATAGAACTTATAAGATAAATAAATGTAAAGAAGTAGATAAATTATAATTACAGTAATGATAGAAAATGATGAGAAATGATAAGATTGGTGAAAGAAGCAGGCAAGGACTTTACAGCAGCTATTACGAACAAGAAAAATGAATGTAATGAAGTGAAAAATGGAAAAGATAAAAGTGACTCAAATCAAGCTACTGGAGATGAAAAATACAATAACAGAAATTAAAATTATACAGGATGAAATTAAAAGCAGTTTAGAGAAAGGAGAAGAAAAAATAAATATATTAATAATTAAATGCTTAGCAATAAAAACAATCTAAACTAATGTAAACAGCAAAAACAACTAAAAAAGATAGAGCCCAATTGATCTGAGATAATCTAGGGCAGTCTGACATACATGTAATTTAAGGCCCAAAAGATGAAATGCAGGAATTAGAAATGTATTTTGTAAAATATTGATTTAATATTCAAAACTTGATAAATCATTATGTTCAAAAATGCAAAAAAGTTTATACAATCAGAAAAATGCAAATGAAGCCATAATAAGTACAATATAAAGACACTTCTGAAAACCACGAATGAAGATAATATCTTTTAAGATGCCAGAGAAAAAGACATATTACATACAAGAGAAAAAAATTAGAATGACAACCAATTTCTTGAGAGAAACAATGAAGATAGATCCTGGCACAGAACAGTGGATTATCACAGTAACAGTCAAGCACTAGCTCCAATTTTTATCGTGTGCCAGTGTAGTATCAATTTCAGGAGCAGATTAAAATAGCTTCAAGCACGTGCTCTGCAGCCATGGATCTGGCAAATGTGCTTTTCCAGACATACAAAGAAAGAGGAAGAGGAGAAGTTCACATTTACCTAGTAGGACTAAGAGTTATAATTTTAAAGTTTTGTCTTAAGTCTTTGTTAGATCTCTAACTTGATGTTTCAGTATGGAAGAACATGGACAATCTGAACATTTCTTAGAATATGACATTTATCCTCTATCTTGCTGACATCAGGCTAAATAGATTGAAAGAGCAAGGTGCAGCAAGAACTTTGGTGAGATGCATGCATTCCACAAGATGGGAGATGAATTCTATCAACACTCCAGGACCTTACACATCGGTGGTCTGGAGCATGCAGGGACATTTTGTCCAAAATAAAAATTATAGTGTCTCATACCTCCAACCAAAGAAGAAAAGATGATATATGGTGGACTTCTTCATGATCTAGAAAATGCCTTGCTAAATGGGCCATACAAACAAGCAGACCCTATGTAGCTTACTTATTCCCTTACTTATACTTAATTGCAACTGATATTATTAGTTATCCTAGGTGGAAAAAGAACCCACGTGGAGTTTCTAGTAGTTCCCAGAATGTTCTGGCATACGCCTATACCACTTGCAGCAGAAAATTATACATATTACCATAAACAGTTCTAATCATCCTAAGAAATGTAATGATGAATATCTGATCATGACTTGTCAAGCAGAATTGCCTATCATAGGCTGTCTTTTCTTACATCCTAAAACTTATAAGGTTCAGGGAGAACAAACTGGTTCATTTAGAATTAAGTGAGATCAGGGCCAGAGAGCTTAAGTGAAGTGCACGAGCCATGACCCAGATTCCCAAATGATCCATCACACTGCAGCTCTTTACAAGCCCATATCTGTGGCCAAATGAAGAGTTTCTTGTAATCAACGGATGGAGGAGAAAATGCCAAAATTGGTTCTGTAATGGGTCAGCTAAGTGTATGGGTATATGCTGAAAATAAAACACTGCTACACTACAGCCCCATTTAAGTACTTGGAAAACAGTCATCAGGGGAAAACACCCTAAACAGGAAAAACTTGAAAGAGTATACATGATCACGTGGTTATCTAATTTCTGGAGGAATATATGAAGTCTGAGATAAGAACATTTGCAGATTTCCAAGTATGTGTGAATGGCTTAGTCCATTGTTCAAGGCACATGGAATGGAATGATTGGAAAATTGTGAGGCGGTGCTCTACAAAGGTCCTGCTTTCAAGACGAAGGAGCTTATTCCTAAACTTCCACAAGTGTGGGCTGCCTATGAGAATCACATCTTCTAGACTAAACGGAGCTGCCTTGTGAAAGTTTGTCTCCCTCCACAGGGAGGATGCTGGATGACAAAGGCATGATCTCCTTTCTTCAATATGGGACATTTGTGAAAGGCCATTTTATCTCTAGAGCTGCCTATAAAATTGGCTTGAGGTGTCAGCCTCAATAAGCTATGCTTGCTCCATTAAAGATTTTATTATCTAGAGCATTTTTTGTTTAAACATCTGCATGTAGTCAGTTTCCCTGAAATCCTGACCTAAGAGTAGATGTTTTATTATACCTAATGCTAAATGATGAGTTAATGGGTGCAGCACACCAACATGGCACATGTATACATATGTAACAAACCTGCACGTTGTGCACATGTACCCTAAAACTTAAAGTATAATAATAATAAAATTTAAAAAATTGCATTGTTATTAATTGTAAAAATAATAATATATAATAAAAAGAAATAAAATACAGCCACTTCAAGCTCTCAAGGCAATTAAGACTTTTTAAATGAATTCCCTTTATTGTGCCAGGCATAGTATTAGACGTTGAAAATACCAAGGTGTGGAGTCATAGTATTTCTTCTCATGAAACGTACTTTTATTTTACCTTTATTTGCTTGATTTTGCAAAATTATAAACTGTGCTTAGATAACTTCCTTGTTATTCCATATATTTAAACAATTTTAATTGTTAATAGGAGAACTGAAGGAGTAATTTGTGGCACACTTTCAGAGCAGAAGTTTGTCATCATGTAGACGAGTGTTGCGAGACTTTCTTTCTTGGAGAATTTAATACTTAGTGACAGATTTTATTCTTTAGAAATTTGGCTACAGTGGTTATTTCTTTACACATCCTGTCTAATTAAAATTGGAACAGCTCATGTAGAAAATGTCCTTAAAGATTCTGAAGTGTTTTAAAATAAGTATTTGAAGGTTTTATTGTTTTTATTTCTAACAGTTCATTTTTGCTTGTTGATTATTTTTCTTACTGATTGATTTGTCATCACAGAAAACAGTTATATTCATGCCAATGCAGTAACTTTCTTTAACTGTTTAGTGTTTAACTTTCCAATGTTTCTAATTTTGTTAAATTATTCTGTTATAAAGCTGTACTTTTCTTTGTAATTACTTAGTTATATTTGGTAAGAGGAAAAATTGAGAGATCTATAAAAATAAGCAGGAGCAAATTATAAAGGATAATTAGAAACTGGAAAACAGTGAGCACAAAAGTACTATATGTATTATAGGTATCAAGGTTTTTTTGTTTGTTTGTTTGCTTTTTAAGCTTCCTATCAGTTTGTCTATGAAGAACAAAATAATGGAGAAAATACATTCAGAGGAAAACAGATTGGCTGTTATTACATAGTAGAAGATAAAAATAAACATTGCTTTTAATTATACCATCTCAGCAAATTATGTATATTTATTTACTTAATTATAAGTAAGTTATAATTATATAATTACAGAAATTATAAAACATTATAAGAACTTATAATGGTGTACTAAATGATATACATGTCTGAAAAAAGCACACAAGATGAACTTAAAAAAAAAATATATATATATATATATATATATATATATATATATATATATATATATGTATGTATTTTTTTTTTTTGAGATGGAGTCTCACTCTGTTGCCCAGGTTGGAGTACAGTGGGCAATCTCAGCTCACTGCAAGCTCCGCCTCCCGGGTTCACACCATTCTCCTGCCTCAGCCTCCCGAGTAGCTGGGACTACAGGCGCCCACCACCACACCCAGCTAATTTTTTGTATTTTCAGTAGAGACGGGGTTTCACCGTGTTAGCCAGGATGGTCTCGATCTCCTGACCTCGTGATCCGCCCACCTCAGCCTCCCAAAGTGCTGGGATTACAGGCATGAGCCACCGCACCCGGCCTGAACTTAAAATATTTTAACTCTGGATCTAATTGAACCAGCATGAGTGATTTGCATTCTAAAATATCATGGCAATTGGTTTTTAAAAATGTACTGACCCCAGTAAATTAAATGTAGGATATACTTGATGATGTCTATATTTCTGAGCTACTTAATTGACATCTTGATTCATTTATGCATATGGTTTATTATGCACACAGTCTAGATTTATGGTTGACTTCAATTATTTTTCTATTAGAGGAGATCTGAGTAGCATAATATTTTGGAGAAAATATGAAATGAAATTTTTTCTTGTGAAAGATATAGTGTATATTAGCTTTATTTCTGACTAACCTATGGATAACTATAATCAAACATGTATCAAGTAGTACCACTGAAGAAGTGTTTGAGCTTACTGGGAACACTTATGACTCAGCCTATTACCCTGGCATAATTATTAATAAAGAGCTTTTTGTCCTTCTTAGAAGTGAGCCATTTGGGGTAACACCTTACACTGTCATACTATGTTTAGGTAATTAATTTGTTCTTCTGAATAAACTCTCAACTCCTTTCTTACACCCAATTTTACACAAATTTAGTTTTAATTACTGCTTTAAGAGCTCTCTGAAACCAGGAATTCATTTCTGAGGCATAGTAAATCCTGAGACCACCATGCTCACACAGTGCTATCATGTACTGTATGAACTTTGTAAAATACAGCTTAATCTTATTTTATAATTTAAGATGATTCAGTGATTACCTTGGTCCATGTCATTCACCTGGTAAGTGGTGTCTGCATTATTTAACTATTTTAAACATTCATTCATTTGTGAAATGTTGGGTACCAATGATACTCATGTACTGCAGTTGCAGAGATGAATAACATGTAATCTAGGAACTCAAAAAGTTTAGCATCATTGTGTGGGTGACATATGATTTGAATTAAAGCTTCTGTTTCTTTATCTAGCATTCTTACCACCATACACATCGCTTCTTTAACTTATTTCAAATTAACACAACAAATACTAAGAATTTTATTAGCTGTGGTGTACATCCTAGGTTTATGAAGTAAAATATACTGTTTCTTTTCTCCCACGGTGTATTATTTTTTATATCAGAATGCATGACCCTGTAGTATTTTTGTAGCACATTTACTAGAACTATAAGGTATTATATTTAATGTATATGTTTTTACCATATTTATAAGCTATCTCTTTCTACACAATTTTAACATGTGCTCTCACACACGTACACATCTGCATTTTATCTTCCATAAGAGAAGTACTGATTATATATGAATAATAATATACAAAAGTAATCATAATTACCACATAAATGAGCAGTATTAGAATTTAGTAATAAAACATTTTGAATTTTTTGTTCGTAAATAGGTATGGTACTGATAGTCACACATGTGTATTATTATCTTTAAACAAAAACCTCTTAGAATTCATGAGATATAATATTTTCAAATTTTATGTTTTCAAGAGAGATATTTGCCTCCAAAATTCACTCTTATATTGTTGCGTTTTTAATTTTATCAAGATAACCAGTTGAATTTAATGCATATATGGTGCCATTTCTTTCAGATAAAATTGTTAACATCGCTTTAAAAAGATTAGAAATTTGAGGCCAGGCATGGTGGCTCACACCTGTAATCCCAGCACTTTGGGAGGCCAAGGTGGGCAGATCACTTGAGGTTAGGAGTTCGAGAGCAGCCTGGCCAACATGGTAAAACCTCGTCTTTACTAAAAATACAAAAATTAACCAAGTGTGATGGCACACGCTTGTAATCTCAGCTACTTGGAATGCTGAGGCAGCACAATCTCTTGAGCCCAGGAAGTGAAGGTTGCAGTGAGCCAAGCTCCAGTTTGGGTAACAGAGCAAGACTTCATCTCGAGAAAAAAAAAAAAAGTTAGAAATTTGAAATGATGCCAGAGTCAATATAAGATGCAGTTTTTTGCCTTACATTGCATTTGATGGAAAATAAAATTGACAGGTCTTTGCAAAACTAGTCATATAACTTTATTTGGGCAAAGCTAAAATTTCAAGAGCAAATAATTCATTATTCATAATTAAATGTTATATTGAAACATCTTATTCAAGTTCAAATGTTATTTATCTTAGAGTGACCAGCAAGCAGAAATATGTTTTGTTTTTACTTTTTACATATGAAATAAGGTTAAATTTTAAATTCACCTAGAAAATTTTAGATTGCAATGAATACCTTCTTTCTTATTTTGCAATAATTGTTTTTGTGTTTTAGAAGAGTACTTAAAATTCAGAATAGCATGAAGCAAACACTTTAATTTTCAGACATGTATTTCACAACATCATATCTTTTGGAAGAGAAACATCAACAGTACATTCGTTAGAAAAATAAATAATGTGTCTGGGCATTGTGGCTCTCACCTGTAATCCCAGCACTTTGGGAGGCCAAGGCGGGCGGATCACTTGAAGTCAGGAGTTCAAGACCAGCCTGGCCAACATGGTAAAGCCCCGTCTCTACTAAAAATACAAAAATTAGCCAGGCGTGGTGGCATGCACCTGTAGTCCCAGCTACTTGGGAGGCTGAGGCAGGAGAATCTCTTGAACCCAGGAGACAAAGGTTGCAGTGAGCCAAGATCATGCCACTGCACACCAGCCTGAGCAACAGAGCGAGACTTGATCTCAAAAAAAAAAAAAACAATAAAAATAATCAATAAATACATAAAGTATATATATTAAACCTTAATATGCATGTTACCTATGATACAGCAAGACCATTAATTTTAACAGCATATATGTGTTTAGGTATTCATTGTAATTTAGCTAGTGGGAGCAGTTAACTAAAAATACACTGGAATTCCATTAATAGGATAACAAATAAAATATATGTTGGATGCATAATATAGAATACTAAATAGTCAAAAGCAAAATGAATATATATTCAGCAATGTGATTAAATTTAAAAATCATAGATATAGAAATGTAATAAGAAAAATCTAAAACAATATAATTGGAGCTAATTAAAATAATCTATTCATACAAAAACAGTGTTACATGTATTACCAGAAGATATATCTCAATAATACATTAAATGAGTATTCACCTGAGAGAGAAGGAGATAACAAAGAAGGAGGAATTTTTAGTATAATTTAATTACATTAAACAATAATAAAAATGTCCAATCAAAAAATAGGATAAAGTTTATCCTATTAATGGAAATGAATCTGAAATCTAAATGGAAATGAATCTAAAATCTAGAATGATCATAATATGTCTTCAATTGAGGAGCATAATTATCTATATTACCTACTTGGAGTTATACAAATTCCTCCAAAATGACAATTGTATATGTGTATAAATAAAAAATAAACATGTACACCTAATTTATTAAATCATATGTCAATATATATTAGCATTTGTTATATGTTTGGAGTATTGTGTTATAGGTGCCAGAAAAGGAACTTTAAACAAAATCAATTTTTTTCTTTCATGGATCTGACTTTCTACCTCTAGGAAGCAGACAACAAGCATATAACCAGATAAATCAATAATATGTAAAAGTAAAATGTGAAAAAAATAAACATCAGAATAGTCTTTTATAAACTAATATTTGGACAGAGACCTGTATGAAACATGAAAGAAAGATATGCATGTTTATGCGAAAAGAGATTCTAAGAGCAGACAGTGAGTACACCTCTAAAGCAAAAGTTGACGCTTAGTTTTTAGGTGGTAGAAGTAGCACAGGTAAAGCTCTCGATATAACGAGAATATTTCAAGTTTATATTCATTTTTTCTCCAGGTCAAAATTGACATTTTAGACATAAATTTTTAATCAAGAATATTTCATTTGGTGACATGACGGAAACCCAACTCGATCTGTAATAGGCCAAAAGGAAAATCCATTGATTCATGCTACCTAAGTGTAGAAATAAAGAAAAAAAATGACTGTCATCATTGGAATTCAAATATGCTGTTAGGAATTTGTGTCTGTATTATTTAAAGTTTTCAGTCTTCAACATTAGAAATCAAGTTTTGCTAATTCAAGCAGTAAATAAATGGTTGGAAAGAATATTTTGTAGCTCACAAAATTTGCAAGAATTTTCAAGAACCAGACTCAAAAAGTAGGCAGGGAACAAAAAATTTTCTCAGCAAGGCCAAACAATATTTCTCACTAGGGACTGCCTTTGGGACCTTTTGAAATTTATTGGTCCATTTGTGGTTTGAGGATTTGCTATTAACATTTAATATGTGGAACCAGAGATTTTAAATATGCTGCAATGCACCGGGTAGGTCCTAGACTAAGAAAAATGTAGTGACAGAATTAGAACAACACAGAATATTCACTGCTATGTGCCTGGACTCTGAATTCACTGTTCTAAGTAACCTCTATTCCTCTATTTTTACATTATTCTTTCAGTATTAAGCTTCCCAAATTGGGCTATTATTTGGTCATGTATACTTCACATCTTATGGTCTTGCTTTTGGGAATAGTGAAGAGAAAACATCTACTTTATTTCTCTTCCACACTGAGATTCACTTGTAAAGAAGCCGTTTTCAAATGTTAGGTGACTAAAAATTTCAAATCCCTACCACAGTATCTCATGACTGCTTCTGCTTAATTTTATTTTTATAGACACAAAATGAACAAGATGTCTGTGGCAACCCTCAGACCATTGACGCCTTCTCTCCTATGTATCAAATCACACATTTGGACGTTGACTGAACCCTCACATGTCAGATGCTCAATATTGAGGTAAACACAGTTGCCCCATGAACAGCTGCACACAGTCTGTGGCTAAGAGTCAATCTCTACCTTATTTGAACTTTATGGATGAGTTCCTTACAAGACATAGAAGTTTTATTTACAGAATAAGTGAAATGATGCTTGAGAATAAAGACAATAGGCATCCAGTCCTGTCGGTATGTAGACACGTATTTTTTGTGCGTACAAAACTCTAAATTGAGTTATTCACTAATACAGTTTTTACAAAGTTCAGATTTTTAAAATATTTTTTCTGATGAAAAATACCTCAGGATATACATGTAAAAAGTATCTTTAATGCGGAAAGAGGAATGTATAAACAGTTCTTTCCACTTAAAGACCTTTAAAAAATAAACTTTGTTTCTTGTTTTTAAGGCCAAATAAAGTTATATTTTATTGTTGATACACACATCTACATCTTTACTATTGTGTTTGGCTAAAATTGTGTCTTTGAATTTTAAGTGAACTAGGCAAGAAAAAAAGTGTATTCCTCATTTCTATTATTAATGAAATAAAGACTGAATGTAGAGGAGCTAGATTTAAGACCATTGCTTGAAATGTCAACTAATATCAATGGACCATGGAATGTGCAAAGTTGTAAAAAAAAGCTTGCTTTGAAATCTACCAACAAAATATTATTTTAAAAAATCATCCCTAAATCACTCTATAAGATTTTACAGTGGCTTCTAGCATAAATAGACATGCCACATATTGTCCCTCCTAAAACACTCTCATTTTGTATCACTCACAGGTATAGTAAAAGGGAGCATGAACTTGAGAAAATACGCTTTCAACACAAAGCTGTAATAATATAAGGTCAAATAAGATTCTGCATTGGAGATAGAAAACTCTGAAGGAAGGTAAAGCTGTTTTGTCCGTATCCTAAGTGTCAGTAGCTCTGTGACTTTGTGTATTATTTAAATTCTCTAAGCATTTTGTTTTTCAACAAATAGTTTTAAAAATATTAATTAGTATACCTAATGCTATAAAAATAAGAGGTAATAAATGTGATTTGTGAAATCTTTCCTCAGGATTCTTGAAGATCATAGGCACCATACAGAGTAGAAAATTCCAGTAGACTGTAATAACTACTAAAGTAGCATTAATGCTAGATACTAATGGGAGCAAATACAGGAGTACTTACTACAGTGTAAAAAGTCAAAAAAGCTTTCCATGGAAACTAATGTTGTAAAGATAGCGGTTTAAGAAGATAAAGAGGATGATGGAAAGTATTTCAATAGAAATTATAGTATTTGTAAAGTCTTAGAAATGAGAGAGATCCTAGGCATTTGAAAGAGAAAAAAAAGCACAGAATGGTCATAGCACAGAAAGTGTGGAAGTGTTTTAAAATGAGGCTGGAACATTATAATGAAACCAGTTTCTGACATTCCCTATAAGGTATTTTCAAGTTTTTGGCTGAGATAAGTAGAAAGAGCAAATAAAGAGTGAGAAGTGAGGAATAGATGAGGGAGGTGACTTCCAATCCAGATATTCTAACTTCATTTTCCAAATATTTTACGTTATTACATAGATAATACATTTGCCTCCACATTTACTGACCCTTAGCTTTACTTTGATTGTTCTGACAATCATATTTCTCTCTTCTGGTTTCTTGCCTTTCGGTACACATATCTAACTCATGCTTAAACAAAAGCCTTTCCTTTGATAATAACATACATGTTATTTAAGAATTAATGGGTTTTTTAGAACAGGTTTAGTTTCAAAGCGAACTTGAGAAGGTACCGAGATTTCCCATATACCCTCTACCCAACACGTGCATTCCTTCCCCCATTATCAACATCCCCCAACTAGAGTGGTATATTCATTACAGTTGATGAATCAACATTGACACAAAATCACCAAAAGTTTATCATTTACATTTGGGTTTGCTGTTGATGTACATTCTGTGAGTTTGGACAATTTACCCTGACATGTATCCACCACTATAGTATCACACAAAGCACTTTCATTGACCTTAAAATACTCTGTGTACCAACTATTCATCATCTCCCCTCCTACCTGCCCACTGCCAACTCCTAGTAATCATTTATCTTTTTGCTCTTTCCATAGCTTTATCTATTCCAGAATGTCATATAGCTGGTATAAGGTATGTACTCTTTTCAGATTGGCTTCTTTCATTTAGTAACATGCATTTAAAGTCCTTCAATGGCTTGAGAACTCATTTCTTTTTAGCACTGAATAGTAATAGTTCATATTCTAGAAGTACCGTATTTTATGTATCCATTCATCTCCTAAGTGTATCTTTGTTGCCTTCATGTTAGGGCAATTATGAATAAAACTACTATAAATATCCATGTGCAGGTTTTGTGTGAACATAAGTTTGCAACTCCTTTGAGTAGACACCATAGAGCACACTTGGTGGACTGAATGCTAAGAGTATGTTTATTTTTATAAAAAACTACCAATCTCTTCAAAAGTGACTGAGCCATTTTACATTGCGACCAGCAATAAGTGATGCTTTTGTTCCACATCCTTGCTAGAATGTTGTGGTGTCTGTGTTCTAGATTTTGGTTGTTCTAATAGGAATGAAGCAATATCTCATGGTTGTTTTAACTTTTATTTCCCTTTATTATGACATAAGGTGGGAATTATTTCATATGTTTATTTGCTACCTTTATGTATTTTCGATAATATGTCTGTCAAGGCCCGTTTTTTAATCAAGTGTTTTTGTTTTCTTATTGTTGAGTTTTGAAAACTCTTGGTATCTTTTAGATAACAGTCCTTTATTATATATTTCTTTTGCAACTACTTTTTCCCAGTCTATAATGTCTTCTTGTTCTCTTGACATTGTCTTTTGCAGAGCAGACATGTTTAATTTTAATGAAATCCAGCTTATGAATTATTTTTTCATGAATCATGCTTTTGATGTAGTATCTAAGAAGTCATTACCATATCTAAGGTCATCTAAGTTTTTCTGCTATGCTATCTTCTAAGAGTCCTATAGTTTTGTGTTTTACATTTAGGTGTGTGATCTATTTTGAGCCTGTTTTGGCAAAAGGCATAAGATCCGATTAATTTTTTGCATGTGGACAGCCAATAAGTACAGCACAAGATCCTGATCTTTTAAAACGTACTCCCATGGGTTATACTATTTTTGAACCAAAACTATTTAGCAGATACAATTTAACCCCACTGTATAAATAGATTGAAAAAGTAAACCAACAAACCATTTTCCACTTTTTTCTGTTTTCTCTCTGCTTCTAATGCTGTACTTGAATTGCTTTGCTACTCAGCATCCTTTGACTTATCATTAATCAGTTCCAATGAAGAAGCTCATCATGGTCAGGTTTTAGTCAGAACTTAATGCCCTTGTCTACCAAGTGTAACCTGAAGTCTTATAGTCACATCTCTCCTTTATATATAAACTATCATCTAAAGAAAACATCACTCTATATGTGAATTTATGTGTCTATCTAGTTAATTCAAAATAAATTAGAAATATATGCATACATTTTATGGATCACACATAATATTTATCAAATCAATACACATTTAACAAAATGACTGTTAGTGAGATTATTCATAACATATAAATTGCCAGAACAAAAGAACCATGTCTTAAAATTTTCTGACAGAAACTTGACAATACATAGCATCTAGCAAAGTTGTGGTCTCTTGAAAGCATTTAGCAACACTTGTTAAACAATCTGATCTTTGACAAACCTGACAAAAACGAGAAATGGGGAAAGGGTTCCCTATTTAATAAATGGTGCTGGGAAAACTGGCTAGCCATATGTAGAAAGCTAAAATTGGATCCCTTCCTTACACCTTATACAAAAATTAATTCAAGGTGGATTAAAGACTTAAATGTTAGACCTAAAACCATAAAAACCCTAGAAGAAAACGTAGGCAATACCATTCAGGACATAGGCGTGGGCAAGGACTTCATGTCTAAAACACCAAAAGCAATGGCAACAAAAGCCAAAATTGACAAATGGGATCTAACTAAACTCAAGAGCTTCTGCACAGCAAAAGAAACTACCATCAGAGTGAACAGGCAACCTACAGAATGGGAGAAAATTTTTGCAATCTACTCATCTGACAAAGGGCTAATATCCAGAATCTACAATGAACTCAAACAAATTTACAAGAAAAAAACAACCTCATCAAAAAGTGGGTGAAGGAGATGAACAGACACTTCTCAAAAGAAGACATTTATGCAGCCAACAGACACATGAAAAAATGCTCATCATCACTGGCCATCAGAGAAATGCAAATCAAAACCACAATGAGATACCATCTCACACCAGTTAGAATGGTGATCATTAAAAAGTCAGGAAACAACAGGTGCTGGAGAGGATGTGGAGAAAGAGGAACACTTTTACACTGTTGGTGGGACTGTAAACTAGTTCAACCATTGTGAAAGACAGTGTGGTGATTCCTCAAGGATCTAGAACTAGAAATACCATTTGACCCAGCCATCCCATTACTGGGTATATACCCAAAGGATTATAAATCATGCTGCTATAAAGACACATGCACACGTATGTTTATTGCAGCACTATTCACAATAGCAAAGACTTGGAACCAACCCAAATGTCCATTGACGATAGACTGGATTAAGAAAATGTGGCACATATACACCATGGACTACTATGCAGCCATAGAAAAGGATGAGTTCATGTCCTTTGCAGGGACATGGATGAAGTTGGAAACCATCATTCTCAGCAAACTATCACAAGGACGAAAAACCAAACACTGCATGTTCTCACTCTTAGGTGGGAATTGAACAATGAGAACATTTGGACACAGGTAGGGGAACATCACGCACTGGGACCTGTCGTGGGGTGGAGGAAGGGGGAGGGATAGCATTAGGAGATATACCTAATGTAAATGACAAGTTAATGGGCACAACACACCAACATGGCACATGTATACATATGTAACAAACCTGCACGTTGTGCACATGTACCCTAGAACTTAAAGTATAATTAAAAAAAAAAAAAGAAAACTTGAAGACTTTGCCTCTGGGTCTAAATCCTGGCTCTACCATTTACCTATTAGCTATGAGACTTGGTGAAATTACTTAAATTCTTTGTTCCTCACTTTTAAATGTCAATAATAGTATTCATGGTGTTGTTGCCAAGTGTTACATAAAACAATATATGAAAGTGCCTAGCACAGTGCATAGTGTGTCATAAACTTAGTAGGAGTTAGTTCTTTTTATTTTGTAAGTCTGCTGCTTGTATATCTCATTATCTGTCATAGCATATATTATGTCCAACCTATAATTTAATCACAGAAAAATTAAAATGTGAGATTCAAAACTCATCAGATAAAGTGTTAGTGCAGAGAAAATATAAAGTTAACAATGATGATGAAACTTTTAAAGTCTTAGCATTTTATTTTAAAATATCTGCCCATTGTAGCCTTTTGCTTTCTTGATACCATTTTGATAGGTCTGACTCTTTTTGAATGTTCTGAGATATGTAAGATTTTGTATATATTGGACATCTTCACAACTCTATTGAGCTGTTTCCTTTATAGACAGAGACCATGGGATCTTATTTCTCAGCTTCTCAGAATAAAATTTAGGTAAAATCACTGAAATGCCAAGGGAAAAGTTAAGAGATGCTATAGTTAGAGCTGTACTGTCCAATATGTAGTGTTTGGCAGCATTTGGCTATTTAACCTTGGAATATGGCCAGTCCAAATTCAGAGGTACTGTAAGTTTAAAATGTATGTGAGTTAGTATGAAAAGGTATGAAAAAATTAATGTAACCACCTCAATAATTTTATAGTAATTATATGTGAAATAATGCTTTTGATATATTGGGTTAAATAAAATACATTATTAAAATTAAAAAAAATTAACTAATTTAGAATGCATGGGGGGAAAAGCAAATATTGAAATACAAACTGAGTAAAAGGAATAAAAAGTTCTAAAAAGTACTAAAGCAGTATTGTTCGATAGAGCTATGATGATGGAAATGTTCTAGTGGCTAATAGCATTTGTATAGGATAGTGCAAATCAAGGGTTCATGAACTAGAATTGATTATCACGTCACTGATAAGACTGCAGGGCAATTTTAACACTTAAACTCATTATAACTGTTTGAATTTACTTCCTGATTGAAATATTTAGCATACTGTGTTGATAACCATGTAACTAATAATTTAAAAGAACAGAAAAATCATATTATAAAACTACAGATGGATAGGCTCAGTGGCTCACACCTGTAATCCCAGCACTTTGGGAGGCCAAGGTGGGTGGATAATCTGAGGTCAGGAGTTCGACACCAGCCTGGCCAACATGGTGAAACCCCATCTCTACTAAATATATATAAAACTAGCCAGGTGTGGTGATGGGCGCCTATATTCCCAGCTACTCGGGAGGCTGAGGCAGGAGAATTGCTTGAACCCAGGAGACGGAGGTTGCAGTGAGTCGACACGGTGCCACTGCACTCCGGCCTCAGCAACAAAGTGAGACAATGGGGAAAAAAAAACCTACAGGAATAAAGATTGAATGGCAAATTTTCTAGACTCAGCAATTAATATCACTGTGATCCTTTCCTCTTTAGAAATTGAGTATAAATAACATTTCAGAAATTATGGATAGTATTTATCATTCTCAATCACAGATATACAAATAATAAGCCTTTCCAATTCTTTTTGTGTTTTTTTTTTTTTTGAGACGGAGTCACCCAGGCTGGAGTTCAGTGGCGCGATCTCATCTCACTGCAAGCTGCAAGCTCCGCCTCCCGGGTTCACGCCATTCTCCTGCCTCAGCCTCCAGAGTAGCTGGGACTACAGGCGCCCGCCACCATGCCCGTCTAATTTTTTTGTATTTTTAATAGAGACGTGTTATCCAGGATGGTCTCGATCTCCTGACCTCGTGATCCGCCCACCTTAGCCTCCCAAAGTGCTGGGATTACAGGCGTGATCCACCGCCCCCGGCTAAGTCTTTCCAATTCTATTGAGTATAACCATGTGGTTATGAAAATGTACTCTGGTGACAGACTTTCTTTTAACCCCTATACTCATCTATATATAGTTTCTAGTTGAAGCTATATTTTAAAATGTACCCTCTGCACATTTTAACAAAATAACGCAATCTGGTTATAAGTTGCATTACTTAATGTGCTTTGTCATTTCAATGACACAAAAAAGGGTAACTGTACTTATTTAGAAAATATCCTCCATATGAATTTTACAAGAAATTGTTCCCTTTGCCCATCCAAGGAACATCTGGAGCAGAGCGCCCCTTGTGCATGAGAATTTGTAAAGTTTATGAGATATGCTCCAGAGAAGCAGTTCTTAAGTTGTGATGTATACATCCTAGAGTGTATTCATTGGTATAACAAACAGAAATTTGGGGAATTTTATGTTTTTTTTTTTAATCTCATGCTCTTCAATTACTATATTTTTGTTTTAAAAGCAAATAATAAATTTGTTTACTGCATATCATGTAATTTACAAACGTAATTAAATACACGTATATTGAGATACAAACTCCAAAAATTTAGCTTATGAAATGTGAAATTTTGAAATCATTGACCAATATCACTCCATTGAGATAGCACAAGCCTTCTAGTTATTAATACTTTGGTTTGGTAACAGGAAACATTTGTTTTTCTTCTATGTTCACCAAGCCAAATTTACACACAAAAGCCTCTTGAACTTTTATTATTCAATTTGGGTATTTTTCAGTCTCTTTCTTTCCATATTTTGTGTTTCAGTGTTTTACATCTGAAAAATAAAATAGAAGATACTGAAAAACTAGGCATGGAAGCCTACAAGCCAAAGAACAGACTATAAGCCAATAGTAGAATTTCTAAGGTAGCATATTCTCTAAACTGTCACTCAAAGTTTCCACTACAAAGGGACACATTAATCTGAAACACAATTCTATATATTTCTAAAGAGCTTCCTCAAATTTAGCTATTTATTTATGTAATGGTCCCCACCACTTATTTGCCTCATGTGTCCAAATTTTTTAGTTCTCCAGGGATGAGTTCACATTCTACTTTTCCAGAAAAAGTTACTTTAGTGCTTCCTATCTTAGGCCATGGTATTGAATATTTTTGACTAATCATCAAAACAAGATACTATTGTTTTCCAGCAAGGCATAATAGTGTGAAAAAAAAATTTGGAAGAAAAAGCAACAAATATTACTTTCACTTCTGCCACATATTCTGGTATTTGGCAATTCAGCTAATATGAGTCTCAAAATTCTAGTTATTTATATGTTTTTTAGTTATTATATACTAGGATTCTTTTGTTTCACCAAATTTTCAAAATAACAATAAAATAACACTATTCATGTGTGTAATCAGTCTTTGCAATATATCAGCAATGCAGATCCAATTATAATCAACCACTGGAGTGTCATGTGCCAAATATAACTTTGAAATATTATCATGTTTTACGTTTACTGCTGAAAGAGATTAATCTGGACTAAGAATTCTGACTTCATAGCTGCAGTCTCCTGAGAGGCTCTGTCAGAAACAGACTAATTTAGTTTACTGCAATCAAAAACAAATTATGTCATCTCTAAATTTGTCTTCCAAATGACCATGAGGAGAAGCAGCATTGTTTCTAAAAACACTAGGGACTGAAACTCCAAACAAGAGAAAGTTGGTATGCTGCAGAAAGAAGAATGTTTAGTTTCAACAGTGCAATTAACACCCAAACCTTAGGCAATTATGTAGCAAAATAAATATGACTATATGCAAATATAAATATGACTATAACTTCATAGCTAAACACTAGAAATATCCAAAGAAAATAAAGCGGCTAACCAGTTCAATTAATCAAGGCTCTATAACCAATTTTAACAATGTTTGCAAATGAACACTCTCTTTTTGGTATATCATTGCAATAAAAATATTTTAAATAAAAACAAAATTAGGCTTTCACAGGTATTGTTATTTTCACATAGCTTGTATTTTTCATAAAATCCAAAATATTTTCATATTTCTTATCAAGCCATTACTCATAATTTTTATACTCCTACAAAAAGCACAAATTATTATTATGTTATAGAAATACATTTTTTTAAACGTGATGCCTCATGATAGGAAAAGTAAATAACTTATGAATTAAAAACATGAAAGGAAATCACTAAGTTAGGAGTAAAGCAAAATTTCGTATCTAAGTTCTTGGGATCTGGGCTATATCCCAGAAATATAAAATATTGAAATCAAGATGTGAGTTCAAACAAAAGAAAAAAATAAACGTCTAGCAGTTTTGGGAAATGTATTACTGACTCCTGTAAAATGGAATGCATTTTCTAAGAGAAGTCATAAGCTATCACAGACATAGAACATATTTATTTATCAAGTATGGAAAATATGTGAATAATGATGCAAGAACATGGGAAAGCAGATATTGCTTTGACATACTGATTTCATTTCCTTTGTGTAACTACCCAGTGCTGGGGTTTCTGGGTCATATGGTAGTTCTACTTTTAATTTTTTTTGGGAACCATTATACTATATTTTTCATAATGATTGTACTAATTTACATTATGACTAACAGTTTTGTATATGGATTCTCTTTTCTCTACATCCTCTTCTAACTTGTAATCTTTTGTCTTTTGGACAATAGACATTCTAACAGGTATTAAGTGATATCTCATTGTGGTTTTAATTAGGATTTTCCTGATAATTACTTATGTTGTGAATTTTTTTAGATACCTTTTGGCCTTTTGTCTGTCTTCTTTGGATAAATGTATATTCATGTCCTTTGCTCATTTTTAAATCAGATTGTTTTCTTGGTATTCAATTGAGTTCCCTATATATTTTGGATAAGAACTAATTACCAGATATTAACTAATTTGTGTGGTTTGCAAATATTCCCCCCCAACAGACTTATTTATTAAGTAGAGGAAATATCTAGATGTTTTCTAAACCACCTACTAACTGTTGGATACTATATTAATATAATTAATTTTTGATCTTTTTATAAAACTTATCTTACTGTTTTTCAAGGTAATTGTAGCCTCTTGTCTTTAGAATGAGTCATTAAACACACACAAAAGTTAAAAACAATCATATTTTTTATACAATTAATTAAGTGTCTTTGAAACACGTCTAACAATAAATGATAGAAATATGAAGGGAAAAGATTTATGTGACAGTAAGTATGGCTGTAGAAAATCTAAAATGGCTTGATTGCGAAGTGTAAATAGTATGCAACAAACAAAGCTAAAAATAGAAATTTAATTTTAAATGATGAGGGAAAAGTCATATTATTAGTTTTCAAAACGTATTTGAGAGTCACAGTAAATAAAACTGCATGATTATAATACAATAATACACAAATAGAAAAGGGAAGTGAGTTTTGTGTTCTTTAAAATCCATGGGGAATGAATATATTGCTTAGATGTTGTAATAAACTGAGACTATTTCTTACATGTTCAGAAACATTCAAAAACTTACTAAAATCAGGTTGTGTGATGCCTCCCAATTTGTTCTTTTTGTTTAGTCTTACTTTGGCTATGCAGGCTCTTTTTTGGTTCCATATGAGTTTTATAATTGTTTTTTCTAACTCTGTGAGGAATGATGGTAGTATTTGATGGAGATTGCATTGAATTTGTGGCTTGCTTTTGGCAATATGGTCATTTTCACAATATTGATTCTACCCATCAGTGAGCATGGGATGTGTTTCCATTTGTTTGTGTCATCTATTATATCTTTTAGCAGTGTTTTGTGGTTTTCCTTGTAGAGGTATTTTGACTCCTTTGTTAGGTATATGCCTAGGTATTTTATTTTTATTTTTTTGGCAGCTATTGTAAAAGAGGTTGAGTTCTTGGCTTGATTCTCTGGTCACTATTGATGTAGTAGAAGAGCTACTGATTTGTGTACATTCATCTTGTATCTGGAAACTTTGCAGAATTATTTTGTCAGTTCTAGGAGCTTTCTGGAGGAGTCCTTAGGGTTTTCAAGGCAAACAATCATATCGCCAGCAAACAGGGACAGTTTGACTTTCTCTTTACTGATTTGGATGCCCTTTATCTCATTCTTTTGTCAGATTGCTCTGGCTAAGACCTCCAGTACTATGTTGAAGATCTGATTTCAAACTATACAATAAGGCCATAGTCACCAAAATGGCATGGTACTGGTATAAAAATAGGCACATAGACCAATGGAACAGAATAGAGAGCCCAGAAATAAACCCAAATACTTACAGCCAACTGATCTTTGACAAAGCAAACAAAAACATAAAGTGGAGAAAGGACTCCCTTTTCTCAAAATGGTGCTGGGATAATTGGCTAGACACATGCAGGAGGATGAAACTGGATCCTCATCTCTGACATTATACAAAATCAACTCAAAATGGATTAAGGACTTAAACCTAAGAACTGAAACTATAAAAGTTATAGAAGATAACATCATATACATCATATATATCATATATGTGTGTGTGTGTGTGTGTGTGTGTATATATATATATATATATCTCACAGTTAGGAATACTACTCAGCCATAAAAAGGAATGAATTAACAGCATTTGCAATGACCTAGATGAGCTTAGAGACTATTATTCTAAGTGAAGTAAATCAGGAATGGAAAACCAAACATTGTATGTTCTCACTGATATGTGGGAGCTAAGCTATGAGGACGCAAAGGCATAAGAATGATGCAATGGACTTTGGGGTCTTGGGGAAAAGAGTGGGAGGGGGGTAGGGATAAAAGACAACAAATATGGTGCAGTGTATACTGCTCGAGTGATGGGTGAACCAGGTTCTCACAAATCTCCACTAAAGAACTTACTCATGTAACAAAATACCACCTGTACCCCAATAACTTATGGAAAAGTAAAATTAAAAAAACTTACTAAATATTGAGCACTAGAAGGATGCTTAAAATATCTGTGGCCAATTTAGACAATTTGGTATTATAGAAAAGATTAAAATAATAAAGTATGTCTTTGTGCTTCAACCTAGAATATCTTCAAAATATAATGTTAACTGAGTAAAAGAAAAAGTAGAACACAATGAAACATAATTTCATTCTGAACAAATAATAAATGAATCAAAACTATTTTATTTGTATGTTTGCATGTATGTAAAAATATTGAAGTAATTCTAATAAATAATCATCAAATTTTGAGTGAGAGTGAAAAAGGTGGTTGAAAGATTATTTAAAATTTACTCCATAGATTTTTTTTAATTGTTCACATTTTAAAACAATAGTATATGTAACAAAAGAGATTTTAAGTGCTGTGGTGAGCTACTGGAAAAATACTGGAGGACATTAGGGCGGAGCTTGTTCAAAGTGATCAGGCCATCTATATTGTGTAATGGCTGATTGTTTACAAAAGGCTTCTACACTCCCTTGCATAATTGGCGACAGGGGCTCTTTCTTTCTTAGAGCTTTGTTGAGCTGTAATAGATTAAAAAAAAAACTGCACATATTTAATGGCTACAATTTGATAATTTGAACATATGTATATACTTATGAAACCATTACCACAATTAAGGTTATAATCATATCCATAACCTCCAAGAGCTTCTCTATGCTCTTTCTTGTGTAAGTATTTTTTCTTGTTGTTTTTGCATGCCTGTGTGTATATGTTTATGCGTGTGTGTGTGTGTGTGTGTGTGTGTATTACAAACACTTAACCCAAGATCTTCCCTCTTGACAAAGTTTTTAAGTGTATAATATAGTGTTGTTAAGTATAGTCACCAGGCTGTACAGCAGATCTCTAGAGCTTATTATCTTATCTAACTGGAACTTTATACCCATTAAACACCTTCCACTTTCCTCCTCCCTCAAGCCCCCAGCAACAACCATTCTACTCCCTTCTATGAGTTTGACTATTTTAGATATCTTATATAAAGAAAATGTAGCATATGCATACAGTGAAATATTATTCAACCTTAGAAAGAAGGAAATTCTTCCAGGTCTGACAACGTGGATGAACCTGGAGACCATTAAGCTAAGTGCAATAAGCCAGTCACAAATGACAAGTATAGCAGTATCTTCCTTGAGAAAGGGGTTTCTGGGTTGTGGAACTGGCCAGAGACTAGAATAAGATGTACATCTTAAAGGGGAAAAGAAAGTGTTCATAATTGCAAGTTTTCTGCAAGTAGATGTTTGGGAGTTCAGGGGCGTACAGTCAGGAAGAAACCTGTCTAAAGTTTAGCCAAACTGAGAGAAACAATGTTAAGGCCTTCTTGGTCAATACTATTTGTGTCAACATTCCAAAGTGAGGTTTTGACTTGAAAATAAGCAAACTTTCCCATGAGGACCTTACACAATATTTTTCTCACTCTACTCTTTTCTCCATCTCTCCGTAACAGAGAAAAACATTGGGAAATTAATCTACTATCAATGTACAGAAAGTCAATTCTTAAATATAAGCTGTAACAATAATGAAACATAATATTGTTTAAGTTTACCCAGGTTAAGAAACATTCCACCTAAGTTATCTGATCAGCAGTTTTCAAGCTTGAGTCCATTATTATATTAAATTGCAGAGTTAATTGTTGCGAGTTTTTCTAAGTGTTTTTACCTATTACCTACTGTAAGGAATCCATTATTTGTATTAAAAAAATAAAAAGAAAACATTGATTTAATTCTGTTATATCTATGTAACTTTGAAAAGATATGCTATACAGATAATTTGTATGTAAGAATACCCTGACATATATACCCTCCTCAGTAGTATGTAGGTCATGGACAATGCCTTTCATTTCTATACCACAATGAATTAAGTCAATGCCTCACAGGTAGTGAAAACTCCATAAGAAATGGCTGAATTCACAAATGAATGAATGATAAACTGGATATTTGGTGTGATATTAGTTGTAGGAAGATTATTATTAACTCTCATAGTATTAGTTAAAAGCCTTGTTATTGTATGAAAAATTATATCTCTTGATTTAACAATTTAAAGGGTTGGAAAATCCTCTTTAGTGTTTATTTAAAAAGCTCCTTTGTACAAACATGGACTTGACCTTTAATAGTGTAGGAGTCAATTTTATGAGAAAAAAATAAGTGATCATTAGATTAGAATATTCTTTTACTTCTAAATTATAGCCTTTTCCTCTATTATTGTGTTGGATATTATTTAAATTCCTCTTTAGATTAATAGGTGGCCATTTGCAATAGAAAATATTTTGACAGATTGAAAGAGCTTTCGATTTTCTTTTGGTAACAATTTTGAAAGGACTTTTTTTTAGAAAAAAATGCATATAGTCCCCCACTTCTATTGCAACACACTTTGCTAAACATATTATGAGTAACAATCACGTGGTTGTAAGAACACAGCACATATGTTTATTTCATATGTAATATCTGATACGTTACCAAACAGCAGTTCCTGAGAGATACCTTTTTATACGTTATCATATTCCATTATCACAATTAACAGTATCTGCATTTTAATGGAAGGGAAAACTAGTTCAAATATGTCATTTTACTGTATCCAGGTTACAAAGCTATTATGTTTCGGAGCTAAGATTTGAATGCAAAGCAGTTTGTTCCAAGACTGTGCCATTCCTTAAATTACCTATCTCTACTCTTGGTTTTGTTCATGAAATTATTGTGAGAAAATAGTGCAGATACTCAGATTTCTCTTCTGTTTGTAATCATTAAGAAATAAGTGGTTATCAAAGTCTGTATGTTTCCCAAGCACTTCGGAGAAAAGAACTTACATGAAATCTCTCTGATCTCTATCTTCAATAAGTTTATAATGGCCAGAGAAATAAGGCAAAAACAAATGTAAGAGGCCTATCAATATTTTAAAACTAAAGCCTATAGTGGTTAGTTTCACAGGCTCAAAGAACAATAATTAAAATCAAGTTGGAGAAGAGGATCCAAAATGAAAAACACACAAAAGCAAATGAACCTAACATAGTACAAATGCATATCATAATTGCACACAAAAGAGAGTGGAGGTAGTGAAGAAAAGAACTAACTTAAGTAACTTTGGAAAATGGTATTTTCTCTATATCTGATAAAACTAAAAGAAAGAACTATAAGCAACTGTGTTGTTGCAGTAAGTAGCTTGCTTTGCATGGGGTATAGATTAGCAATTCCACAACTATTTAATCTATATTCTAGAATTAAACAAACAAAATGTGGATAATAAGAGGTAGATTTTTCACTGTCAGATAAAGCAGATAAAAATTTAAAAATGAAGGCTAAAATAAACCTTGTGGACCAGGTGTCAGTGTGAACTCAGGTGGAGGGAGGGGAGGTGGGGGAGAGAGAGAGAGAGAGATGTGTGTGTATGTGTATGTGTATGTGTGTGTGTATGCATGTGTGATGCATTTATCTCTATTCCCTGAGAAGACCGATAAGTAGTGACAACTCAATGAGTATATCTAAGACCTGGATATTATTTTGTGAATTTCCATCTCCAGAATTAGAAACCAGACTCATTGGAGAAATGGATAATTGCAGGAGTAGCATACAAATGTTCAAAATGGAACTAGAACCAATATAAGAATGGTCCCAAAACGTATGAAAGTATTCAAAGCATGATGAAGTTGTGTAATAGATAGAAAATCAATTTAAGAGGTTCATAATGTCCAACCAAACATGAGACAATATGAGCCACAAAAGATAATGGTCCATACTAGAGTATTACACAAAAAATAAAATCAGAATTCATGAATCTACACTAATGTACATGAGCAATGTAATGCATACTTTTTTTAAAAAATAAGGGAAATTTCTTTATTATAGTAGTATTACAACTAATGTAAAATATAGTATAAATTAAAAACCACCATTTGACAAACATTATGGTAATAGGTATAACATGAATTTTATCAATGGATGGTAAAAATAATTGAAAATTATGGTAAGAGAAAAATTTCAAAGAATCTCAGCAAAACATATTTTTAGTTAAAGTAGAAATGTTGTTAACAGTGGAGAAACTTAGTGGACAACCCCATAACCAAATAACAAAATTAACACAACTAACAATGGCACATCTGATGCCTTGTGCCTGCTGATATGATGCCCTGAGAAATAATAACTAAGAAATATCACACAAGTTCAAATTCTACAAAATAAGTGGCCAATATTTTCAAAAATGTAAAAATCATAATATTTTTTAAAAGACTGGGAAAACAAAAAATAAAGGAGAATGAAAAAGCATGACAACTAGATTTAATCCTAGACAACAAAAAGTACACTTGTAAAACAACTATTAAAAGTAAATTAAGTCTAGAGATTATAGTATTGTATCTATGTTATGTTTCCGGCTTTCATATTTGTACTGTGGTTTTGTAATAAGTTTTTAAAAATATGATATACAAGTAACTAGAACTGTTTCTTTTTGTTTTGCTTTGTTATTTTCTTTCTACTTTTATTTTAAATTCCAGGATATATATGCAGGAACAGAATTGTTTTAATTGATTTTGCAAAATTTTTGATCATCATCTGAAATTCTTTCCAGATAAAAAACTTAAGAAAAAAAGATCTAAAATAATTCCTTAATATATGCTGAGTCACATTTTATCTGCTTCATGTTAAGAAGAGAGAGATAAATACATAGCCATTTTGAAAGGCTTTCATAAAAGAGGTAGGACTAATGGGTGCCTTAAACAGAGAAAATAGAGTATATATATGGAATCATATAATGAATGCAGAAATAGATATAGAATATTTGAAGTTGCTGAGGGTACAAATGGTATCCAAAGAATAAATTATATTGGTGAGCATAAAGATAACAACAACCAATTGACCACCTGTAACATTTTTAACTTAATTTGATAGACTGCTTACTATATATATATATATATTTTTTTTTTTTTTTGAGGCAGGGTCTTGCACTGTTGTCCTGGCTGGAGTGCAATGGCACAATGTCAGCTTACTGAAACCTCTGCCCCCCAGGTTCACACGATTCTCCTGCCTCAGCCTCCTGAGTAGCTGGGATTACAGGCACACACTGCCAGACACAGCTAATTTTGTTTTTATTTATTTATTTTAGTAGAGATGGGATTTCACTATGTTGGTCAGGCTGGTCTCGAACTCCTTACCTCGTGATCCATCCATCTCAGCCTGCCAAAGTGTTAGGATTACAGGCGTGAACCCCTGCATCCGGCCTCCTTACAATATTTTTTATGGTCAAAAGTGAATGTGTGTGTATACGTTGTTATAAAGAATGTTTTCATAAATGGTTAATATTTCGCATACTCAAAAAAATAACTAAAATGCACAAGGAAGAGATGGAAATCCAACATGGAAATCAAGTGAGTCCACTGAATTGATGGAAAAGAATGGACAGGATGAATCTAAGTAACTTTTGATCTTGTTTTAATTTTGAGTTATTTAAAAAAATAAATAAAATTCTTAGCCATCTCTATGGCAGACCTAGTTAGACATATAATATTAGGTTTGTCAGTAAACTTAGGAGGCCATGTAGTAATGAACATAATCCTGAATTGGTGGTTTTAAGAACAGATTTCATGTTCCTCATTTTCCATACAGGATATGACATTGGCCGGTGTTTTGATGGATTTGAGTCTCTGTTTTTTACTAAAATGAAAGTAGTGTGACGAAGTAATAATAACACTGAATTTAGAAATAAAACCAACATGCAAATATATGTATTTGCATGTTTCTTGAAAGTTATTGTAAACTTATACTTTTATTGTCAGAATCTGAGTGACTGTGTTTGTAAATGGGAATGATTATTATGAACCACAGGAAATTTTTTTTAGAGTCAAATAGGTTAAATGTGAGATTACTTTATAATGTATGAAACAATATGCAAACATATATTTACAGCACTGGTGACTTTTCAAAAATAAGTCCCCTGACTGCAGAAAAAAAAAAGCATCTTACGTTTTTTCCTAACTCCAGTACTGATCACAGTGCCTAGATTGTAGCATACATTCAAGTATCATTGAACTGCCTGTACATATTAAAGCATGGAATTAGGTATTTCAAAATATAGAAATAATGTAAAACCTTATAGGATGCATATACTTTTTGGCTTTAGTGAATAGATTATGCTTCAAAAAGTATTATTAATATTTTATAGACATTTTGTTAACCAGAAAACTCTTACATTCTTGCCCATAGCAATTAAGGCATTGTCTACTTAAATCAGTAAATGTTGGTACATCATAACTCCACAGTAAGATGGTTTTATTTAATGGTTCCGTCACACTCTGTTGAATGTAGTGCTTTTTATGAGATTACCCTATTTTTAATTGTTTCATTCACTCGGATCTTCAGAGACAATGTAGATAGGAATTTAAAAATCACAGTTAAATGAATATCCTTGTAACTTACATTTAGTATGTGCAGGTATTCAATGTTTAAGCTTCCATTTAAATGTCTTTTTTTGGCAATTCTCAAAGGAAATAGAGTATGTGACACATGTAAGCCAGCCACAAACTATATTAGTTTTAGAAGATAACTATAATATTTATTTGCATGATTCATTTTTACTTATAAAATAGTTATACAATTGTGGACATATATAATGCTCTAGAGACAAGAAATAGCTTATAAGTATGTTTTCAGAAATTTGAATGTAATTTCATTTTGCCTAGACCATTTTCTGAGCTGGCCCATACTGAGAAAAACATATATGAATTATTTAATGACATGTTTTCAATACTGCTTTTATTACAAAACATGATAAACAAATTTTACTTCCCGCAACAAATAATAACTTGCTCAATATGCTTTTGTAGTAGAATTTAGATATAGTTCCAAACAAAAATTTCCAACTTATTTTTGAATAGTCAAATATTGCTAATATAAATTATGTATCTGAAATAGAGTAAGTTGAGATTATTTACTCTGAAATATAGTTGAGATTATTTACTAATTTATTATTCTTAATTTTCCGCAATCTAGTAACATTTGTGAAAAAGTGAAATGGTAGTTGCTGGGTATAAATAATGTATTAATTCACCAGGCTATTAAATATGTCTTAAAATAAACATGTCATTATTTGATCAGAACAGTTGCTTTACTGTTATTTTTAAACAGTGGCAAGTAATTTTTTATTAAAAGTATAACTCAAAAACATTAACTATATATGCTGTTTGCAGATGACATGATTGTATATCTAGAAAACCCCTGCGTCTCAGCCCAAAATCTCCTTAAGCTGATAAGCAAATTCAGCAAAGTCTCAGGATACAAAATCAATGTGCAAAAATCACAAGCATTCTTATACACCAATAACAAACAGAGAGCCAAATCATGAGTGAACTCCCATTCACAATTGCTTCAAAGAGAATAAAATACTTAGGAATCCAACTTACAAGGGACAAAGGGACATGAAGGACCTCTTCAAGGAGAACTACAAACCACTGCTCAAGGAAATAAAAGAGGATACAAACAAATGGAAGAACATTCCATGCTCATGGGTAGGAAGAATCGATATCATGAAAATGGCCATACTGCCCAAAGTAATTTATAGATTCAATGCCATCCCCATCTAGCTACCAATGACTTTCTTCACAGAATTGGAAAAAACTACTTTAAAGTTCATATGGAATCAAAAAAGAGCCTGCATTGCCAAGTCAATCCTAAGCCAAAAGAACAAAGCTGGAGGCATCACACTACCTGACTTCAAACTATACTACAAGGCTACAGTAACCAAAACAGCATGGTACTGGTACCAAAACAGGGATATAGACCAATGGAACAGAACACAGCTCTCAGAAATAATGCCACATATCTACAACTATCTGATCTTTGACAAACCTGAGAAAAACAAGCAATGGGGAAAGGATTCCCTATTTAATAAATGGTGCTGGGAAAACTGGCTAGCCATATGTAGAAAGCTGAAACTGGATCCCTTCCTTACACCTTATACAAAAATTAATTTAAGATGGATTAAAGACTTAAATGTTAAACCTAAAACCATAAAAACCCTAGAAGAAAACCTAGGCAATACCATTCAATACATAGGCATGGGCAAGGACTTCATGTCTAAAACACCAAAAGCAATGGCAACAAAAGCCAAAATTGACAAATGGGATCTAACTAAACTCAAGAGCTTCTGCACAGCAAAAGAAACTACCATCAGAGTGAACAGGAAACCTGCAGAATGGGAGAAAATGTTTGCAATCTACTCATCTGACAAAGGGCTAATATCCAGAATCTACGATGAACTCAAACAAATTTACAAGAAAAAAACAACCCCATGAACAAGTGGGCAAAGGATATGAACAGACACTTCTCAAAAGAAGACATTTATGCAGCCAACAGACACATGAAAAAATGCTCATCATCACTGGCCATCAGAGAAATGCAAATCAAAACCACAATGAGATACCATCTCAAACCAGTTAGAATGGTGATCATTAAAAAGTCAGGAAACAACAGGTGCTGGAGAGGATGTGGAGAAATAGGAACACTTTTACACTGTTGGTGGGACTGTAAACTAGTTCAACCATTGTGGAAGTCAGTGTGGCGATTCCTCAGGGATCTAGAACTAGAAATACCATTTGACCCAGCCATCCCATTACTGGGTATATACCCAAAGGATTATAAATCATGCTGCTATAAAGACACTTGCACACGTATGTTTATTGCAGCACTATTTACAATAGCAAAGACTTGGAACCAACCCAAATGTCCAACAGTGATAGACGGGATTAAGAAAATATGGTACATATACACCATGGAATACTATGCAGCCATAAAAAGGATGAGTTCATGTCCTTGGTAGGGACATGGATGAAGCTGGAAACCATCACTCTCAGCAAACTATCACAAGGACAAAAAACCAAACACCGCGTGTTCTCACTCATAGGTGGGAATTGAACAATGAGAACACATGGACACAGGAAGGGGAACATCACACACTGGGGCCTGTCGTGGGGTGGGAGGAGAGGGGAAGGATAGCATTAGGAGATATACCTAATGTTAAATGACGAGTTAATGGGTGCAGCACACCAACATGGCACATGTATACATATGTAACAAACCTGCACATTGTGCACATGTACCCTAAAACTTAAAGTGTAATAAAAAAATTAAAAAAATAAAGAATTTCAGACAGTATCTGGCATGTGGCAAGAGCTCAATATTTAGCTTTTCTTCTTCTATTGCTTATTCTGGATATCTGGTATAAATGGAATTATACAATACATGGCCTTTTGTATCTGACTTGTTTCACTTAGCATAATGTTTTCAAGGTTCATCCATGTTGTAGCATTTATCAGTACTTCATTGCTTTTTATGGTTGAATAATATTCTACGATATGGATATATCACATTTTGTTTATGTATTCATCAACTGATGGACATTTGGGTTGTTTCCACCGTGTCGCTGTTTGCAAAATAGAGTTGCTATGAACATTGGTAAAATAAATAAATAAAATATAATAAAATAAAGAATTTTCTGGATATTTTGATATGATTCCGACCACTTATTTTAAATGATCTAAATTTAATACCTCCAGATTCACAAAGTAAGTAAGATAATTATCTCTAGTACTTCAGAAACATTTCTTGGTTAGCACTGATGCACACTATTCCAGAAAGTCTGTGCATTCTGATGTTCTTGAATTTAATTCACCAGAAATATTCTTTATGACTTGTTGACTGAAAAATAACAAGTTCTAAAACAGCTTGCCTTATATTCATAAGAAAATAAGAATGTGAACCTTAGTGCATGATACATGAAAAAATCATGTATTTCAGTCATAGAAAATGACTAAATTTGCTTTCTATTTTTAAATACAATATCTACATGTACATTATTAAACTAACCAAATGATAATTTTTTTTATTGTAATTTGCTTTCTCAGGTTGAACCAAATGATAATTTCAAAAACAGATAAGAATGAGAGGAGAATAGTATAAGCCAATTTTGCTTGTGTTTATTAAAAGTCGTAAATAAAATATTAACTACTTGAAAGCAATAGCATATGAAAAATTATAGCACCATACTTGTATTATTGGAGGTTCAGTGACTAAAGTGTTAGAAGACAAACTAAATTGCAGAGGGTTGTCAAAGACAGATACTATTTTTCTCATGCATACTAGTAAAAAAATAAGTGTCCAACTGATGCTATGGTTCTACCATTCTTGGCAATGTGGATTGTCAAGGTGCTCCAATTATGAGTGTGAATTAAGTCTATAATAAGTAACTTCCAGGAAATTACCCAGATATTTGTTCACATCACTTTCACTCTCATACTTCAGGCATGAACTAAGCCATATGGCTAAAATGAGCTGCAAAGGAAATTAAGAAATGCAGCCTTCTGATGAGCAGCTACGGCCCCTCCAAGTACACACACATGCCCCAAACAAACAAGAATGAGGGAGGGGAAAGAGAGGCATACACACAAACAGAAAGAGAGAGGGAGAGAGAGGGAGGGAAAGAGAGAATAGATACTGGGCATAGTTCAGTAATTGCTATGATGACCTCTTCTACCTAAAGTCTGGATCTGAGTGTACCCATTATGCCCTTCCTCCACAGAAAGAACACTAATCATTCCTAAGGAAGAAAATTAACAACGCCGTGAGTTATAATATCTGGCTGAAACTGAAGGAGCTCTGTGTAATTAAAAGTCCTTTCTGCCCTGCCTGGCCATGGTTCTGTATGCATTGATGTCTTACAAACTGAAAAAAAAAAAAGTTATTTTCTCATCTCCATTCCCTAGCATAGACATATTACATGATGTGGAATTGAAACAAGAAAATTGCATTTTAATCTTCCACTCAGAACATAGAAGAATGAAACAAACAAACAAAAAATACTCTGTTGTCTTAGTCTACCACAAGCAAAATCTGGCAGTCTCTTTGCTTTGGTAATGGCATAAATTCCTTGATTAGCCTATAGGATAGCCCATTGTTCTGCTCTTTTAGTGGAATAGCTAGCAATTGCTTTGTCATTTTTTCCCCATGGTTCCTACCATTAGTGTTGGGAGGTTTCTTCTTTGTTTTTTTGAGAAAGAGGAAAAAGTTGTTATATTTTCATAAAAACTTAAATTTCATCCAAAATACTTGATTTTCATGAAGAAAGTAAATATCTCTGCCCCTAGTATACATGTGTGGAAACTTTCAGAACCCTGAAGATAAATACATTTCAAACAAGTGAGTTTGAAAATATCAATAGCAAAATAGGAAGTAAGCTAATTAGAGAGGTAAGAACTAGATGGCTTAGCATTCCAATAATAATATATAACCTTCTTTAAGAGTAAAATCTTGGTCAAAAGACAGATGAAAACTCCAATAAAATTTCACAACTCATGGAAAAGTCTATCTTCGTAATTCTTTATGAAGCAAACTATATATATATAAAACATATATATATATATATTTGAGACAGAGTTTCGCTCTTGTTGCCCAGGCTGGAGTGCAGTGGTGCGATCTTGGCTCATGGCAGCCTCTGTCTCCCGGGTTCAAGTGATTCTCCTGACACAGCCTTGTAAGTGGTTGGGATTACAGGTGTGTGCTATCATGCCCGGCTAATTCTGTATTTTGAGTAGAGACGGGGGTTTCTCCACGTTGGTCAGGGTGGTCTCGAACTCCCGACCTCAGGTGATACCCTCGCCTCGACCTCTCAGAATGCTGGGATTAGAGGCTTGAGCCACCACGCCTAGCTGCAAACATATTTCTTATATTTTCCAACATCACAAAATTTTACTGAGCTATGATATGTACTAAAAGCTGATAAAGATGGTGTTGTTATATTTAACAGTACTCTGAATTTTGTTGCCATTTCTAAAATTGTATTCAGAGGAAATTATGCCCATGTTTCTATAGAGAGAATTTTAAAAAATACATGAGCATAGAAATTTGAGCAACATTGATTAAGGTTCCATAAAATTGAAGCAGGAAATAGTATAGAATATACTTTTGCTCACTCTATTAAAATAAGTCTCTCATAAGTATGCTTCAGTTAAGTTCGAAGGGTAGGAAAATTAACCTGGAACGGGGCATTCAGATATAAGTAAGTTTATTTTGGAGAAATTTCTATGTCAGCTGAGATTATTTTCTATAAAAACAGAAGAAAGATGAATATCACTAATGATAGCACAAACCACTAATTAGAAGGCAGTATGTAGAATTTTTCTGGAAAAATAAAACTATAAATGACAAATTAATTTTAGCAGAAATTGTAAGAAAATGCAATGAGGGTAATAGGAATGTTATCTTTGAATACAATGGACAGCAAATTGTAAACTGAATGTATTCACTAACACAAAAGAGAAAATTACTTTTAATGATTGCCTATTGTTTCTCTCTACATAAAGTTTGAGTTTCATGTCTGATGACCTTATGGCTTTTTAAATAGACACTTCATGTGACATCATTAAATTACTTTATACAGTATTACTACATTTCTATGGTAAAATTTAAGCAAGAGATTAATTTTGAAAGACTTTCAGAGAAAGACTTGTAAATACAGACATGAGACATAAATCTGATGTGGGCCTTTGCTTTGTTTTGCTTATTTTCTTTTAGTTTTTGTTTAATAAAAAATTGGGGTTTGTAAAAGTTTAGAATACTCGCAGGAATGTTGTCTAGCAACATTTTTGGTTATATTAGTAACATAACTACATGGAATAACAGCAAGAAATTTTCTTCCATGAAAAATTAATTTTCCATTTCTATTGCAAGGGGAGAGAAACAACTAAGTGCTGCATATATCCCCCAAATTATATTTAATTATTTCATACTTAAATTTTCTTTGTTACCACAGCGTAAAGGGTTGTCACAGTGCAATGGTGGCACCTATTGGCATATGGGATATATGACATTAAACTGTCTGAATTTTCCCCAAATTTTCTCTATTCAGTGCATATAAGTTCTAGAATTGAAGAACGCATGGCTAAAATCAGCACTTTCAATTTTAAATGAACAAGTTTAAAAGCCAACACTAAATGCAATGTGTAAGGTGGCATTAGTCATGGAGGTTTTCTGACCATGGGACATTAAAAATAATGAGAAGAGAAAACAATGTCAATATTTATTTCACAATAATGCTTTTGTGAAACAGTGAAATAATGAAAAATCAGAAATATAGATAGATAGATAGATAGATAGATAGATAGATAGATGCAGATATACACCATAAAGACATACACTAATCAGGGAGCTATTCACTGGAGAGAAAAGATTAAACTAATCAGGTTAATAATTATGTATATATAGAAAAGTGAATCATATACCATATTTATAGACTCACCGTGATGGATCAGTTTTCTCTATATAACATCCAAGCATAAAACGTGGAGAAATCAGCTAATGAGGAGTTCAGTCAGATCTACAAAACAATGATAATTGATTCCTTCTATATAATTTTTCTTCTTAGGCCTGGATATATTGTATATAACATAATATTTAATTTGTACTATTTATGATATATAATGTGCAATATATAATGTAAAATCATAAGATTAATTTTGGAACACGCTCTTACGTTATTGAAACACAGATTAATAATGTATATATTATATATTACTCATATATATCATTACTGTATATATATTACTCATGCTTTCAGTCACATGAAGAGAGCTTCTAAGTATTAATGTATGACATACTAAAATGAATGAGCGTTCTCCACAAAACATACTTTCATCACCCAATGAATATTTATATTATGTTGCCAATTACAGAGTAGGAAGTATTGGATATAAATACTGTTCTCATGGAGCTTACAGTGTTAATGCATTTGTCTTTTATATCTAATACTTATTATATTATTTCCGTTATTATAATATAAGGGAAATGTATGTTATAGTAATGACAAGGATAATAACAATGATGCAATGAAAGAGGTGATCAAGGACAAGGGTTAGAATGACAAAAAGAGAAAAATAAGGTAGTGTTAAATTATATGAAGACAAAGTAAGCAAGAGGAGTTGGTAGATGGATTGTGGGTGGGGGTGCACAATGTTAAACAGGTGATTCATGTAGTCTCCAGTGATATGACATTCAAGCCAAACCTGTATTAGGTTAATCAATGCTGAATCCATTTTTTCTAATGTGGAGTGAATAGTGATAGCACAATTTCTAGAGGAAAATTTAGGTTTGGGGTAGAAATTTAGAAGTCATCAAAATATGTATTTTATTTATGCACAAAAGACTGGATGAAAGTACTAAAAGAGGGTAAATGTTTACAGAGAAAAGAAGAGTTCCAAGCGTTCAGTCCTGAAGTACTCCAGCATTTGTGAGATTGATTAAAACAGAAAGAACTAGAATGAGTGACTTAAAAAAAGAGAATGTGGTTGTTGGAGAAAACACAGAAGAATGTGGTATCTTCCCCAAGAAGAAAGAATAAATAAGAATTTGTGCTAATGATTGCTGATAGACCTAATATGAGGAAAACTGAGTGATTACTATTGAGTTATCAATATATGTACACCACTGGTGACCTAGAGAAGTTTGGTGAGTGCCAGAGGCAAACTCCAGATTGAGCAGATTCAAGAGGAAATGGAAACAAGTGAATAGAAGAAGTGAACAGAGCTATAAGAGTACAGACAGCTTTATGTATGATCTCTGCTCTAAAGAAGAGCAAGGAGATTGGGAGGCCGAGGTGGGTGGATCACCAGGTCAGGAGATCGAGACCATCTGGGTTAACACGGTGAAACCCCGTCTCTATTAAAAATACAAAAAATTAGCCGGGCGTGGTGGCGGACGCCTGTAGTCCCAGCTACTCGGGAGGCTGAGGCAGGAGAATGGCGTGGACCCAGGAGGCGAAGCTCAGTGAGCTGAGATCGCGCCACTTGCACTCTCAGCCTGGGCGACAGTGCGAGACTCCATCTAAAAAAAAAAAAAAAAAAAAGAAAGAAAAGAAGAGCAAGGAGAATTAACAAACCATCTGTGTTTTTTTTTATGGTTTGTTATACAAGTGGGTAGAGACTCAGCAACACTCTATGTCTATTAGCAGAGTTTCTAAAGTACAATATAGTAAGTGGACTAAGGGATAGTTCAACTTGGTCAGATTAAGAGGCAAACATCATAATTACAGCTATGCTAAGTGGGCAGTCAGCATACAATAAGCACTTTTCTAAGTGCTTTACATACATTGTCATAATTAATCCCCATCAAAAAACATAGAATATCATTATCTCATTTTTATAGAAAGAAACCAAGCCATAGACAAGTAAGGGAGTCCTACGGCCATACCACCCTGACTGTGCCTGATCTCTTCAGACAAGTAAGGGGCTTGCCAGTTTTCAAAGGTACATAATCAGAGAACAAAAGCCCAAATAGTACATTCCTCTTACCAAAATGAATACATTTTCCACTATCAAAACTCTTTCTTTGTGAGTAGAAGGAAAACAACAAGGAAATCATGCTTGAGCAGATGATATAGAACATAGAATGGCTTGCAAAGAGCTTGCAAAGAGGTTGTGGGAGGTTTTAAAGCTTATGAGTGTGACTGTGGCTTAGAATCATTTTTATTTCAAGAATGAAAATGAAATTAGTTTGGGTAAAAAATGATGGGACTGTCTTAGAACGTAGAATATAATATGGACAAATAAATATTTAATATATGAGAATGGAACACAGGAGAGGAATTCTAGTCGTAAGTACCACTTTGGATGTCATCTGCATAGCATTGATATCCATTAGTTAATGAATTCTATAGTATTTGATCACCTAGTCTCTGAGTACTGAGCTACATGTTACAAGTACAGGAGTGAAATAGATAGACTTCTGCTGTCAGCAATTTTACTGAAAAATAGACAATATTGATAAAGAAGCATAATTAAAATACATTGTGGTGATTGCTTAAACATCAACATATTATATCAGCATATGTAAGCATCTCTAATCTGTATTTGGAGGATGAGTGTTAGAGAAGGCTTTCAGAGTAGATGAAATTGTTATTTTTTTAAGAGAAAACATGCAAAGAAAAAACTAACCCAGATCTTTCGAAAATATCTGAAAATAAGACCAAGAGAGTCAAAGAAGGAACAATTTTCTAGTAGAAGATGAATAAATCTATAGACTTTTCTGCAAAGCAATGTGAAATACTGATTATAAAAGGAAACATTTAACAAATACCACCTAAAGCTTTTTTTGATATAAAATTAGAAAAGTACATATGACTTGCTACTGAGTAGTTTCCTCTCTGACAGAGGGAAGGCAGCTCTCTGAACATGTTAAATTAAAGAATAAGTGCCTGGTTAGGAAGCACAGGCAGGAAATAAGGGCTAAAGCTTTCAAAAAGAAGAAAGGTAAGTACAATACTGAGGGAAAAATGTAAAGGCATTGCCATGAAGGCAGAGAAATCACTTACACAGATCAGAATCCAAGAACAGACCAACATAAAGTCAGTCTCTAGACCCTGAGCACTGAATGCCCCCGAGTGAACAAAAAGAAGGCTTCATAAGCAGTGAGCATCAAACATTAGAAGGAATTTCAAATGTGTGTGATCTCTTTATCCTGATGGATCTTCAATTGCATAATTTTCCATTAGATTGGACAAAGATTGTTGACCTCCCTCTGGTGGACAGGAGTCACCTAAATAAATGATCTGTGGTACATATACTGCCACCTTCTCCCTTTCCCCATACCTATATGCACAGCTTCTGAGACTAAAACAAATGCTGATTTATGCTGCCAACAATCTTCCAATAGTCATAGACCTTACTTCCAGAACAACATACTCTCAAGTAGACAGAGTGAAAAGATTGATCAATCCATAAGAGATCTCAAGTCTACTTTCAAATGTCATTTTGCTTATGATTGAAATGTTTTAAGATAGCCTCATTGAACTCAGCATTATTTCATGCTGGACAGCTCTCTACAGTCTATACCATTCTAGTACACTACAGAATGACATCTTATTCAAAGATGGATACTAAAGTTAGCAGAAAAGACAGATGTCACATAATTGAAATCACAGTTGGGAAGAATTTGGGAAGACATCATGCACATATTCAGTGAGCAACTAATATAGTTTTTATTTGCTAATTTTTATTTTATTTTTATTTGAAAAATAACAATGATAAGAGTACAGTGTGATTCTTGATATATGTATACATTATGCAATGATTCAATTAGGCTTATTAACATATCCATCACCTGACATACTTATTTTTTTGTTTGGTGAGAGCATTTAAAATCTACTCTGTTAGTAATTGTGAAATATACATTACATTACTATTAACTATAGTCACTATGCTCTGTGATAGATCTCAAAAACTTACTATTCCTGTCTAACTGAAAATTTGTATCCTTTTACAAATATCTCCACACTTTCACCCCACCCCCACCTCCACGGCACAGCTCTTGGCAACCTCCATTCTACTCTCCTATTCTATGACTTTTTTAGATTCCACATGTAAGCGAGATGATGTAGTGCTTTGTCTTTCTGTACCTGACTCATGTCATTTAGCATGGTGTCTGATAGTTTTATTCATGTTGTTGCAAATGATAGGATTTCCATCTTTTTAAAGGCAAAATGGTGATCTAATGTGTATACATACCACATTTTCTTTATTCATCCATCTGTTGATGGACACTTAGATTGATTCCACATCTTTATTATTCTGAATAGAGCTGTGATAAACATGGAAGTGCATATACCTCTTAAACATACTGATTTCAGTTCCTTTGCATATACACCGAGAAGGGGGATTGCTATGCACTTTTTATTTTTCATACAAAATTGGAAACCAATACTGCATTTTTGATTGAGGTCTTATTTGTAAAAGGGGCTATGTTGAACCTTGACTAGGATCTTTCTGTCTCTGAACACATTCAAGTTGTCAGAAAATTCTCTCACCTACATCTGCCCATCTCTCCTCACCTCCAGCACTTCATCTTGAGACCAAACTGGAAAAGTCTTTTATTAGAATTTTCCCCCAATTGACTCCAATCAGCTTTTCCTTCTCCTACCCCATTGTTCCCTTTAATTCTCAGCACAGTAGGCAGGGATCCTGTTAAATAAAAAATATAAAATGTCAGCCTTCCACTCAAACCTTCCTAATGGCTTCCCATCTTGAGGCAGGAGAATCACTTGACCAAGAGATCAAGACCAGCCTAGACAACATAGTGAGATCCCTGTCTCTACAAAAATTACAAATAATAACCATAATGAGGCGTGGTGGTGCATGCCTGAGGTCTCAGCTACTCAGGAGACTGAGGTGGGAGGATTGCTTGAGATCAAGTCTGCAGTGAGCTATGATCATACCACTGCACTCCAGCCTGGGCGACAGAGAAAGACCCCATCTCAAAAAAATAAATAAGAAATAAAAGTAAAGTAAAATAAAATAAAAGTGAAAATTTTGATTAATACCAGGTAAACTTCTGCATGAGGAAAACCCCACCCCCTCCTTTATCTTTCTAAACAGATTCAAGCAGGTCTCACCTCAGAGCCTTTGGACTTGCTGTTCCCAATGACAGATGTGCTCTCAACCAAATTTCATTGTGTTAAGTTCCTTTACCTCCATTGGTATGTTGCCTACATTTCGTCTTCCCAGTGTTGTGGCCAACACACAGGCACATACATGCACGTGGACACACACACACACACACACACACGTCTTTTAGCTTTGATTGGCTTATTGCACTAATCACATCAAATGTATCACTTATTTAGCCTTTTTTTTCTTTTCCATAAAACATAAGCTCCATGAGGACAAAAATTTTTGTCTGTGTTGTTCATTGTTATATCCTCAGTTCCTTAAGAATGTTAGAGGCATAACAGGTATTCCATAAGTATTTATTGAATTAATGTTATATACATATATATTGTTAAACTTTAAAATTAGGCTCTACACATTAACGTGTTTAAACTATAAGTAGTATAAATGGAATTGTGGTCAAAATTGCCTGTACTATTTATACTCTTTTTCCTGTCCTCTCTTCTCCTGTTTTCCATTCTTGTTCTCTCTCTCTCTATTCCTTGATGAATTAACATCTCATAATCTTTAGTTTTATTCCCTCCACAGTCAAAAGAAACAGTCTGAATTTGCCTGTTTAGAATTTTTTCCTCATCCTCACCTCCTAGTAATATTTTCTGTTTCACTAACTCCTCTTATGGGCTGTTGTGATGTAAGATTAGAAGAAAAAACATATAGGAAAATGGGAGGGAGTGGGTTAATACCATGAGCAATATGTTCTTTTAACTATTTTGTTTCTGTTGATCAGTTTATTTTATCTTCATATGAGAATTTTAAGGCATAGATTAATTAATCATTCTTGGGATGATATTTTTATAATTACAAAGATAAGCCTGTAGTTGTATCATCACAAGAATGAAAAATTACACATTTAAGAGTATATCAAAGTATATTTTATTTAGCAGTTATAAAACAATTGGTATAATAATCAATAATTATATCTAAAATGTGAACATTATATTATATTATGATAAAATATTTATAATTTCATTATATATAAAATTTAATAAATATATTTTCCCGTATTAATTAATATTTTCCCTTAAAAAACATAGCTCAAAAGTTTATACTAATAGTATCTAGGGATACAATATTCCTACTTTAATAAATGGAAGATTAATTTTCAATATTTTAATATAAATTGTTTCTCATCCTATGTTACATTTATAAAGGTATTTTTTTGTGTAAAAAGAGAAAACAAATATTTGATTGATATAGACAATTTGTTTACCTGGAGGAGGATCCAAAAACAGTGTATATGGATACCTCTGTCCTTCCTTGCCATCAACTTTCATACTTATATTTCTAAATGTTAAAGAGACAGAAATTCTCCCAGAAGTTACCCACATCTGCCTTCATTTCTCTTTTGGTAAACCATTCACAGATTTTGTGAGAGCAGATGAGAGATACAATATTATGAGAATTTCACTTTCATAAGACAGATGGTCTATGAGAAAAAATGTGGCATACCTATAAATGTGTGTCTTCTTCTAGCATATGGGAATCTATGTCATTTAGCATATGTATCTATGAATGAGGACAGGTCGTTTCATTAGGTTATTTCATTCATATTAATTCTTGTTCTCATAATATTAAAATTTCATATTTTGTGGTTCTCATGAGTAATGTTAAGATAAACACACAGTACACAAAAATATAGCATTGCCCTTTCAAGGAAGCATGAAATTTTTACTTAGTTTGGGTTAAATGATATGCCAAATTAAATATCTCAAGAGAGATGGATGAGTATGCATGTATACATGTTTATGTGTGTGTGTGAATTTAGATATCATATTCCAACCTACAAAATTGTATATTATCTGATATTGAGAAAAAAATAAACAAAATGCTTGGTCAAAAGTTATTGAGATGGGATTATTATCATAAAATAATATATTTTCCCATAAACACAGTAAAATTTATCCATGAATATTGACAGTGATTAATTAGTATTATTTCAATTTAATAATAATTTGTTCAACTTTTTAAAAAATCTTGCAGTAATTTTATTTTACTATGTGTATAGCAAAAAATACATTGAGTACATTTGCTAAAATGCACATCTGATTATAATAAACAGTTGGTATATTTAGAAATTGTCCAAAATTATCTTTGAACAATTTCTAAATACACAAACTTCAGCAATTACATATGGACATTCAATCAATCATCATCTTGGTTTAAAGTAGAGTTTTTTATTTTCTAGTCATATAGATTTGTGCGATTATATTACTCATATTACAAAGAAAAAAACTTAATGTACCATTTCTTGACATTTGAACATTTCTTCACAACCACAGGGGAAAATTAATGGAAAAAAGCCTCTAGAGATATGCTTGTTACTAATGTTACAGATATATGACTAGATGCCACATCAGTTAACCCCCTTGCTATATTTGAAACCCCATGTGATTTGGGAGGGGATACAGATATTAATTTTTCAAATCTTTAACCTACCTGATTTGTAAAGGTATTATGAAGGATTATCTTAAATGTATGTTACTTATCAGAAAATTATAAATCCTAGAAGAAAGAAGGTAAAATTTTCTGTTCTATGAAAAAAAGATTTTAAAAAGTGAATTATATTTAATTTTACTCCTCTAAGATGTTATGGTATAATAAGGACTGAGGCATTTTAATATATATGGAGATGAGTGTTAAATAAGTCAGATAAAGATTTCTCTGTTTTATCAATACAAAATCTAAAAATAAAATTTATTGTTTGCAGCATCATGAAAGCTGAACGTTACAGATCTCAACAAATGCTAAAAAATTTACCCTCTAATACATACTGGTTTTACCTGCATATTGTCTGATTCATTTAATTACTCTGAGCCTGATAATTGTTTATCCATAATATATAGACATTAACCTTGATCTTCGTGTTGGTCAGTGATATTTCAATTTCAAGGCCAAAACTCCAATCCAAAATATCTCAAGCGATAAAAGATGTCCGTTTTTGTAAAGGGGAAGTGCAAACAAAGAAGCTCATTTTATGGATAGCCTTTCATCTGTTCAAGATTACCAGCTCTCTCTCTCTTCTGTTGACCACTGTTATTTTTATTCTTAAGTAGGCTTTCTCCATGCAGCATCAAGTATTGACCCTAGGAATTACAAGCTTATTTATCTTTAACAGTATATATAATTGCTTATATATACTTAAATGAGAGAGAGGCAGAAAAACAGAATGAAAGAGGGATGTCCCTCCAGTGTTATACAATGGTTGTTTGGTTACATGTCAAATTAATGTCTGTATCTTGATTGAGATCACAATATATTGAGTGGAAAATCTATGTGAGTACTACAGGTATAATATATGTAATATATGGGTGTAATGGAGAAACTAAACAAGAAAAGAAAAACATTTTATATGTGTATGTATTTTCCTTTTTGCATAAGAATAACATCTACTTTAAAAAATCCAGTGTCTTTATAACACTCTTGGACAAGCAAACTGTCCTTTCAAAAGGCCTACCATTGTTATTTTCATGTTTCTTTCTATAGTGTGAAATAAATAAAAATAATATTTCAGTTACTTAGTAACCAAGATTTGAATACCCAAACGCTTTTGCCTTTAAATATGCCTTTCTTTTCTTTTGCTTTTAAAGATTAAATCATTGGTTACAATATTAGCAGATTTATACATTGATATATTTATATGATATTTATCTAGACTAATCATTCAAATATTGAATTATAAGGGTAACTTTTAAATAACAGTGTATATATTCTCCTGGATGGTGATTAGAAATAAGTAAATCCAAATAACTGTATATGTAGTACCATTATAAAACAGACAATTAGTTAAGATTTGCTTCATTTTAGCTCTCTTTTTTCCTAATCACTTAATCCATGAGAGCAAGACACAGGAGGCTATTCTGAATCACACAGCAATGTTATATCCTACAGAGGTTTAAATTATTGGTTTAAGAACATGATATATTTTGAGATATATTTTTATTCACTATCCTCAGCAATACTATGTGCAGTGTCTCTTTTGTTGGAACCCATTCAGAGGCTCTGGGAGTAGAAGTTATGCCTGTAACTATGTTTGTATGCACTTTATAGCATTTCCCTGTAAACTGGTTTATGTAAATTATTTTAAATGAAATATTGCTTAGATGGCAATACCTTTATTAATTGTTTCAGTATACCACCTGATAAGCTTTTCAGTTTTGGTTAACTTGTATTTATTTTTCTTGCAAATAACAAATAAAAAGTCAGTTGTACTGCTTTAATATCATTTTTACAAAGTACCAAATGATTTAATTGTTTTATAATTCAATACATTTTGTTATATCTGTGGGCTAACAAATACAAATTTACTATACAAAATAGCAACTTTTAATCTTAAAATTTATATATAGGTTTTGCATTTACTTTGTTTTTCTGCCTCTCTCTCATTTCAGTATATATAAACAATTATATATACTGTTAAAGATAAATTAAATAAGCTTGTAATTCCTAGGGTCAATACTTGATGCTGCATGGAGAAAGCCTACTTAAGAATAAAAACTCTTCTAAATAAAACAAAATTTTTCGAACACTATGACTTTGAAAGCTGTATAACATGAGAAGCATCCAATTCTTTATTTTGTTTTTAAAATTTTGCAATGAATAAAAAAAATGTTTATAACCTGAGACGTAGAGCCTAGTAAAGATTCATTGTTCATGCCCTATTACACTTGTGAAAAAATTCTGGTGTTCTTATTTTTTAAGTGATATTAACAGTCTCTATGAAGAGTGTACATCCTATATATCTGGATGAAATGCCCAAGGGAGTTGTACAGTGTTTAATTTTTAAAATATACAATGAGAACTAGGAGAATAGTTTGTGTTGGCTACAACATTGTCATTGAGTTTCATATAATCAATTCAAAAGGAGGAGTGAGTTACTTAGTTAATAAAAATTCTCTCAGGTTGCTATCCAAACAGTCACATGAAAAATAAGCTATGCCATCACAAAATATATATCAAAATACAATTAAAACCCTCATGAATCCTTCATATTCACTCTGATATCCACATTGATAATATTCTTAACTTCCCTGTTTGTATAAAAATGTTATCCTCACTTTGGTTTATTTTTGACTCTGCATCCTTTATCTCTCTTTCTGTCTGTCTCTCAAGAATTATAATCCAGATTTTTAAAAAATCCTCCTTAAAATCAATACACAAGACAATAAAAAAGATAATCGTTATAATTAATAATTTATTGATTTTTACAGCATTTAAAAATTCTAATATAGAAATCACAAAGACATTCTCCTATATATTCTTACAATATTTTAACTTATTGTTTAGTCTACAGGAAATTGATTGATACAGTGTAACTACATGGATGATTTAAATAAATTGTGTAATATTCCAATTTTATTTTGTTTCCCATAGATTACCTATCATCCATGGCCAAGAATTAAGTAGTTGATTGGCTCTCCAATGAGTAACAATTCTATCTCTTCATTTTTTATATATGAAGTTTTCATTTTGGTTGTTGATACTTTTTGAGCTATTTTATTTCATTGGTCCATTTATCTGTACATGCATCAATAAAATATTTTCTTTAAAGAATTGTAATTATCAAATGTCATATATATGTCTATTCACACTTTGTCTATTCTCATATATATATGGTTAACATAAAATAGTAATAAATATATATTCTAATCAATATCTTTGCAGTCTTTTAAAATACAAATTGACAGATTCTAAAATTTTATGGAAATACAAATGGCTTTAGATTGTTAAATTTATCTTGCAAGAGAAACAAATGAAATACTTAAATTATTTGCTTTCAATAATTACAATAAGGCTATATTAATCAAAACAGTGCAGTATTAGCTTAAGGATAAACAAATAAGTAAATGCAACAGAAGAGATGGTCTACAAATATATCATAAAGTTGTTTTATTTTTATTTTTTGTCAATGCCACTAAGTAAATCAAAACCAAAGCTCAAAATATTTCCAACAAATGATGATGAAATACCGGATAAGTACATGGAAATAATGAACATAGATCCATGCTTCACACCATATAATAAAATTATCTTAAGATCAATCATGGTTCTTTACTTAAAAACTAGACCTATAAAACTTTAGAAGAAAACTTAGAATTTTAAAAAATATCTTTATTATTATGTCAGGCAAGGTTTTTATTTTTTTTGTAACAAAGTCCCGAAAACATGAACCGTGATTTTAAAAATTAATAAAATTATCTTTATTGAAATTAAAATCATGTGGTCCTCAAAAGACACACTTAAAGAAATAAAGACTTGTCAAAGTCTGAAATAAAGTTCAGAAAACTGTGTATCTGACAAAGGGTCAAATCTAGATAAAAATAAGAATTAAACAATAATAAAAACAGACTAATTCAAAAGGCCATAATCTTTACAATGGGAGATAGACAAATAGCAAATATGCATGTGAAAAAATGTTGAATGTCAGTAGTAATCATGGAGTTGAACATTTCCGTGTCATATATATTAGAATCACTGAAATTAAAAAGTCTGACAATACAAAATAGAGATCGGGATGTGGAGAAACTAGAACTCTCATACATTTCTATGTATACCATAAAATATTACAACCATTTTAGAATCCAGTTTGTCGCACTTTTATTAAATTAAATATATACCTACCCTATGAATGTGTAGTTTCAGACCCTGGAATTTGTGCATGCTAAATGAGTAAATTAAAGAGAAACAGAGAATGGAATAATGATAACCAGAGGCTACAAAAGGTAATGCGGGAGGGAGAAAGTGGGGATGGTTAATAGGTACAAAAATATAGTTAGATAAAAGGCATATGACCTAATAGAACAACAGGGTGATATTACAGTCAACATTCATGTGTGCATTTTAAAATAAATAAGAGTATCACTGGAATGTTGTAACACAAAGGAATTATAAATGCTTGAGGTGATACATGAATCATTTACTCTGATGTTTTGATTTTGCCTTGCCTGCTTGTATCAAAATATCTCAGATACCCCATAAATATATATATATCTATTATGTACCCATGAAAATAAAATAAATAAGTAAATAAAAGATCTTCAAAATTTTTCTTCAATAATGTTTATAGCACCTTCTTTATACTATAGAATTTGAAGCAAAATAAATGTCCATCAACAGGCATTTATGAAATTATATTCATAACATGTTATAAATCAAATCATGTTATATTCATATAATGATATTCTACTCTGAAATAAAAAGGATGAATTAACTGCACATGCAGCAATGTATATGAATCTCAAACCACTATGCTAAGCAAAAGAAAACAGACCCTAAAGAGTAATACTATGTGATATTGTTTACAGGAGTGCTAAAGTACAGACAAAATAAAGCAGAGATGGGGATTAATGCAAAAGTGACAGAAGGGAACTTTCTGATTCAAAGGAACTGTTCTATGCCTACATTGGGTTGGTGGTTACATGGCTGTACATAGTTTTCAAAATTCAACTTAAAATTTGTGGATCTTACATATAAATTATGATTCAACATAATGTAGCACTCTAGCTAAATCGCCTATAATTACCACTCTGATTTTCCTTTAACTTATTGTATTTGATTAATTGATGTTATTCTTATTTACTTATGAACTCATGTATTTAACATTCTTAGATTTTTTTATAGTGACAAATTCCTTCAAAATAAGTAGTCTGTCAAGCTGCCAAATAATAGTATTAAATACTGTCTTTTTGCTACAAGTATACTTGAGAGTTTTAGCAAATAAATTCTGCAAATATGTCAGTGTTTGAGATGTTTAACCATGCTTATATCCATAAAAATATATAGTACATTAACTTCAAATAAGTATGTCAAGTGTCATTATATGGGGATTCTGGCTTAATCTCAGACTGAATAAAAATTTCTGGTATGCAATATGTCAAAACAGCAATGCAATATGTAAGAAGTTAGAGATATAGAAAAAATAGCAATTACAAGTAAGTAGGAAGGAGAGACAAGAATTATATAGTAGTAAGATAAGATATTATGAATAAGCATAGTACACAATTTCATGTGAGCTGAAATTCCACATATTCTGCAAATGTGACACCAACTTTCTAACAGCTCTTTCTAGGAGAGAGATACAAACATACACAAAACACCATGAATTTAAGATTGTTATGTTAGCCTCAAGCACAACTCTTCGTAGTATTTATTTTCTACAAATTATCTAGAACAAATCATATAAAGAAAAACAAATTCTATTGATCAATGTCTTCCACATCATCCATCCAATATATTGAACAATGGGTTTTTAAAGTTTATTATATTATTATTTAATAAAGATTAATAGATTAAAATTACTAATTATAAATTGATACAATACAATGCAATTCAACAAAATCAAATTGTCCTGAGATAAATCAACACTGTACAGGTTTAAGTTTTTCTGATCATGTGATTTGATCAAGGATAAAAATCTAGGAGGTTTATTTTCAAACCTTGTAAATATTACTGGGGGAGATTTTTTTAAAGAGCTACACCTATTTATTTGTCCACATCTATCGATTGGTTTAATTTTTTATTGGGTGGAACGCAAACTAAACCTGTTGTTTCTCAGTGCTAGCAAAAAGATTAAACTTTTATCCATAAGATACAGAGCATGCCAAACTGCTTCTTTGGTGATTCCCTATTAATAACCCTTTCTGCTGAATTTTATGGACTTTGCCCAAGTGTACTTTTCTCTAATGACTTCAGGTATGAATCTTTGAGACATTCATTAATTTTCAGTAGGGGATATTAATACTCCCCTTGCTCCATTAATGTTTGAATATTAAGGCATTTGACCCAGTAGCTAACAAATATCATATAATAAATGAAAGTATCTCCCAAGATATATACACACGCAGGCACAAACCCACCCACACATATATAGTACATAAATTCATTGCTACAAAACGTTTAAAATTCAGAGAGAAGTAGCACTTTATGATAAGACAGCATTCATGTTTTACAGATATATTCCTTTCATCTATTTACTTTAAAATTGCATTTCTCAAATATATCACAAAATTAGAATTCCTGGAGTAATTTTGTTAAAGAGGTAAATTTATTTCCTATTGCTGCCATAACAAAGCATCATAGCTCTGGGTAGCTTAAAACGAACTATAATTTATTGTGTCACAGCACTGGAGACTGAAAGAAATCTGATACAAAGGTGTGAGTAAGGCAGTATTTTATCTGTTGGTTCTAGGTGAGAATGCTTTCTTGCACCTGCTTGCTTCTGGTGTTTGCCAGCAATCCTTGGCATTCCTTGGCTTACAGATGCATCACTCCAGTCACAAGACTGTCTTCTTTCTATATGTATTCACATTGCCTTTCTTATGTACACATCTGTTCGTGTGTCCAATCCCCCCGTTTTTGAGAAACACACCCAACATGTTGATTAGAACTCACCCTAATGAGCTCATGTCAATTTGATTACCTCTTTAAAGACTCTATTTCCAAATAAGACCACATTCTGAAGCACTAGAGATTAAGATTTCGACATGGCATTGTGTGGGGACACAATACAATCTGTAACAATGCATTGCACCCTGCTATTATTATCAACCATAACTGATGTTTTAGGTTTGGGATCCAACTCGTATTATTTGTGTAACATGGGATCATTTACTTAACCTCTCTAATCCTCTGTGGTTTGGCCTGTAAAATGTAAATGTTGGTGTTCCAATTAAATGAGACAATGCTTGTAATTGCTTAACACAGTGCCTGGCAGAAAAAGAAGCTATTTTTATCAGGAGAGGTGATGTGCAACCATAAATCTAAAAATAAACTATCATAGAAATGCTTATCTAAATAACTGTGAAACAACATGCTAAGTACTATTATAAATAAAATAAAAATAATAAAAATATAAAGCAAGTGTGTGTATATATATATATATATATATATATATATAGCTTTTATAACAAAACATTCAAACAAGATTTTAAAATATTTTTACCAGGCATCAATTGATGCTTTTTACAACTTTTCTAAACCATTTCGAACTCCCTGAAAATTCTGCATACTACAAGCAAAATTTGTGGCTGTGGCTGTCACAATCCAAATCAGGCTTCCTAGAATTGCTATGGAAACCTCACTTAGGGCATTGAAACATTCTAAGATTTCACAAGTAAATGAATCCTCCTTATTTTTTTATTTTCTAGGAAATCTGTTCAGAATTTTTTACAAGAGATGCTGTATTTTTTCATTTGTAATTTTATTTTGCTTCTTGATCATGCAAAGGTTTATCTACTATGAGAATTCAAGTGGGATTGCGGGGTGAATAATAATTCCTCCCTCCATCCCTACCTGGCATCAAGCAATGGCAGCACCAGAAATCAAATTTCCAGAGTTGGATGTAATCAATCACTTTTTTTCATGTCCTATAATTAATGTCACTACTACTTTGCATTATTACTTTTTTAATTTTTAAGGATCAAAGGACTCTAGGTACTGAACAGCTGGCTTTCCAGGAATGGCTGTAAGAAAATGATCTATACCCTTGCTTTCAAAGTTCTGCTTACAAAGTCATTATCATACTTAACCCATAAATGAGAAAATAGAACTGGGACAATATTCCTGTAGTGTAGTCTTCATTTGAGAACTCCTTACCACTGTGGTTCAAACTGCACCTGGAACCTAGTATGACATTCTGAGAAGTTCAGAAAGAGTGAAGGACTCCTCAACTTGTCCTCAACTCCATGAGTTGGTACCTTGTGATCTCTACTGGTAGTCCACAGAGCCATGTACAGGCATCTAAATTTTATTTTATCATTTCTATACTCATTCATCTTAGCTATCATTTCTAAGGGACACTTGAATGATATTGTATTGAGTTACTATCTCTATAAGGTCCACACTCAATTTATTTAGTAAACTTGTTTTACAATTTTGCTTAAATCAACACAAAGTGATTTTACTCTGAACAATAAAAGCTCATATTTTGAATAAATTTAAATAGTGCCAGAAATTTATCTGCTTCTTGTTCTTTGGAGCACAGGCTGTTCACATTTAAGAGGAAATGCATGCTTTGGAGTTAAGTCTGTCTGATGATATTTGCTTGTACACTCTTATACACTTAAAAAATACATTTTCAGGAAATTCTGAAACAGAGAAAAAATGATTTTTTTGGAATCTTGTCACTCACATGGTGTTAATGAAATTATCATTTATTATTTGCTTACTATATAATCCAGGCACTTCTAGATGCCTTACATATATTACTGAATTTACTTTTCACAATAAACTATGCAGTAAATATCATTTTGCATTATATTGTCAATATTCTAAAAAAGAAAACTAAACCAGGGTTTTATAATTAGCTAACAAACTAGAGTACTTTTTTAAAAAGAGGTATCATAAGAATTTAGTCCACCCCCAGAAAAATGTTCTTACAATAATTTGTGTAGAAATCGTCTTCCTATTAGAACATTAGTGCCTTAATAGTGTTCACTATTGAAAAAGACAATGTATGCATCATAAACAAAGAAAGATTCTAGATTTATGGAATTCATCTGAATATGGGTATTAGGAGTTTCCTTTTCCATTAAAGAGATAATAATCTAAGTATATTAAAATTAAAATGTATTTCTGTATGTGTATATAAATATATGTATGTGTCTATATATGAGTGAGCTTAGTTATATGTTAATTATGACAGGGACTGGAGTGTGGTTATGAAAGGAGCTATGGACATGCAAATTGAAATAAAAATCATTTTTGTTGTTTGTTGTTTACAATTTATAGTACTGTATTAGGCTGTTCTTACATTGCTATAAAGAAATACCCAAGACTGGATAATTTATTTTAAAAGGAGGTTGAATTGGCTCAGGTTCTGCAGGCTGTACAGGAAGTATAACACAAGTATTTGCTTCTGTGGAGGCTCAGGAAGCTGACGATCATAGTGGAACGTGAAGGGGGAGCAGCCATCTCACCTGGTGGGAACAGAAGCAAGAGAGAGAGTGAGTTGTCACACACTTTTAAACAGCCAGGTTTCATGAGAAGTCACTCAGTATCGCGAGGTCAGCATTAAGGGGATGGTACTAAACCATTTATGAGAAACCCACCCCATGATTCAAAACCCCCCCATGAGGCTCCACCTCCAATATTGGAGATTAGAGTTCAACATGAGGTTTAGGTGGGGACCCATATCCAAACTATATCAAGCAATATTGAAAATTTAATAAGGAATGATATAATAAATAATGGAAAATAAAGGATAAAGATATTCTGAAGGTAACCAGTGGGGCTAAATTTCTAGGACCAGAAGTATATATTTTCTAAGTAACAACAGGAAGAGAGAATAGAAGCAACTGCCTAAATTTCAGTTAGGAAATGTATATTGAGTTCTATGCTAGATAGGAATGTAATGTTTGTCTGGAAGCCATTGTAAAAAAATAATCTGGTTTTGAATAGAAGTCAAATATGTTTGTTTGTTTGTTTGTTTTTATTGTAGTAGAGGAGAGAACAGATGTGTGTTGAAATGTAGTAAAACTGCATTACAAATTAGATTGTTGTGAAATTTCTCCTGCATGTGCCATTGAGGATTTTCTAGAAGTCTGTTTGTAAACATCAATTATATTTTCATATTTTATTTATTTGTATTATGTTAGACCACTAGCAACATTTCCATAAGGATCAATGTTAATTAGTACATTTTATATTAAGATGGCATGAGCACTTTACTAATTCACCTTTTCCTTATATTCCTTATAGTCACATAAAAATATTTTAAACCTTAGTTTTACCTATGTCTAAGGTTATTAAATCAATCTAAAAATTGTCTGTGAATGTTAATAATATTTTAAATAGAATCATAAAAGATTTAAGTTCTTTAATTTTTATAAGCGCCTCATGAGAATTTAGAATAAATGATTTGAAATGATGGAAATGAAACAGAATTGAATCAGGAATATCAAATATATATGCAAACATGACTTGAATTTTTCAAATATGGTTCAATGGAAAAGAGAATAATATGTGTTAAAAACCGAGTATATGTAATAGAACCTCTTTTAAAATTATGTTTATTTCCAAATTATTACTTTGGGAAAGATATTTGAAAAGAAAAACAAAATAATAGCAAATAACAACAACAACCAACACACACACACCAAAACACAAAACTCTGCGTGCAATCTCCCTAAAACTAGGGACCTCATTACTACCTCTTTTGTTTGCATCATAGAGGCTAACAGAGTTGTTTGAGCCCTTCCTAATGTCTCCATCTCAATGACTTCCTTAGAGTTATTTAATTCATAAAGCAAACCTGACATATATGTATTTTACCTTAATATCTAAAGTGTCATATGGCAATTTTTTTATGTTTCCAAATAAAATTATAAAATTATTAATGTTTGCTAGAATGAAACTTAAAGTCATGAAACATAGCCTCTGGTTTAAAGTATGGAAATAGAGAAACACGGTTGTTAAGTATGAGTAAATATATACACATATGCCAGATGTACATAATTAAATATCTTCCTATGCATATAGGGATGCTAAAATATAATAATACATGCCATAAAAATAAGTCAATTCACTGGGTATTATACAGCAAAAAGAATATTTGTATCTTAAATATCATATACACATATTACACACACACACACACACATATGGGGATTGGTTTTTAATGTGATTGTACAGGAATATATATAAAGATTGAGTAAGATTAGTAAATTAGGGTCAGTGAATATACTCTAGAGAAGGCAGAGCATTAGCTTTTCAGCCTCGTTTAAGAAAAATTATTTCACTTAATGATACAAAGGGAAGTCAAAACTAAAATAGGACAATAAGAAGAGTGACTTAAATCAAGAAATATATGATCTTCAGTCAGAAAGTGTGTGAAAAATCTAGGTATGATTATTCCAAAAATGCCAGACTGATATCCTAATTAAATCTCTGTAATTCAAGTGTGTATATGAAATAGTATGTTTTCTCTTTCAAAAGGAAACTGCTTTGTTCAAACACACACAAATGCATGTGGACTCATGAAGAGGGACACAGTATAACTAGAATATGGAATCACTGGAGCCAGCAGGCCTTTGAAAGAAGAAAATCCAACGCCATGAACCTGGAACATTTCATGGCATATAAGGGCATTACACTTATTCTAACCATTCCAAGTTAAATATATCAGTAAAAACACGGTATTATACCATTTACAGATGTTTCAAAAACATACAGAATCCAAACAATATATTGATAAGGAGAACTAATATATGTGATAAAATGATAAGTAGAGCAAAGTTGGGGAAAATCACAAAATTGATAGTAAAAAATCTGAAGTGCCAACATCCAGTCCTATCATATATTAATTAGAAATATATTTTGTATTTCATAAATATCAAACAGAAACTATATAGAATAAAAGAGAAAAAAATCAAAAGAAAAAAATGGCCAAGAAAATGTTGACAGCACATCTGTGGTTGTTGCTGTGGTTAAAAACCATGCTAAGTCCAAGTAACTTTAACAATACAAATAGAAGCATACAAAGGACATATAGAAAAACAGCAGGACAAATCATTTTTATTATTTTATTATTATTATTAAAATAAAATTTAAATATAGTGAAATAAACAGGTCTGAAGTATATAATTTAATGTATTTGTACCATGTATTATATAATGAATGGTGTAACCAAGACTTATATAAAAATATGATAAATTTTCATTACCCCAGAAAGTTTATTTCTGTGCCATTATATTAAAACCAACCCCCATAAAAACTGCTATTCTGATGTCTATCACTATAAGTTAGATCTTCCTTTTCTGGAATTTCATATAAAGAGATTCATAGAATATACATTTTTTATTGTGTCAAGCTAAGCAGTGTGTTTTCGAGATTTATACATGTCATTGCATGAATCAATAGGTCAAATTTTTTACTGTCGATTAGTATACCATTGTGTGAAGATATCAAAATTTTTCATATACTCTCCAGCTAATGGGAATTTAAATTGTTCATTATTTTTGGCTACAATGAATAGTGCTGTGCATATATTTTCATGTGAACACATGTTGTCATCTCTTGGGTACATATTCATCTCTTGAGTGAAATTACCAACTCACTAGTTAAGCATATTTTAATTTTATATGAAACTATGAAATAATTTTCCAATTTGACTCTATCATTTTTATTCCCATCAAAAATGAAAGAACATTGTGAAAAAGAATAGCAAAATAGCATCTACTTATACTGAAATTTGGGGAAGCTATTTCTGAGGAGGAAATGAAAGGCGAAAAAGAACCAGTCGTATGAAGAGACACATACATAATGTGCATCTTATACCAAGGCAACAGGGTAGAAAATGACTTGGTATGTTTGAAGAACTAAATGAGAGGAACATGAACTGAGCATGAATTACAATAATTAAGGTTGAAAGATTTGACAGACTCTATTATATGCACAATAGGGATGTGTTGCAATGGGTCAACTAGGAGTAATGCGAAAACAATATGAGTCCAAAAGATTATTCCAGTTTTGTATGATAATAGAATTGTGTAAACACCAGTCTAAAATAAGCAGACCACTAAGAAAACAAATATGAAAGAGCAGACAAGAAATGGCATGAATAGGGAAAAGGTAGTTGAGAAAGGAATGGTAGAATTTCACATTTTGTATATCATTATAAATAGAGACATGGACATTTGGATGTATTTCTACAAGTGATTTTTCTCATGTTCTTTGATTCTTGATCTTTTTAAATATGCATATTATAATTTAAGTGTATTAAAAAATTTGTACTAAATTTTATTTTGACAACTGCATACATTTCTTAACTTTAATAGCTTTTACTCTTTCTCTGAAAGTTCTTTTTCCATTTCCCTTTATGGATTCATGGCTACCTCGTCTGCTTGGATATTTGTCTACTAACTAGAGATTTATTTTTAAATATTAATCTCCCACCCACACCAACTATCTCTTTATGCTGCTGTTTTTTCTCATATAGCTGTGATCTTGACTTGCTCAGTACTATTTACAATTTAACTATTAATAATTGGAGATGAAGGTAAACATTTCAATACTTCACCCTATTACTGTATAAGAAAATCTTTGCTGCAACACAGATACTTAACTCAATATTGTCTTTCTTACTGAATCGCCAGGAATACAGGAAGTCTCAGTACAGTAAGCCTGGACATGGCCTACCTGGTGCTTCCTTTAACTGGGGGGAACAATAGATCACTGAAATTGCCTCATGGCGAAATGTTTTCTGATTTTGAACCTGTCTAGAATCAACTTCATAGCTCAGAATGGAAGAAATCAATGCTTGTCTCCTATATTTTTCAGCTATATCTTATTACTTGAAGTGATTGTCCCTGAATTAATTTGTTAGGCTAAATAAAGTCACCGAGAGGTGCGAGTGTCCACATATGGCTTCTCTGTAGTAAGCAGGTGAGTAAAAAATCAGTCTCCAAGGCTTTTCTCTGAGGAAGATGTGAACACAGTGGCTGCATTCCTCCTGCTACTTGCTAAGATTCCTTACTATCTCAATCATTTTTAAAGATAAAAACATATGTTAAAAACTAAATTTTCCAACATAATACCTATTAGGAAGAAACTGTTCTGTATGGTTTCATACTATTGACTGGTTTTCTTAAGTAGTGTCCACAACTTTATATTCTGACTGTCATCTGTGGTCATTTTGATGGGTTCAGAATCAGGATAAGTTGTTTATCATTGTTTAGGTAATGTCAAAACACATAAGTCTCAGTGTCAAAACTTCTCATGAGCAAGATATTACCTCACATTTGTTTATTTTACTTTGTAATATTCTATGTATGAGTGTGAAAATATTTTAATTTTATCAGTGTGTTAAAAGTGGTATTGTTTCCTTATGCTTGGTTCTGGCATAAGTGATACTGAATAAACCAATTAAGAACTTACCTAAACAGTTCTTAAAATAAAATCATTATCAAAAAATTAAAAAATATATAAAACCAACTTACTTCCTTCACAGTGAATACATATTATTAGAAAATCACATTTGCACATTGGGTCTTGGAAAGCACAGACCTGTGGCTTTAATTTAGATTATGTTGACAATTATTCAGCCTCAGCTTCCTTATTCCTGGCAAAGAATAAGTTTTTTAATAAACGAGAGAGAGGGACACAGAGAGAGAGAGAGACCAACACAACCACAGCAACTATTATATTAATTTTTTTAAAGCCTAAAGTTTGAATGGAGCTAAGGGAAATCAACATATTGTGCCATAGGTGATTGATAAGAATAGACAACAACCACAGAGTTGTGAAAGGAATGTTAAGAAGGGAAGAATGTCATATTATCTATTTTTTTCCCAGTCATTTTCTTCCACTAGTTAAGTAGTGGACACCATCGTCTCATGCTTCAGGACTTTAAGTGAAGAAGATAGCACAACGAATATATTTCATGCCTATAATTTTCATAAACTTCACTTAATTAAATGATCTAGTAAAAAATAACTTCTGGCTAAAGGTGTGCTGTCATTTAATATCCTAGAGTTATTATTGTTCTACTATACTTAAAATTAGAATTTTATTTTATTTTATTTTATTTTATTTTTAGAGGAAGAGCTGGTTTTATTTTTCTTTTTATTTATTTATTAATTTATTTATTTGTTTATTTTTTTTAATTATACTTTAAGTTTTAGGGTACATGTGCATATTGTGCAGGTTAGTTACATATGTATACATGTGCCATGCTGGTGCGCTGCACCCACTAACTCTTCATCTAGCATTAGGTATATCTCCCAATGCTATCCCTCCCCTCTCCCACCTCCCCACCACAGTCCCCAGAGTGTGATATTCCCCTTCCTGTGTCCATGTGATCTCATTGTTCAGTTCCCACCTATGAGTGAGAATATGCGGTGTTTGGTTTTTTGTTCTTGCGTTAGTTTACTGAGAATGATGGTTTCCAATTTCATCCATGTCCCTACAAAGGACATGAACTCATCATTTTTTATGGCTGCATAGTATTCCATGGTGTATATGTGCCACATTTTCTTAATCCAGTCTATCATTGTTGGACATTTGAGTTGGTTCCAAGTCTTTGCTATTGTGAATAATGCCGCAATAAACATATGTGTGCATGTGTCTTTATAGCAGCATGATTTATAGTCATTTGGGTATATACCCAGTAATGGGATGGCTGGGTCAAATGGTATTTCTAGTTCTAGATCCCTGAGGAATCGCCACACTGACTTCCACAATGGTTGAACTAGTTTATAGTCCCACCAACAGTGTAAAAGTGTTCCTATTTCTCCACATCCTCTCCAGCACCTGTTGTTTCCTGACTTTTTAAGGATTGCCATTCTAACTGGTGTGAGATGATATCTCATAGTGGTTTTGATTTGCATTTCTCTGATGGCCAGTGATGATGAGCATTTTTTCATGTGTTTTTTGGCTGCATAAATGTCTTCTTTTGAGAAGTGTCTGTTCATGTCCTTCGCCCACTTTTTGATGGGGTTGTTTGTTTTTTTCTTGTAAATTTGTTTGAGTTCATTGTAGATTCTGGATATTAGCCCTTTGTCAGATGAGTAGGTTGCGAAAATTTTCTCCCATGTTGTAGGTTGCCTGTTCACTCTGATGGTAGTTTCTTTTGCTGTGCAGAAGCTCTTTAGTTTAATTAGATCCCATTTGTCAATTTTGGCTTTTGTTGCCATTGCTTTTGGTGTTTTGGACATGAAGTCCTTGCCCACGCCTATGTCCTGAATGGTAATGCCTAGGTTTTCTTCTAGGGTTTTTATGGTTTTAGGTCTAACGTTTAAATCTTTAGTCCATCTTGAATTGATTTTTGTATAAGGTGTAAGGAAGGGATCCAGTTTCAGCTTTCTACATATGGCTAGCCAGTTTTCCCAGCACCATTTATTAAATAGGGAATCCTTTCCCCATTTCTTGTTTTTCTCAGGTTTGTCAAAGATCAGATAGTTGTAGGTAAGCGGCGTTATTTCTGAGGGCTCTGTTCTGTTCCATTGATCTATATTTCTGTTTTGGTACCAGTACCATGCTGTTTTGGTTACTGTAGCCTTGTAGTGTAGTTTGAAGTCAGGTAGTGTGATGCCTCCAGCTTTGTTCTTTTGGCTTAGGATTGACTTGGTGATGCGGGCTCTTTTTTGGTTCCATATGAACTTTAAAGTAGTTTTTTCCAATTCTGTGAAGAAAGTCATTGGTAGCTTGATGGGGATGGCATTGAATCTGTAAATTACCTTGGGCAGTATGGCCATTTTCACGATATTGATTCTTCCTACCCATGAGCATGGAATGTTCTTCCATTTGTTTGTATCCTCTTTTATTTCCTTGAGCAGTGGTTTGTAGTTCTCCTTGAAGAGGTCCTTCACATCCCTTGTAAGTTGGATTCCTAGGTATTTTATTCTCTTTGAAGCAATTGTGAATGGGAGTTCACTCATGATTTGGCTCTCTGTTTGTCTGTTGTTGGTGTATAGGAATGCTTGTGATTTTTGTATCCTGAGACTTTGCTGAAGTTGCTTATCAGCTTAAGGAGATTTTGGGCTGAGACGATGGGGTTTTCTAGATAAACAATCATGTCGTCTGCAAACAGGGACAATTTGACTTCCTCTTTTCCTAATTGAATACCCTTTATTTCCTTCTCCTGCCTGATTGCCCTGGCCAGAACTTCCAACACTATGTTGAATAGGAGTAGTGAGAGAGGGCATCCCTGTCTTGTGCCAGTTTTCAAAGGGAATGCTTCCAGTTTTTGCCCATTCAGTATGATATTGGCTGTGGGTTTGTCATAGATAGCTCTTATGATTTTGAAATACGTCCCATCAATACCTAATTTATTGAGAGTTTTTAGGATGAAGGGTTGTTGAATTTTGTCACAGGCTTTTTCTGCATCTATTGAGATAATCATGTGGTTTTTGTCTTTGGCTCTGTTTATATGCTGGATTACATTTATTGATTTGCGTATATTGAACCAGCCTTGCATCCCAGGGATGAAGCCCACTTGATCATGGTGGATAAGCTTTTTGATGTGCTGCTGGATTCGGTTTGCCAGTATTTTATTGAGGATTTTTGCATCAATGTTCATCAAGGATATTGGTCTAAAATTCTCTTTTTTGGTTGTGTCTCTGCCAGGCTTTGGTATCAGAATGATGCTGGCCTCATAAAATGAGTTAGGGAGGATTCCCTCTTTTTCTATTGATTGCAATAGTTTCAGAAGGAATGGTACCAGTTCCTCCTTGTACCTCTGGTAGAATTCGGCTGTGAATCCATCTGGTCCTGGACTCTTTTTGGTTGGTAAACTATTGATTATTGCCACAATGTCAGCTCCTGTTATTGGTCTATTCAGAGATTCAACTTCTTCCTGGTTTAGTCTTGGGAGAGTGTATGTGTCCAGGAATTTATCCATTTCTTCTAGATTTTCTAGTTTATTTGCGTAGAGTTGTTTGTAGTATTCTCTGATGGTAGTTTGTATTTCTGTGGGATCGGTGGTGATATCCCCTTTATCATTTTTTATTGTGTCTATTTGATTCTTCTCTCTTTTTTTCTTTATTAATCTTGCTAGCAGTCTATCAATTTTGTTGATCCTTTCAAAAAACCGACTCCTGGATTCATTGATTGTTTGAAGGGTTTTTTGTGTCTCTATTTCCTTCAGTTCTGCTCTGATTTTAGTTATTTCTTGCCTTCTGCTAGCTTTTGAATGTGTTTGCTCTTGCTTTTCTAGTTCTTTTAATTGTGATGTTAGGGTGTCAATTTTGAATCTTTCCTGCTTTCTCTTGTGGGCATTTAGTGCTATAAATTTCCCTCTACACACTGCTTTGAATGCGTCCCAGAGATTCTGGTTTGTTGTGTCTTTGTTCTCGTTGGTTTCAAAGAACATCTTTATTTCTGCCTTCATTTCGTTATGTACCCAGTAGTCATTCAGGAGCAGGTTGTTCAGTTTCCAGGTAGTTGAGCGGCTTTGAGTGAGATTCTTAATCCTGAGTTCTAGTTTGATTGCACTGTGGTCTGAGAGATAGTTTGTTATAATTTCTGTTCTTTTACATTTGCTGAGGAGAGCTTTACTTCCAAGTATGTGGTCAATTTTGGAATAGGTGTGGTGTGGTGCTGAAAAAAATGTATATTCTGTTGATTTGGGGTGGAGAGTTCTGTAGATGTCTATTAGGTCCGCTTGGTGCAGAGCTGAGTTCAATTCCTGGGTATCCTTGTTGACTTTCTGTCTCGTTGATTTGTCTAATGTTGACAGTGGGGTGTTAAAGTCTCCCATTATTAATGTGTGGGAGTCTAAGTCTCTTTGTAGGTCACTCAGGACTTGCTTTATGAATCTGGGTGCTCCTGTATTGGGTGCATATATATTTAGGATAGTTAGCTCCTCTTGTTGAATTGATCCCTTTACCATTATGTAATGGCCTTCTTTGTCTCTTCTGATCTTTGTTGGTTTAAAGTCTGTTTTATCAGAGACTAGGATTGCAACCCCTGCCTTTTTTTGTTTTCCATTTGCTTGGTAGATCTTCCTCCATCCTTTTATTTTGAGCCTATGTGTGTCTCTGCACGTGAGATGGGTTTCCTGAATACAGCACACTGATGGGTCTTGACTCTTTATCCAACTTGCCAGTCTGTGTCTTTTAATTGGAGAATTTAGTCCATTTACATTTAAAGTTAATATTGTTATGTGTGAATTTGATCCTGTCATTATGATGTTAGCTGGTGATTTTGCTCATTAGTTGATGCAGTTTCTTCCTAGTCTCAATGGTCTTTACATTTTGGCATGATTTTGCAGCGGCTGGTACCGGTTGTTCCTTTCCATGTTTAGTGCTTCCTTCAGGAGCTCTTTTAGGGCAGGCCTGGTGGTGACAAAATCTCTCAGCATTTGCTTGTCTGTAAAGTATTTTATTTCTCCTTCACTTATGAAGCTTAGTTTGGCTGGATATGAAATTCTGGGTTGAAAATTCTTTCCTTTAAGAATGTTGAATATTGGCCCCCACTCTCTTCTGGCTTGTAGGGTTTCTGCCGAGAGATCTGCTGTTAGTCTGATGGGCTTCCCTTTGAGGGTAACCCGACCTTTCTCTCTGGCTGCCCTGAACATTTTTTCCTTCATTTCAACTTTGGTGAATCTGACAATTATGTGTCTTGGAGTTGCTCTTCTCGAGGAGTATCTTTGTGGCGTTCTCTGGATTTCCTGAATCTGAACGTTGGCCTGCCTTGCTAGATTGGGGAAGTTCTCCTGGATAATATCCTGCAGAGTGTTTTCCAATTTGGTTCCATTCTCCGCATCACTTTCAGGTACACCAATCAGACGTAGATTTGGTCTTTTCACATAGTCCCATATTTCTTGGAGGCTTTGCTTATTTCTTTTTATTCTTTTTTCTCTAAACTTCCCTTCTAGCTTCATTACATTCATTTCATCTTCCATTGCTGATACCCTTTCTTCCAGTTGATCGCATCGGCTCCTGAGGCTTCTGCATTCTTCACGTAGTTCTCGAGCCTTGGTTTTCAGCTCCATCAGCTCCTTTAAGCACTTCTCTGTATTGGTTATTCTAGTTATACATTCTTCTAGATTTTTTTCAAAGTTTTCAACTTCTTTGCCTTTGGTTTGAATGTCCTCCCGTAGCTCAGAGTAATTTGATCGTCTGAAGCCTTCTTCTCTCAGCTCGTCAAAATCATTCTCCATCCAGCTTTGTTCCGTTGCTGGTGAGGAACTGCGTTCCTTTGGAGGAGGAGAGGCGCTCTGCGTTTTAGAGTTTCCAGTTTTTCTGTTCTGTTTTTTCCCCATCTTTGTGGTTTTATCTACTTTTGGTCTTTGATGATGGTGATGTATAGATGGGTTTTCGGTGTGGATGACCTTTCTGTTTGTTAGTTTTCCTTCTAACAGACAGGACCCTCAGCTGCAGGTCTGTTGGAATACCCTGCCGTGTGAGGTGTCAGTGTGCCCCTGCTGGGGGGTGCCTCCCAGTTAGGCTGCTCGGGGGTTAGGGGTCAGGGACCCACTTGAGGAGGCAGTCTGCCCGTTCTCAGATCTCCAGCTGCGTGCTGGGAGAACCACTGCTCTCTTCAAGGCTGTCAGACAGGGACATTTAAGTCTGCAGAGGTTACTGCTGTCTTTTTGTTTGTCTGTGCCCTGCCCCCAGAGGTGGAGCCTACCCTTAAAATTAGAATTTTAAACATCAAGCAATTTCAAGGTAAATTCTGTTATAAACAAAATGGTTCTTACTAACATTTTGCCTCCAGCATATCATGTTGAATTGCCAAACCTTAGCTGTGGTTCTTATTATACTTTTTTTCAAAGTATTTGAAACATTGAAACAACACAACTTATTCAACAAGTATTTGTTGGTCGTCTATTCAGTGTCAGGCAGTGTTCTATGTACTACGTACATAACAAGGAATAAAAGCAGACAAATTTCCTGCCCAGTGGATTGTACATTCTTGCTGAAAAGACAAACAGCAAACATAAACATACACACACATTGTACACAGAATGATAGCTAGAGAAACTTAGGGATTGTATTGTGTAGGGTACATATGGTATAAGCTGTATGATACTGACTCCATATCATTTGGATATAGATTGAACATTGATTAAAAGATTCACAGTGCATAATAGCTGCTCACTTCCAGTTTATATAAACTCAAAATTACAAAGTTGGTAAAGAAACCCACAACCAAACAGCAGCAGTCACATTGAAAGATAAGAGTACAGGTCAGGTGGTGCTTCCAACCCCAATTGGATGCTCCATCCACCTGTAATGGACCTACTTTGTTTGCAACATATATTTTAAAAAAAGCTAGAATGACAATATTGGCAGGGAAAAACAGAGAAAACAGAGACAGTTATGTAAATATTTGATGGGCCAATATCTAAATTTTAGAGCAGTTTTGGCACCAATAATTATTGCGTGAGTGCTTTCTAAATTTTACTGCAAAAAAGAAGACGAAAAATAAAAGAAGAGGAAAAAGGAGGATCTAAATATTTCTACACCATACACTGATGATCACAACTTTTCATGGTAACACATAATAACAAGCTTGTCTCAATTCTATATCATTGTTGAAATGAAATGCATATTAGCTCATATTCAGTTTTACTAGTAATACAACTACCTCTTGAAATAGAGAAAATACCAAATATCATTAACAAAAAGTATATATGTAGGGAGTTTCCCTGAATCTGCTCTGATTCTGGGGGCTGCCCAATTCGTGAAACATTCATTGCTCAAACTCCTTAAAACTTAATTCACCTGAAGTTTTTCTTTAAACAGATGGTGTCAGAAGCAGGGTCTGAAGTAGAGCTTTTAACGACCTCCAGGAGCACTGAGAGAACAAGCAAGGTATCTGCAAGGACCCATTTGTGTCCCTTGATCTCTCAGAGTGACTGGGAATTCTGGGTAAATTCTCTCTCCCATTTCAGAGCTCCACAGATTTGTGTTTTGAGCTCTCTGAGTTTCTTTGAGCAAATTTCTGATCCAAACTGGGCTTGAAAAGAATTTTTAAAAGAATACTATGGTTAAAAGTCAGCTTAATTGGGGCTGGGCGCTGTGGCTCACGCCTGTAATCCCAGCACTTTGGGAGGCCAAGGCAGGTGGATCACAAGGTCAGAAGCTCAAGACCAGCCTGGCCAAGATGGTGAAACCCTGTCTCTACTGAAAATACAAAAATTAGCCAGGCACGGTGGCAGGCACCTGTAATCCCAGCTACTCAGGAGGCAGAGGCAGGAGAATCTCTTGAACCCAGGGGATGGAGGTTGCAGTGAGCCTAGATCATGCCACTGCACTCTAGCTGGGTGACAGAGTGCGACTACTCCTCCTCAAAAAAAGAAAGCTTAATTAAAAACAGATAGTCAAGTTCTAACAGCATGGGACTCCTTGGGAAAAACAGAGGAGGCAGCACAGAACTCATTTTGGGAAAAATCTCTGTTTTCCTCCTGAAATCCCAGAAATGGGAGGTGGGTAGAACACTCTGAAGATGTTAAGACTAGATATACTTTTAGCAATGTTAATGGCAGTTATGGGGTGATAGGAGGCTCTTGGCACATTTGAATAAGAGAAATATGGTCTTGGCCAACTGGAAGGTATGACAACGTCAACATCCCCACCCCCCGACTAAGAAATAAGGCTCCCATGAAGGATGGGCTAATTGCAAAATGGGCTAATTGATTTAGGGTTGCCATGCAATAAAATGCATAGTAAAAACATTGCACTGTCTTCTGCCATAGCATTTTCCTCCTTTTCGGGATCTAAGATCTGGTATAAAAATGGGACCCTTAATTTTGGGGAACTTTTTTTGTCTTCCACCTGTGCCTGCTTATTAGGCCCTAGAAACTGCATGTTTTTCTAGCCCTGTTTCTTGAAGGGCTCCACCTTGAGACCAGTAATCCAATTCAGAAACTGGTAAATGAAACATGCTACCACTGCTGGATCTTCTGTCTGTCTGAGTAGTTATATATGTGTTGTGTGTGTGATGTTTATATAAAAAAGAACTCTAATTGGCTTAAGGAGAAAATAAGCACTTAAATCAAATATTTTAAAAGAAAAATAAAAACTATAACCTATTTTAGTTTATGTAACTTTAGCAATCTTTGGGAAATATAAACAGCTTTAAGATTATTGGTAAAATAAAGACATTTGGTCTAAATTAGGCAGGTCAGATATTAGTCTTGCTAAATGCTTTAAGGTCATAGACTGCTTCTTTGGCTTTTGAAAATTGTTCAACTTGCCTGTTTTGCAGCTTTGTAAGGCCTGGGGACATGTGAAGTTAGCCATGCCCCTAGCTATGCTGGAAAGAGTCAGACCTTAACTCCACCTGGTATGTAATTAAAATAACTTACCAGATTTTTCACCAACATTAAAAATTGCTAAGAGTTACTATTATCACACATAATGAAGATTGCTGAAATAAAAAGCTGTATTACATGCAAGGTGTGTAAGAAAAGTAAAATGTGTTAGTAAATGATTATAAGAAGGCATGTGAATGTAAATTTTGCCTAGTCTAGAGGGATTGTTTAAAACTGAATAAGGTTGATAGGATTGTTTTAAATTGAATAATATAAAGCTAAAGGTTTAAACAAGTTGTGGAAAGTTTGTAAAAACATTAATCTTGTAAAAAGAAGTTCTATGTGGACACTGGCAAAAGTTAAAAGGATATTTTTAAGTTTTTCTATAAATTGAGCATTGGAATAAAGTCACAAGAGGTTTTTTTAGAGCACTAATATGCTCTTTCACAAAAATGGTAAAGGGTTGTAAAATGTTTATGAAAATCTCACCTTATGATCAAACTGATTAAAATTGGATAGATTTGTCTCTAATGTTTTAATAAAAATTGTTATTGACAGTAATAGTACACTAATGCAAGGATGAAATTTGTCTTTCTCTGTTGAACAAGATTTTCATGTAATATTAAAAGATAATGAAAGATTTTGTTTGCCTTTTGAATAAACTACTGATAAAAGAAGGAAATGCCAAAAGACAGATTGTTTGGAAATCTAAGTGTTCCCTCTGTTAATCAGTAAAAGGTTTTGCCTTTTTAAAACTTTTGATTCATTATTTCAGCTAAATGAATGACTTACGGTAACCTGGAATTCTATTTCATATCAAGTGTTTAAACCTTTAACATGTTTGATAGTCTTCCCAAAATCAAATTTCAGCTTTAAAACTGTCTTTTCTGACCTCTAATTTTGCAATGCCATAGAGGGCTCCAAAGCCTCTAACAGAGAGGTAAACAGGATTATTTGACATGTTTAGTTACATGGGAATCATTGTAAAAAAAAAAAAAAAAAAGAAAAAAGATTAATATTTAACCCTCTTCAGGTTATATTTTTGTGTATGTCATCAATATGTTCCAAAATTGTATTGAGTTTCTAAAATTCTAATATGCCTGAGTATATGCTATCAATCATAATTATGGTTATTATGTTAAGTTATTGTAGACCACAGAAATAACCAAATCTCCTTGTCAATTGTGTTTTTAAGTATAACTGTTTAAAGTCATTTCCACAGTTAATTGCTTCATGCTGATGCATGAAGCTTCACAAGTACACAAAATCCTAGAATATGGTGTCTTTGAGGAGGTTCATGAAAGGATGGAAAGGACCCTGAAAAGCACTCTTGAATACAGGTTTCTAATAACATTAAAATCACATCATGGGTAAGAATTCCCCATGAATTCCCCAATTCCCCAAGAATTGAACTGGATAAGAATTCCTGGAACTTTAATGAAAAAAACTGACTGAGTTATAAAACTGCTAAGCCAAGTAGAAAAAAAAATTGAATATAAAGGAAATACTTTGCCAGATTTGCATGCTAAATCAGCCAGTACTGAAATTGTTTATATATACGATTTGAATGAACTCCATGGTCTAAGTCAAATTACGCATGCAAACCCATCAGTTATCAATGCTATGCACTTAATTTGGAGAAAAAAACTGGTATTTAAGAGGATATAAGCCTAATGTTAATTAAGCATGGACACTTGGAAAACTAGAATGACCATCTTGTCCTTCCTGAGTCCTTAAAGCTTTTGTTATTAAAAGTTCTGCATTCCATGACTCATCATGGAAAAGATAAAATGATCTAAATTAAATATATCAGTGTGGTATCTTATTGATTACTAAAATAGTTTATAATCCATGTTTGGTTTGTCAAACCCATATTCCTAGGAAAACAATCAAAGCTTCAGGTACATTTGGCTACTTGATGGGGCCATTTAAACATTTATAAAGGAATTTCATTCAATTATCATTTTCATTGCTTGTTTTCTGGTTGTATAAAAGCTTTCCCATGCAAGAGGGCTAATGTTATAACAGTAGATTATTATGCTACAGTGTATTTTCACCACATCAAGAAAGCTCTTTATGGTTCTCTGACTGGGAAAATCAACCCTTTCATAATTTAGAACCTGAAGATTGGATCTTCTGAGAACATCAGAGAAAGACTGTCCTTGCCATCCATACTACAGCAAAACTTTGGGACCTTGAACTTTGGGTTCACAATCTCACAACCAAGAAGGATCCCTCTACAATTTTGGAACAGTACACCCATTGGAAACCTTAAGGTAAAGCTAACCAGGAAAGTTTCTCCCCAGAAGAAGATGGCATCCTTGATGTGAACAGCTTTTCCCAAGAACATGAATTCTCTACTGTTATGAGACTCTTATCTTAGAATATTTTCCTTGTTTATGACTCTATGAACAATAGAATGAAATGAAAAGGGGGTTTGTTTTGTGCACTTATGGGGTATAATTTTATGTGTGAATGATTTTGCACCCAGCCTTATACATGGATAAACTTATACTTTAATAGATAAAAAATAAAGGTCCAGTGTAAGTGAGAAACTTTAATGGTACATATGTTGCCTCATAATCAGTCAAAAACAGAACATTGATTCACTCCTTTTAACCCACATCATAGGTTAAAGAAAACATTGCCAGGAGGCCTTCAGTCTTCTAGAAGGGCCTCATTTGTTAGGTCCTTTTTCCATGGTTTGGAATAAAAGGGGCAATGGTTAGAAATGTATCCCTCATGATATGCTCTATAGAAGATTCTACTGTAAAGGCTATGGTTACACAACAGACTTTAAATTCTCTTGTGAAAGTTATGTTAAATAATAGAACTGGCTGAACAGAAAAGTATCTGTGGAGCTGCTGGCACTTATGGCCTATGGAGAAAACATTAGGTATTATAGAGATTCAGTTGCAGGGGATTAACAAAGAGACTGCTTATTGAAGTGACTAGACTCTTTAGCCCATTCTTTGATATATTTGATTTTAGGTTGCTCGGTTTATGGGGACCCCGGGTAAGGAGCATACTCCAAACTCTTGGTATTATCTACCTGATAGTCATAAAAATAGTCTTCCTGGTGCACTATATTCTCTCAAAGGTTTTAAATGTTTGCATACAGCTATCTCTAGAATTTCAAATGTTCTCTCTTCCACTGGAATAGCAAGAGCTGAAATAAATGTATGACCATGAAGACACTGTAACCTGTGAATGACATGTTGAGGTCAGAAACCCAAAGTGATTGTAACTGGGAATTGCGTTAAGGCCCTAAGTTTTGTTCACACTCTCACCTAAGTGAGAACCTGACCAAAAAGGGGGAATTTTTTTTAAAAACAAAATTATAGGAGGCCCTTGTTTTGGACTGAGCTCATTCCCTACGCACCAACAGACAAAATTAAACCAAAATGAAGTCACTCGTGCTAAATGTGACTAATCAAACTAAGACTTTAAGGAAACACATAGATCCTAGAATATATCCAGGTTAGTTTTTCTCCTATAAACAGGATGTTCCAGCATAAGGAGATACTTTCTACTCAGTCCTTGTTCCTATCTTTGCAAAACTCACTATATACAAAAATTAACTCAAAATGTCTTAAAAGATTAAATGTAAGACCTCATAATGTAAAAGTCCTGGAAGAAAACCTAGCAAATGCTCTTCTAGACATTTGCCTAGTCAAAGAATTTATGACTAAGTCCTCAAAAGCAAATGCAACAGAAACAAAATTGACAAATAGGACCTAATTAAACTGGAGCACTTATGTACAGCAAAAGAAACTCTCAAAAGAGTAAACAGATAACCTAAAGAATGGGAGAAAATATTTGCAAACCAAGCATCTGACGAAGGGCTAATATCCAGAATCTTTAAGGAACTTAAGCGAATCAACCATTAAAAAAAATTTAAAAAAAACATTTAAAAGTGTGCAAAGCATATCAACAGACACTTCTCAAAAGATCTATAAGCAGCTAACAAACATCACTAATCTTTAGAGAGATGCAAATCAAAACCACAATGAAATACCATCTCATACAAGTCAGATTGGCTATAAAACTTAAAGAAGAACAGATGTTGACAAAGTTGCAGAGAAAAGGGAACACCTATGCATTGTTGCAGGGAATGTAAATGTGTTTGGCCACCGTGGAAAGCCGTTTGAAGATTTCTCAAAGAAGTAAAAATCGAATTACCATTTCAGCCTGCAATCTCATTACTGGGAATTTATTACCCAAAAGAAAATAAATCATTCTCCCAAAGAGACACTTGCATTCATATGTTTAGCACAGCACTATTCACAATAGCAAAAGACATGGAATCAACCCAGATGTCCATCAACCGTGGATTGGAGAAAGAAAATGTATATATACACCATGGAATACTACACAGCCATACAAAATAACAAAATCATTTCCTTTTCAGCAACATGGATGCAGCTGGAGACCATTATCCTAAGTGAATTAATGCAGAAACAGAAAACCAAATGCCACATGTTCTCACTTATAGATGGGAGCTAAACATTGAATACACATGGACATAAATATGGGAATAATAAACACTGGGGATCACAAAATGAGGGAGGGACACAGGGAGGCAAGGGTTAGAAAACTACCTATTGGGTATCATGTTCACTACTTGGGTGACAGGATCATTAGAAGGCCAAACCTTAGCATCATGCAATATACCCATGCAACAATCCTGCACATGTACTCCCTGGATCTAAAATGAAATAAAGAAAAATAAACCACAAAAAATACATTTTAAAAACAACATAATTCATATTTATTATATTTCTGATTACATAAACACTTGAGTGCCCCTCTTATAAAATATTTACCATGTAAGGAACTACATTTTAGCCTACCTCAGAAATAATGTTTTATGCACAAGTATTTTATCATTATTTTTAAAATTCATGCTTGAGATTTTCACACTCCTTGATATTTCAAAGAGTTTTTATAAAGGACAATTTTTCATGACCAATTTAGTATTTAAGGCAACTGGCAATCTTGTGCTGTTGATCATTGTTTTCTCATATTCACATTTTTATTCCACACCATTAATCTCCTGCCCCCTACCAACTCCTACACTAAAGCTAGCACATCACTGTAGTACCTGTTTCTTTCATATTAAAAGTAAGTACATTTAAAAAGCAAGTACATATGGTACTTACTCGTGAAGTTAGTAATAAGTACCCAAATCTAGTTCATTTCTTATGGCATAATTAAGGGTAGAGATATACTATCACCAGATGTACATTCCTCACGTCGTAACACTATCTAAACATTTCCTAAAATTAAGAAACAAGCAAATATTTGATAGATTGACATTTGTAATCTCACTTGTCAACTGTTATTCACCTTGTACCTAGCAAGTTGTAATCAGATATGCTTCTTGTGTCACTTTGGAAATTGCCACATCTGTCCCCTTGAGACTGGACTTTCTAAAGAAATATAAAATTCATTTCCCTTTATATCTTTGTTCTTGATAAATGTGAAAAACTATGTTCATGCCTTTTGATTTATTTTATGGGCAACTTTTTATAGCATTCAGAAGAAGAGTATATGCCATATTTGCTTGTTCTCATAGTGTGTCTTAATTTTTCAAAATTATTTCCATAACTTCAATTATACAATATTATTCTTAGAGTACATTACTGCATTAAGTCATATTAAATATTACAAGTCCCTGAGACAGGGTTTACACCTGGCAATTTTCTTAAAAATTTAAATATTATTTATGCAGAGTTTTATATTACCTTTCCACATATTCAATAGCTTCTTCATGTCAAAGATAAGTCTCTGGCTTTTATGTCCAAATTTTTATATAACAATGTTCACTAGTTCGGTGTGGCCATTTTTATAACTTCCCTGGTTCTAGATGAATAATTTTACTTTTTCTACCAATGCCAATTTTTTATATATATGGATACACAATTGTTGTACATATTTATGGGGTACATGTAATATTTTGATACAGGCATACAATGTGTAATAATCAAATCTGGGGAATTGGGATATGTATCACTTCAAACATTTACTCTTTATTTGTGTTGGGAACATTCCAAATGTACTTTTCTGGCTATTTTGAAATACATAGTAAATTATTGTTAGCTGTAGTTGCCCTATTGTGCTACTGAACACTAGATCTTAATTCTTCTAATTGCATATTTGTACCCATTAAAACCAATCTCTTTATCCCTTTCTCCTCACCCACTACCCTTCTGAGCCTCTAGTAAACATTATTTTACTCTCCACCTCCACTCCATTAGATCAATTCTTTTAGTTTTCACATATGAGTGAGAATATAAGACATTTGTGCTTCTGTGTTCGGTTTATTTCACTTAACATAATGTCCCCCAGGTCCATCCCTATTGTTGCCAAAGATTAGATTTCATTTTCTTGTGGCTGATTAATATTTCAATGTGTATGTCATATTTTCTTTCATCCATTGATGGGCACTTAGGTTGATTCCTTATCTTGGCAATTATAAATAGTGCTGCAATAAACATGGAGTACAAATTATCTGGAGTGTAGATATCTCTTTGATATACTGATTTCCTCTCTTTATGATATATACCCATGAACGGGGTCACTAGGTCAAATAGTAGTTCTGTTTTTAGTTTTTTGAAGAATCTCCATACTGTTTTTTTATAGTGGTTATGCAAGTCATATTCCTACCAGCAGTGTACAGGCATCCTCCCTTTTCAGCACATTCCCAGCATTTGTTACTTTCTAATATTTATGAATTAAACATACTACTTGGATACTCTTAATGGACTTAACAAAATAAGTTATTCCTGCTATTATCTCGCCTTATTGAGGATCACACCTCTGGCTTCAAAACTGCTGTCAAGAAAGGTAACACAAAAGCTGTGGTTTGATGATGAAGTGACATTAAAATCTATCATATCTGACTTCCATAATTCATAAGTTTAGTGACTTGGCTTATTGCTATAGTATCTATATACAAACAGGGCCCAGGATCTTCTCTGCAGCAACAACTGTTACAGGTTATAAAGGGATTGTATCTACTTGTAGCCATTTGATCATGATAACCTAAATCACTTTCTCTTACCTTCTCTACCACCCATACATTTTCCCAGATTATCTACAATCATCTATCTGCCTGGCTGATTGGGTGTCAGGCTGACACCGCATGTTTCCTCTGCTAATTATTCCTCATTTCTCTGTATTAGCACCTCTTTGGCTTTCCACTGTATCTTTTCTATTTGTTTGTTTGTTTGTTTGTTTGTTTGTTTGTTTTGAGACAGGATCTTGCTCTGTCACCCAGGCTGGAGTGCAGTGGCATTGATCATGGCTCACTGCAGCCTCAATATCCACATGCTCAAGCTGTCCTCCCATCTCAGCCTCCCAAGCAGCTGGGACTATAGGCACGCACCACCATGCCTGGTTAACTTTTTTGTATTTTGTAGAGATAAGGGGTTTTGCAATATTGCCCAGGCTGGTCTCGAACTCCTGAATTCAAGCAATCCACCTACCTCAGCCCCCTAAAGTGCTGGGATCACAGGCATGAGCACCACACCTGGCCTCCATTCATCTTCATCCCAGGACCATGCCAAGCTCATATTGACAGTGATCAGGATGTAAAAAAAAGATCATGAATAATGTTCATATTCAGTCTATGTCAGTACTTTTGTTTCTGGCTACCTTTACTAATTTTATCCAACAACTTTTGTGAGCCAGTATTTAACATACTTTTAAAGTAAGCCACCAGGATTCTACTCAAATTGACCTCTAACAATAATAATCTAGACTATCTACAGGTTAGTAATAATACTACTGGCTCTCCTTTAGTATTTAGTCTGGAGATTTGCAAAGCCTAGAAAAGCAGAAAAGCTATTCAGCTGACTCCTAGGGAGAAGTCTAGTATTTTCTGGGTGGAGTTTCAAGAACACTTGATGTGGTGGAGGTGTCATTTGTTGAGACATAAGCATGGTCACTGACTAGGTACTGGATACATTTGAATTGTCCCTGTAGTGCTGTGCATGGAGCTATGATATGCATGCCTCAGCTGTGATACAATCCTTGCTGGTGTTGACACATGTCCCAGTTGTCAGCGACAAGCATTACAGCAGGGATTCTGATATTTATCTTGATCTATAACACGAGTCTACTCAGCACCAGTACAGAAATTGTTCCCTCATGGAGTGACCAATCAACGGCTAGCTTTTCAAGAGCCCACCTCTAAGAGACAGAACTGGATCTGTTAGAGGCTCTTTGCTTTTTTATTTTGAGTTCCCAGGATTGTCAAGGGGTTAGCTGGCAGATGCTAATTTAGGACCATCTCATTATTCTTAATAGTATTACATTTTGATGTTTTTAAAGTTATGCCATTATATATTTGAAGTACAAATTATAATAAAATTACACAATTCAAATGTTCTGTTTAATGAGTTTTGACAATTGAAGACCCTCATAATCACAACTACAATGATGTATAAAACATTTCTGTCATTCTAGAAAATTTCCTTGTGCTCCTTTTCTAGTCAATTTCCAGTCAGCAAGAGGTGATTAGTTTCTAAATTTTATCACTATGCAGCCAGCATCATCAGTGCACTTTTTAAAATATATCAGGCAATAAATATTGCAAGTTTTGTGGGCTCCATATTTCTGTCTCATATATTCTTCGTTTTTTAATAATCCTTTAACAATATTTTTTAAATGCTCTATTCAGTGCTATACATATTCAAAATTAGGGAGCAGAATTGATTTGGCCTTGTGCTATAGTTTTCTGATTTCTACTGCAGGTTAGTTTTGAATGTCTTTAAACTTCATTTAAATGGAATAACACAGTATGAACTCTTTTGTTTCCTCATTTCTTAGCTCAATCTATTGTATTTCTGGTTCATCTACATTGTTGCACACATTAAGAGATTATTTCTTTTTATTTCTTGGAAGTATACCATTAAATTTTTATACTACAATTTTTAAATCCATTTCTCCAGTTGATAGACACTTACGTTGTTCTCTTTGGAATTACCTGTGGAATGGCCAGGACATGGGATATGTGTATGTTTACGAAAATTTGGCATTCCATTCTCCGAAATGATTGTATTATTTTGCACTCTAGTAGCAATGCACATTTTTTTTCCTAGGCTAACACCTTCAGGTAATGGACTCATTTCAACACCTTCAAATCTGGTGTCCTGTTAATAATTAACCAAATCACCAATTGTATCTTGAATAGAATAAAGTAGCAGCAGAAGGTTCTGGAAGCATCATCACGATGCAAGGACTCACTCTAACATGTCCTTATGATATTATTTATATACTCTCAGATTTTCTTCAGCAACATTAATACTAATTTAGCAAAGACCTCTTGGCACCAGACACCCTTGTTATGTATGTAAGCATATGAGCTGTCACTGAAGCACAATATCTGAGAAGCTGTACATAGGGCAGAAAAAGAGGCAAAAAAATGGAATATGTTCTTGAAGATTATTTTCAGAGCTTACAGCATGTGGCATATGTTGCAGCATGTACTTTAGCAGAGATTCACCAGAAGGACTGGTCTAATATCCAGGGAAGAGGCTACCACTGACCTCCTGTTCCACAGCTCAATCTTGTCTGCTTGGGTCTTGGTATCCTACATACCGTATCTTCCTCCTCTAAGAAAAACTCCTTCTCAATATTTACTTACATTTTCTTTGCCATTGCATTCCATATAGCACTACCATATCTCCCATTGCAAAAGTCCACTCTCACAACCCCCTAGAGCCCTGGTACTCAAAGTGTGGTTCATGAAGCATTAGCATTGTTTTTTAGTGTCTGGATCTGCCCCAGACCAACTGAACCATTATTTCAGTTTTAGTTAGATACCCAGTATGATTCACATGCACATTAAAGTTTAAAAAGCATATATGGAAAATACTCACAAATTCAGGTAAATGATCCGGCAGCTCAATATTTCTAACGTGGCAGGCCTCTAATGAGGACTTGTGTATTCTTAGGCCGTTTATATGTATATGTGGAAGAAGTTTCTGTTCACTTTTCTCTATCCTTCCCACTTAAACAAAGTCATCCTGAAATTAAATAAGCAAGCCAGTCCTTCTCTAGGTCTATACCAGGTTAAATCTGAACTAGATTCAAAGATTGTTAAAAATAATCTCTTAGCTATTACTTAACCTTTTTTTTTTCATTTCAGTTTACTCTTATATCAGTAGAGTAAAAGAAAATGTTATGGGTTCACAAGAAGAGGATGCAAGTAAATAGGTAAACCTAAAGCCCCCAAGTCTCCATAATTTCCTATACATGTAATGCAGCTGGCATGGAGCAAGGAACCCTAGGTAAAAGGGGCTAGAACATGGTTTTATTGTCTTTATTCTGTTAGGATAGAAAAGTTACCTTTCAGAAAGACATCTCTAAAGGCTTCAGGTCATGCTATCACTTACACCAAATGCACTATTTCAGTCCATTTAAAACATCTCCATTATTATCTCTTATAAATTATATAATTGACAATGAAATTTTGCAGCAGGCTATGTCCCCAAATTCCATAAATCCCACATCTGTTTATCATAAGCAGTTGTATACAGACATCTTATGGTGCATCTTGCTATCAGCATTCAGTTGGTAAGAACTCTGTATTTCTGTAGTAATTGTTATCTAGATTAGTATGTTCACAAATGGGGATAGATCTTCCCTGTTTTTCTTCTCCCTCTCTCCCCCACATCCTTGGGATAGAAAAAAACTGGTTGCTCATTAGCTATTAACACTTTCTTTCTTAATCTGCTACTCCTCTGCATCCTCAGGCGTACGATAGGCCTGGCCATAGCCTGCCATCTACTAAACCCTAATACTAATCATACCTGTTAACATTTTATAGGTAGGGAAAGCTATGTTATTTTCTCTCTTTTTCAGAACTGCAGTAAAACTTGTTTTGTCCTACTCTTTTTTTCAATTATGCTTTGTTCAATATCCCTTGCATCCAAATAATATATTATCAAAAAGATTATCTGAGGATCTAAGGGTTGCTTATACCCATGGAATACCAAAGCTAATAAATACAGAAGTAGGTGCTTTTCTATTTAATTGCCCTATTACAATCAACTGTACTAAGCTTTCTCAGACATCTGAATGTTATAGTGCCTGACAATGAGTCCTTAAACACTTGTTTTATAGTGGATTCTAACACCCACTGGGACTTTTCAGCTCAGCCAATAATTGCATCACCACCCGTTGTTGCCCTTTTAAATCATGTCACCATGGAACTGAGTTTAAGAATACTAAGCATCACAAATTGAGAACATTCTCAGAAAGTGCTAATCACTTGTTTTTATTACTTTAGAATATATACCATCTATATATCAATAAAAAATAATGAAGATTTTCTTAGATGTAATTTTTAAAGGAAAATTTGAGAGAAGGAAAAAAAGAGAGAAAATGAATTTATTTCCATAGATTTAGATTTTTTAGAAAATACAGTTGATCTTAGCATTAACCATGAAAGTAACTCTCTGTATCAGTCCTGGAGCTCTTTGAATTTAGGAGTCAACATATGTCAACTGAATGTGCTGCTCTGACCCATTTCCTGTGTAACATGTAAAGCTGCTAAAAATGAGTAGGGCTTAGAGCAAAAGAGACCTCTGCAGCATGTTCATAGGGCTGTGCCAGTCCCCCTGCCACATAGGCCTTATGACACATCAGACTTAGTTTGTCTGAATGTGTCCAAGGTAAGGATGCTGTGTAGAGACTTAGAAAAGAATCACAGCATAAAACTCTTGGGTTTTGAGGCAAGTATTTAGGTTCTTCTCTATGGTTAATATTTTCTTTTTGTTTCTTTTACTTTTATTTTAGGTTCAGGGGGCCCATGTACAGGTTTGTTACATGGGTGTATCTCATGTTGCTGAGGTTTGGTGTATAAATGATCCCATCACCCAGGTAGGAAGCAAGGTACCCAGTAGGTAGTTTTTCAACGCATACTCCTTCCCACTTTCCCCTATCTAGTAGTAGTCCCCAGTGTCTATTGTTGCCATCTTTATGACCACATGTACCCAATATTTAGCTCCTGCCTATAAGTGAGAACATGAGACATTTGATTTTCTACTCCTGTGTTAATTTTCTTAGGATAATGCCCTCCAGTTGTGTCCATGTTGCTTAAAAGGAAATGCTTTCATTCTTTTTTTATGGCTGCATGGTATTCTTTTGGGAACCAGCTCATTGCTTGGTACAGAACCCTGATAAAGACTAATTGTTTAATAATGGGGCACCAATTACTCTATAATCTCTGTTGCAATGAGGATCCATCAAATCATAGTGCTAATCACATGCAGCAGGAACCCATTATGAAATGAAAGATATATGTACATGTGTAAGTGTATATGAAATTAGGCTTGAATAGATTGCCACAAATGAGTAAGTTGTGTGAGCGGGGGGCTCAGATTCTCAGGACACATCCACTTGCTGCATCACCATTCCACTGTCCACACATGCATGTGGCCTAATAAGGAGTTTCCTAACCCCAGATTAAAAGAGGGAAAAAATGAGCTTGTTTTACACAGTATGCTGTCACTGTTGGAACTGGACTGCTGGCATAGTTCAACTACTGTCTAGAGTGGCACTGATGGACAGAAAAGTGAAATCCTCCAAGTGGGAAGAACTTTGGAAAATACATTTGAATGACCATTTTGCCTCACAGGAAGGAAACAGTGATGGAATAATGCCTCTTCTGAAAGGTGGTCCCATTCTAATCTTAGGAACCTGCAAATATGTTACCTTATAGTGCATAAGGGCCTTTTCAGATGTGATTGAATTAAAGATCTGGAGACAGAAGAATTATTCTGGATTTTCTGGGAGAGGACAACATAATCACAACATAAGCACATTTTTTTTCTCTCTCTGATGTCCTGCCTCCTTCTTATAAGGATAATCACATAATTGGATCATGATAAGAAGGAGGCAAGAGGTCAGAGAAAGAAGAAATGTGCTACAAAGTTGGATATGAAGATGGAGGGATGGGTCACGAACAGTCTCTAGAAGCTGAAAATGTCAGAGGAAAGAATTCTCCCCTAGAGCCTCCAGAAGGAAAATAGCCCTATAAACACTTTGACTTTAGCCCTGTAAGGCACATTGCAGACTTCTGACCTCCAGAACCGTACTATAGTAAAATAAACCTAGGTTGCTTTAAGCCACTCAGCTTAGTTATTTGTTACAGCAGCAATAGGAAACTAATACAGATAAATATATTCCAAATCCTTGACAATCGCTAATTGTTTGTTTAGTTGGTCAGGTATTAAAAAAAAATTTAAAAACCTGTTTTCTGCTGTAATGTCATCACTATTATTTCAGGCCTGATTCTATCGTTTAAATTTTCTCATTTTGGACTATGTTTTCCTTCTTATTTGAATGCTTGGGATTTTTAAAAATTGTAATCTTGGCATTGGCATTTTTAACTTGCCGGGTGCTGGATGATTTTTATATACCTATACATGTTCTCGAACTTTGTTCTGAGGTGCAGTTACTTGACAGCAGTTTGATCCTTTTGAGCCATGCTTTTAAGGATTTTATGTAGAACCAGTACAGTTTCTAACTTACAGCTAATGTTGACATACTACTGAGGGAATATCCTTCTGAGAACTATTCATTTGTCCCTGGGATTATGAGGTGATTTACTCTGGATAGTGAAATAGAAACCATTCCAGAACCAAGGATGGCACTAGGTGTTGTTCCCTCTATTTTTGGGGGGAAATATTGTCTCTGCTTCAAGTAGTTTCATCACATGCGTTAGCAGATCAATATTTAAGTGAAGAATTGAGGGGTACCCTCTGCATATCTTCTTAGCTCTCTCAGTACAACTCTCTCTTCCCTGGTATTACGCCCTGCAAAATCAATCTGCCTTAGTCTCATAAACACTCAGATTGGTCTCTTTAACCCACAGAGATAGTCAGGCTCCCCCCTGATTACCCTCCTTTCCTGTGGCCTGGAACTCTTTCCAGGCAATGAGCTGGAACAAACATTTGCCTTAAATAATTTGCTTACCCTATCTCATGGATTATTACCCAGGACTGCTCAATGTCTGGTGTCAGAAAACTGATATTTCACAGTTTATCCATTTTTAGATATTTTAGTGGGTGGGAAGGTTTAGTTACTTATTATTCCATCTCAATAAACAACAGAAATAATTCACTTGTGAGTTTGAATAATTATATTGCAGTATTTTTTACTTTATTCTAACAATTACCGCATTTCTTACACTCAATCTGAGCACAAGCACTACAACCCTATCAATATTCCACACCTGAAATAAACTAACATGACTAACACCTATAATTCCATTAATTTTATTATCCCTAGGAGGTTTACCCCCATTAATGGGATTTCTCCCTAAATGAGTTACCATCCAAGAACTTACAAAAAACAACAGTCTTATTACCCCAACCATTATAGATATTATAACCCTACTCAACCTATACTTTTACACACGCTTAATTTACTCTACCTCAGTGACAATATTCCCCACATCTAATAACATAAAAATAAAATGACGGTTCAAAAACACAAAGTCCATATTACCCCTCCCCCCACTTATAATCTCTACCCTCCTCTTACCTATTTCTCCATTAACACTATCTATGATCTAGAAATTTAGGTTAAATAAGACCAATGGCCTTCAAAGCCTTTAGCAAGTAAATTATACTTAATTTCTGCAACAAACCTAAGGACTGCAAGACTCCACTCTGCATCAATTGAACGCAAATCAACTACTTTAATTAAGCTAAGCCCTCTCTAGATTGGTGGAATTAAACCCACGAAAATTTAGTTAACAGCTAAACACCCTAATCAAGTGGCTTCAATCTACTTCTCCCGCCGCTGGGAAAAAAGGCGGGAGAAGCCCTGGCAGGAGTGAAGCTGCTCCTTTGAACTTAGTCTGAATTTTCATGTTGAATTCAACATGAAAATCACCTCGGGACTGGTAAAAAGAGGCCTTAACCTCCATCTTCAGATTTGCAGTCTAATGTTTACTCAGCCATTTTACCTTTTTCACTCCACTTATGTTCATCAACCGTTGATTGTTTTCAAGCAACCACAAAGACATGGGAACATTATAGTTACTATTCTGTGCATGAGCAGGGATAGCAGGCACAGCCTTAAGCCTCCTTATTCAAGCAGAACTGGGCCAACCAGGTACTCTGCTAGAAGATGATCAAATTTACAAAGTTATTGTTACCTCCCACGCATTTATCATAATTTTCTTTATAGTTATACCAATCATAATCGGAGGTTTTGGCAACTGATTAGTTCCTCTCATAATTGGCTCTCCTGATATGGCATTTCCCCGAATAAATAACGTGAGTTTCTGACTTCTCCCTCCCCCCCTTTCCTACTGTTATTTGCATTCTCAATGGTAGAGGCTGGCAGTGGGACCCGCTGGACAGTTTATCCTCCCTTAACAGGAATCTTAACATGCAGGATCCTCTGTGGACCTGACCATCTTCTCACTTAATTTAGCAGGCATCTTTTCTATTCTAGAAGCTATTAATTTTACTACCACAATCATTAACATGAATCCCCTGGCCATATCCCTACATCACACACCCCTCTTCGTCTGATCAGCCCCAGTTACAGCAGTTCTTCTACTTCTTTCTCTTCCAGACCTAGCCGCCGGCATTACTATGCTATTAACTGACTGTAATCTCAACACTACATTGTCTGACCCAGCTGTCAGAGGTGACCCTGTCCTGCATTAACACTTATCTGATTTTTTGGCCACTCTGAAGTCTATGTCCTTATCTTACAAGGCTTCTGGATAATCTCCCACATCGTAACACACTATTCTGGAAAAAAGGAACCATTTGTGTGCATGGGCATAGTATGAGCCATAGTATCAGTTGGTTTCTTAGGATTATCATATGGGCTCACCACATACTTACAGTAGGAATAGATGTAGATATAGGAGCATACTTCACCTCTGCCACTATAATTATTGCCCTCCCCGCTGGCATCAAAGTCTTTAGTTGGTTAGCTTCACTACATGGCAGCAACATCAAATGATCCCCCACAATTCTTTGAGCCCTGGGATTTATATCCCCTTTTACATTAGGAGGTCTGACCGGCATTGTACTAGCTAACTCATCACTAGACATTGTCTTGCATGACACATATTATGTTGTAGCTCATTTCCATTACATCTTATCAGTAGGAGCCGTATTTGCTATTATAGGAGGCTTTGTCCACTGATTTCCCCTATTCTCAGGTTATATACTTAGTCAGACCTATGCTAAAATTCACTTTTCCATCATGTTTATAGGTGTTAATTTGACTTTTTTCCCACAGCATTTCCTGAACAGGGAAAAGTTGAAAGCATTCCCACTGAGAAATGGAACAAGACAAGGAGGCCCACTCTTACCACTTCTGTTCGACATAATACTAGAAGTCCTAGACAGAGCTATCAGAAAAGAGAAAGAAATAAATGGCATTCAAATCGGTAAAGAGGAAGTCAAACTGTTGCTATTTGCTGGTGATATGATCATATATCAGAAAACTCTAAAGACTCCTCTAAAAAGTTCCTCAACTGGTAAAGGAATTCAGGAGAGTTTCAGGATACAAAATTAATGTACACAAATCCATTGCTCTGCTATACACCAATAGCAACCAAGCTGAGAATCAAATCAAGAACTCAACCCCTTTCACAATAGCTGCAAAAAGTAAAATAAAATACTTAGGAATACATCTAACTAAGGACATGAAGGGCCTGTACAAGGAAAATTAAAAAACACCACTAAAAGAAATAATAAATGATACAAACAAATGGAAACACATCCTATGCTCATGGATGGATCAAATCAATATTGTGAAAATGGTCATAGTGCCACAAACAATCTACAAATTTAATGAAATTCCCATCAAAATACCACCATCATTTTTCACACTTCTTGATTCATGGAAGGAGGTCAAAACAAGAGCTTGGAAGTAGTTGATTTCAACCCTCATGGATGACTTTGAGGGTTTCAAAACTTCAGTCACGGAAGTAACTGAAGCTTTGGTGGAAATAGCGAGAGAAGTAGAATTAGAAGTGGAGCCTGAAGATGTGAATGAATTAGTGCAATCTCATGACAAAACTTGAATGGATGAGGAATTGTTTCTTATGGATGAGGAAAGAAACTGGTTTCTTGAGATGGAATCAACTCCCGATGAAGACACGGCAAACGTTGTTGAAATGGCAAGAAAAGACTTGGAATATTACATAAACTTAGTTGAAAAAGCATTAGCAGGGTTTGAGAGAATTGGCTCAAATTTTGAAAGAATTTCTACTATAAATAAAATGCTATCAAACAGCATCACATGTTACAGATAAATCTTTCATTGAAGGAAAAGAAAATAAATGCCACAAATTTCATCTTTGTCTTATATTTGAAATTATCACAGTCATCCCAACCTTCAGCAATCACCAACCTGATCAACAGCCATCAACATTGAAGCAAGACTTTTCATCAGCAAAAATATTATTACTCACTAAAGGCTCAGATAATCATTAGCATGTTTTATCAATAAAGTATTTTTTAATTAAGGTATTTCTATTGGCTTTTTTGGCCCTGCCAAGTCTTATGTTGAAACTTGATCTCCAGTGTAGGAGGTGTTTGGATTGTGGAGGAACATCCCTCATGAATGACTTGGTGTCATTCTTGCAGAGTGAGTTTTCTTGTTCCCATGAGAACTGGTTGTTCCAAAAGACTGTTACCTCCTCCTCTTTCTTTTTTGCTTCCTCTCTTGCCATGTGATCTCTGCAGACAAGCTCCCCTTCCACCATGAGTAAAAGCAGCTTGAGACCCTCACCAGATACAGATGAAAAAGCCATGCTTCTTCTACAGCCTGCAGAACTGTGAACCAAATAAATATTTTTTGTTATGAATTACCCTACCTCAGGTATATCTTTGTAACAACACTAGTGGAATAAGATAGATATGTACTTTTTTAGGCATAGTGCTACTGCGCACTTCATAGACTACAGTATAGTATAAACATAACTTTTAAATGCACTGGGAAACCACACAATTTATGTCACTTGCTTTACAGCAGTATTTACTTTGTTGCTGTGGTCTGAAATTGAACCTGCAATATCTAGAGGTGTGCCTGTACCTATAGGTAAGTGCACTGGGAAACCACACAATTTATATGACTTTCTTTATGGCAATATTTGCTTTATTGTAGGGGTCTGGAACTGAACTATCAATATCTCAGAGGTGTGCCTGTATCTGAACCTGAACCTGGAGCTGTTCTACACACAGACACACAGAGACACACACACACACACACACACACACACACACAGGCACAAACCCATTTTATTACATGTAAAAATCTGATAAAGGACTATGCAAAAAGGAACAATTATATTTAAAATACTGCAATGATAGAATATGCCATCTGACCCCAGTGATGTTCTTTCCTTTCTACCAAGCTATCAACTTATAGAATTAGAAAACAAATAATCTAAGATGCAATGTTTAGATGCTGCCATAAAATTCTATTTTAATTTGATAACTGAAATTCTCAGATATAGAGAAGCATTTAATTATCTTTGTAATATATTACTTATAATTTTGCATTATTAAATAACATAATTTGGGGTTAGTATTTAGTTTTAACATATAAGGGTCAAATCAAATATAGGAGTGAGTTGTTTTGAAGCTGGATTTTCATATTTCAGTTTTTATGTTTATTATGAGTTTTAGAAAAGTATCATACTGGTGTTAATTTAAAATCAAAGGCATATAATAAGCTTTTTAATAACTGTTTTTGAATATGACTTTCTGCCCACTCATGAATTTTGAGAATATTTGACTAAGTCACATATCATTTTTAAAATGAACTAAAAATGGAAAACTTTATTAAAAGAATATGTTAGTTAACACATACATAGTTATTAGTGCAAGTACCTAGGTGTATCCTGTACCACATAGAGTTAATTTTGACTCTTAGCTGTGACAAGCAAAGATTTGTTGAATGGTACAATTAAAAAAGAAGAGCATAAAATTGCAGACACTCAGTTCTTCAATGAGGAAACTTGATATTATCTATACTCAGTGTATAGGTTGGTGTTGTCCTAAATTGTGTGATGATGCTGCTAACTACTTTTATAGTTAAGAGCTTTATTGCCCTTGGGCTATTTTTCACTTTTCCAATTTGGTTTGCAACATTTCTGACTTTACCTATTTCAATCCAAATCTAATAGAAAACTTGAAAGGTTTTGTTGACTTTTATTTTGTATCTGGGTATTGAGTCCAACCAGAGTCTCAAGCAAAATGTAAGAATTGCACATCTATCCAAACTGAAACAATAACATAACAATTCACAAGCACTGAACGACTGAAACAGAAAAATGATAAATTTTGCCCATCCTTGGACAAGCTAAAAACTGGCAAGTAAACATAAGAAAAAAGGAATCCCTCTAGGCTTTCTATAACAGAATTTAAAATCATATAATAATTGGTCATCATAAGTCTAACACTTTTACTCTGTAGCAAAACGTATTTTAGAACTGTCAACAAATGGGATGCAAGCATAATTATTCTCCCTTTCTGTACTATTTAGCTATAATTGATCTCATGCCCTTAAACCTTGTAGATTTAACTATGTTATTTCAGTGGTCTTAAATAAAATCAAATAAAACTTACTAACGTTGTTGAGAATGTAAAAGTTAAGACTTCTGGAATTTTAGGTAATATTTCATACTATAAAATTAAATGCTGTCACTTTATTTAGATATTAATGGTTATATAAATATATATTAATTGTATAAATATGCTTAGGAAAAATATGTGTAGTATTACTCTATTCTTAGAGTAAATATAAAGTATGACTTTAACCTTCAGTTGTGAACATAAAGAGTCCTTTATATTTTATTCAAAATAAGTGAGAATGCATTTCCAAAGCTTTAGGGTCTCAGCAATTCAATGGACAGTAGTGAGATTATTTTTTGGATTTGACCTCTAATAATGACAAATAGCTTTGTGGTCCTTTCCCATGTATTGTGTAAAAATGAACTAGGTCCATTTTTAAATAATAGAGTTACACACAGCTCTGTATCTCTCTCTGTCCTAATAGCTTAAATGCAACAGAATTATTTTGGGTCCATGAAACTTTTTTATTTTTTGAGACAGAGTCTCACTCTGTTCCCCAGGCTGGAGTGCAGTGGCCCCATCTTAGCTCACTGCCACCTCCACCTCCCGGGTTCAAGCAATTGATTCTCCAGCCTCAGCCTCCCAAGTAGCTGGGACTACAGGCACACACCACCACACCTGTCTAATTTTTTGTGTATCTTTAGTAGAGACGGGGTTTCACCATGTTGGCCAGGCTGGTCTCAAACTCCTGACTTCAGGTAATCCGCCCACCTAGGCCTCCCAAAATGCTGGGATTACAGGCATAAGCCACCGTGTTCAGCCTTGAAACTCTTTTTGAATTGTGAGTATAGAAAGGTAAAATGATAATACTGAACCTATTGGGTCTGACCTGCAGACCCTGGCTAAACTACGGATGAACAAATGCACTTGGACAGCGATATCCAGTGAAAGAGTGGGCTAGGGGATCGGGCCACCCACAGACACCAAGGAAGGTGCTGTACAGAGTCAACAGCCACAGCACTGACAAGCTGGCATTGTGGGCATCTATTCAGTATAAATTTAATGACAAAGGCCTTGAGTCAACACACTTGTGGGCAATTCACATAGTCACACCCTCACCCCCCACCATCTCCCAGAGAGAGGGTAGTCCTGCACGCGAATGATTAAAGGCCAGGTTTCCAGGCTTAAGTAAACTAACTTATCTAGATCAATTCCCTTACACTTCCTTGTTATCTACTCTGAGAGAATTCAGCTGCCTTCAGCCAAACCCTTTTCTGAAGCTTTCGTAAAACCTTCCGGCCTTCCAAGAAGCTTTGCATCTTTCTCCAAATTTTCCTACCACCCTGACCGATCTCCTACATCAACTCATGATGACCAAATGGTAAATAGCATTAAATGAATGATAGAGGGCTTTTACTGGATATTTTGATCAATCTATTTTCATCAAATGGATGTTTCTTCAGCAAATAAGTACCTGAACATCCTGAAGAAATTGGACACTGAAAATGATTAGCATCAGGCCAACCTTTGATTCATCCTGTAAAGCAATGTGTCTCAAATATTAATGTGCCCACTTATCTATAAAACTTGTTAAGATGTATATTCTAACTCAATAGGCCTGGGATAAATTCTGACATTCTACATTTCTAATGATTTTCCAAATGATGTCAAGGCTGGTGGGCCTTACATCATATTTTCAGAAGCCAGTTTCTAAAAGATTTCCTCTCCATAAATTGATTTTAGATTTTTTCTAGTTCCAGTAAGATTAACTATAAATATATTCAGAGTTTATGTGAAATTCAGAGACTAAAATCATGGAGAAATATTTAAAAGAAGAAAAATGTCTAGACCTCATTTTGAACACAATGGAGAAAGAGTTGATTCTGTCTATAAGCCCTGAGAATGTATATACTTCAAAGAAGATTTAAGAGACAGTCTCATGTTAAAACAATCTATGTGAGATCATCCTGATTCTCAACAAGTTCATTTGTAGAAATTCTACTTCTTCTACTAATATATATATATTACTATATATATTATATATATTCAGAATAAATAGTATTTATTTTATCTACCATTAAGGAAAAAAGTTTTAAAGTGTCTAAAATACGGATAATTACAATTGCTTTAGTTTTCTCCTTTATTTTGAATTTGAATTTCAAGTTCTAAATTGATTTACTCAAACGCTTGAACTAAAGGCTTAGCAAAAGGAAAGCTGTGTCATTTCCAGGCATAAAAACTATTTATGTGAGGGGGCTTCAAGAAGACTGACTACAAGCATCCAACACTTGCCATCTCTGCAAGGAAGGACCATGTTAGTGAGTACAGAATCACAAGTTGACTAAAGTATCTAAGAGAGAACATCGAAATTTAGCAGTTAAGTGGCAGAGAAGCTGTGGAGCATGAAAGAAGAGGAAAATGAAACAGACAACTTGGCCAAGATCAACTTGGAGCCAGGAGACTCTTCTCTGTGCAGGAGAAAAGGTGAGTGAGAGATTCCCAGTGGTCCACATTCTCACTATGATCCTCTGTATTTCTAGCCATGGGAGAGGCCCTCAGCGCTTGCAAGCACTGAGACTGGTATAGGGAGTTGCCTGGAATCCACCTGATGGCATTGTTCCGAAGAGAGAGAGGTCCTGCTGGGCCCCACACAACTCCCAAGAGCCAAGCACCTGAAGCATGCTGCCATTTTAGAGCCCAGACTCCACCAGACTGCACCGTGCCCTGGGGCCTAACAGCCCCTGCATCTCCACATCCCAAGATCCCTGCTGACATCTCACCACATCCACTCCAAGAGCTGCAGCATCACAATGCCAGCTCAACTGAGCACTGCAGCTGCGTTACATACTAAGCAGAGATCCATGAAAAATCTTTCTACCAAATTCATTGATACAATTGCAATTCATGCCATGTTTGAGTTACCTATATATACAAATGCATTTCCTTCCTTCTTGTTTTCTTTCTTCCTTCCTTTCTCTATTCATTCCTTCCTTCCCTTTCTTCCTTCTGTTTCTTTTTCTTCCTTCTTTCCCTCCTCTCTCTCTATATTATTTCCTTCCTTCCTTCCCATTCTCTCTCTACTTCCTTCCCTTTCTTTACTTTCTTCCTTCCTTTCTTTTCCTTCCTTCTTTCTTTTTTCTCTTTCTTTCATTCTACCTTCCTTTCTCTCCACCCTTCTTTCTCTCTCTTCCTTTCTTTCTTACTACCTTCTCTCTTTTTTCTTTATTTTCTGTCTTCTTTTCTTCCTTCCTTTCTCTCTCTTTCTTTCTTGCTTGCTTTCTTTCTCTCTCAATTCCTTTCTTTTTTATGTTCCTTCATTTGTTTCCCTTTTCCTTCCTTCTTTCCTTTCTCTTTCTTTCTCTCTTTTTTGTCTCTTTTCTCTTTCCTTTCTTCCTTCCTTTCTTTCTTCTCTTTCCTTCTATCTTTCTTTTCGTTTCTTTTCTTTTTATTTTTATTTTTTTCTTCTTTCTTTCTTTTCTTCTCTTTCCCTTCCTTCCTTTCTCTCTCTCTCTTTTCTCTCTTACTTTTTTCCTTCCTTCCTTCCTCCCTTCCTCCCTTCCTCCCTCCCTCCCTTCCTCCCTCACTCCCTCCTTTTCTCTATCTCTTTCTTTCTTTGCTTTATTGTTCTTTTTCTTTTCTAATACTTCAATTATCTTGTTAATTCAGTGTGCTACCTGAAAGGTAATTTCATTGTCTGTGTTCTGTCTTCCTCTTTCCCTCCCTCTCTTCCATCATGCTCTTTGATTCCCTTAATACATTTATTGCTGCATATCTTTAGAAAACTGAAGTAGCCAAAAAAAAAAAAAGACAGCTTATAGAAATTTTATGCAGCACTTCTATGACCTGCCAAGTAGGGATCAGCATTGAATATGGTCAATATAAAGATAATCTCTCATTATGAAGGCTCTGTAATAAACAAATTAAGAAAAAATGGAATATGTTCCTTTCATTTCCCATTGCATGATATTATTTTGTTTTTCTCGAGTATGATTTGTTGGCTTGTTTATTTTTATTTATTTCTTTTTACATTCTCAAGTCTCTTGATGTTGAATTAGTATGAACTTTCAGATTGTTTTTACTTCCAGATTTCTGCTCTTTTGTTTTATATCTTTATTTAAAATAGTCTTAGGTATTTTATTTGAAGCTTGTTTTTAAATCTAATGTTTTCATTTTTTTTTATCATACTTTAAGTTTTAGGGTGCATGTGCACAACATGCAGGTTAGTTACATATGTATACATGTGCCATGTTGGTGTGCTGCACCCATTAACTCGTCATTTAACATTAGGTATATCTCCTAATGCTATCCCTCACCCCTCCCCCCACCCCACAACAGTCCCCGGAGTGTGATGTTCCCCTTCCTGTGTCCATGTGTTCTCATTGTTCAATTCCCACCTAAGAGTGAGAACATGTGGTGTTTGGTTTTTTGTCCTTGCGATAGTTTGCTGAGAATGATGGTTTCCAGTTTCATCCATGTCCCTACAAAGGACATGAACTCATCATTTTTTATGGCTGCATAGTATTCCATGGTGTATATGTGCTATATTTTCTTAGTCCAGTCTATCATTGTTGGACATTTGGCTTGGTTCCAAGTCTTTGCTATTGTGAATAGTGCTGCAATAAACATATGTGTGCATTTCTCTTTATAGCAGCATGATTTATAATCCTTTGGGTATATACCCAGTAATGGGATTGCTGGGTCAAATGGTATTTCTAGTTCTAGATCCCTGAGGAATCGCCACACTGACTTCCACAATGGTTGAACTAGTTTACAGTCCCACCAACAGTGTAAAAGTGTTCCTATTTCTCCACATCCTCTCCAGCACCTGTCGTTTCCTGACTTTTTAATGATCACCATTGTAACTGCTGTGAGATGGTATCTCATTGTGGTTTTGATTTGCATTTCTCTGATGGCCAGTGATGAGGAGCATTTTTTCATGTGTCTTTTGGCTGCATAAATGTCTTCTTTTGAGAAGTGTCTGTTCATATCCTTTGCCCACTTTTTGATGGGGTTGTTTGTTTGTTTCTTGTAAATTTGTTTGAGTTCATTGTAGATTCTCTATATTAGTCCTTTGTCAGATGAGTAGATTGCAAACATTTTCTCCCATTCTGTAGGTTGCCTGTTCACTCTGATGGTAGTTTCTTTTGCTGTGCAGAAGCTCTTGAGTTTAATTAGATCCCATTTGTCAATTTTGGCTTTTGTTGCCATTGCTTTTGGTGTTTTAGACATGAAGTCCTTGCCCATGCCTATGTCCTGAATGGTATTGCCTAGGTTTTCTTCTAGGGTTTTTATGGTTTCAGGTCTAACATTTAAGTCTTTAATCCATCTTGAATTAATTTTTGTATAAGGTGTAAGGAAGGGATCCAGTTTCAGCTTTCTGCATATGGTTATCCAGTTTTCCCAGCAGCATTTATTAAATAGGGAATCCTTTCCCCATTTCTTATTTTTGACAGGTTTGTCAAACATCAGATGGTTGTAGATATGCGGCATTATTTCTGAGGACTGTGTTCTGTTCCATTGGTCTATATCTCTGTTTTGGTACCAGTACCATGCTGTTTTGGTTACTGTAGCTTTGTAGTGTAGTTTGAAGTCAGGTAGTGTGATGCCTCCAGCTTTGTTCTTTTGGCTTAGGATTGACTTGGCAATGCAGGCTCTTTTTTGGTTCCATATGAACTTTAAAGTAGTTTTTTCCAATTCTGTGAAGAAAGTCATTGGTAGCTTGATGGGGATGGCATTGAATCTATAAATTACCTTGGGCAGTATGGCCATTTTCATGATATCGATTCTTCCTACCCATGAGCATGGAACGTTCTTCCATTTGTTTGTATCCTCTTTTATTTCATTGAGCAGTGGTTTGTAGTTCTCCTTGAAGAGGTCCTAAACATCCCTTGTAAGTTGGATTCCTAGGTATTTTATTCTCTTTGAAGCAATTGTGAATGGGAGTTCACTCATGATTTGGCTCTCTGTTTGTCTGTTATTGGTGTATAATATTTCCATTTTTTAAAAGGAGGAGGTCCCGTTCTCTTTTCTTGAAAAGTACCTCTCAAACTGACAACTTGTGTTGTTAGAAATAGCCTGTGTTGGTAATATAGTAATCTGCATGCCATTTAAACCCCCCCCCTCTGCTCCACTAATATTTATGAAAACTTATACTGCATATCCTATTTCCACTATTTGTTTTTTTATAGTACTGTCATCTCAAGACCTTCTAATTCCACCTCAAATTGTCCAACCATATCATGCATTTTGTGATTGTTGTTGTTGTTTTAAAAAAATAACTGTCATAATGGGGAGAAAAATAAATTGTAGAGTAGAATATTATCAATATCTTGCTGGCTCTAATTTATTTATCTTTCTACATGTGTTACCGGACCTCAAATATCTCATGACATGAAGCAGAATTTATAGATTCCTGACTCTTTTCAGCATTCAGAAAGCCCAGTTTCTCTCCTTAATTCAAATGCCTTTTAAGAGGAGAGATTGTAGCATTATCTTTAATGCTAAGAAATTGGAGACAACTTAGTTGTCAATTAATGGAGGAATGCATGTATAGCCTGTGGTAAATGTAGCAGAAGAAATCAAAGTTCTAAATGTTAATACCAATATGAATGTGTCTTAAGCACATAGGATTTAGTGAAATACTAATAAAATGGTATAATGTATATAAATGTATTATATGTATCTGGTATGGCTATTCAAATTTTCCAAAAGCATATAGAACCACAGCGGTAATAAACATTAGATGACCCCTAGTCATCTAATGTCATCTATTGAAAGAGAAATTGAATTGGGGGTAAGGATATAAGAAGGGAATTAAACGAATAAAACAAGAGATTTATCATGCCTTGAAAACAGGAAATTTAAAATGTTTTCTCACACTCCTTTAGGGAAACTTTATGAAGTTCATTCTTTTAGTTTCTATTATTTCCCTACATTCAAGGTCCTGAAACTATGTCATGATAAAAACACATACAAATCTGTGTGTGTGTTTGTGTGTAGGTAATTTTAAATAAGTGACATAATTATCATACACAGAGACATATTTAGGGCTTTAAGAAGGCAAATGATATATAAGATATCTCCAGGACAATTCATCTTCCAAAAACATAATGGCTTATGGAAATAAGGATATGATCTCATCCTGATGAGCATCCAGATCTACTACAGATCATGTAATACCTGTTGTGCCTAGCTGAGCTGTTTCACCCCACGTCCAGGTCTTAGCTCCTCATCGCACATGGGGTTTTATCATTTATGTATTTAAAGTTAAACACACACACACACACACCCATACACACACACACCCATTAGTATTGTTTCAAAGCCCAGCAGACAGGACAGCAGATATCCAGTGAAAAGTTTTCTGATGGCATGGGCAGAAGAACAAGTGGGCAAGAAGAAACATGCAATTCTCCTTAAGACCTAGGGTTTAAAATGACACATGTCATTTTTACTACATTTTTTTAGCCAAAAATAGTGTTAACAGTGGAGATCAAATTCAAGCCTGGAGAGGAATTTTTCAGATCTCTGCCTAGGGAGCAGCCATTCTTTATTCCTTTACTTTCTTAACACACTTGCTTTCGCTTAAAAAAATTAACAAAAAGAATTTCTGTATTCCTCTAGTGAGACAAAATACATAATGGGATGTGAAAGATTGTGGATACAGAGATAATTAATAAATAGAGGCTAACAATTACCTCTATCGCATTCACTCTCTTGGTTATAATTACACATATCTCTCTCTAAATAGAGGCTAACAATTACCTCTATCGCATTCACTCTCTTGGTTATAATTACACATATCTCTCTCATATGGAAATGTATTTACTTTCATATCAAGTTCTCACAAATCCTATCTATGCATGTTATTAGCCTTGAAGTTCAATATACCATGTTCTACATTAAGGTTGGATACAGCTCTTCATGATCTGAAGATTTATGAAAATACATGTTAATTGCCAAATATACCCAATGATGGAACCGGGACAGAACAACTGCAATAAATACTCCCTTTGCAAAAGGGGAGAATGAGAGTTCCAAAGAAGAAAGAAGTTACTGGTTCATAATTATTGGAAATCCTACTTGGAAAATATTGTCCTTCTTCCCTATAGACTCAGATTATCCTCTGTTTATGCCTCAGCTTTGTTCCCTAAAATTTGCTCCCCAGTGCATTGTTTTTCAAAGCTCTTGGCTGATTTCTTTAAAAGGTTTGTCCTTTCCTGCCTTCCTGCTTCCCCGCTTCTGCAAAAGTAATTGTAGAATATGCCTTTCTTTGTAGCTCAGTTGCTTTATCAGCTTGCTTTCTCAATTTAAAAAGTGGAGGAACAGAAGTATTTTTCATATTAAACCATCTTATTCCCTTTTGATCCAGACTGTCATCATTTTTGCCAACACAATTCTCAAAAAGCTTGTGGTTTTCTTCATATGGTTCCAGTCTGGTCTATGTATCAAAATTCACACTCAAATTACTTTTTTCAGACATACCTTTTTAGACTTAATTAAACAAACCACAGACACTAACAAATATTCAGTTAATCTTTCCAAAAACCTTTTTTTTTTTTTTCTGGCTAGAATATGTTAGGCATTTTCTTTTCTTTTTCAGAGGCTTTAACAAAAGGTTCCATGGAAATACCTTTGTTTTGGCCATAAAAATTAGTCTCCTTTCTTCTCGCTCTCTCTCTCTCTCTTCCACCCCCACCCAACCTCCCCATTACTTCTCAGACAGAGTAAGAAATAAGGGTTTATTTTCCTGTATTGTAAGTTAAAACTGTCCTTACATCCAGCTCCCTCCTCACTCTACATTTAATATAATAATATTATAAAGCATTGTATTCATTGCTAGAATCTTATTAAACAACACTTATTAAGCACTTACTTTGTGGCAAACCCTGTTTATTATGATCTATGTGAAAGTTATTTTTAATGAGTAAGCTCAAACAAAAAGAAGTAATTAATTTGCCCTAAGCCCTTCTCAATTAATTACTATTTGAGAGGAGAGTAACCAAAGCTATTGATCTTGATGAAGTTTGTATATGGAAAATTTCTGAGAAATGTTTATATCCTAGCAACAGCTCTGTGTTAACTCTATTCTCCTAATTCTCAGAACAGTTTAAAATAATTACCTTTGACAGTTAGGAGTACCAGTCTTCTCACTGTATCCCAGTTGCATCTTACCCCATAGGTGTATTTTAATCAGGACCCATGTAGTTATAAATAATGGGAATGGGTTGAAACACTTTGAGTTAAATGACAGGAGCAGAAGTCATATTAGTCTCTTGTTTTCAGAAAGTTATTAGTTGCATAATGAAATACATGCTTAAAGCAAAATAATTATGATATATTGGCTCCACTGGGAAGCGTAGTTTGGAAAATCTCTGCTCCTTGTCCCAGTATATATGTATTTCTTGGTCCCCTTCCACATTTATTGAAGACTTTGGCACTAGGCTCATATTCTTCTCTACCTTTCATTCCTTAGCATCATGTAAGGTCTCAGTATCAAATAGAATAATAAGCACCATAAAATAAACTTTTGTCTCTTCAAATTAAATGACTTCACCTGCTCTCAAATTCAACTTCTCAATTCCTTGGCCAGAAGTGAGCCTTGTAATCACCCTCAGAAATAATAAATCTTAATATCTGTATCTTCAGTCAGAGCTCCATATTCATATCTGTCGTTTATGTGTCACTTTGCTTTCTCATCAAAGAGTTTTGTACGTTTATTCTCCAGTAAGAATCACTTTATCTGATGCTACTGATCGAATTTTCTCTTTTATTTCATTTGTATTTTATGATCAACCACGTAATCTTCCTCTTTCCAGCTATCTAAGGGCCATTACACTCTTGTTATGTTGCATTTTCTGCCCTCAAATAGCCACTCTGGGATCAGTCCTAAAAACTTTCTTTCCTCAGGTATACTGAGCCATGAAAAATTATTTGTAGAGAAAGATACCAACATTCTGCAGAAAACTCTTTAGATTTTCTGCATTTTCAAGCTTTCTTTTTCTTCTTAGCATCATTTTAGTCCTGAATCAATATCCATAAACCCTTACTACTACACTTCCTATTATCTTGCTATCTTCATTGTTAAATAGAGTGCATTAGCATTAGCTATTAATTACCTAAACTCTTTCTACTCTCCCACCTTTTTATTTTATTTTATTATTATTATACTTTAAGTTTTAGGGTACCTGTGCACAATGTGTAGGTTTGTTACATGTGTATACATGTGCCATGTTGGTGTGCTGCACCCATTAACTCGTCATTTAGCATTAGGTATATCTCCTAATGCTATCCCTTCCCCCTCCCCCCACCCCACAACAGTCCCCGGAATGTGATATTCCCCTTCCTGTGTCCATGTGTTCTCATTGTTCAATTCCCACCTATACTCTCCCACCTTTTAACAATACAGCTCAAATTTACCTCACTTTAATCATTAATAAACATTATTTTTCTCTACCTTTTCAAAGTCACTCTCTCAATGGAAACTTTAACCACATCCATATACTCAGAAATCTATTTTCATAAATAATGTTCTTTCTTCTTCATTGTTTTTCTCTCCATGGGCTCATTGAACACTATAAACATAGATTCAAGCCTATGCTAGCTTAAAAAGTAAAATAAAATAACTACCTTTGACCCTAACAATTGCTTACTATATATCATCACCTTCCAATTTAAAATTTTTAAGAGTAGATTTATGCACTGTCAGCACTTCTCAGATCACACTCACTGTTCAGTTCTGTGCAATCTGGCTTTCATTATGAGATGTGTACTGAAAGTTTTCTTATTAACATTAGTTTCCAAGTAAAAAAGACAGAAAGAAAATAATCCAGTTTACTTGGCCATCTCCAAACTTTTGATGCTTTAGACACCATTATCTACTCCTTCTGTGAATACGTACTAGTATCTTGGGTGAAGCACTAATGTATCTACTCCTCACCCAGCTAACTTATCTTGGTTTACAACTAATTTTTCTAAGTAGGGCTTGATTTTAGAAGTTAGCATAATAAAATAGAAACAGTGCTGAAGAATTGGCATTTGATCTTGATTAAAATATTACAGCTGCCTCTTAAAGAACTCAATATAGATACATTGAATGTGACAAGATCGGAGTATTTTGAAAAGAGTCAACCTAGGTAGTAAGCATGAGAGATACTTTCGCTTCCATTTTCTTTTAAGTGTATAGTGAGACTGAGAAATCAGACAAGAAGTTTCTGCATTCAGGCCACGTCACTCAAAGGACACCCATACAAAGTTGACCCTTTGGAAATAAACTGATCATGCCCTTGGCCTCTAAGCCACAACAGGAAATTGAATTCTCTGCTGTGTCATTGAACTTAGTTCCTGACAAGGACTTCTACCGTGTTCATTCTTTGCGGTTCAGCTGAAAGCTCAGATTGGGAAAGAAAGAAGGAAATGTCAAGTATCAAGTGGAAGTCATGGGCACAGCATAATAAATTAAATTCAAGGGAAGTAATCTCAACATTTTAAATATGAATGTGGCTTTAACTCTTTCTGATCATAACAATTCTTAAGACGTATTCTAGCATATTTGCAATATTTTGAAATATTTGTGTTGCTTCTGCAGAAGTGTTTTATAACTTCACATATAATTTCTCTTTTTATGTGTTCAGTTTTGTTTTCCAGCAGTATTGTGTGGCTCTTGAAGATGTAAAACACACACACATGTGCGCGCACACATATACATACACGTCTGTTAGTTGACTTAGTTCTACTGCTTCAGTTTCTCTATATTTAGCCAGTGTTTGCATGTAAAACAGACTCTTAATAAATACAGATATATATTGACTTGATTAAATGCAGATGATACTTAAATATTAACCAATACAACCTAAACTTTAGAATAATTTAATGCTTGCAATATTTACAAATAGAATTTGAAAAGACATGTTTATTTCATTGTTTTAAATGCGCAGAGGTAGATATGTTTTAAATTAATTGTCTTATGTTTGGGAGCACTAGTTGCAAAAGAGATGTGGGTATTTACTTTTTCTATAAGTTCCTTATTTGAAATATTTATGCTTAATAATTTTAATCTTCTCTGTGGCTATTATTCTATTCTATTTATTTGTTTTAATACACAAAATATTTTATGTTACTAAGTACATCAAAGCAGTAGTAAAACTTTTCATAGTTTGAATTATTAAAAAGAGCGTTTAAGATTAATTTTGAGTTTATTTTTATAACAAATATGGTTTATTGAATTATTTCATCTTGTTCCAAATGAGAAACATATTAATTATTATAAAATCTTGAACAGAATGAAACACAATTGAATAAATATAAAATTTCTCTATAAAACAATTTTAAATTGTAACATATCATTACAAAAATTAAAACACAAATTAATATTAGAGTTAATTTCAGTTTCTTGGTTTTTAAAAATATTGTGTATCAAGAAGTGTTTTAATTTTATTATAAAGGGGCCAAATGATTTAAATTTACAGTTCATGGTGCTAAACCGTTGTTAGTTACCTGTAAGTCATACTTTTCTTCCTGTTCATAATTTGAGAAACTACATTTATAAATATAGCTTCTCAAACAATTCATAACTGAATTATGCTATCCTACTTGCAATTACAATCATCACAATATATATAAATTAAATTAATAAGGTATATTCATGACTTTTTATTATCAAGATTTTTCATGCCATTGGTGTTTGACAAAGAAACCCAACACTTTCCAATACAGGACCCAGTAGTAGATCTCTGCTCAATGGCTTCCATTAATCTGGGAGACTTGAGAGGCTTAAATAGATATTACAATGACAGGGTAGATTTTAGAATCTGGCTATTAATAGCATCTGAATTTGTGTTTTTTTCTTAGTAGCTGAGAGAAACGAAACTGGCTGAAGAAGAGCCAGCTTTTTCTAGGTCAGTAGCCTAGGATGTCTCCTTGTGTCAGGAATCACTCACTTTAGAAATGCAATGTCAGCATAATGTTCATGTTGGAAACAGAATTGTCACACATGGTATGTTTTAAAATATAACCTGTAGTGTATACGAATTAAATTTTACCCTATTGGGAAAAATATAAAAGTAGATCTAATTGAAGCCGAGATTTGAGTTCCCACTGAAAAACATGGAGAAGGAGTGGTTCACTGGAAATTTTAAAATTTCTTTCTTATTTGTAACGATAATCTAGTAGTGATGATAACATGTCTACATGCATGCACTTTATTCTTGTAGGAAATAAAGAATATTTTTTAAAGTTTTAAAATATTTGTAATTAACTAACTGAATAAACAATAAAAACTTGGCAAAGGCTTATATTTTGCCACAAAAAATTAAAACAAAGATTTGTATATTTTATATTTATTTTTATATTCTTATACCAGTTCCCACTATTTTTTATTCATTTATTTTAGAGATAACTGAGCAAAACATTTCAAGATCTAATTGAATGCCCAAATTATACAAAGAAAGTGATAGTACTATTTTAACTCATTGCCTACAAAGATCAAAGTTCTAAACTAAATATATAATCACTCTCAAATCAAGTTTATTTTGTTTCACATTTTGTAACAATTTTTTGTTTGTTTTGTTTTTTGTTTGTTTGTTTGTTTTAGATGGAGTCTCCCTCTGTTGCCAGGCTAGAATGCAGTAGCATGATCTCAGCTGACTGCCACCTCCACCTCCCTGAGTTCAAGTGATTCTCCTTCCTCAACCTCTTGAGTAGCTGGGACTACAGGTGCACTCCACCATGCCCAGCTAATATTTATATTTTTAGTAGAGACGGGGTTTCACCATGTTGGCCAGGATGATCTCAATCTCTTGACTTCATGATCCTCTCACCTTGGCATCCGAAAGTGCTGAGATTACAGGCATGAGCCACTGCACCCGGCCAATCGAAACAATTTTTATATCCCTCTGAGAGCCTGTACTTTTTTAGGAAAAGGAGTACATGCAGGTGAAACAGTCTTAGCATGAAGTTAGAAGACTTATATTTAGGTTCCAGAATTAGCCACATAATTGTCTATCCATTTTGATTTTGGAAAAACTACTTACATATTTTGACCTTGTATCTCTTCTTTTTTAAAATAAGACACTAATATATTTTTAACTTATTATTGTGTAATGCAAATAAAACATACTCTATGAAATTTCACTGATCAATGTAATAATCACATTATTATTACTAATTGTTACCATTAAATATTTTTCCTTCTTACCAACTCAAGACATGATCTAATGTAAAATGGTCAGTGCAGGTAATTATAAAATTAATGTCATTATCATCTTTTTAAAACATCTCAGTATAAAAAAAGAAAAACAAAACAATGAAAGCAAAAGAAAAAATAAGTGGTTGATGAACAAAATAGAAGAACAAAAGAAACAGGGATTGTAATTTGAAGTGCCAAATATAGAAATATTTGAAACCAAAATTAAACTCGTTTTCTGTTACAGAGTTTGAGAAATCTGAATCAGCAAGAAGTATTTTAAAAGGTTTAAGGAAATGGTAAAACAAAGTTAAGTTCAGGCCTCTTATATTCAAAACAGTTTATGCTAGTCAAAAGAGTATTAAAAGACAAAAATTCAAAAAGCATAAAATAGAATGTGATGAGATGATATATAACAATAAAGATACAGTAGCAGTGTGATAAAATTACATATCTACTGTAGAATATGTATGACTGTGATAGGATAATGGTGGTGAGTTGAAAGATAGTTGACACAAATAAGGAATAACTTAAGTTTCTTTAATTTAAAGGACATAGAAGCTTATCTGCTCCAAGGCAGCTTCAAAGAATAGAGATTAAATGTAGTTTTTAGGCAGAGACACAGCTTTACTAGCTCTAAAATTTCTACATTGCTCCACAGTGCTGAAAATATGGCCAGAGGTTATAAAGTATTATCAGAACTTTTGAGAAGCTTTGGTCCTCTTTTCTCAATAGCTATTTTTACTGTCCTGGCACTTCCTAACTCTTCTGGAAACCACCTGTCAATCATTCCGACCATATATCATGGTATGATAAACTTGTATATATTCCTAACTGTTTACTCCTAGACTAAATTAGTCATAGGTCAGGCCAAGCAGAACTAAATCTCAGGCCTCCTTGAGCTTTTTCCTTTATCATTAAAAGTTTCAATATTGCCAGAAACTGAATGTTTTCGTTCCTGCAAAATTCATATTTTGAAACCTAATACCCAATATGATGGTATTTGGAAGTGACACTTTTAGGAGGTAATTAGTGACCTTATAAAAGAGATCCCAGAAAGCCCCCGGCCAGTTCAGCTAAGTGAAGATACTGCTAGAAATTGTCATCTATGAACCAGGAAATGGAGCCCTCATCAATCATCAGAACTGCCAGTGCGCTGGTCTTGTAGTTAGCAGCCTCCAGAAATGTGAGATATGCTTGTTACAGCTGCCAAGTCTATGATATCTTTGTTATATCAGTCCACACTGATTAATACAATTATATTACCTCCAAGGAAAATGCTCACATTCTTTTATTGTACTATGATTTCCTTACTTTTTATTTTGCACTAAAATAACAAAAATAGTCTTGGGACATAGTTCTTCCTTGTTTTGATTATTTAAAGTTTTACAGTAAATTCCATTTTTAAAAGCTTCATAATATTGACTGATATAGAAAATGTATAGACATTTCAGGTTTTTTTGTGGAAACAGGGTTACATTTATAATTGATATAATTTTAATAACATTTTTTCAAAAACTAGGGATCCGAACATAACCATGTATTTTTTTTTTTTTAGGAAACTTATTTTTATTTCATGGAGTGATGTTGGTTTGTTTTTGTTTTGTTTATTTTTCAATAACTTTTGAAATTTGTTTCATTCTTAGTATACTATAAGTTTATAAGTTTCACAGAAAATTTTTTTTCAGATTTGCACTTGGTATGCATATATTCTGGAAGCCATTTCTCTCTGTAAAGATTATTTAAAGTAGGAAATTACTGATAGTAGTCATAAACCTATTATAATTACGTAAACAGTGACTATGCCTGAAGGTTCTTCAGTTTCCTCCACCAACTTAAATCTTTTCACTGTGAGAAAATATGGTATATAGCCCTCAGCCAGTAATACAGCTGGCAGTGGCCTAAAAATATATCCATTTTATCAACAAAAAGTATACTTTGTGATTTTAATCCTCCTTTTTTAAAAAATTGGGTTCTCTTTAAAATACTTTGAAAATATTTGCTTTGGCTTTGAAATTTTCCATTAGTGTTTCATATATGAAATAATGGAGTTCACAAATTATGCATTTGTAAACTAAAAAGAAGTAATAATGCATAGAAAGTCTTTTAAAAGCTAAGATTCTTCAAATTAATTTAGCTCCCCAAACAAGAACAATTTTTTTATCGAAATCCAACATTTGAACTATAAATTGAGTAATTCTATAGCTAGTGAGTTGGGGTAGAATGGGAAAGTTGGACATTAGCGACTGTGTGTGTGTGCTTATGTGTCTGTGTGTGTGTGTATGCTCACTACGCAGTTTATGAATTGTGAGTCTTAGATTGGGTTAATTTGATGTTTAGTGTGGATTGAATATAAGTTTTTGATTTAACATCTTTTCAGCTAATTATTTGTTTATTCTACTGTATTTGAAGCAACATTGCTGAATAGAGATCCTTTCCCTACCCTGAATCAGTCATTTATTAATGTATCAAGAAAACCTAATTATTGATTTTAGGCAAATTTTACATGTGTGTAAATACATATATGTATCAATTGCCATGAAAGCAGATTCCTATTCCAAAAAAAATTATTCCCTATATAGACATATAAAAGTATGTGGCATATATTCTGAAAATAACAACATTTTGACAGGAAATATATTAAATGAAATGTATAAAAGTGCCAAAAATGAGTTCTAAATTAGTTTGGAAGAAAAAAGACAAACCCATGTGTTTTCTCGTGGTGGTGACAATAGTGTTTGTATATTTCTGTGTGTGAGTATATATAATTTATGAACTCAAAAGCTGGTGATTAATAGAAATGGGACTTACACAATTTTTCTGAGAAAAAGTGATTACTAAAAAACTGAAACATTGCATGTGAGGTTTTAAAAAACATCATCTTACAAATTAAAATACGAACATATACGTGAATATTTATGTAATAGCAGAGTAAAATAAAATGGCAAAAATGATTATTGCACCCTTTATAGAATTGAATGTTTATGGCATAATTCATTATTTCTGGGTGGTTTAGTTTTATGTGATTTTGACATATTTAATATTTTCTGAGATTTTCAAAATTGCTACAATGAATATGCATTATATGTAAAAGTTTTCAAAAAGTTAGATACCTTCTGTTTAAATAATTTTAAGTTCTTTTGCCAAACGGTGTATCTACCATACACCAACTCTCATTATGTATGATAACTAGAGTAGATGGAACTTATGTAAATATTCTGATAAATATTGTTATGAAATACTTAGAAACATTAGGAATAGGTTAATTAAAATATTATCTTAAATACAAAACAGGATAAGTGTAAGTGGTTGCATATGAATTTACAGAATAGGAGACTAGAAGAAAGCAAAATGGTAAAAATTATTGTAAAATAGAATTTTATATGTGTATGTGTTTGTGTGTGTGTAGACATATTTTATTACTAGATGTTCCTGGGTGGTGGTGTTTATGTGCTTTTAGTGTTTTTTAAACCATATACTATATTCTAGGTTTTCAAAATTGCTACAATAAAATAGTGTTTAAAATGTTATTAGAAAAATAATAAGTTAAAACATTTATGCCCAGGTGATTTAATTTTTAAGCCCCCATGATAACTGAACAGGTAATTTCTGTACTATCATCTGTTGTGTTAACTGCCCACATTCCCTCGGGAGGGCATTTTCAGACATTTTCTGTATATGAAAAATGGCTTCTTCATCTCTCTGCCTGTGGGTCCTCTGGCTGTGGAAGCTATTCCGCCCACAGAGGGGGGTAGCCTGAGAGTGCAAACAAATTAATGTTTTGAGGATTCATCAATGAGAGAAAAGAATTGATAAATAATTTCCCTATTTTTCTCATCCCTCAGAGGCACAAGTGTGTGGCATATATTCTGAAAATAGGTTTCACAAAGTTGTTCAGATAATCTCAATTAAGTAGCATTGAGCCCAATTACCCATGGACACAAACCTGTCGCTAAACATATATATTTTTAATGTCTTATTTTTGAATTGTTAATGTTAATGAATCCATACTTTTTATTAGCTGGCCTCCTTTCTCTCCACTACTTCTTCACTCCCACTCAGTATTCCTTGAATTCACCTCCCCAGTAAAGTACTTGTACTCATAGTCTTGTCTCAGGATCTCCTTATGATGAAATCCAAACTAAGACATATAAACATATGTCAATCAGGTTTTGGTCCTTTACAGATATTTGTTCATTGAATAATAAATGGATATACCAACCACAAAACCAAAGAGAATACATGGAAGCATACTTGTATAAACTTAAAATTAAAGGAAAGAGGTAATGAACTCATACTTTAACATGACTGGTTTAAGATGACTAGGATTCCTGTAGTCTCTGCTCGGATAAGCTTGGTAATGAACGCTTAACAAATGGGATTCCTGGACAGCAGGCACCCTTCTCAGGTACACTCAGACAAACATTTAAGCAACAAAATTATTTGCTTTATCCTTTTATAGTTGGCATTTTTGGTATAAATTTCAGGGGTACAAGTGTAATTTTGTTACATGGATATATCACATAGTGGTGAAGTCTCAGCTTTTAGTGATTTCATCACTGAACTAATGTACATTGTACCCGTTAAGTAATTTTTCATCATCTACTACACTCCCATCCCCCCGCCCTCTGTATCCCCAGTATCTATCATTCCACGGTGTATGTCCATGTATATATATTATTAGCTCTACTTAAAATTGAGAGCATGTGGTATTTGTCTGAATTTTTTCACTTACGTAGTGGCTCTCATTTTCATCCATGTTGTTTTAAAAAACATGATTTCATTCTTTGTTATGGCTGAATAATAGTCCATTGTGTATACATACCACATTTTGTTTATCCAATCATCCACCAATGGACACTTAAATTAGTTCCATATCTTTGTTATTATTAATTATGCTGCGATGAACATACAAGTGCAGATGTATTTTTTATATAATTGTTTCTTTTCCTTTGGGTAGATATTCAGTAGTGGGATTGCTGGATTGAATATTGATATGGTTTGGCTGTGTTCCCACCCAAATCTCATCTTAAATTTCCAAGCATTGTAAGAGGGACCTGGGGTGGGAGATAATTGAATCATGGGTGGAAGTTTTTCCCGTGCTTTTCTCATGATAGTGACTAAGTCTCACGACATCTGATCATTTTATAAAGAGGAGTTTTCCTGCATGAGTTCTCTCTCTCTTTGCCTTCTGCCATGATTATAAGGCCTCCCCAGCTTTGTGAAACAGTAAGTCCATTAAACCTCTTTCTTTTGTATATTGCCCAGTCTCAGGTATGTCTTTATCAGCAGTGTGAAAATGGAGTAATACAAACATAGCTGCAATTTTAATTCTTTGAGAAATCTTTATATGTTTTCCATAGATGTGGTACTAATTTATATTTCTACCAATAGAGTACAAGGGTTTTATTTTCTCCATATCCTTGCCAACATCTGTTATTTTTTGTCTTTTTAATAAAAGCCATTCTAACTAGTGTAAGATGATAACTCATTGCGGTTTTTAATTTGCATTTCTCTGATAATTAGTAATGTTGAGCTTTTTTATATGTTTGCTGGCCATTTGTATGTCTTCTTTTGAAAACTGACTATTCACATTTTGAGCCCACTTTTTAATGGGGTTATTTGCTTTGGTGGTGGTGTTGAGTCGAATTCCTTATAAATTTTGGATGCGTCCCCTGTCAAATGCATATTTTGAAAAAAATGTCTTTCATTCTTTAGGCTGTGTGCTCACTCTGTTGATTGTTTATTTTTCTGTGCAGAAGCTTCTCAGTTGAATTAAGTGACATTTGTCTACTTTTGTTTTTGTTGCTTACGTTTTGAGGTTCTTAAGTCATGAATTCTTTGCCTAGACCAATGTACAGAAGAGTTTTCCCTAAGTTTGCTTCTAGTATTTTAATAGGTTCAGGTCTTACATTTAAGTATTTAATTCATCTTGAGTTGATTTTTGAGTTGATCTAGTTTCATTTTTCTGCATATAGCCATCCAATTTGTCCAGAATCATTTATTGAAAACAGTGTCCTTTCCCCAGTACATGTTCTTTTCAACTTTGTCAGAGATTTGTTGGCGGTGGATAGATGGCTTTATTTCTGGGTTCGCTATTCTATTCTATTGACCTATACATATGTCTATTTTTATAATAGTACCATGGTATTTTGGTCATTATAACCTTGTAGTATAATTTTAAGTAAGATAATGTGATGCCTTGAGCTTTTTTCTTTCTACTTAGAATTTCTCTGGCTATTTGTGGTTTGTTTTGGATCCTCATAAGATTTAGGACTTTTTTTCTAATTCTGTGAAAAATGATGTTGGTAGTTTGATAGGAATTGCATTGAAACTGTAGATTGCTTTGGGTAAATGTTCATTTTATTTATTTATTTTTTAAATTTATAATTTAAAAAATAGAGAGGAAGTTTTGCCATGTTGACCAGGCTAGTCTTGAACTCCTGGGATCAAGTGATCTGCCCTCCTCAGCATCCCAAACTGCTGGGATTAGAGGTGTCAGCTACCATGCCTAGCCAGAATGGTCATGTTAATGCTATTAATTCTCTGATCCATAAGCATGAGACAATTTTTCATTTGTTTGCATCGTCTATAATTTCTTCCATCATTGTTTTGTAGTCTTCCTTGTAGAGATCTTCTACCTCCTTGGTTAAATATATTCTTAGGTATTTTATTTTTTTGTGGCTATAGTAAACGGAGTTGCCTTCTTGATTGGGTTCTAAGCTGGGTCAATATTGGTATATAAAATGATATTTTGAAAGTTTACTGAATCCATTTATCAAACTAAGAGTTTTTTGTTGGAGTCTTTAGGGTTTTCTAGATATCATATCATCAGCAAACAGGGATCATTTGACTTACTCTTTTCCAATCACATCAAGAGTTTTAAGGAGAAATTCATATGACCATCTCAATAGACACAGAAAAAGCATTTGTTAAATTCAACATCCCTTCATAATAAAAATTCTCAACAAACTAGGCATAGAATGAACATACCTCAAAATAATAAAGGCTATATATTACAAATACATAGCCAACATCATTCTGAATGGGAAAAAGTTGAAAGCATTCCATCTAAGAACTGGAACAAGGAAATGATGCCACTTTGACCACTCCTATTTTACATAGTACTGGAAACCCTAGCCAGAGTAATTAGGCAAGAGAAGACAGTTGATGTATTTAAGCTATGTCTAAGATGCTAGACTCCACAGATAGATCATGTATTAAATGTTAAGATTTTTAAGGCTTGAGGATCAGGAGCCCAATAATGTAATGCCAATAGTATTGCACAGCCATAGTTTTCAAATATTCATTTTATTAAACAGTCCATGTAGGCTTGAAAATAATGTTGATATTTTCCCTAGGTTATATTTTAAATTATGATATTCACTTTCTAGGAAATCTGTATTCATAAATGTTTTAGTATAAAATGCACATTATGAGTAGCTTTCATTCATACAATATAACCAATGTCCTGGAACCAAATGATGCTTTTCTCTTCTGCAGATTTAACTAACTAAGTAAAAGATGATTGTCCTCTTACACTGATGGTTATGTTGAAAAGTAATTAACATTGCACCAGTTGATATATATTTTTTCATCCTTTGGTTTATTTGGAGGCACAGCATATAGCAACAACCTGTTACCTTTGAGCATTATAAATACCTTTCCTGAGTAGGATAGCTTTTTTTTTTTTTTAGAATGTTAAGCTAAGTTAAATTAACACTAATTTTACCCACTTTCTCTAAATTTATTTTTATGTGCATAAAACAAGAACCGATGCATAACAATACAATTTTAGTAGTGGCCCGCCTTGTCCAAAATGTCTTACAATAACACATAGCTATTTTAACATGTAAGACATTGATGGAGAAAATTATCATCCAACAGATAAAACAAGGACTGCAAATAAAAAATTGCAAATACCAACATATATATAAATGTGTGTTAATTCATATGCTAAAAAAAGGTATAAAGTGGCATTGTTGCCTAGTTTTTTATAATGTAGTTATCACTTTCAGAAAAAGAAAGCAATATATTTGGTCAAATTGACTATCTAGGAAATCATGCCCTAATTATATGACTTTTCTCAAACACCAGATTTATTTCTGCTTCAAGGCCTTTGTACATACAGTTACTTTGCCTGAAAATTCTTTGTTCTTCTTTTATCGTTTGTCTTTAACTGGTATGGGTGGAAATTCTCCATGCTTTCTTTAGTAACCTGTCAGCTAAGTGAAAAGGACTTTATAATAACAGGGGAGGAATCAATCACCGTCTATGAAGAAAATTCTGAGAGATGGAATAACAGTTTCCAATCTGGAGCATAAAGATAGCATGTAAGGCAGTGCTGGTGGATTTGACAGGAATCAAAACGGTACAGACAGAATAAAAGAGTGGTTTGACAGATGTGAAGCTGACTATGTTAATTATGTTCTTATAGATTAATGGGTTGAAATCTATTAAATTATATATATTAAGGCATCTATTAGTAATTTTGAGACAATGAAACATAAAAGTAAAACACACATGACCTATATAAAATAACTGAAACAAAATGATGCTCATTGTAAATAACTTCTGTGTAATTTATCATCTAAATATGGTAATATTTGAGAAAGATGCTGCTATTAATAATAATGCAGTATAATATTCATAGATTGATAGTGATGCAGAAAAACCAGTATGTATGGCCATCCCAATTATGTAGAGAAATAATACTTCGTATGCTTACATAGAAACAGAGGTAGAAAATATTTCATGAAAGCATAGTGGAAAAAAATAGCTGAGATTTCTATGATTGAGAAAATCCATGTATATCTAATATGAATAATTGTTATTGATATAGACAGTCTTTCTGTGGTTTGGATCACAGGTTAGAAAACCATGGACTACTGGCTAAATTCAGCTTGCTTCCCGTTTTGTATAGGCATAACTTGGTTTTCATTTTTCATTTTTAAGTGGTGACATTTTAAACAATGTTATCAAAAGGTAATATAATCATCCAGATTTTGCCTTTTTCCAAGTCCTAATTCTATTTACTACATGACCCTTGAAGAAAAAAATTGTCTACCTCTGCTCTAGTTAAAAAGCCACCATAGAACTTCCAGTAAGACATGCTTTATTAGATAATATAGAAACATCTAAACTATATATTTCACCCATTAAAACTCTGCCATGTTCTTGATTTTGATACCACTGTCTGTTCTACTTAGGTGGACAATTTAAATAAATATATATATAATATAATAGATTAATAATTAATCACCAATATATTATTAATTGTATATTCAGTATGCTGAATTTTATTATTAACAACATATATGCATGAATATATGTACTCCAAATAATTCATATAAATACATATAGGAAATAATCAATTTCAATGGTCTGCAAACACTACTACACACAGCAATCCCTTACATTCCTGGGGTCTCAAACTGACTTACTTCTGAAATCATATCTCCACAGTCTACCTTTCAGCCTTAACTGATTACTTATCCAAAAAATAGGCATTTGCAGAAACACTTTGAAGATGGGAGATTATGTGGAACCAATGATACATTGAATTCCATAGAATTTCATAATAGTATTGATGACTTTGGACCAGTTGGCATTTGACTTCATGACTGGCATATAGTAGTGCTTTATTACTAATAAATCCACAAGATAAGCTTGCGAGCACAAGCTTTTTTATTATTCATATTTTTAATTGACAAACCATAATTATATATATTTATGGGGTACAAGGTGATGTTTTGATATATGCATACAAAGTGTAATGATTATATCAAGCTAATTAACATATCTGTCACCTCATTTACCCATCAATTTTTGTGGTGAGACATTTGAGAGTTACTCTCAGCAATTCTGAAATGTACACTACATTCTTTATTTGAACTTTTCTAGTATAACAATAATAACACACATGGGTAGTCATTGTATTTTTTTTCCATTCTCTATTCATATAAGCTTTATTTCATTTTCTATTCATACAGCAGTTTTATAAAATTTATGTATTTAGATTACATTTTGGTTTTCCCATTTTTATTTCTTTATTACTCTTACATGTGAAATACACAGTTTTAGATAAAATGTATTTTCTTTATTTCCAAAAAAACAGTTTTTTTGTATGAATTGTATGAATTTTTGTAGTTTATTTTTATGAATGTCAAAGATATTCCTTAGGCTTCACTGGAGGTTTGTGATTTCTTTCTTCTTGAATTCTCAGAGACTTCTTTCAGTTTGTAATTATTTTGGATCAAAACTCTGATCAACTTGTTTTATTTAGTCCCTTGATTCTTTCTCAAAACTGAAAAAAAAAGTTTACTCTTAACAAAGATAGGCCACTAACTATATAGTATATTTTATTTATGGTCCCTGGATTTCATAGCTTCTTCTGTCCATTCCAGGTCTTAGGTTTCAGTAGTACCACAATCTCCTGAATCTTATTACAATCTTCAATCTAACTCATTATTTTTGTTTATACTACTTACAACTCAACTAACATGAACTTTACAACTTGAAGGGGATGCCAGGAATTTTCTCTTGAATTACCAGCTGTGGCAGAAAAATATAGGGAATAAATGTGAAAAGTTGTTGTAGTAATGGACAATGACATACTTAATGCCTTGCTACATTTGTTTTTAACGATGTTACAAAATAATTAAGAACTTTAATGTAAATTCCAAAACAAACAAACATTTGTATTATTACATATGTCTACTCATTTTTTCTCACCTAAATTAAATGCATAAAAATATGTAAATCATTAATGAATTATTGAAATTTAAATGCATTTGTAAAATAAAGTATTTTTTTCTTTTTTTTGAGACAGTCTGGCTCTGTCACCCAGGCTGGAGTGCAGTGGCACGATCTCGCCTCACTGCAACCTCCGCCTCCTGGGTTCAAGTGATTCTCCTGCCTCAACCTCCCGAGTAGCTGGGACTACAGGTGTATGCCACCATGACCAGCTAATTTTTTGTATTTTTAGTATAGACAAGGTTTCACCATGTTAGCCAGGAAGTAAATTTTTTAACCTAGAATATCTCTCCATTTACTTAGATCTTTACATGTATATGTATATATGTATATACATGTGTATGTATATATGTGTATGTATTTTACATGTACTTTAATACATATACATATATGTATGTGTACATATATGTATATGTCTGTACACATGCCCATATACGTGCACATATGTATATGTACATATATGTATGTATGCACACATACATATATGCATACATATGTATGTATGTATACATATATGTATAGATATATACATATATGTGTGTCTATGTATTATATATGTATATGCATTTTACATGTGTATTTTACATGTATATGTACATGTATATACATATGTATATGTGTGTATATATACACACCTAATTATTTATATTTACAAATATATATAGTACGTATACATAATTGTATTTATTTTAACGTATTCTGTTGTATTAAAATATGGTCCTTTTAAAATAAGGCTTAGGAATAGAATCAGGAATCTAAATGGTTGGGTGTCAACACTGAGATAATTTAATCATTATTAAATTTTTCCTAATATAAGCACAATAAGGGAGAGAGTGTTATTGATTTCTATTTTCCACTGTGTAGAATGAAGCATCAAAAAAAAAATAAAACAAATAAACTCTTCAAAATAACTCAGTATTAAATGACAAAGTTAATTGTGTCTTCATGTAGTGTAATTTCTTATATTTATTTGTTCTTGACTGACAAATAAAAATTGCATGTATTTGCATGTACAACATGTTTTGAAATATGTATACATTGTGGAAAGGCTAAATTAAGCTATTAACTTATATATTACATCACAAACGTCATTTTCCATGGTGAGAACTATTAAAATCTAATTTCTTAGCAATTTTCAAGAATACAGTACATTTTTATTAACTATATTCACTATGTTGTGTGATAAATGTCTTAAACTTATTCTTCCTATCTAACTAAACTTTGTGTCCTTTGACCAGCATCTTTCAACCACCATCCCCCACCTCCTACACCCCTGGTAACCACCATTCTATTCTGTATTTCTATGAGTTCAACCTTTTGCATTTTATCATACATAAGTGAGATCAGGCAGTAGTTGTCTCTCTGTGCCTGGCTTATTTCACTTAACATAATGTCCTCCAAGTTCATCGATATTGCAAACAACAGTTTTTTCTTATTTGAAAGGCTGACTAGTATTTCATTTTGTGTATTTATACCACATTTTCTTCATCCATTCATCATTAATGGACACTTAGATTCCACATCTTGGCAATTTTAAATAATGCTGCAATAAAACATGGAGTGATATGGTTAGACTTTGTGTCACCACCCAAATCTCATCTTGAATTGTAATCCCAAGGAGTTGAGGGACAGACCTGGTGTGAGGAGACTGGATCATGGGGGGCAGTGTCCTCCATGCTGTTGCCGTGATAGTGAGTGAATTCTCATGAGATCTGATGGTTTTATAAATGGTAGATTTTTCCTGCACTCTCACGTCTCTCTCTCCTGCCACCATGTAAGACTTGCCTGGTTCCTCTTCCACCATGATTGTAAGTTACTTGAGGCTTCCCCAGCCATGCAGAACTGAGTCAATTAAACCTGCTTTCTTTATAAATTATCTTCTCTCGGTGTTTTTTTTTTTATAGCAGTGTGAGGACAGACTAATACATGGGGTAATTTCAAAGGCTTTTTTCTCAGCAAACAAACTATCCCTGACTCCCTCCACTGTCATATGCTATTATCACACAAGTTATTTTACAAGAAGTCAATTGCAAATACTGTGGATGCAAATCTGAAACAATCTGTGAAAGAACCTTTTCATCCCTAAAGTTCAACAGATTTATATCTTAATTTTCATACCCCAAATGAGATGCCAGATTTTTTATATTTAGATGGTTCATTAAACATAAGTTTTGATAAACAAGTGCCTTTAAGATAGTCATCAACTGATCTTTCCTAATTAACATAGTATAGAAATGAAATAACTTATTATACTTCCTTTATTAATGCGAGTTCAATATTTCTCAAAGAAATATTCTTTGGTGTTAGGTCTTTAGAACAGCTTGGGCACTATCATCTCTGTTTCATGGAGCTTGTTCATGTACTTTAAATTTGTTGTTTCTTGCCTTACTGCTGACGCATTTGTTTATTTTAGTTATTACTTCACACTTTAAAATAAAAACTGTATTTGTCACATGTTTTGATTACATTATCTACAAATGTAATCGGTCTCACAATGATATGTTCTACTAAAACATGACTCAGCAATAAAAAAGCAAAAATCTAATTTCCCAGAAAGTAGAATAAGATACCTAACATTCAGCAACAGCAAGGCAAAACTGGAAGCTCTTTCTTGTATGTGGGCCAAGAACATTCCACTGCTGTTCAGTGTGTACTTGATGTTGCCATCTACAGTTCAGTATCAGCCATATTTCATAACAAGCAAAATTAATATATTTTAATATAAAATTTTATATTTTCCCATGGCTCAATATATGTCAGGCATAACATTTACTAAGGATAGAAGTCATTTTTCAATTAATGAAATACATTTTATGTTAGATAGTATAAATGAGCTTAAAAATAGTCATAATTACTTAAATTATTTTTTCTATTTGAATCTTGGAATCTTGCATACAAAAATCGCTTTTAGAAATGCTAAACTGTTTTTTCTCATGCAATGAAGAGTAATATTTAAACATTCTTAAAATTATTTAAGTGCTCTAAATTTCACAATTAACTAAGAGAAGTAACATAAAAACACACTAAAAGTATTATAATATTTATGTGGAGTAAATTTAAATAAATTTCCTATAGTGGAATTTAGACAGCTAAGAAAGAGAGAATGTCTTCAGGGGGAGTATGATATTAATTAGTATGACTAGAAAATGTTTAATGTCTTTAAAATTATACCAGAATTTTAAATAAAAAGAAAAATAAAAAGAAATAAAGAAAAAGTTCTTTTTAAAGCCATTAAGTATGCGTTGTTAAAGAAATTTTATACTTTCTGTAACATTCTCTTTACTATCAAGAAACTGTACATTTATAAAATATATTTACCAATATTTGAATACATGTAATAGGAAATAGTAAACTGCAGTTAAAATTAGTAAAATAAAGTATAAGAAATTCTATTACTGTTTAATTGAGCTACTATCTAGTTTTAAGTTGTTATTTTCCTACCAAGTACAATCATTATGCTAAATTGATGGCTGGTGCATTTGGAACATGAAATGCATTTCAAATTAATATATTCCCTAGAGTTAAGGAAGCATATTAGTCTCTCTTCTGGAGAGAGAGCTCGGGGAACTGTTTTCTTAACCTTCAAATATACTAATTTAAAAGATGGATTTTGTTTTTTATTGCATCTAAGCACTATCATCAGACAACAATTAGAAATTCCATTCTCTCCAACATATCAAGACAACCACTCTATCACTTTTCTTTTCTACCTACTCCCCTTCCTCATCCAAGAACTTTTCCTCTCTGACCATATGACAGCTTTTAATGCAATCTGTACAGGTATTATGTTATTGCTTATTCTGTTTACTTTCAGAAGTTTTTGTGTTTTTATTTTTTATTTCCATTCTGTTCATACTAATTGCTGAGGCCAAGTCACATGATATTTCAGGAGACCTTGTTTCCCAGATGTCTCTTACTCTGGAGAAAACACATATATCTCTAATAAATGCTGTGACAATGAGGAACTGGATAGCTCCACAAAATATAGGGAAATACGTTACTGGGTTTCAGCTTCTTTGAAAGTTAATATATTACACATAGAACAGGAAAAAATTGTTCCCATTACATATTTTGTTTCTCATAATCTGTTATGAACAACAACAAAACAACAATTGCAACATATATTTTATTCATCCACAAAGGTCTTGAGATGCTGAGTATAGAAATAGACAAAATACAGATTATATATAACAATAAAGCTCTGACCTCCGGCCTTTTCTCCTACAATCAGTCCAAGAAGACAAACCACAACCTCTACAAGAGTCAGTCCAATACAACCAGTTATTGGTCAATAATTCCCAGCATCTCTAATTTTGCCCCTGCTTTCAACCTATGACCAACCAGAGAAAGCAAAATATGGCTCTCTAGCCAATCACATAGAATTCCTTGCTTCTACTTAGTCAGCTTACAGCATCCCCATGCCAGCAACCTGCAATTAGTGCATAACTTTTTTCACTATAAATCTTTGACACTTTCCTGCCTACCTCTGAGTCTCTGTCAAATGCAAGTGATGGTGGCTAACTTCCTTCCTATAGCAAGCTCTGAATAAATACCTTTTGTTTGTTCTCATTTAGGTTGTCTTCATTCATTTCCACAGTTTCTCTGGAGGTTCCAACAAGATACGGTCTCCATTGCCCATTGCTCTGGACCCCAGCCATCACCCAGTGCAGCAGTGATGCCTTATGACAAGTCAGCACCTGGTCTGAACTCTGCTCTCTTTGCACTGAATTCTTTGAGTTTTTATTCCAAGTTCAGTCATTGGTTTTAGTATTGGTTCCCATCTGCTTGGCATCCTTGGTGGAATTGGGCTTCTTTTTTCAATTTCTTTTTGCTGTCTTTTTGTTTTACTGTGTTGAGTAGTGCTATCTAAATGTGTTTATCATAAAAGAAGCAGCACATGATCATAGGCCCATGAGCCTGTTTTTCAAGCCAGCCAAACAGCACATTTAGTTTGACATTCACACTGGACCTCTGTCCATTTTTATAAACTTCGCTTTGGGTCATCAATAAAACTAAATGAAGTTCTCTCTTGATTTTTTGTTATTGTTGTTCTGCATACCTGGTAGTGATCCAGATACAAAGATCACAGTTTCCACCTGCCGAAAAAGCATAGATTTTTAGATCTGCACTTGGAGATAGCCACTGTTGGGTTGCATTGGACTTTCCAGTGATATATGAAATAGTGTTATAAGAGACCCGTTAAAGTTCCGATAGATTATACCAAAGTGTTACCCAAACTTTCCCAAAATCCCTTAAAGCTAGAAGCAAAATAAGGGCTCAGACCTATGATGAAAGCTTAATACATGAAGGTATTCTTATACCCAGCACTAGTCCTTGTAACACTCCCTTCCTATCAATAAAGAAACCAAATGGATGAGGACATCAATATGTTCAAGACCTCAGAACCATCAACAAATTTGTTATCCCTCTCTTCCTGGTAATACGTAACCCAGTGAGCATCCTGTCATTAATTCTTCCTGAAGCAACTTGCTTCACTATAATATATCTTTGCTCTGACTTTTTCAGTGTGTCTCTTGACTAGGAAAATCAATACCATTTTGCCTTCTCCCGGAAGGAACACAACATACCTGGATAGTCATGCTCCAGAGAGTCTTTGATAACCCCTCTTATTTTTTCTCAGTCCTAAATCAAGACTTAAAGGAATTACATTTCTCTTGAGGTTCAGTTATGGTGCAGCATGTGGTGCTCTTTTACTTTGCTCAGAGAACAAGGAAGCTCTTTGAAAAGTTTTGTTTTATTTTTGCTCTCAGACTTTGCAGGAAAGGGGCACAAAGTTTCAAAGGATAAATCACATTTTTCCCAAGACATTGTTCATTATTTACATCATGGTATATCTTGTCAGAAAAAAATAGTCTGTCCTGCTAGCTGGAAGACTAACCAATCTCAATTTTTTTTTTGAGATTGCAATATCTCTTTATGAATTGACTAAGTCCTTGGTGACAGACCCTCTACTCTGGGAGCCCAAAGATGAAATGGACTCTCTAATCTTAAGATGCTTTTTAACAGCCTTCCCTAGGTGTTACTAACTATTAAAAGTCATTTTGTCTATTTGTGAATGAAATATCTGGGCAAGTCCTTGGAGTTTTAACTCAACTTCATAGGAAACATCAAAAACCTATAGCTTCTCCACTGGCCTAATTGCAAAGATTCATTCTGTTTGTCTTAGAGCAATAGCTGTGCCTACAAAAGTTGTTGATTCCATGCTTCTAATGAAGTAGTCCTAGGTCCCCTACTTGTCCTCATGCTTTGTCGTGCAGAACTGACATTACTACTGATGGATAACATGCAACAATTTTCAGCTACCCAATTAACCTCTTTTGAGACTTTCCCTATTACATTATTATTCACTTCTGAAACACTCTAAACCCCACCACTCTCCTGCCCTAACCAGAAATAAACAGAACATCAGTTCTTATTACCTCAGTTACTAATCTCTGTACCTTGACTGGATGTATTATAGGCACCCTTCAATAATTCTGATCTATTATATGTGGATCAATTATACCTTAAAACTGAAACTAGAGGTTATCAAATAGAATATGCTGTCACTAATTTAAGCTTACTCTTATAGTAGTAGTTCTCTACCTGAGGTAAAATCAGTACAGTTGGCCACACTTACTGCATTTACTAGATATATCATCAACTAGCCAGACACTAGAAATTAAAGATGTATGTAAATAGTATGTATGCTTTTGTAGCATCACATAATTTTGGCATACTTTGAAAAAAAAAGGTGTCTTACCTCTGCTGGAACCCCCATCAAAAATGGGAACTAAGTTAAGGAATTCTTAGATGCACTCCTACTTCCCAGAAAGGTGCCTATTATAATAATTGTGTATCATGCAAATAATAATAAAAGAGTTAAATGGAAGCTACAGAAAATGTTCTAGCCAATTATTATGCCAAGATAAATCAGTATTAATCAAGGTTAAGAGTCTATCTAAATCTTCAAAGAATAATTCTCTGGAGGAATTCAAAGAGGTAATTATAAATCTTCTACATTTAGCCCCTGGTTTTCCAGAAGAAGACAAAAAATAATCTGATTGTAACCTTTACTCTGATCACATCTGATACTCAAAGCAGCTGCTTGGCGGCACTAGATGATTTCACATGGATTTTAGATAAATTTTGCCATGAAACTACTCATCATGGTATAGACTCATCACTTACTATTTTAGTTTATGTTGGTAAGAATCCCTTAAAAACACAGCTGAGGTTATTTGCAAGTCATTTATCACCTGTAAAAAAACATAAACCTAAAAAAAAAAATAACGGTAGGGCATGGCCAGAAACCAAACCCCAAGGGACCTTTGAATAACTTCAGTTGAAATTTATACAGCTTCTACCCTCCCGGGGATTTGAATATATTATAGGATGGTTTGGAGCATTGTTCGTATTAGAGATGAACTCTTTAAACACAACAGAAAGGTCAAGAATTTCTGGCAATACAGTTTACTATAGAGATAACTGAACAGTCTCTGAACAGTGAGGACCTTAATCTCTAGGCTTCCAAGTTGTTTAACCTCACACCATTAGAAAATGATAAAAAGCAGAAGACTAAGAGACTAAATGTACAATGGTCAGAACTTATATAAAAACAGCGCTATAATGCACAAACTCTGCAGCAAATCCCTTGGGAACCAAACCATTACCTCCCCACAATGAGCCAAAAGGGACCAAGAGTTGATCAATAACTTGCAGCTTTCCTAATTGTTTTCATTTTCCAGAGGGATCAGATAAACCAGAGAAAGCTGAATATGCTCGTTAACCAAACTAATGGAATGTTCCACCTCTATTTAGCCTGTCTTCAACTTTTTCATGCTAACAGTCTCCAATCGGAGGTTACCTGAAGTCTTTTTCCACTATCAAGCTTGCAAACTGGCCTGCCTGCTACTGAGTCTCTATCAAATACAAGCGGTGGTGGTTGACTCCCTTGCCTTAGCAAGATTTGGATAAATAATTTTTGCTTATCCCATTTGGGTGGTCTTTGTTTATTCCCACATCTAACTAACCAACATTTAATTGAACGAAGTCTTTTTTTTTTCCCACTTGATGTAAAATCTGGTTCCTATGAAGAATGTTAGAGTTGTTTTTATTAGCAGTGTACACTAATGCCAATATCCTAATTTATACTATATTCAAGCCACGAATCAGCTTGAAATCATAACTAAATATATTCATTTAGTTCATTTTAGAAATTATAGAGAAGCTCATGGCCAGGCTTGCTTTATTCCAGATCAATGGGAGAATCAAAAAACAGGAGTCTATTATGGTGAGACAACAACAACTAAAAAACACTTACATAGTAGCTAAAAATGAGGTAATTGAGTAGAATATGGACTCTATTCCCATCTGACCAGTAAAAAATTCAATGAACCATGGCTTTGGATTCTTGGAGTGAAATTTATTACTATCAAGGGTTGCACTGAACATAGGAATTAAAGGAAGTTCAAGAATTTCAAGTGAAGCTAGAGGGATTGAGAGGCATAAGGAGATCTAGTCGTTTATTTGAAATTTTACATTTTTAAGTAAATTTTAGTAATAATGTGCTGCTTCCAAAGCTGAATATTAAATTCTTAGTTCTAGAGTATTTAACTCTATTATTCTACCCTGAAACAACCCTTGTCAATTTCCAGCCCCGCCTCAGTCCATGTCAGTCTTGACCTCTTTTTGGCAGGTATGGACAACCCTAATGATAAGAAGATCCTGGCAGAATTAAAACTGTACCATGGTTCCCAACACTCAAATGCAACGCTCTTTCTAGTGTGCCTTGGAACTCCAGGGAAAAGTTTATTTGGTAGAATGAAACAAATCAGTGTGTATAATTTAAATTGCATCAAGCAAATAAAAGAATAAGAACTACATGTAATTGCATTATCTGCATAAATCAACTTAGCAGTATTTTTAAAATAAATTCAATAGAACCTTTTTGTGACTAATGCATTGAGAGTTATGTAACATTTATCAGATGTAACTTTTATGTATCACAAAGTCTTTCCTAAAACTAAAAAATATATATATTTTTCCACATCCTTGAGCAACATTTCACTCTGTGATAACCAAAAATATATGTGCTTAGTGAACTTAATCCACTGAGCAGTATTTTCACAGATATTTTCATTTATACCTGAAGTATATTTTAAACTTTAAAATAAGTTACAGGGCCAGAGAATTTTGAAAATTTCTTCCTCATATATAGAAATGAACATCCATTATTTTTATAAATATAAAATTTAGGGGAATCCAAAACTTTTCTTACTACTACGTGCATTTCTATAATGAGTAAAACTTTCAAATCCTTTACAAAGCATAATTATATATGCTTATAACAATCATTTTAAGTTAAAATATTGTGAAGATAGTTTATTAACACATTAACTAATGTTATATAGATTTTAAAATGTTCACTGTATTTTTTGTGCTTCATGTTCTCAGTTACCACTAAGACTCATATCCTCATTATGAACAGGGATTCGACAAAGTCATCTCTGTTTTTTATTTTACTTCAAATTCTGCATTAAAAAAATTACAGCTCTGTGAAGCTCTAATAATAGTTCTTCATCAAAATATTATTTTCTTATGCCAGAACATGAGGATCAAAAGCTAAGTAGTAAGGAAGAGTATAAACGCTGATTTATCAGGCTGATGTTACCATTAGTATTATTCAGATAGCTGATTACACAATTTTCAGTTCTACTCTACTTAAATTCTGTTGTATGATTAAAACATACATCCCATTTAAAAATAAATCTGTTCAATATTCAGGTCAATGATTTTACATAGAATCTTTATTCAATTCTTAATCAGTGCTAGGATGAATCTTAAAGTGTCACTGGCAGAAGGTATTTTACCTACTTTATTAGAATTCAGACATTTATCTTAAAGACAAATGTCCCTGACGGTGAAACATATTATTAGAAAGAGTACTGGGTGGTGAAGTAAAAGATCATTGATGAGGAGCATCTGGGGAGTGCCAGAAGTGGCTCTGAAAATTATAACATGATACTTTGTGGAAAATGATTCCACAAAGACAATATGTGTAAGGAACATGGCTGTGCTTTGGTCAAGGATAGGCCAAGGTAGGATGTTTACATCATGTGTGACTCAGCGAGTTTAGAGAGCAGGCATGTAACTCCACTAGTTATCACAGCCGTGCAGCCACAATGCGGGAAGGCTGTCCTTGGCCCTATGCCACTATTGTCAGTAAAAGGTATAACTGCCCTGCTGACACTGTGCACGGGGCTCAGCTCAACATGGCTTGACATGGCGGGCATGCTGGTGCCCAGAGAAAGAGAGGGAGCCAGAGTTGTCCATCTTTGCAGACAGACAGGGGGAGCCAGGACATAGCATGGCTCTGCTTGTGCCCAGAGATGAAGAGTTAAGCTGCTGACCCTGAAGGCAGGCTGTGTAGCTGTGTGTGGGAGCCAGCTGCTGAGATGAGTCACTGGACTAAGCAGCTGAGACAGGGCAGACAGTGTGAGAGTAGGCTGCTGATGAGAGCTGCTGCTGAATAAAATCATCTTTCACTTGCCTACGGCCCCCCGAGTGTTCTTTCTGCTCATCCACCCACTCCCTCTGGACCACAGCATAGGCTGGAACCTGACCCTGAACATAACATTTGTCATAGTCATGAACTTGATAATTGGCATAGTCGGCAGGGTGAGGTTAGTAGATCTTCAGCCCTTGGGGCTCCCGGGTCAACTATGTGGCTGAAGCATGGTTTGTGGTACCCGGTGGCAGCGGTGATGCTCGCATGAACCCAAATGGAAACGTGTGAGGCAGTGGACAGGTCTCCTGCAAGTGTGGAGAAAGCACTGAAGCATCTGGAGACACACAGCACCAAGAAGGAATGCCCGTTCACTGGCCGAGTCAGATGGGCATTTCTGACTGCCCTGTGTGAAGTACATGCTCAGTCCCACAGGTAAGGAACCTCCCGGTGAAATGTGCATGCTTGGGGGCCCAAGTGCACATCTCAGAGCAAGACCTCAGGGTAGTGGACTTCCAGGTGCAGGCAGGGCACTTAGAGACTCAGATAAACAATCTGGAGCCAGAGTTGGAAACAGCTGTCAGCACGCCCCTGCGCCCATCTTCCCAGCTGGACACTCTCGTTTGGTCTGATGCTGAGGAGGAGGAGGAAGCTCCTCCTCTGTGGTCTCACTCTGTGATTCATCAGAAGGTAGAATATGAAAAGCTGATGGGACCCCAGAGGAGAGCCCAGGGACCCCCACAGTTACTTGTGGGACTGAGCATGTACTTCACACAGTGCAGTCAGAAACGCCCATCTGACTTGGCAAGTGAACGTGCATTCCTTCTTGGTGCTGTGTGCCTCCAGCTGCTTCAGTGCTTTCTCCACACTTGCAGGAGACCTGTCCACTGCCTCACACGTTTCCATTTGGGTTCATGCGAGCATCACTGCTGCCACCGGGTACCACAAACCATGCTTCAGCCATATAGGGACCCCACACAGTGGTGGAACATACCTCTTATGGTGCTTAAACCCGCACTGAATTGAGGGAGTTGGGTAGACAGTGCTGGCAGTGTCTGAAGGAGCTGACAGAATTTCTTGCTCTGCTTCTGAGATGGAGAAGCTGGCCTCTGTCACAACTCACCCCTCCCTTCATCAACAGCTGCAGCTGGTTGGCACAAGGGCACGGTGACCTCACGGTAATTGAGGGTCTGATGGCAGCCATACGGACTGTTTGGAATGATGCCGGAGACATACCAGAAACTGAGAAAATGGCAATCATATACCGATTTGGTGCAGGTACTCCAGGAGATGAATGTGCGGCAGGCTATGTTTGATCTGAACACCTGGGGGCCAGATAATGAATGCTTTACTTCTCACAAGAGATCTTGTGCTGGGCTCAGCGTCTCCCAGTGCTTTTGGCTCTCTAGCTGCTGTTCTCACCCCATATGTGGGGCACTGAAGTGATTACCGTTATGGTAGCCCTCAGGGAGGCAGAAGACCATCCGCAGGACCGGAGAGTCCACGCCATAAAGAAGGGGAAAGTGCATCCTCTGCAGGTGACCACCCCACAAGATAAAAAGGGGCCCCAGCAGGTGACCTGCATGCAGAGGTCGATTGATTTAATTGCAGGTGGGGTTGCACAAGAGAAAATTGGCAGTCCACCAATGGAATGCTGTTGGCTCTATGGCAGCAACTGTCCCAGAGCAACAATTCCGGAAAATGCCCAAGAGGGGACAAAACAATGTTGCTTAACCCAGCCCCGCCTGGATGCTGCAGCTCAACTTTTTGCAGACAGGCGAAGAGACTGGGCCCTTCCTGTTTGATTTGGGAACTGGCCGAGGTGCCTGGCTCGGTGGGGGGAACTGGACAATCAGATGCTATATGTGGAGCTGGCAAGCCACTGGTCCCCCACTAGTATACAGAAGGTCCTAGCACTGGTAGACACTGGTGCAGGCTGCAGTCTAGTTTATGGGAACCCGGATAAGTTTCCGGGCAAAGCTGCATTTATTGACGGTTATGGCGGCCAGTCAGTGAAGGTGAAACCTTTGTCTTTGCATCTTGTCATTGGCTGCTTGGCTCCCTACCTATACACTGTGTATGTCTCTCCCATACCTGAATATATTCTGGCGGTGGACATTTTGCATGGTCTGGACTTACACACTACAGTCAGATAATTCAGACTCCGAGTTCTTGTAGTAAAGCTGATATTGCATGGATATACACATCACCAGCCCCAAGTTTTGCCACAACTCCAATGAGTTACCTCCATTCATCAATACCATTTTCCTGGGGGTCATATGGAGATGACTGAGACTACTAAGAAGTTAGAGGAGGTGCAAATAGTGCATGGAACACATAGCCCCTACAATTCTTTGGTATGGCCAGTCAGAAAGTCTGATGGGACTTGGTGGATGACAGTGGATTATCAGAAGTGAATAAAGTAACACCCCCTTGTGAATGCAGCTGTACCTTCCATCACAGACTTGATGAACCATTTGACAATGGAACTGGGACAGTACCACTTATAGTGGACTTAGCTAATGCATTCTTCTCCACTGACATTGCTCTAGAGAGCCAGGAACAGTTCACCTTCACATGGGAAGGACAGCAATGGACTTTCACTGTGCTGCCACTGGGCTATGTGCATAGCCCCACCATATGTCTCGGTTTTGCTGATGATGTTATAGTAACCTCTGATTCTCTTGCAGGTTTAGAAGCGGCAATGCTCCTCTTGCCTGGAATTGGGATGAAGTGGTTGAGACAGCCTTCCTGGTAGCCAAGCCGGCTATTTAGCAGGCACAAGCCCTATGGGTAGTCGACCAGGGGTGCCCATTTAAGCTAGATATGCATGTGATCACAGATAGCTTTGGTTAGGGCCCATAGCAGTGCATGGAGAGCCTGAGTACACCAGTAGGTTTTTGGTCCCAACTATGGAAGGGAGCTGAGCTCCAATATTTGTTGATAGAGAAACAGTAATAGAAGGATGGATGCATTCATGGGTAAAGACCCCCAAGATAGGGACAGCACAGACATCCACTTTAGCAAAGTGGGGCATCTACTTAGAACAGCAGAGTATGCTGAGTATAAGTCCCTTAGCAGCAGAGTTACAAGAGGTTTTAGGGCTTGTATTCCTATGCGAGATAAGGTCATGGGGCCTGAGGCACCCCTAGACTCTGAGCCATTACTTTTTAAGGAAGGGCATCCCCCCATTCCTAATGAGGCACGGTATACAGATAGGTCTCGCCAGAGTACTACTGCTGCCTGGACTGCTGGTGCAGTCTAGCCCACTACTAACACCATATGGTTTCAAACCAAGTGTGGACAAAGTAGCTAATAAGCTGAACACAGGACAATGTAGATGGTGATCACCAAGGAGGTGACACCTATGGTAATCTGCAGCAATAGCTAGGCAGTTTATTGAGGCTTAACTTTGTAGTTAATTACCTAGAAATTAAAGAAATTAGCTAGTTAGTCACTGACTTATGTGGGGCCAGGTCATGTGACCAAATCTATGAGAGGAAGGATGACTTTCTCCAACCAGGTATGGGGACGAAACGTACTCTGTTATTGCCTGCCTCATTGCCCCTAAAGTTTGGGAAACAAACAAACAAAAAACTGATGTTAGCCATGGACCCTCCAAGCCCTTCATTGCAGATGGTTGGCTATCATAGACCCCTGGGGAGAGGGTCTAAGTATGACTGACATGTTACTCCTTGGGTATTTAATGTGTGGCCTCCACAATTGACTTTTTATAAGCGAATGGCCAGGAAAGGAACCCTCCTCAGAGAGACATATATACTGTCTATATGGCCTATCATAAGCTCCCCTATGACTTTGGTATGTGTACAGGACCCAAAAGAACCATGGGGAGCTGATAAGGTGTGGTATCATTGCCCAGGGCAGAAGCCCTTGGCAGCTGCATAGTTATCCAGAGATGAAAAGTTGGCTTGCATTTTGTCTAAGGGATATGATTTACCCTTGTTAGTACCTTGCTTGCTTTATTGTTTCAGCCTTAGCTTGGCATGCTCCAATGGCATCATGGACTGGGCCCACATCTATGCTGAGGTGACCAATGTCTCCAACTGTTGAATCTGCACCACCCTCCCAGCAGCAGCTGCAGACAGCTTGCCCTGCCTGGCATATGCATCCAGCTTCCATGCAGAACTGGACATGGCTAGACACTTGAGGCCCCATCGACAAAGGGTTGGGATGCAACGTGGCAAGCTTTGGATTGCGGGCATCACAAAATCCATGGTAGGCTTAATACACAGTAACTGGTTTAAAGAGTACCTCCCTTTTCCCTTTACATTTTTGTCTCAGTTTTAACTATCACTACATGAAAAGAGTTGATTGAATTTCTGATACATACATTTTTATTAATGTATCCAATAGCAAATTTAAAATGGTACATTGAGGGTGGTTGTGATGGCTCATGCCTGTAATCCCAGCATGTTGGGAGGCCGAGGTGGACATATCATTTGATCCCAGGGTTTTGAGACCAGCCTGGCCAACATGGTGAAACCTCATCTCTACTAAAAATACAAAAAACAAAAACAAAAACATAGCTGGGTGTGGTGGTGTGTGGCTGTAGTCCCAACTACTTGGGAGGCTAAGGCAGGAGAATCACTTGAACCTGGGAGGCAGAGTTTGCAGGGAGTTTGCAGTGAGCCAAGATCACACCACTGCACTCCAGCCTGGGCAACAGAATGAGATTCTGTCAAAAAAAAAAAAAAGGAAATTTATTTTTTGTTTCTTCAGTAACTCCAAAGATTAATGTACACATACATTTGATATGAAATAATTGTGCAATAGAATTATATTTAAAAAGAACCTGAGCTTAAACTTAATGCCGTGAATAATATGCATGGGTATGATGACAGCTTAAAGGCTTTATTTTTCTATGTAGCCTTATATATTCAAGAATGAAAGCATGTTACTTCTTCTTCAAATTGTTTCAGTGGAAAATCATCTTTCCTCCAAGCATTATAAAGCCATCCAAACATTTTCTTGTAATAATATCTACATTCAGAGTAAACACAAATATTCTTAATCTCTGTTAATAATCCATTTTAACTGTAGTCAGTAACCCTTAGTTTTGGCTGTACTTAGTTGTCATCCTTAAATACCAAATAAAATCAGTGTTCCAATAATTCTCCCAAGTTAGAATAAAATTTTCTTATTATAATATTTATTCTGCCTCAAAAGGATTTTTCACAGGACTAATTTGATCAATATTTGAAGTAGTTTTGCATGGTGGAAACTCTAAATCATATGTAGTTTAAAGATGTATAAAACGTGTTTAGAGAAAAACTCTCTCAAACCACGTTTTTCCTTTACTCTCAAACCACCACGACAATCATCAACACAGAAGAAGACGTCTGTGGGCAAAAATCTGGGTATTTTCTTTTTCTGTACATGAATCAGCAGACACCAGGTGGGTGTCCTCCAATTCAAATTTGACACTGTCTACCAGAAAATAGTGTCAGATCCCACAGGTAAGGGCTTAGTCCCCAAGGCTGCCCCACCCCCTTCAGACACCAGTGCACCTCCAGGCCTCTGGAACTTCTGACCGACTGGCTTCATGTTGGGGTTCCCATGATCTCCTTTTGGGGTTCTAGCAATTTTATAGAGGATACAGATGAAGACATGCCTAGGGTGGGGTATGGGGGAAGGGGCGTGCAGTTTCCATGCCCACCCTGGGTGTTCCACCCTCCAGGAACCTCTGTGTGCTCAACTATCCAGAAGCTTCCTGAACCCAGTCCTCTTGGGTGTTTATGGAGGTTTATAATGTCAGCATTCCTTCCTCCAGGGTATAGGAAGGGGCCCTCTCTGGGGAAAGACTTAAGTCCCAGAATCAGAAAGGCAGAGGAAGATTACATTTCTGCCATGGGGCAGGTGAAAGGAGGGCAGGAGAAGGTCCAAGAGATGCTGTTTCCTGAGACCTAACATACCCGATATTATAACAAAAGACTGTAACAAGGGCTATGGAAGTTATGAGCCAGGCAAACTAATATATATATATAGTTATATATATCTCTCTCTATATATATATCTATATATATAGTTATATATAGATCTATATATATCTATATATAACTATATATAGATCTATATATAACTATATATACTATATATAGTTATATATAGATCTATATATAGTTATATATATCTATATAGTTATATATATGAACTATATATATAGTTTATATATATATTAGTTTATATTAATTATATTATATATAATATATATTATATATTAGTTTATATTAGTTATATATATTAGTTTATGTTATATAAACTAAGATATATTATATATAATATATATAAACTAATATATCTATATAAACTAATATATATAATATATATAAATTAATATATATTAGTTTATATATATATACACACATATATACATAATATATAGAGTAGTATCGCTTATATGTGTGTATGTGTATATATAAAATATTATCGCTCATACATGTGTGTGTGTATATGTGTGTGATATATATATACACATATATACACACACACACATATATATGAGCTATGAGCCAGTAATCTTAAAACAAAACTATATGAGATATATATATATATATACTCATAACACCACAAAATGTAAAACAAATTGTGCTAGAAATTTCACATAAAATCATCTCCATATAAAAAAGCATATTATATTTGCTTTACTTTAGGTTAAATATTTTATGTTAAGTGTGCACTATACAAGTTATTTAAAAATGTAGAAAGTTATGTGAAAATTGTACAATGACTGTATATACATTATTTTGCATTAAAAAGAAAAATTATTCACCTGGAAAATGCTTATTAGGAGGTTAAGAATAGAAAATAAGATTATGTAATGTAGAAAATGTCTAAACTTTCCAGAGACGTTTTTTAAAAAAACTATATCTTGAAATAATTTTTCTCAGGAAGACGCAAATAATTGGATAATGAGATCTGACCACCTTTCATCCAGCTACCCCCATCCAACATTGACATTGTGCATCACTATGGTTCAATATCAAAACCAGAAAATTAACATTGGTACAATTCATAGAGCTGGATTAAATGTCACCAGTTATACATGCACTCACTTGTGTGTTTGTGTACATTTAGTTATACAATTTTATTACATGTGTAGCCTTGTGTAAATATCACCAACATATTGATCTATACCATCACAAGACACCATCAATTTATCCATTATAGCCACATCCACCTCAGCAACACTATTGTTGTTACTTGACAACCACTAATCTGTTCTCTATCTATATATTATATTATTTGGCACATGTTATATAACCCAAATCATATAATAAATACCTTAACTTCCAGTTTAATGGAATCATTGTTGTGTCTCCTGGTGGCAGTGTTCCTATGTCTGGAACTAAGACCTCCAGGCCAGCAGAACGTAATGTCCCAGGAAAAGGAAGCAACAATTTTGCTAGTGGATTACTAGGGGTGATGGTGGGTTAATCCAGGTTGTTGGAGTATCATAAAGTTCATTTTAAAAAAAATATTTCTGAAACATATTCCATGGTATAAATGTTGTATTAGTCATGGTTCCCTAAAGAGGCAGAACTAATAGGACATATATAACTATACATAAAGGGGAGTTTATTGAGTATTAACTTACATGATCACAGGATCCCACAACAGGCTCTCTGGAAGCTTGAGGAGCAAGGAAGTCCAGCTGAGTCTCAAAAGTGGAGAACTTGGAGTCTGATGTTTGAGGGCAGGAAGCATCCAGCACAGGAGAAAGATGTAGGCTGGCAGGGGGGCTAGGCCAGTCTCGCCTTTTCACGTTTTTCTACCTGCTGTATATTCACTGGCAGCTGATTAGATCATCCCACCAGATTAAGAGTGGGTCTGCCTTCCCCAGCGCATTGACTCAAATATTAATCTCCTTTGGCAACACCCACACAGACACACCTAGGAACAGTAATGTGCATCCTTTAATCCAATCAAGTTTACACACAGTATTAACCATCACAAGTCCACCCCTTGCCAACTTGAACCCATACACATCTTCTGGGTTCATAATAAGGTAATAATTATGCCTAACATAATACAACTATCCTTCGTACAACTGAAAATTCACCAATCAATCCCCAACACAAATACTATTACATAAAGTTAACAATACTTAAAGGTTGATATGAAGTCAATACATCTTATGTCACATGATAAAGGAGAAAGGAAATACAATGAAGATTTTTCTTAGTATAAGTGTATACATGCACAAACATTCTTTTAACAATAGAAGGAGGAAATACTTATGACAGTTACAGTCCTCGTTTCTGCAGCTGGTCACGTGGTCGTAGCTGGTATTGATGACTACCTTCTTCTACTACACATTCTGTATTCCCTTTGCCTTCAACAAACACCTCAGCAGGTCATGATTTTTTTTTCTGGGTGGAGTGGCCCAAACTTTCATTCCTGAGGGGTCTGGATCATTTGTAGTCCTGCCTGGACTGGGCTGTTGTAGTTTCCCATTGACTTTAATTACAGGGTATGGTAATACTAAGGGATGCCTTAATGGGTCTCCTGTATTCCATACTTACTCTTCCTTACATCCCTTATGGAGTAGTAGACTGATTTCATTCATCTTGGTAGTCTGGGTCAATAACCCCAGCCAACACTGTAACTCCCTTCTTAGCCTGTTGACTTAAAGGTAGGGAGAGCCCAAAGTGTCGAGGTGGCAATCTTAATTTCCAGTTTAATGGAATCATTGTTGTGTCTCCTGGTGGCAGCATTCCTCCCTCTGGAATTAAGACCTCCAAGCCAGCAGAACATAATGTACTGGGAACAGGAAGCAAGTATTTTGCTAATGGATCACTAGGGATGATGATGGGTGGTGCCACTTCCAATTCCACCCCTTGATTCCTGGACCCATGAATCCTGCCTATGGGAGAAACAGTACCGTGTATTGGATGCTGATTCAGAGCATACACAGCCATCTGGGGAACTTTGCCCCATCCTTGCAAAGCGCTGTCACCTAGTTAACATTGTAATTGTGACTTCAAAAGTCCATTCCACCATTCTATCAATCCAGCTCCTTCAGGATGATGGGGAACATGGTAAGACCAGTGAATTCCATGAGCATGAGCCCACTGCCACACTTCTGTAGCCATAAAGTCAGTGCCTTGGTCAGAGAGAATGCTGGGTGGAATACCATGATGGTGGATAAGGTATTCCATGAGTCCACGATGGTAGTCTTGGCAGAAGCATTGCGTGCATAATAGACAAACCCATATCTGGAGTATGTGTCTATTTCAGTGAACACAAACTTCTGCCCTTTCCCTGATGGAAAAGGTCCAATATAATCAACCTTCCACCAGGTAGCTGGCTGATCACCTCAAGGAATGGTGCCAAATCGAGGGCTCAGTGTTGATCTCTGCTTCTGGCAAATTGGACACTCATCTTGGTGAATGGAAGACCATGTTGCTGAGTCCATGCATAACCTCAAACCCTGCCATCATGGCCACTTTGTTCATGGGCCCATTGGGTGATAACAGAGGTGGCTGGAGAAAGAGATTGAGTGGTGTCCACAGAACAGGTAATTCTATCCACTTGATTATTAAAATCCTCCTCTGCTGAGGTCACCCATGGGTGAGCACTCACATGGGATACAAATATCTTCACAGTTTTTGGCCACTCAGAGAGGTTCATCTACGTACCTCTTCCCCAAATTTCTTTGTCACCAATTTTCCAGTAATGCTTCTTCCAAGTCCCTGACCATCCAGCCAAACCACTGGCTACAACCCATGTATGAGTATATAATCGCACATCAGGCCATTTCTCCTTCCATGCAAAGTGCACAACCAGGTGCACTGCTCGAAGTTCTGCCCACTGGGAAGATTTCCCTTCACCGCTGTCCTTCAGGGAAGTCCTAGAAAGGGGCTGTAGTGCTGCAGCTGCCCACTTTTGGGTGGTGCCTGCATATCATGCAGAACCATCTGTGAACCGGGCCCTAGTCTTCTCTTACTCTGTCAGCTGATCACAGTGAACTCCCCATGAGGCCATGGGTGCAGTCTTGGGGAGAGAAGGCAGGGTGGCAGGAATGGAGACAATGGGCATTTGAGCCACTTCCTCATATAACTTACTTATGCTTTCAGGACCTGCTCAAGCCCAATCACATATATACCACTTCCATTTGATGATGGAATGCTGCTGTGCATTCCACTTTATGGCTAGATGGCTCAAAAAGCACACAGTTCATAATAGGCAGTTTAGGTTGCATGATGACTTGATAACCCATAGTCAAACACTGAGTTTCCACCAAAGCCCAGTAACAGGCCAAGAGCTGTCCCTCAAAATGAGAGTCGTTATCTGCAGAAGAGGGCAGGGCCTTGCTCCAAAATCCTAGAGGCCTCTGTGGTAATTCACCTATCGGGGCCTGCCAAAGGCTCCAAACAGCATCCATATCTGCCACTGACACCTCAAGCACCATTGGATCTGCTGAGTCATATGGCCCAAGTTGCAGAGCAGCCTGCACAGCAGCCTGGACCTGTTGAAGAGCTGTCTCCTGTTCTGGACACCACTCAAAACCAGCAGCTTTTCGGTTCACTTGATAAATGGGCCATAGTAACACACCCAAATGAGGAATATATTTCCTCCAAAATCCAAATAGGCCCATGACGCATTATGCTTCTTTCTTGGTTGTAGGAGGGGCCAAATGCAGCAACTTATTCTTCACCTTAGAAGGAACATCTCAACAGGCACCACACCACTGGACCCCTAGAAATTTTACTGAGGTAGAAGATTCCTGAATTTTAGTCAGATTTATTACCCATCTTCTGGCATGAAAATGTGTCATCAATAAGTCCAGTGTGTTTGCTACTTCTTGCTCACTGGATCCAATCAGCCTAATGTGATCAATATAATGGACCAGTGTGATACCTTGCAGAAGTGAAAAGCAATCACGGTCTCTCTGAATAAGATTATGACACAAAGCCAGAGAGATGATATAACCCTGAGGAAGGACAGTAAGCATATATTTCTTGTTTTTCCAGCTGAAGACAAATTGCTTCTGGTTGGCCTTATGGACAAAAATGAAGAAAAAGTCATTTGCCAAGTCAGTGGCTGCATACCAGATACTAGGAGATGTGTTTATTTGCTCAAACAACAAAACCACATCTGGTAAAGCAGCTGGAATTAGAATCACCACTTGGTTAAGCTTACAATAATCCACTGTCATTCTCCAAGATCCATCTGTCTTCTGCAGAGGCCAAATGGGAGAGTGAATGGGGATGTGGTGGGAATCACCACCCCTGCACCTTTCAAGTCTTTGATGGTGGCACTAATCTCCACAGTCCCTCCAGGGATGCAATATTGTTTTTGATTTACAATTTTTCTAGGTAGAGGTAGCTCTAATGGCTTCCATTTGGCCTTTCCCACTATAATAGCCCTCACCCTACAAGTTAGAGAGCCAATATGTCTCTGCCAATTATGCATTCTGGCACTGGGGAAATGACCACAGGATGAGTCTGGGGACCCACTGGTCACACTGTAAGTTGGACCTGAGCTGAAACTCCATCAATTACCTGACCTCCATAAGCCCCTACTTGAGCTGGAGGACCACAATGATGTTTTAGGTCCCCTGGAATCAACATCAGCTCAGAGACAGTGTCCTGTAGTCCCCTAAATGTCTGATCATTTCCCTTTCTCCAATGCACAGTTACCCTGGTAAAAGGCCAGAGGTCTCCTTGGGGAAGGATGGGAGAAAGATTCACTGCATAAATTGTCAATAATATACTGGGGTCCTTCTTCAAGGGGACCCAGCCTCCCTTTCATTCAAAGGGTTCTGGGTCTGTAAACTGACTCAAGTCTGGAAATTGAGGGGCCGTGATTCTCTGTTTTTATAATTCAAATTAGTCTTTAGTCCATTCAACCTAGAAGTTTTCTCTTTATATAAATTAAGTAGGAATGGAATAGAATTCCTATCAATTTATATTCTAGGAACACTGTGATTAATTAGCCAATGCCAGAGCTCTACATGAGTCAGACTATTCTGACTGTGGCTTTGTCTCTGCTGTCCACTGCAGTAACTACACTCACCTTGCCTTTCATGGCGAGTGCTACCACCTGGCCTCTGCCACCTCAGGATCAAATTATTCCCATTGTATTTTAAGTTTGTAGTTGAGTGACTATGGTTCCCTTTGTTAGATCTGGCATACGGAGAAGAGCAGTTACAGGGCTCTTCAAAGTTGCAGATGCCACCAACACAAATCTATTTTACAAGGCATTGGTCAAGGGTATATCTTCTGGATCCTACCAGCTGGGATGAGTAGATCTAAAGTGACTAATCCACTCCAGCACCCCAATGTCCCTAAGCCTTTGGATCCCTTCCTCTACATTAACCCAAAGGAGGTCAGGCATTTCCAGTTCGCTCACAGAGGGCCATCTTTTAATTCATATCTCAGCCAACCAAGCAAACTATTAGAACCTTTTTTAACTCCCTAAGCTGCAACATTAAATGCAGGGTCCCTATTTAGTGGGCCCAGATCAATAAATTCAGCCTGATCCAACTCTATGTTCCTTCCACCATTATCCCATACCCTTAATATCCATTCCCATGCCTGTTTTCTAGATTTCTGTTTATATAAATTGGAGAACTTAAGCAATTCTTTTTGAGTGTAACACACCTCCTCATGGGTCACTCTCAACCTCACCTCTAGGGGCCTGTCAGGACTTTAGTCTAGTTATAGTTCTAGAAGAAAACAGAGGTGTTGGGGATGGCTCCTGAGGAGAATCAACATTGCCTTGCCTGGCAACTGCCTTAGGGGAGGCCATCACGGTTGGCTCAGGCAGCACAGGGTTTATCTCCTCAGACAAAGGTGGAAAGGCTGATGGCAGCATGAGCGGGAGGGAATGTTGCCACTACTGGGAATGGGGAAGCTGTTCCTTCTGTTGATACAGGTTTGTCAGAGTTTACTAACTCAGCTTCATCAGGGTCCTCCCACACATCCAGATTCCAAGTTGCAGGGTCCCATTCTTTTCCAATCAATGCCCTCACTTTAATAGACACCTGGAGAGACAGTCCGTGCACCTTTTATTGCAGGTCAGTCACTCCCATGATAAGAGCTTGTGTCTGTTTTTCTACAATTTCAGCTCTTTTTCTACAAGAGATAAGACTCTCACTCAGGGCAATCGTAACAGATATGAGGCTCAGTGTCTGCTTCTGAAGCCAGGAGACAGAATGTCTGAGTTCATCATTTTCTTTCATCACTTTGTCCACTGAACTTAGGAGCAACCAACTAGCTTCATTACATTCCTTGGTTCTCCACATATGGTCGAAAGTATTGTGTATAGAATCACTAAACTCCTTACCTCTCACAAGCAGTGAATTAGGAATGTCAAATGCATTTATTTTGCATAACTCTCTAAACAGTTAACACCAAGAACTATCAGTGTTCTCCATACTATTAGAATTAGGGTTCTTAGCATTTTTCAGTCTAATCATATTAAACAGCTAACTCCAAAAAAAAAAAAAATCAAATTAAAGAATTCCATCCTTAATATTCTATTCCTCTAGGACCACTCCTGGTACCAAAATCTGTATTAGGTAGGGTTCCCTAGAGAGACAGAACTAATAGGAGATATATATATATCTCCTATATATATAACTATATATATAACTATATATATATATATATATATATATATATAGTTAGTTAGGATATATATATCCTAACTAATAGGATATATATATATGGGAGATTATAGGCCGGGTGTGGTGGCTCACTCCTGTAATCCCACACTTTGGGAGGCTGAGGCATGCCAATCAACTGAGGTCAGGAGTTTGAGACCAGCCTGGCCAACATGGAGAAACCCCGTCTCTACTAAAAATGCAAAAATTAGACAGGCATGGTGGCAAGCGCCTGTAATCCCAGCTATCCGGGAGGCTGAGGAATGATAATTGCTTGAACCCAGGAGGCAGAGGTTGCAGTGAGCCAAGATCACACCACTGCACTCCAGCCTGGGAGGCAGAGTTAAGACTCTATCTCAAAAAAAAAAAAAGATATATATAATATGTATATATATACACACATATACGTATATATGTATATTTACATATAACATATGAGTCAATGGAATTTTTCACACCAACTCAGTGTTAGCTTAAAATGTTAAATTAATTCAATGTAATTCATCATAAAATACAGTATGTATGCCAGTATGATAATATATATCTAAATTGAAAAAGTATATTTGTATTGTAGACAACAAAATAGAGTATGTAGAAAATCACATGCAATCTGCAAAAACTCTACTAGAACGAATAAGTGGTTTTAGCAATATTTCAGAATATAAGATCAATATAAATAAAATTATTTCTATTTCTACATGCAAGCAAGGAAAAATTAAAAATTACAAAAAGTACCACTTTCAATAGCATCCAAAATAATGAAATACTTAGGTATAAATCTGGTAAAAGTTGTGTAAATTGTATTCAAAATAGTTTTAATTTGGGGACACATTTTTCAGAATATTTTCTTCCTTAGTATTTTTTCACATATTAAAAAGAAACATTAATTGAAATGATAATTAAACTAAAATAATCATTAATCTATTTATATTTTACAGTTTCTAATTCACTTGCTTCTAAATTCAGATCCATATACTAAAAATTAAAAACATTGCTTTTTTATGCATTTTCTCTATACTCTAGTTCTATTTTGAAATTATGAGATCATGTCCTTTTCAGGGACATGAATGGAGCTGGAGGCCATTATCCTCAGCAAACTAACCTCAGAACAGAAAACCAAATACTACATGTTCTCACTTATAATTGGGAGCTAAAATGATGAGAACACATGAACACACAGAAGGAAACAACACACACTGGGGACTTCTGGAGGGTGGAGGTTGGGAGGGAGAGGAGGATCAGGAAAAATAGCTAATGGGTACTAGGCTCAATGCTTGGGTGATGAAATAATCTGTACAGCAAATCCCCAAGACGCAAGTTGACCTATGCAACAAACCTGCACTTGTACCTGTTAAATTAAAATAAAAGTTAAAAAAATGACCATATAGTGAAAAAAAGAATGTTTTTATCTTTCTATATTTTCTATATTTTACAATTTTGCTTCTATGAAAATCATCTAGTTTTACCAAATAAAAAAGTTTTAAAATTAGTTCTATAACACCAGTTTTTACTGATTCCAAACTATAATTCTTAAGAAAACACTCTTCAATTTAAACACGTAAATTGAATTTAATGGTAACATTGTTAGTATTTCAATTTAAATGAAAATGTGTTGGCAGGGAAAGAATGTGTGACCAATATCATAGATGTATATCAATTGCTTATTGTTAGGGCTGCTATTTAAATAAAACTGGACCATGAAACTTAAGTATAAAGGGTGTTAAATGAGCTTATTTTCATAAAGAGCAAAATGCTGTTTCAAATTACACTGTTATGTTTTAAAAAGATTAAATGAGCCATTTCTAAATGGTTCTTAGAAAATATATGAGAAGAATTCTCACAAATAATAGAAGAGTACTTAAATCAGTAAGTGAAAATTAATTTACCAAGTGCTGTGTGATGCAGGAAAGTAGAGGGCGGGTAGTAATTTTGGCTATTAACGATAAACTAGTAGGTTAATTCCTCATTCAATTTCAGAGTTGTCTTATTAATATCTTAATTAAATACATAATGAAATTTGATGAGGCATGATCAGGTTTTGCAGCAAGATGTTTTTATGCACAATTTGAAAGACCAAGAAAGAAATGTTCATTTGAGATATGATCTAATAAAGATATGAGATCATTTGGAAACTTGCCAATTAATCTTGGGCACATGAACAGCCATATTTATTCCTTTCCTTACACCTGCTTTTTGATTATTTGAGACATATTATAATAACTTTGACATACTGTTTAACCATGTTACTGCCATACTGTAAGTTAGATTCTAAATTCTGTAGAATTTAGACAAAATTGAATTATCATTCTGGTTCTGCCAATTATTTTTGAAGTTGGACAATTTATATACAATTTTAGTCTTTTTGTTCTCAATATTCTTCCGAGTACTTTTTGTAGAAAAGAAAGTTTGAATTTTAGTAAAAATAATTTTTTTTATTTTATTGATTATGCTTTACTGATGTATCTGAAAACTCAACACCAGCACCAAGGTCACCTAGATTTCCTCCCATGTTTTCTTCCAGCCATTATATAGTTTTACATTTTACATGTAAGCCTGTGGTCCATTTTCAGTATAAGTTCAATTGTTCCAGCCACATTTTTGGAAACAATATTCTTTCTCCATTTAATCACCCTTTTGCCTTTATCAAAGATGAAGTGACCAAATTTATGTTAGTTGGTTTCTGGGGTTTCCATTCTGTTCCACTGGTTTTCCTTCTATTTGGCTGCCATTATCTTACTGTCTTGATTACAGTAGCTTTATATTAAATCTTGAAATTGAGTATTTCTTCCAATTTGCTTTTTTCTTTTTCTTTCTTTCTTTCTTTCTCTTTCTTTCTTTCTTTCTTTCTTTCCTTTTTTCTTATTTATTTTTTCTTTTTTTTTGGTGGGGGGACTGAGTCTCACTCTGTCACCCAGGCTGGAGTGCAATGGCACCATCTTGGCTCACTGCAACTGTTGTTTCAAGCAATTCTCCTGCCTCTGCCTCCCAAGTAGCTGAGATTAAAGGTGTGTGCCACCATGCCCAGTTAATTTTTTTGGATTTTTAGAAGAGTCGGGTTTCACTTTATTGGCCATGCTGGTCTTGAACTCCTGACCTCAATTGATCAGCCTTTCTTGTCCTCCAAAAGTGCTGGGATTGCAAACATAAACCACTATACCCTGCCTCAATTTGTTTTTCTTTCTCAGTATTGTGCTGGCTGTATATTTTGCCTTTCCATGTGAACAATTTTATCAATATCTCCAAAATAACTCCTGGAGATTTTATTGAAATTTTAGTTAAATTTGGGAAGAATTTATATCTTAATTTTACCAATACATTAACATAGACTGTCTTTCTGTTTATATTTTCTTTTATTTATTTCATCAGTGATTGGTAGTTTTCTTCATACAGATCTTGTTCATGTTTTTAATCTTTTATTATTTATTTTTAGTGATATTTTAAAAGAAAGGTTAAAAATTTTGAATTCCAGCAGTTCACTGCATATGTTCAAAAAAGCAATTGAGTTTTGTTAAATGATCTTTTATCGTGTGTCCTTGCTTACTAGTTTCAGCAGACTTTTGGATATTCTCTAGGATTTTCTTGATAATCTTATATCATCTGCAAATAAAGACAGTTTTCTTTTTTTCCTTTCAATCTGTATACATTTGATAGGTTTTTTTTTTTTTGTATTTTCCTATGTATAAATTCCTGTGCAATCTTAAGTAGGAGTAGTGAGAGAAGAAGACAAAACTGCTTTGTTAATAATCTCAGGAGGAAAGCACCTAGATTCTCACCATTGTTTGATTTTCGATGTAGGTTTTTGTAAATGATCTTTCTCAATTTCAGGAAGATGCCCTCTATTTGTGGTTTGTTGATACTATCTGTGTTATGTGATGCTATCTGTAGTTTTCTATAGTGTTTTCATGGATGTGTTTTGGATTTTGTTAAAATAATTTTCTGAGTATATTGAAATAATCATATATACTTTTTCTTTTTTAGCCTATTGATATGGAAAATTTCATTGATTGGTGTTCTTAAGTTGAACTAGCTTTGCATACCTGGAGTAAATCCCACTTGAGCATGGTATATAACTATTTTTATACAGTAATGAATTATATTTGCTAATATTTTGTTAACATTTTTGTATCTATGTTCATAGCGGTAATGAGTAGTTAGTTTTTCTCCACTGTAATGTCTTTACATGATTTCATTATTAGGTTAATGTCTTTACATTATTTCATTATTAGGTTAATTTTGGCATCAGAGAATGAGTTATGGAATGCTCCCTGTACTTGTATATTCTAGAAAATATTGTAGAGGATTAATGTTATTTTTTCCCATAAAACTTTAGTAGAATTTAACAGTGAAACCATCTGGACCTGGTGCTGTTCTGGCATGGTTATTTATTTTATAATAAATAATAAATTTTAATTATTTTAATAATTATTTTATTATTATCAATCTTTTTGGTAGATACAGAGCCATTAATAAAATCTATTTTTCTAGTGTGAATTTTGGTGATTTGCATCTTTCTTAGAATTAGTCTGTTAAATCTAAGTTATCAATTTTGAGGGCACAGAGTTCATCATGGTATTTTTTATTATTTTTAATGTCCATAAGATCAGTGGCAATAACCAATCTTTTTAATTAATATCAGAAACGTCTTCTCTTTTTTGTGTTTTTCTCAGGTTATCCTGAATGGAGTTTTATCAATTTTATTGATGTTGTCTTAGAGCTAGCTGTATGTATTGTTGATTTTCTTTATTTTTCTGCTATAATTTCTCCTGATTTATGTTAATTTGAATAGCCCTTATTTCTCTAATTTTCTTGACGTGGAAGTTTAAGGTATTCCAGGTTATCTTGTTAAGTCTAAAAAGTTCTGAAATTCTCAAACACAATTAATCAACAAATTTTATATAAGGAATTACATACTAGTGCATTAACAATTATTAAGAAAAAAACACAGTTATTTTCATGAGTTGTTTTCTTTTTGACAGTTAGATGTAGCAGTGTCCTTGGTTTATTACTTACTTTGGTGAGTCTTAATTAACTTAATTCAGAAAACATTTTGTTAATATTTTTTTCAAGAGTGCACAACTTTCCCTTTCTCTCATCCAATTTATCTTTCTTCTCTATTTGTAGTTCTCATTTGTCAAATATTACTGCTTTTGGGATGATCTTTGATACCTCTTCCTTTTCTTTTTGGTTTGAATTTTGTGCCAAAACAATATTATTTGATTTAATATTCCAGCTGACTAAATTCCTGCATTCAATCAGGTACCTATGAAATCTACTGAGTTTGGAATTTCAATTATTATGTTTTACCATTCCAGATCTCTGCTTCTATTTTGCACTGATCAGCCTGTATATTATGTCAATAAAATAATTTTATCCTTCTTATACTATTAGCTGTACTAATTTTAAAGTTTACTTTATGACCTATTATCTCTGTTTAGGTACTAGAATTTTTTTTAAACAAGAAGTTTATTTCAACAAGACATTTGACTTGATCATGTGGGATACCATCGGGGGAAAAAAAGAGACTTGAAAGAAAAACTATCCAGGATTTATTTTGAAAATAATTTGGCTTGGTAATTATCTATATTCACCATGAGAATTTAACATGATTCTGTCACAATGCTCATTAAGCAACTGAGGAATCTAAATCTCAATATTCAGCTGAATTATCTATGCAACATGCTTTGGGTCATTGTCTTAAGGCTGAGGCTGAACTTTTGTTCTCTGAGTCAGATTTTCAAAATGACTCATTCATTCATGATACTGCTTTTAGCAAGGCTCTTATTCCTTCTAAAACTCATGGGTCAGTGGTGCTAGGAGTTGTTAGAAAATTTATTCACTTGAAGCTTTCAATGTATCAAATGTCATGCTTCTGTGCATTGTTTCAATTTTTCATTAAATTATAAGAGGGTTAAGAACATTATTGTGTGTAATATTGTCATGCTTTATAAAAAGGGCTGGAGATAGCGATTCTCCATTTACCTCTTCAGCTAACCTGGTACAGAAAAATGATTCAGTAAGGGAAGTAGCTCACCAAAGAATCATGGTTCCAGCAGATATTACTAAAAGAGAGAGAGAGAGAAAAAAAAACTCCACACATATTCCTAAAGCTCTTCCATTGCCACTTTGTTATTGTCTTCCTCATTAAATATGGCTGCCCTGCTTTTCATCTTAGATTGATTTGATCTGTATAATAATGCTCCTACTGAATGCAAAGAAGGTGTTTGATTCACTGATACACAGTGATGTCTATTCAGGATCTGAAAACCATCTCTAGTAAGAACTGATAGCTTTGATTATTGATTAAAAGATCGTACACACATTTTCCTAGTATAGCCAAGCTGTATAATGAGTCCAGTGTGAAAGAGTCAAGAATTCTCTTCAAGGTTTATTTTATTTGGGGTGCATATTTTCATCAAGTTTAATTGAAATGAAAGATCACATAAATAGTGGAAAACTGCAAGTCTGACTCAGACTTTTTAGTTACTGTGTTCTAGAAGGATATACCAACCTTATTAAACTTTGAAAATAAAGATAAAATAAGGTGGGTATAGCATATTTACATTTCAAGAATAAACAAAATTAGACATGTTTTAATATGCCTGGAAAACTGAAAGAGAAGGTCACCAAATCTGATTTACATCAGGGTTAATAAGGCTACTGTGATTCAAGAACACTACATGACCCAGTAAAAATGTTTGGTTGTTAGAGGAGAAGAGAAGATGCTGAGTTTGGTATAGTGCTTGCTGTCCACATTGTAACTCGTTCCCCTCCACTGGGCTCATTCATGCTTTATACAAGGCCCTGTGGTATGTATTCAAGGAAGGAAGAAGTAGACCAACAACAAAAAGGGCACACACCAAAAGCAAGACTCTTGAGTTTGATCTGTAACTAAATAGATATCAACTGTAGAATTAAGATAAAATATTTCATATCAGAATGTGTACAAGTAGCATTTAAAACATATTTATGCAGCCTAGGTAAGAGAGGGAAACCCCATCTCTTAAAAAATTTAAAAAATTACCCAGGCCCATGGGGTGAGTACCTGTAATCCTAGCTACTTGAGAGGCTGAGGCAGGAGAATTGCTTGAGCCTGGGAAATTGAGGCTGCAGTGAGCTGTGTTGATGCCACTGTATTCCAGCCTGAGCAACAGAGTGAGACACTGTCTCAAAGAAAAAATAACCGTTTTTAAAATTTTGATTATTTATTCTTAATTATGGGTTAGCATTTACTGTTGAGGTTTCTTAAGTCTTAAATAATGTGCTTTAAATATTATTAGTACAGAAATTATTGAACTTGTATGGACTGGGGAATAGAAAAAAAGAAAGAAAAGGAATTTTAAAGAGTTATAGCATAAAGAATCTGTAATGTATAGGTATTCTAAAATACCTATTTTAATATCCAAAGGGAAAGAAAGAAGGAGAGAGAGAAAAAGAAAAGTAAAGAAAGAAAGAAAGGAACAGAAAAGGAAAGGGAAAGAAAAATAATTGAAAGGAAAGAGCTTTGTTATCCTGGAAACTCTTCAGCTAGTGCTTGAGCAGAAGATGAGATGCTTGTTGGGTAAGACTGTCTTTAGCTCCTGCTTTTAGGGATAGCTATGACTGGCGGGAGAAGCCATTCTCAAGAGCACATAAAAGATGCCACAGAAATATTTAGAAGGATTAGTTTGACAGACTGCAGTTTTTATATCTGAGGTTATAGGAAAGAAGCTATGACATCCTGGTTAATCCTATTATAAAATCCTGTCTATAGAGACAGTTGGGGAGGCCTGAAAAACCTGGATTGTACTTAATCATTGTGGAAAAAAAAAAAAGAAATAGGTGTTTCTGTTTTGGGTCTACAGAATATCTCATATTAAAAACAAAACAAAACAAACTCAAAAACCCTGATTTTTTTTTTAAAGTGTTTATTATCAACATCAACAGCTGCTGGGTCAGATAATGGTTGGTCCATTTAGTCCTTCATTAGTTTTCACTGTCCTAATTTAACTATTCCTAAACATATTGTTCGGGCATATTTCAAAGCATATAGAAACCTGTTTTAGAAACAGTTTTAGAAATGTTTTGCATATATTTATACCTCTTTTATAAATAAACAGCATTTATTCCAGGCTGTTGTCATCCAGAATTTAAAGCAAAATCAGAAATTAATGGTAGGGCCAACTATAATACAAAATAGCCTAACCTGAATTTTTTTTACAAAGGTAAGGCTAGATTATGATTAATTTACCTGCTTTATTCTTTTCACCACACTGCAAAACTCACTGTTTGTCAGTGCCTTGCTGATCTTCTGATTTTATAGGTATAGGGCCTTCGTTTGTTTTTTGGAAACTCTGGAGTACTCAGCATGCTACCGAGACCTCAAGCTCTTATCACCACAAGCAAAACTGTCAGTTCTGAAATACTGCTGAGAAGAAGACTCTCAGGCAAAAAGGAATGCAAAACAAGCACTTCACAAGGAAGAGGGGTAGGCGCTGCTTCAAGATTTATTAATGAAAGATTAAATGTGTAAAAATAATGCTTTGAGTTCCTAAAGTTTATTTATCACTCAAAAATATGGGATTAAAAATAATCACGTTAGCACAGTTTGCAAAAGTTTGGAGGAGTGCTTTGTGTTAGCTCAGCTAATAAATATTTTCATTTTGTTAATTTTTCCTTCATCATGTAAGAATATAAGCAAATATAATGCACATATTTTAGCACTTTATATTCCTCTTGTATATATATGGGCAAAGTGAAAAAAATTAAATGTTGCCTTAAAACTTTAGGCAGAAAATAAATGCAAAAATGAGGACTATTACTCTATGAAAAAGATTTAGAAATCTAAAGTAGACTCCAATATACCATTTAAATTTTTGAAACTTCCATCTCATTCATTTTTAAATATCAAGACATGAATAGAATTTAGAGGACTTACATGCATAGAGTTTTTGGTACCCCAGAGTAGAGCAATCTACGCCTATTTTTGTACAAAATCTCATTTTCTCTGATAGCTTTAGTTATCCGCTTTTAACGTGGGAAAGCAGAGGTCCAAAAATCAAGATTGAGTTTTGCCAGCCCTTGTGGCTTTTTATGGCAGGGTTGCTGTTGTATGAGAAGAAGGATAGGGAAAGTCCGATGATAGAAAAAAAAAAAAAAAAAGAACAGAAAATTTAGGGTAAAACCACTCTCTCCTTTTCCCCTTACCTCTATTTCATACTTTTTTATCAGATACACTGACTTTTGTATATTTTCACTCTGGGCACCGATATTCTTCTAAAACTCTAATGTCCCATTCCTCAGAGTGTAGTAACGGAGTGATTAGCAGGGCGTTCTCACTGGTGAGAAGCCTGCCTAGACCTCTTCATCTGCTTCTCATCCCGTCTTAACATTGCTGTGTTGAAACTCTGGCAGACTTTATACTCCTGGACCAGTGTTGCTGTTTGTCCTTTTTATGTTGTTAGGGAGGGGAAAACTTTCACCTAAACTATCCCCACACTGTGGCATTCAAACCTTCTTTACTCTGGGCTGGGATATTCTCATTTGACAACCTTCCTTCAATTTTCCATGGATTTCTTTGTCTTTTTTATTTGGTTTGAAGATCCACATACTCTCATCTTTCATGGTATCTCTTGAGTTGGGGCAAGATGGGGAAATGGAAGTCGGCATTCTTTGCTAGTTCTTTACATCCTCATATGAATGAAATACATAACACTGTCTTAGACATTGTTTTAAAATTAATTTTACATCGATTACTTTTCAATTTCAGTAAATATTATTTGATAACATCATCTTAATGTCTTATAATATTTCACCTATTCTTGTTTGACAATCTTTTCAAGATCTCATGTAAATAACAATGGAGAGACTAGCTTTGCCAAGAAACAGTACTTTGAGCCTCTCATTATCTGAATCTATATACTATTTTTCAATGATATATCTTTCCTAGACAAAGACCAAAAATGAAATTAGAAATCTACTTTACTTTAAAAATGCAGATAAATGAGCTAATCTCAGATATGCCTTTACATAGTAAACTAAAATTATTTCAGCGCCTCCAAGAAGTTTACTGTGACTTGACTCACTGTCAAACTTGGATAGATTCCCTGTCCTTACTACAATGTTATTTTTTTTTTCTGTTACTGATGTTGTTTATCTCAAGTATATGATAATCTGAAGGGAAACAGCTTTTAAAAAAAAATCTTTTCTCTCCTAAGTATACATCATGTATTATTCATCTAGGTATTATTAGAGACTGGAATATAAATATATAGTGTGTACTTGTAGAATGAATGAAACTGGCACCCATACTGTCAACCTGTCAACCTAAAAAAGGAACATCAGAGAAAATTATATCCAAATATGTTAAGTTTACTCACAAATGAGAAATAAGGATTATAATCTGGAATGCATGGAATTACCAGCAGTACATCTGGAGAAGAATAATAAATAGACGCTTTTATTAGCAAAATGGGAAAGTTTCACATAAGCAAGAAACTAAGTTAACTGGTTCCAGAGACTCAAAGATAGAGTTGTCAGTTTATTGATGGAGATGCCATTATTGGGAAAGTATTCTTGTGAGAGCAACATCTTATTTGAATTACTGCAGTCCCAAAGAATGTCCAGTGATGGACCTTGTCAAAGCAGAAGATGTGTGAAGGGTGTAAAAGGGTTTTCTGTGACATTTTTAAAAAGTCCTTGGAAACAGTTCTTATCTCAGACATATAAGCACAACACTCCTTTTTGTGCCTTCCTGGATCTATTTTGTCTGGGTGTAACAAAAGTGTTTTCATCCTCATATCTTTACATTTTACAACATCTAACACATTATGGAAGTCTAAATAGTTTATTTAAACTTGAGAGTGTCAATTTCATTATATGTAATATTATAAAACTTTCTTCCAAGTGTGTTATATTAGTCAGTGTCCCAACAAAATAATAGACAAATAAATCTAAAATTCTGAAGATAATTTAATGAAGATATTATTAACAGACTAGTAGAAAGAGTTAAGAGAACAGACAACAGATATTGAATTATCCAAGGACAATCGACAGCCAGATGCCATTTCCTTCACTAGACCTGAAGAAATAGTAGAAGATGGTGTTACTGGATCCAGAGGTAGCTGGAATCTTGAAATGGAACAGAGTAAGTCCATCACCAAGATCCAAAGTGAAGAAACATCACAATATCTCACCCCCCAAATCCAGTCTTCCACTTGCACATTTCCTTTTGATTAAACCAGAAGCTAGAGGGTAATGGCTACTAGTAATGAAATATATGAATATCAACCTTGTAGACAACAGAGGAATGAAACTAAACCACAAGCATTGATTATTAACTACATTAAAAAATCATACTTGTTATGAAAGAGATTTTTGTAATATTACCTGTGAAAAAGTATACCATTAATAATATAATATAAAATAATGTTTTTTATTTTTGCATGTATATGTGTGTGTGTTTATAAACACATACATATACATTAAAAACAGGTTGAAAGAAGATTGAAATATGCCAGACCCACAGTGCCACAGTGCTCTTGATATTTTTTATATTTTAAAAATATTTATTTGAAAATGATTCAAATTAGTATCTATTCCATCATTATCATCATAATTATTAGGTTCTGACCATGATATTAACAGCTTTTTAATGTTAATGAGTACCTTAAGTATGTATTTCTATGATTTGTAATCACCCTATATTTTTTATTTTTACCTAAATATTATCATATTCTAGAATCTAGATAGAAAATTATATAGAAATTTGAAAGATCTAGAATAACCAAAACGATTTTTTAAAAATAAAAATATTGGAATACTAACACAATATAATGTCAAGGCTTATTGTAAAGAAACAGTAGTCAAGGCAGTGCAATGTTATATTTCTACACGACACAATAGAGGGTCTTGAAATATACCCACACATTTATGGAGCCTGATTGTTGATAAAGGTACAAAAGCAAATCAGTTGGGAAAGAATAATCTTTTCAGCAAAGGGTGCTAGATATCCCTACTTCAACAACAGCAACAAAAACATTGGTTTATAACTCTCACCATTTCCAAAATGTAACTCACAATGGATCACTGACCTAAGTATAAAACTTAAACCTATAAGCCTTCTAAGTTGGCCTTCTAAATTTGACATTAAATTACTGAAGGATTTCTTTGATTTCTTGAACACGATCACCCATAAATCAATAAAGTAATAGATTAAATTTTATTGCAGTGTTAATAGAATTAAGTGAAAAGCCTTAGACTGGAAAAAATCTTCACAAAGCATCAATACAGTGAAGGACTTACATCCAAAATATTTGAATAACTCTCAAATACAACAACAAGAAAACAAACAAATTAATTGTCTTTAACTAGCAAAAGTTTTGAATACACATTTCACTCAATAAGATGTATATCTGGCAAACATAAAAAAATGTTCAACATCACTAGTCATTTGGAAATGCAAGTTAAAAACTACAATATGATGCCACAATACAACTATGAGAATACCTAAAATTAAAATGGCTGGCCATACCAAGTGTTGGCGAGGATGTGGAAAAAGTGGAACTCTCACCTACTGTAGGTAAGAATGTAAGATGCTACCGTCATTTTGGGAAACTTTTTGGTAGTTTCTTAAATAGTTAAAGATAACAGAAAAAAAAATGAGTGCATAATGTATTATTTCATCTATTTGAAATCCTAGAAATTGCAAATTTATATAACCTAAAAAATATCAGTGATTGTCTGGATGTTAGTACATAAAAGAAGAGAGGGATGGGTCACAGACTTATCAAAATATACATTTGAGATATGTGCAAATGACAGCATGTCCATTATATATCAATAAATATATTAGAAGGACAGTAAGACTACTTTTATGTAAATGACAAGTCTTAAGTTCACACAAGCAAAATAGTTTTTCTGCTATCACCACTCTATAAATCATAGGACAGGTACTTAATTGTGGTGTATTCTGATTTCAAATCTCATTCTCATCCATTATTTCAACAAATTTATTGAGCACATATTATGCTAAGCCACTAATTTAGGTATCAAGGATACCACAAATTTTTTAAAGCAAAAAAAGATGAGTCCATATTACAGCTGTTATGTATAATACACACTTTTATGAAAAGACATACAATAAGCAGTATAAATAATCAATAAAAATATTACATAGCGATTAGTGCTGAAGGATGAGAAATCAAGCAGCGAAGGTAAGAAAATGTGAGTATGTGATATTTAATTAAAATAATTAAGAAAGTCCTTTAGAAATCTGAAATTTTAGTAGCATTCACGAATGTAATGAAAGAGACAATCCTGTAGATACCTATAGGAAGAACATTCTGGAAGGCATATGAGAAGAGCAAGTACAAAGACCCAAGCATGAGTTTTTCTAATGTGTTATACACATAGAAAGGAGGCCAGTGTGGCTGGAACAGAGTAAGAAAGTGAGAGGGATACAAAGTATGAAGTTGGAGATACAGGAAAATACATAAGAAGGATGGATAAAAGCATAGAAAGTCATAGTTTTACTTCATGATGGAAGATTTTGAGCAGAGAAATAAACATCTGACTTACATTTTACAAAACTCATAGTCTTCAATACACACTGGAAGACTCTCTACTTAAACTTAAGATCTCTCACCCATAAATTGTCACCTCGCTGGATACTGTGATCATGTCAGTACACCTAGATCATGATGTTCTGTAAATGTTTGCTGTATCTTTAGCAATTTCTTAAAAAAATTCAGCCTATTTCCTACCCATGAAATGTTTTCTTGATGTGAAGTGTGTATTCATTAAGAATCACTTTAGTGCCATAGGTAATTAAAGCTCAACTCAAGCTGTGTTAAGAATAGAAGGGGGCCGGGCGCAGTGGCTCACGCCTGTAATCCCAGCACTTTGGGAGGATGAGATTGGAGGATCACGAGGTCAGTAGATGGAGACCATCCTGGGTAACACAGTGAAACCCCGTCTCTACTAAAAATACAAAACAATTAGCCAGGGGTGGTGGCGGGCACCTGTAGTCCCAGCTACTCGGGAGGCTGAGGCAGGAGAAAGGCTTGAACCTGGGAGGCAGAGGTTGCAGTGAGCCGAGATTGCGCCACTGCATTCCAGCCTGGATGACAGAGCGAGGCTCCGTCTCAAAAAAAAAAAAAAAAAAAAAATTGGAGGGGATGTGGCATTATTGAACCATATAAATATGACTAGCTTCATACTTAGATCTAACAGTTCAAAGGAAGGTACCAGTGCTTTCTCTATCTTTTCCTGTAGGTATTTTTGGCTCTGTTTACTGACTTCATTTTGTTTTTGTTTTTGTTTTTGTTTTTTTTGACGGAATTTTGCTCTATCACCCAGGCTGGAGTGCAGTGGCACAATCTCGGCTCACTGCAATCTCTGCCTCCCGGGTTCAAGCAATTCTCTGCCTCAGTCTACCGAGTAGCTGGGATTACAGGCGCCTGCCACCATGCCCGGCTAATTTTTGCATTTTTAGTAGAGACAAGGTTTCACCATCTTGGCCAGGCTGGTCTTGAACTCCCGACCTCGTGATCCACCTGCCTAGGCCTCCCAAAGTGCTGGGATTACAGGCGTGAGCCCCTGCCCCCGGCCTGACTTCATTCTTTAAGAGGTTCTGAATGCCTGGGGAAAGTGGCAACTATTTGCAACCCCAAGTCACATTCCAATGGCTTCCTAATTCAACTACTTAAAATGTCTTATCTTTCTCAGAGAATATAAATTGAACACATTAAATGGTTTTCACTGGACATACCCAGTTAATTTATCTACGTTAATTTATCTAACCCCAAGCCCAATACTTTGGCCAAGAGGATACATTTTCTATCTGACAGACATGATGTACTCCTATGGTCTAGGAAAGGCAGGTCACTATTATTTACAGCAACTTGTCTTGGTCACATACCTTACTCCTGTGGCCTGAGAAGGGCGTGCCACTGTGACTTTTAGCCATCGGGCATGAGGAGATGTCAGGTCATGAAAAAACTGCAGTTCAGTAAATGAAGATTGGAGTAGTGATATCAAAGAAGATAAACGGTAAAGTTTTATGAGCAGAGGAAAACCATCAGTACCATTGTCCAAAATGGACAGTGGTCAGGAAATTCAAAGGCAGGTAGGATTAAGAGGAATTCAAGAAATAGATAATACACAATGTTTTATGTTATATAAAACAATCTTACACATGGTTGGAGTAGCACTTTAAATCTGTCAAAGCTTAACTTACTGTGCCTTCCGATATTTCACTTCATGTAGGAAGCTTACCTGACCAACTCCATTGAGTTGAGTAAAAAGAGAAGCATGTGGATGTGCATATGAGCATGTAAAATGTATGTTTGTAGGTAAATGTAGGCTAAAATATATCAATATGGATAGGTATATAGGTGTATACACAGTAGTAGAGACAGTGACTTTGTTTTTGAACCTCTAACACCGACATTAAAAAAAATAAATTTCCAGTGATGTATTACTGAAACAAGTAATAAATTATATAAATGTTTCACATGTGATGTAAACTGCAAATATTGTTTTCAATGTAGTCGTTCTTATATGCAGTAAGGCTCTTTTTTTAAATAAAAGAAGCTAAATACTAAAACGATATACACTAAAATTCCTCTTTGTAATTATTCCTTTTTTATTAAAATTTACTTTTAAACTTGGAATTAAAATAAAAATTATTTATGGGTTAAATTATGAATACTGAACCAAAAACAAAATTGTAAAGCATGTATGCATGTGTATATTTTAATTAACTTTTTCTTTTACTTATTTTGTTTCTTTTTCATTTACTTGGAAGAAGTAAAACTAGGTTTTGTATTGCTCTTTTTTTTAGTGCTATTACATTTAGAATGAATGAGATTTGCACTATTTTATTAAACACATTCACATTCATTTATGTTATATAAACATATTGTGACAATTGTTTCACCACCTTAAATTGTTTTGTACAGACAGAAAACACGTCTGCTGAACTTGATGATCCCATCTCTACCAAAACATTTGGCAGCCATGACAGGATGCAATTTGTTTTGTCCACATAACAATGACTAAGATGTGCTGATGTTACATCAGCTTTCTAATGTTCTACTATCTGATGCGTTCATTTTACACGAACTATCAAGTATAGGTCACTGGATATTTCTGAGTACAAGATAATTAAATGAAATGAAAATGAAAAACAAAATCTTAGTTTCTTTATACTGGGTAGTGTAAAATTACAGTAGTACGTTTCATATTTTCCAGGGAAGAAGTCATGGGAATCAGCCTGCACATTAAAATATAGAATTTTTATTGTCAAGGGATTCAGCAGAAATTAAATGATCAATTTCATGGGCTGGACATGTGACAATGTTGCCCTGAAAGATGTGTCTCTATTGATTTATTGATTGCACATTATAACTAAAACAGAAGAAAAAGCAAAACACACACACACACACACACACACAAACGAATCTTGTTTAAAAACTGTCCTTTCATGCAATAATTCTCTAGAAGTCAAATTAACATTTTTCGTGTTTTATAATTACCTGACACTGTAATAAACCACGTTAGATACGCTTCTGTTTGTGAAGCAAAAATTTATGACCAGTTTTCTTTAAGATGAATAAAAAAGAGGCTATTTATTCTGTTAACAGATTTCCCCCACTGACTATCCTCTCCCTTCAAAATATAACATTTTGATTTCTATGTGCTTGCTATACATCTGTCACTAATACATATACACGTGCATTGCTTGCTAAGTGACCTTGTTCTAAAGAATTCATTTGCAGATACTATCTGTCAGGTATCCCTTCTCAGCAATCTCAAGATATGAACTCAATTGGCAAAAGGCTTTATTGTGAGGAACTTCGTACATTGTTCTCATCACTCTTAAGGCATTTCAGAGTCTGCACAGCTGTAAAATTGTTTTATCTCCTCTTCTTTCTCCCAATAAGGATTAGCCAAGGTCCAAGGAGTGTTACAAGCCTGATAAAGCCTTGAGTGCTTTTACACTGAACTTGGAATGAGTCCAAATATTTCTAATTTCAATTTATCAAACTTAAAGTATCACAGAAATCTCAACTGGTTCAGAAATCCTCACTGCCCTCAGGACTGAAGTACTCATTCCTCCAGCTACTGGGACTATAATCTCTCAGCTGAGTCCCTCTGAGGAAATGATCAGTTTGAGAGAGGCACCTCACCAAGGTTATGTTTCCTTTTGGTGATATAGCCCACATCCGATAACTGGCCAACACAGAAGCAAGGAGGTGGTTTGGAGCTGAGGAAATCATATAAGGCCTAGTCGTGTCCTTCCATTCGGGACAACCCTGCAGAGCCACCTGGGCTCTAGTAGTATCAGCTGAAGTCTTTGTGGCAATGACATGCAGTTCTAATTATCCCTCTGCCCAATTCTGTTGTTCTGCTGTCCCATAGATGTTACTCCCGAAAGCAATACACTTCTTGCATGCAAGACTCTGGAGCACAGCCTATTTCCTAGAGACACTGACTTACAACACAACTCACTTAAAGTAAGAAAATGCAAATCTAACTTGTTAACAAACCAGGAAATTAATACAGAAAATCTTCCTTCACTAGCCTCACTATATGAAATTACAGTGAACAGAATGACAATGATGTGGCACTGTGGGGTGACATTTTTATCGGGTCTGAATATACTTTTGTTTCCTTGATTTGCCTGTAAATTATAATTCAATGTCTAAAGTACAAGATCGTTGTTATTGAGGTTTATTCTTTGCACTCTTGTATATTCTTTCAGAGCTGACTCTCTTAAAAAAAAAAAAGTATGATCCCTATATCTGTGTGTATGTGGATGGGGAGGGGCTGTGGAAGGTGGGAGGTTTAAAATCAAAGTTTTACATCATACAATGTTACACTCAATTATAATATACACTTTAGAATATGCCTAAAAATTGTTTCTTTGATTTTTATCCATTTCTTATTTACATTTTCAAAGTTCAAGATATGTTAAAAAGTATCCTGTGGCCTATTTTCTCCCTTCCCCAGGGTCACTTGTGGTCTTTTTTGCCCTATCTTTTCTGTGTTTCTCCCTGTAAAGTCTCCTGCCGGGTATTAATAAGTAGGCTGCCTCCCATGAGCAGTATAGGAGAGTACCATTTTACAATGTTATCTGTACTCCATATTATCTTGTTTGTTATTTTTTCATTTGTCAACATAATAGATGAAATGCAATATAGCTTATTGTTTGTTTTTCCTGTCCAAGATAACTACCAGAATTAAAAATATTTATATACTGACTTTCAACAACATAGTAGAATAACTTGTGGGTCCCTATCACAATATGAATTAATTTAAAAATTGTTCCTAAGCTATTGTCCCTAAAATTATTTCTAATCCAGGTGGGTTAGTGTCTTGTGGTTGCCCTATGAAAGGCAGGATAAAATCTTCACCCAAAATATGGTTTCATTATTCAGAGTGATAATGTTACTCAAGCATCAAGAGGATATAGAATATTAATTACTCACACTGTACAGTTTTCTTGGGAAAGAAAAGAAAGCTTTGGAGTGGCTATGCAGTTACAGTTCTTACAGGCATGACTGGATTATGCATGGTTTGAACTTTCCACCAGAGCCAAGGGAGAGAGACTGTGGACTTTTAAATTATCTTGCTGAGATGTGAGACAAGAGGTGTGTAGGGAGGCCTTGGGCTTGGAAGATGTTAGAGGTCGAATATACATAATGGAATTAGATTCTGTATTACAGTTAGGAATAAAGAGAGTGAAGTACCACCAAGTGCTAGAAATAGAGAACAAACTAGAACCAACGAGGGAACAGCAGGCTGAAATCCTGGGAAGAGCATGTATGTTATGAACCTGGTTATTGTCTATGGAATCTGATTGACTGAGATGATGAGATGGCTTTGTGTCTTCCCCTAAAGGAACTGGGAATTGGCATTTCTCAATAAAAGCCTAAACTTTTAAGTGCTGTCTTGTGCCTTAAAAATAAACTAGCAAACCACCCTGCATCCTTCCTAACCTTAGCTAGAAATATGAAATGATGTTTGTCATCTGTCTATGACTGTAAGTTTTAATAACTTACTTTTTTTAGGGAAACTGAAGCCTTTAATATGAAATAGATATGGATTTTATAACCAGAGATAAACATTTTTATCACACACTCAAGTGTAGGAATTTACATAAAAGACTTACTGCAAAAACTGATTCAGAACGTGGGAAATATATTGGACTCTGGCAGAACTAGCAAAAAACCTACTTGTAGAAATATCATGAGATACTTGTGGTGTCACTTTGCCAGCCAGAAACGTTTGTGGATGATGGCGCCTTTGCCCACGTTTTGCTTAGGCTCTCTGGGCTTGTTCTGCCCACTCGGCCTGGCAGGCTGCACTCAACTCATGCTACAAGCCTGGATCTCACAACTGCTAAGGGCAAACCAGGTGCAGAGCAGTGAGGGGTGCATGCACAAATGAGCGCAGAATCCAGTCACTGGGCACAGCCAGGCATGCTAGCTTTGGCTAGGTGGGCAGCTCCAGGTTCCTGCATGGGCACTGGCTCCCTGTGAGGCTGAAGCTTGACCAGATGTACTGCAAGCAGCTTCCACTGCTCTCACCAGGGAATACAGTGGTGCCCCAAAACTTGGAGATGCCAGGAACTGCAGAGCCCCAAAGAGGGTGTCACATCCCTAGCCTGGGGAGCTCCCAGGTATGGGCTTTCCAAAGAGCTGCAGCTCTTCTCTTTTCTCCTTCTAGTGGCCAGCAATGGCCACTAGAGAGCATGGGGGTGTGTTTTAGCCCGGTTTGTGTTACAGCTCTTTCAGTCCTGCCATTTGGCAGTTCCCGAGTTTTTGCCCCTCATCCAAGAAGAATGAGGTACAAAAACAATTGGAAGGCGAGCAAGGTGAAGAAATGCTTTTATTCAGTTACAGTACAGCTCTCAGGAGACCTGAAGTGGGTAGCTCCTTTCCACAAGCAGGACATCCTGACATCTGCAAATCTCAGTGGAAACAAGACCATAGTGGTAGCTCCTACCTGCAGACAGGTCATCCCAATGAGGATACAGCTTTCAGCAGAGAGGAGACCCACAGTGGGTAGCTCCTCACTGTAGGCAGGTTGTCCTGACTTCTGCTCAGATCTCAGCTGAGAGGAGATACTCAGTGGATAGCTCTTCTCTGCAGGCAGGTCATTTTGACATCTGCTCAGCTCTTGGCTGAGAGAAACCCACAGTGGGTAGCTCCTTTCTGCAGGCAGGTCATCCCAATGTCTGCCCAAGTCTGGCTGAGTCTGGGGTTGTTATGGGCTTCACAAGGGAGGAAGTGCATGCTGATTGGTCCATAGGCAGTCATGGTCAGGCCTGGAAAACGTACCATAAGTTAGCACTCCTGTCCACTCCAGAACTGGCAGTCTGTCCTTCAGGTTTCAGGCCATCCTGGCCTGAAAGTGGGGCTTCACCAGGGACCTGCCCCTTTTGGCCCAGGAGCCTGTCTGCCTCCTGCTGTCATCAACATCCTGTCTACAGTTTCCAGGCTGTTCATGCCAAGGAGTGTCTGAAGGCCTACACCAAGCTGCCCTCAGCTCCCCTTTGGCCTCCTTCTCATGATCATTGGCATCCAAAGTTTGGAGGGGGCAGACACAGCAGGGGGCTGGTGTCAGTGCCACCCTGAGCATATGCACACATAGCGAGGTCATGATAACACCTGGGTTTGGCCGTGACTTTGCTCCAAATTCAGAGCAGTTGCTGAGAGTAGGTAGAGGTCAGGCCACAATAGCAGGCACTTTCAAGCCTGCAGGGGCAAAGGGCTTCCTGGGCCCCTGAGAGATGCCTAGGTCTGCAGCTGTGGCTGGGTGGCAGCAGCTGCACCCAGGAGTGTGGGGCTCCCCTTCCCACTAACTCAGAAGAGGGCGGGGCCCCCGCCTGTTCCTGGCTCCCCCTGGCTCCACTGAGCCTGCAGCCCCAGCCACACCTCCCCTGCTGCAACTGGTATCTTTGCAGCAGCCACTCCAAACAGGCCACTGCTGCCATCAGAAACACATCTACAACTGAGAGAAGGAATAATAAATGAATAAAATGACATCTGATTATGATAAGATTACCTTAAAAAATGAAAAACAATGTCAAGAAATGAACCTACCAAAAAGGCTAGAACAAAACCCCAAAGAATTAGCATCCATTGAACAATTTAGAATAAGTATAACATGAGCATGTTTAAAAATACAGAAATAGCTGGGCAGAGTGGCCCAAGCCTGTAATCCCATTTAATCAGATGGCTGAGGCAGGAGGATCACTTAAGCCTAGTAGTTTAAGGCTGCAGTGCGCTATGAGAGTGCCATTGCACTCCTTCCTCGGCAACAGAGTGAGATCCTGTGCTTAAAAAAAAAAAACTAATAAAATAAAAATCTTGAAGAAATAAATAAAAATAAAAAATATATAAATACTACTCAAAAATTATACAATTTCATGAAAAGCACAATATTGAATAAAACTGAAGAAAAATTATAAAACAAGATATGATTATCAAAATGTAAAACGTAATGAATAGCCATGTTAAATAGAGTGAAAGAAAGTCTCAATGATGAAGAGACTTAAAAAACATTGACCCCCAAATACCTTACAGATACATATCTCAAAGTGACACAGAGGCCATTGAAAGGGCTCCCAGTGGCCAAAGATAGAACAACAAAATTAGTAGGGTAGGAATTATGGCTGATAGTAGAAAATAATTATATAAATATATATTTAAATCAATAAACTAATGAGGGAAAGAGACAAATCTCTGATGCAGAGTAATTTCAAATAATGTATGTAGATATTCTGCCCTTAGGCAGGGAGAATATAAATTCACACTCTTTATGTATAAACTGTGCCCACTGACTTTTTTCCAAAAAGTACATTATGGAAAAGTGGTCAAAAGCCTAACTTTAGAGAACTCTGGCAAACCCTACTTCAGACAAGTCACACTTTGGGTAATCCAGATCAGTATCTACAGTGATAAATCATGTTGATAGCACGTACCCTTGATTTGATGTGCTAAAAACCTCACTTTACCTTTATGGTCTTTCTCCCAAAAACCCTGAGCACCAGTCTAATCATGAGAAAATGCCAGAAAAATTTCAATAGAGGAGCACCCTACAAAATACTTGACCAATATCCTTTAAGGCTATCAAGGTAATTAAAAACAAGAAAAGGCTAAAAAATCGTCATAGCCAAGGGGAATCTATGGAGACATGATGACGCAAATTAGTATAGAATCCTAGACAAGATCCTAAAACAGAAAAAGGCCTTACTTAAAACTAATAAAATCTCAATAAACTATGAACTTAGTTACTAATAATATATTAATATTGACACATTAATTTTGAGAATTGCACCATACTAATATTAATGTAAGGTGTTAATGAGAGGGGAGACAGTTTAAAATATTACTCTATATATGAATTATCTGTACTATGTTCCCAATTTTTCTGTAAATCTAGAACTGTTATATAAAAAAAGTCTATTAAAAATAATTTACTGATTTCCACCTTAAGGAAGATGAAGTGTATGCATTTTTCTTAATCTTCCCACTAAATGCAACTGAAAATCCAGGATATTATACATAAAATAAACAAGATTCTGAAAGATAGAAAGAAGAAGACAACCCTGTATAAACTCCAAGATCTGAAGGTTGACATGGTGATGAGTTGCCCAGGTGTATACCACATTTGGAGCTGAAGAAGCCAAAAGCCCAGAAATGCTCATGATTGAAGACAAAAAAAAAAAAAAAAAAGAAAGAAAGTAAGAAAAGAAAAGAAAAAAAAACAGCCCAAATAAAAACTTGCTCTCTCTTACCAAGGATCAAAAAGAGAAGGTTCAGTAAGACACAATAATTTTAAGCAATAACTTCTCTACCAGCCAAATCGCATAAAATAATTGTGTGGCCACATTCTAACCAACAAACGCTGAGTAGGGAGTGTATACAACCACCTTTGCAAGGCATCCAAAATCTCCCACATGAGGGGTGCCAGAGAAAGCCAATTAGGAAGTAAGGAGCAGGACTGAAATCTCAAAAAGTCCGTAATGATCTCTCCCTGACACCCCAGCATCAGTAAAGAACATGGGGGTAACTCAGATCTCCAACTATTAGCAAGAATTAGATGCTTATGTCTCCCACTATAGTGGCATGCCATAGGCAACCTAGTGAAGGGTCAGGACTTTGATGTAACCCAAAGGTAAAGAGGCCACACTACCACAGTGTCAGTGAAGACTCCATGGAGAGTCGTAATTACAATCCCTGCATAGCAGTAATACAAAGATTCCCCAATATCAGATGTCAAGGTAGGCCAAGTAGAAAACCTAGAATTCCACTTCCGTCTGTCAGTAATAAGGCCCACTCCCCTTGCCCTGCCAAAGTGGTTTTAGAAAAAACCCATGAACATAGAAATTTTAAGTATAATCCTGAGACACATAATACTAAAAGGTTCCAGGTTAAAATTCAAAATCATTTATCAAATTGAGAACCAGTAAGATTTCAAAGTGAATGACAAAAGACAATTAGTAAATTCTAGCACTGAGATAAAAGCTGTGTTAGAATTATCTATGTCAAAGATTTCAAAGCAGCCATTATAAAAAATGCTTTAAGAAACAATAATTAACACAAATGAAACAAATGAAAAAAAATCTTCAGGTAAAGAAAGAGAATGTCAGCAAACTAACAAGATATAGAGGAGAACAAAGCTTAAATTTTTGGACTGCAAAATACAATAACCAAAATAAAAGGCACAAAGGATTGACTCAAAAGAACACATAAAGGTACAGAAGAAAAAATATCAGTAAATACAAAGAAAGAACAATAGAAAGCACCTAATATGAAAATAGAGACAATTGATAGGAAAAAAATGAACTCAGTTTAAGGTACCTGTGGAACAATAATAAGAGATCTAATATTTTCAGTCCTAAAAAACTACTAGAAGAAAATACATCTGAAGACTGTAGATTTGTAAATAAACATGAACTTTCGAGTTCAAGAAGTCAAGTGAAACCTAAACACAATAAACATAAAGAAATCCACTCTAAGGAACATTATCATTAAACTTCTTTTAACCTTTATTTTAGGTTCTAGGGTACATGTAGGTAAATTGAATGTCACAGAGGTTTGGGATACAGTTTATTTTATCACCCTAGTAATAAGCAGAGTATCTGATAGGTAGTTTTTTGACCCTCACTCTCCTTCCACCCTCTGCCCTCATGTAGGCCCTTTGTGTCTATTGTTCCCTATTTAAAAAGAATACTCTAGAGACAGTATGATATTGGCATCCAAATAAGACAACTAGATCAAAATAACAAAATAGAGAGTACAGAAATAGATATACATATATATTTTGATTTTTGACAAACTGATATTTGGCAAAGAACAAAGCCATTCTGTAGAGAAAGGATAGTATTTTTAACAGATTATGTTGGAAAAATTAGGTAAATATATGCAAAAAATGATCCATACCTCACACCATATAAAAAACATACACAAGTTTGTCCAGCATATAAATGTTAAATTTGAAACTACAAAACTTTAACATTCAATGTGATTTACCACTACTGAAGATTATTTACAGTGGTACTTAACACTTTAATATCTCCAAAAAGTGGACATTAGTTTTGATTTACTATATTGGTAGATACAGGCAATTCTAGGGGCTTCTACTAGGTCTTTCATGTAACGATAACCCTCACTTCACAGGTTAGGGAAAAAATGTGCAGGTTGTGTTTGGGTCTGAGTATGTCTGAAACACAGACACAGAGAAGACATGGAGACTAATGAGTTCACTGAGAGACAAACCACAACCAAAATTCAATTAATCTTCTGACTTTGGCAGTTTTCTAATTGGTTAATCCCAATGACTTTTGAGGATTCAGGAATTAGTGTTAATTCTGAACCACTGCCCACAGTTCCATAAAATTATGTTTCCCTTTTTCCCAGTGCTTAGTTATACTAGTAAATGATTTCAGGTCACTTGGAAAAGACCAAAAGAAACACTTAAATACAAATTTCAGCATCATAGCAGGATTATTCTTCAGATTACTGTATTCTTCTCCATGAAAGAGGCTTTGAGTCTGAATTTAAGAACAGATGGTTGGGCATGGTAGCTCTCACCTATAGTCCCAGCATCTTGAGTGGATAAGGTGGAAACGTCATGTAAAGCCAAGGAGTTTGAGATCAGCCTGGGCAACATAGCAAGCCCTGCTCTCTACAAAAATTAATAATAATAATAATAATAATAATAATAATAATTTAAAAATAATTAGATGGTCATGGTGGTATGCACATTTAGTTCCAACTATTTAGGAGGCTGAGGCCAGAGGACTTCTTGAGCCTCAGGAATTCCAGTCTACAGTGATCTATGATTGCACCACTGCACTCCAGCCTGTGTCACAGAGCAAGGTCCTATTAAAACAAAACAAACAATTGGTTAATGTCATGTGATCACCTGTTAAAAATACCTAAAGATTTTCCACTTAAACAGATCAAGTAACACTACTTTTGGAGAGAGATTGTCCATCATTTTAGCCCTCAGGTGACCAAGAATGATTAGTCAATAACATTAAACATATCTGCTTATCAAAGCATTCTGCTTTGTTTTTCAACTCTACTGCCCATTATGGTTATCACAACTACCTTGTCTGTCACATGTACTTCCTCTATGCATCCAAATTTCTAACAAAATTCCAATCTATCTCTTTATCTGCCCTTGAAAAATTTCAAGTTAAAAAACACTCATCATATTAAATACTGGCCAATTATTATTTTCTTCTTTATGAAATGGCTTCATCTTTTACCTTGTCTGCATCTTGAAATACTTTTATCACTATTTATCACTAGGATGTCTTTGGAGAATATTTTATGTCTGATTTCTGTATATTTTATGTCTGATTTCTGTATATTTTATGTCTTATTTCTGTACTGTGTTTAGATGATTTCTAACATCATTTCTAACAATTTCTACTGAATTGTGCTGTGATTTTCTTTTCTAATCTATTCCAAAGTAATTTATATTTGTTGTCATTTTAACTTCAATGTTTTCTTCTGAGTCTTTGATGTAATTGATTGAGTTTATTATTCTGTTTTATAACTTGTTAAGAAAACAACTCAAATTTAAATTTGTAAATTTAATCTTGCCTACCTCAGTGATCTCTAATAAAACTAACATTTTATTTTTATGTCTGCAACATAAATCATTAAAACAGCAGTTATTCTCATATGATAATGTCTTCCACATACTAGAAGAGTCAATGCTTATTTTTCAGAAGATCTATAACATTAGTGTGCCATGTTTTAAAAAATAAAACTTTTTCTTTCAAATTTCTATAAAGAAATATACCTTTCTAAACAGGTCCTTGAGTTAGATTTGTTGAAAACTTGCAACATATATTTATGCTTATTGGCCATCATTGCAAATATTTAAAAAAGTCATCTTTGATATTTCATAAAGGTTTTATTGATACTAAGTCATAATTTTTCCTCATATAGTGAATACCATACCTTTAGATCTGGGGGGCAGGGAGAGAACAATAAAAATAATAAAATAGAACAAAGTAAAAGTAACATTATATCTGGCATTATTGAATTTTCTCTTTATTATCATTGTATCTATTTTATTAGTTATACTTGGTATATTATAGCATTTAGAAACATTTACATTTCCTACTATAAACTGAAATTCTACATTTTTATTTCATATTCAAATGAATAAAATATGACTATTGGACTTATTGTCTATCGAATATGTATTACAGGTTTATGTAAGTATTCTATTTTCTCAAATTGTGTTATCTTGACATTTTAATGTATCTGAAAAGATGACATTTTTCTTTTGCATGTCTCCTGTCTTGCTTTAAAAACTTGTGATTTCAAAAAATTTACTTTCTCTTTTTGTTACTTTTGTAAGTTGCTATGCAACTAAAACAGGGGCTTTGCTATAATTTTTTTTCATTTGAACTATTTGCTGTTACTTCCTTTACATTTTTAAGCTTTCAGTATTTATGAGAGATAATAAAACCTATAATGTTAGCCAAATAACAAAATTACTCTTATCATGCATTTAATGTATCAATAATCAAAATTAACCCATATGTTGTTTACTCTATGGATATTCATTTTGGTTTCAGAATTATAAACTATTGAAATTTAATTACTGTGAGAACGTTGTGATTTTATTATAAAATTACAAGAAAGTAAAGTTTTTCAGAGTACTAAAAATGCACAACAGACTAAAATCGAAATCATTCATTTGTTAATCTTTGCTTCATTTAGCTAGTCTTCCAGGGTCTCATTTTTTTCTGATATACAAGCTTTAAGCATATTAGTAATATTCTTAAATCAGTGAAAAATTCTAAAGGTTAATCTTGTAGACTAATAATCCAAAGGAAGATCAATATATTTTTCACATGGTCAAATTATCGGACTAGCAATTTGGATTCAAAAATAGTTACTACATTTTTATTTAAACACAGACCAGGAAGAAAGACAAAAAATAAGTGGAGCATGAGGACCAGTGGAAGGAAACACGAAAAGGGGAAAATGAAAGAGGCCAGAAAAAGAGCTGAATTTGTAGGTTGCACTAAGCTGTTTGAGATTTTTTTCACACAAGCCTGCCCATATGAGTATGATATGTAGATCAAACATAAATGCTGCATAGTGCTTACATTATTAAGCCTTCTACAAAAGTGTCATGTAGCAGTAGACCCTTGATTTTATTTTAAAACAATCTGAACATCAGACCTGTAGATTATTAGGATAAAACACCAGACCTTCACAGTGAATATATTAGTAAATGGAGAAATAGGTCTCCATAGCCAGTGGATGGGAGGAACACATAGAGGCAAACACTATTTACCTATGACTATATATAAATAGGTCATCTATTCACATAGCATAGAAAAAAGTAGTTTTACAATCTCAAAAGTAAACAGAAAAGCAAATATATTTGCTCACTTTAAAAAACATACACGAATAAGGTAGAAAGGTAGAAATTGTGTGGGAGCATCTATCTCTTTCTAGTTTAGGCAGATATATTTATAAATATGTCAACACTAGCCTCAAACAGATTGGTTCTCACTGTCAGCAGTTGACTACATCAATGTGAAACTGATTAAGAAGTAACTAAAATACTTTCTGTGTCTCAAAAATAAAGTTTGAGAAGATACATGTTTTTTAGCCCTTGTTTTTCACTGTTTATTGTGGTATTAAGCTTCTTTCTTCCTAATGGGGATTAAAGGAAAAAAACACCAGCATGATAAGAATGCATGTGGAAGGGAGAAAAATGAGAACAACAACAACAAAAACCTACAGTGAAAGAATTACTGACCTCTGCTCTCCACAAATATTGTTATGCTACAATTTAATGATTGAGCATAAAAAGTCTCCAAATTTTTACAATTTAATGATTGAGCATAAAAAGTCTCATAATGATGAGAAGAAAAACTTTCCAAAGCATGAATAATTATTCACTTAGCCAATGGTCTTCCCGGTTAATTTTAAGGACCTTTAGTTAGAAGGAAATATAGCTATTTCTTGGGCATTTTAAATATGCAGCATTCATGCCCAAAACAGGATTAAAATTTAGAACCTTATAAGTGGAAGCTAAACTATCAGGATGCAAAGGCATAGAAACAATACAACAGACTTTGGGGTCTTTGAGGGAAGGGTGAGAGCAGTGTGAGAGATAACAGACTACGTATTGTGTACCGTGTACATTGTTCGACTGATGAGTGCACCAAAATCTCCGAAATCCCCACTAAAAAACTTATCCGTGTAACAAAACACCACCTGTTTCTCCAAAAATCAATTGAAATAATAATAATAATAATAAAAACAAATTTAGAACCTGAGACGTACATATCAGCCAAGTTGAAGCCATTCAATAGGCAATGTCAAACTGGCTTACAGATTTTCTTTGCCATTTTCCTCCAGCCTCCCTTTAGTCCTCTCGGCTCTACTCTCATTCAGAATTAATGGCACGATTTGATCATATAGATGACATAATGAAAGCAAAACTAAAATTCAACCAAAATGACCTGTATTTAAAAATAAATAAATCTTCAGCTTTTTATCGTCCCCATACTTAGTACTTTCAAATCATTATAAAAGGAAAGTGGGAGTCAGAGAGGAAAAACAAACGATTCATAAAGCAATGTTAACATTTGTTACACATACTTCCAATTTTCTCTGACTGTAATCATACAGTAGATACCAAACAAAACACTTGGCAGTGGATGATCTGCTGAAATAATCACTCCTGCTCTGAGGACTGCCCTCTCTCAAGACTGGGTGAAAACAACCATGTTTGTACTCCTTGATCTGTCCCACTGTCTGGCTATGGCTTATGATAACAGGAGGGGATACCTGTTGAAAACAGGAATACTGGTTCATGTTCTAGTGATTTGAAATTGGGAGAGATTCTAGTTTCTTCTGAGTATACTTTTAAAGCATGATTATTTAAACGTGGCAGGTAGTTTTTCACCATGTGAAAAGTTCAGACTACTGGCCTGGTGTGGTGGCTCACGCCTGTAATCCCAGCACTCTGGGAGGCAAAGGCGGGCGGATCACAAGGTCAGGAGTTCGAGACCAGCCTGACCAACATGGTGAAACCCCGTCTGTACTAAAAATACAAAAAAATTAGCCAGGAGTGGTGGCGCACGCCTGTAATCTCAGCTACTCAGGGGGCTGAGGCAGTAGAATCGCTTGAACCCAGGAGGCGGAGGTTGCAGTGAGCCAAGATTGCGCCACTGCACTCCAGCCTGGGTGACAGAGCAAGACTCTGTCTCAAAAAAAAAAAAAAAAAAAAAAAAAGTTCAGACTACTGAGAAAGACATGGAGAATGAAATTTTGGCACCAGACTGCAGAAGAGCCTGAAAGAGTGGCTTTCTGCAGTCAAGACCAGGTTCCTCATTTCCATATTTTTGGTGGTCAGAATACTCTCTTATATTTAGCCTGGTAAACTTCTAATGATTTTTTTTTCTTGCTTAATGAATCTCAAGTTTGTTTCTTGGAACAAACAAATAGAAAAAAATTTGACTTTATAACTTATTTTGATCACTACTTACTTTTAATAAGTATTAATTGTGCTAGGGAAAATTAATAAACTTAAGTTGTTTTGTAAGCTGCTTTTCAAAATTTCAAAAACAACATATTTCATGTTCAGATGCATCTGAGCAAATACTCTCATATGCAAATACACATAATTAAGAAAATGGCTGTTAATTAAATGCAGGATCACATGTAAAACACAATCATTTGTCCTGACAATAGAGGTATAAATAGGAATTTAACTACCATCATTAAAATTTCTGCTTCAGGATTTATATAAATGGAAATGTATTCAGATCTTGCCTAAGCTGAACAAATAATAATGTTTCAACCTATTCACTTACAAAATAGGTTTATTCATGTGTTTGTTTTAAGGGGGTAATTGGACATTAAGGGGGGATTTTTTTTTCCTGTTAGGCAGCCAAGGTAATAATTTATTTAACAAGAGAAATATTATTTGACTAACTTAGAATTACCTTTCAAATGCCTGAGATTCCAGACTGAGATGGAGCCATCAAGCAGAATGTTCCAAATGACCTGATGCATCCCATGAGAAATAATGACTTAACTTGATTGGTAAAAATCAATGGTATCTGAATTGCTTTTTGCCCAAGAACATTTTATCGTCATATTAAAACACTATCCAAGAAGCAACGTAGAAAAGTGACAACATGACAGAGTAAAGTTGGGCTATGGAAATCTATTGTACATCTTCTATAAATTAAGCTGAACACTTGGTTCTTTAAGATGAAACACAATGTGGTGATTTCCCTTTTCTGAAGAAATGTTGCAGCAATGTAGATTTCCATGAAATTTTTTGTGAAAATGTCCATGTGTTCCCTCTTAAATGAAACCTGGTTTCATGTTTCAGCTTATTCAGGTTTCATTGCATTTTCATTTTACAATAGTGTATTATAATATGCTTCATTATTTTACTTAAAATTTTTATTTCAGTCATTACAAATGAGGATAAATGTGTTTCTGTGCTTATTTCCTGAAACATACTAGAGACTCAGTAGACGTTTGCTGAGCAAGTGGCTTAATAACTGGACTGGCAGAAGTGGATGAATGGATAATTACTGATTATATACTTATGTCAACTTTTGAAAATTGCCTACTTAAGACCTTTAATATCTGGACTATTTTTTTAATTACTGATGTTTCAAAGTACACTATGTGTGAATTTTAACATTCTGACTTTCAATTTTGTTTATATTTATATTATGTGGAATTTTAAAATTATTTTCTTATCATATTTAATCATTTTATTTATTATCACTTTGTTCTTACACTTGAAATGTCCTGTTTTCACTGAGACTAATTATAACCCCAACTATTTGTGTCCTTTAATTTCTTTCATTATACTTAAAGAATTCATTTACTTCAAATCATATTATTAAGTCAATCAAATTTTTAAGAAACAATTAATTAATTCCTAGGGCTCTATCTGGTCATAGTTCCAAATACAGTTAAATAAGTGTACTTTCTATTATACACATATATGAATTACCACTTTGACTTAAATATCAAGTTTTTGAAAAACAATAGCCTGCTACCAGAGGAATTACTTTCCTATGTTATAAATTAATTTATTTCATGTGGCAATGTGAGAAAGTTTCGTGATATCAAAGGACAGAAATCAAACAATATTACAAGCAATCTTCTTATACATTCTACAGAAAGTGATTTTTTTAAGGGAAAATTAGACATTACCGCCACTGAATTTTTTAGGCCTTTGCTGGAGAATTTTCTCTTACTTTCAGATAGCTGAAAAGTAAAGACTAGAGGCAGATGGAATGAAGCTCACTGATAGACAATCTTGCACAGCACCCTTTTTCCAGGGTGATATGTCATGGCCACTATCTCAGTAAGCAAGGTGATTGATAGCAATAACACTTGATTCATTTCTCGTTAGGGGTATGAAGATCACACTTCCTTAATGTTCCAATACATTTTTTTTTCATAAAACCTATGCACAATATCTTAAATTATAAAGCAAGATTGAATCACCTATTCAGAATGGGCCTATACAGTTGAAACACTGAAGAGTATTGTGTCTTTGACAAGCACAGATAATTCCCATGTAGCTTCCAGCCACACCGATTAAACATCATTTTTAGTTTCTTTTTAAAAAACCTCCAGCTATCTTCTGAGTTGTTAAAGTAAAGATACACTGGGTGACTTGAGGCTGAAATTGTTTCCCTATTTATGTTGCATATTTTATATACCTCTTTGCTGCAATCTTCAAGTTATATAACCATTCCCCTTAGTGTTTTTAGAAGATTATGCTAATGTCCATTACTAAAAGTGACCTTTTATAGAAAAAAGAAGGTTGTTACTTTTCAGCAGCATATTTCTCAGCTGTATAGCACAAAACAAAGTTGCAGATTACAGGCTTTCATATTGTAGCTGAAAATACAGGTGGATTCAGGGTTAAAGAATAATGTAGTTGGGTCTTTTTCTACTAGTGACAGCAAACAATCTCCTAGGGAGATTTTTATTTTTTCTCTCAATAACTTTGATCTTTGTCCTCTCATTTATTTCTTTCTGAGTCATTTCTGCTCCCGATAGTGACATATCCATTCCTCTTGCATGAATCATCGATGACTGATATAGAGCAGTAGATGCAGACACTTTGAGTGTACAGTGACAAGAAAGCACAACTGAATTTGGAGTAAAATATATTTTATTAACATTCCCTTTAAACCAAGCTTTTCTCCTTCCTTAAAGTAGATGAATACACTTACTTCATATGGTTTTAATTGATATTCATTTAAAACACTTAACCAACTCCATGGCACGTAGTAGAAAAAATGAATATCAGTTTCCATTTCCTCACTTTCCTCAAATATTGTATATAAAATTTATTATCAAAATGATGAATAATACATAGATTGTCCAGTTTCCTACAGAGACATTAATTGGCAACTAAAACTTAAATACAGAGCATAGTAGTAATACTGTTGGAGGTTGTACTAATTAATGAAAATTCACAGTAAATATTCATAAAATATTTGCTATAGGGGTTGTGGTGCTATATTTGATAATATTCTATCTTTGATTGCCTACATTCAATGTATTACTATGTTTGAATTTGTTTATTTTAAATCGTCACCAATTTTTCTCCTTATAATTTTTCTATTTTTAATTTTTATACACATAATAGTTGTACATATTTATGGGTACATGTGTTATTTTGATACAAACATACAATGTGCAATAATTAAATCTGGGTAATCGTGATATTCATTATCTCAAACATTTATCATTCCTTTGTATTAGGAGCATGCTAAATCTTCTTCTCTAGCTATTTTGAATTACACAATAAATTATCGTTGACTGTGGTCACCCTATTGTTCTATCAAACACTATAACTTATTTCTTCTATCTAATAGTATTTTTGTACCCATCAACCAAGTCCTTCATCCACCCCTCCCCACTGCTATTTCCAGCTCTGGTAACCACCATTCTACACACTGCCTTCATGAGATCAAATATTTTAGCTCCCACATATGAATGAAAACACGTGATTTTTGTCTTTCTATGCTCTGATTATGTCACTTAATATAATGTCCTCTAGTTTCATTAATATTGCTTCAAATTACAGGATTCGTTTCTTTTTTTAAGGCTGAATAGTATTCCATTGTATGTGTATATACTATTTTTTTTTATCCAGTCATCCATTGATGGACACAGGTTGACTCCATATCTTGGATTTTGTGAATAGTGCTTCAATAAACTTGGGAGTGCAGCTATGTCCTTGATATACTGATTTTCTTTATTTTGGATATATACCCAGCAGTAGAATTGCTGGATGATATGGTAGTTCTATTTTTAGTTTCCTGATGAACCTCCATACTGTTTTCCGTGGTCGCTGTACTAATTTATATTCCCACTAACAGTGTACAAGCGTTCTTTCACTGCATTCTTGCCAGCATTTGTTATTTTCTGTGTTTTTGATGATAGCCAATTTAACCAGGTTGACATGATATTGCATTGTAGTTTTGATTTTCATTTCCAAGATGATTAGTGACGTTGAGCTTTTTTTATATACTAGTCGTCCCTTTGTACGTCTTGTTTTGAGAAATATCTGTTCAATTATTTTGCCCATTTTTAATTGGATTATTTGTTTCATTATTGAGTTGTTTGAGCTTCTTATATACTCAAGTTATGAATCCCTTGTTGAATGAATAGTTTGCAAATATATCTTCTCTCATCCTGTAGGTTGTTTCTTCATTTTTTCGATTGTTTCCTTTACTCTGAAGAAGCTTTCTAGCTGGAAACCCCTGTCTCCCACCATATGAAAAAAAATAAAAATGGATTAAATACCTAAATTTAAGACCTGCTACTTTTAATTGCTAGAATAAGACATTCAGAAAACACTACTGGACACTGGTCTGGGCAAATATTTCTAGAATAAGACCTCAAAAGTACAAGCAAGCAAAGCAAAAAATGACAAATAGGATTACATCAAGCTAAAAAACTCTGCACAGCCTCTTAGAATTTATTTCTACTTTTTCTAAAGTAAGTTTTTCACTGTTAGTTCAAACGTGGTTTTGGTTCAACTTCCAGATTGATACATTTGAAGACAGCATCTTTTCACAATTTTAATTTTTGAACTGCCAGATAATATTTCTAATGCATTTTCATAATGCAGTTTCTGCCTTGCCTACCACATTTATTCCAAATTACTTGGCTTAATACTAACACTTTCCAAATATGGTAACATTTACTTACCCAAACTCTATCTCACTCTCTCTAATAATATGTTAATCTAAAAAGAAAGTTTTTCACTTCTAACTGAAAAAACAATAAAAATTTCTATGTTTGGAAATTTGTTTGTATTAACATTCTTATCAAGAGATAGCTTTTTCTAAATTACCTAATTCATTCTAGTAAATAATTTTCTTTGTTTCTATCATATTTAGTATCAGTATCATAAAAATGATATATCACTTTTTATGTTCATTAATGTTGTCTCAAATTTACCTTTTATAGCACACTATATTTTATTTTTATTTTTATTTATTTATTTTTTTGAGATGGAGTCTCACACTGTCTCCTGGGCCGGAGTGCAATGGCATGATCTCAGCTCACTGCAACCTCTGCCTCCCAGGTTCAAGCAATTCTTCTGCCTCAGCCTCCCAAGTAGTTGGGATTACGGGCACCCACTACCACGCCCGGCTAATCTTTTGTATTTTTAGTAGAGACAGGGTTTCATTATGTTGGCCAGACTTGTCTGGAACTCCTGACCTTGTGATCCGCCCGCCTCAGCCTCCCAAAGTGCAGGATTACAGGTGTGGGCCACTGCGCCCGGCCCACACTATGTTTTAGAATGGGAGAGGCACAATAAATACCTATTGAGTCTATGGATTAATGTAAAATTAATTACTTAATAAATGGCCAGGTGAGCCATGAATAAACAATATAATAATTTGCGATTACTCAAACATAATTTCAGTGATATTATTAAAAAGATACTAATAATTTGAATATATATATTTTTTGACCACTTACTTAAGACTAATGATCAAATCACTCCCCAAAGAAACTATATTAAAACATCGTAGTAGCTGCTCAGAAATGTGAACACTTCAATAATAGACAATAAAATAGTCATATATAATATTAGAATTATGGTCAATTTCTTTGGTTATGAAGTTCAGAAAAATTACAAGATATTACTACATTTTAAAATTTAAATATACTATTTTTTGTTATTGTTTTACTTATTTTGTGACTTATGATAATTGTAATTCCTTCTAATAGATTTAGCTTATAGTATTTTTAAGTATTCTATTTAGCTCTATTACAGATATCTTAAGATTTGCATTTAACATGTAGAAATACACATTGATATATTTATTTTTATATTAATATATTATTTTCTTAAGTTTTACAATTATAAAACATAATACCCAAGCATAATCTGAAAATATCACATCAGAATGAAGAGAAACAGAAAAAATTTCATCAATAAAATTAAATTCAATAATTATTATTGAGATCAAATTCCTTCAATATTGCCTCTTTGCTTATTTCAACCTCACTTTATATCACAAAATATATTATTCAATATGCCTTATACATAGGTCACTTTTAATTAAATTTTTATGGCCTTTTTACAACCACTTGGAGTAGAACTATCTGAAGATTTTTAGGCATATATGTTTATGTTTGTATAAAGGTAAATGTATGTACATTTGTATAAGAGTTTGTATTTTATTTCACGTAAATTTTTGTTATAAAATGTGAAATTAACAAATTAAATCTAAATGTATGCTCCAACGTTCATCATTTGGTAATAGGTCTTTGAAACTATCAGATATTGCTGAAGTACATAATACTATCCCTAACACAATGAAGCTGCTTATCTGGACCAAGATTATCAGACATAAATATATTTGACAAGCCAATGAAGCAAGTTCAGAATTTCAGCTGTGTTTCTTTTATTTCTCTCTCTTTTCTTCCTTCTATTTATCTTTTTATTCACTCTAAGCAAACTGTAAAAATCTATCTTGACCTCTTTATCTCTCATCTATCATTGCTACATAATCAGACAAAATTATTTGTTTGGTAAATTCATAATGTATTCTTCATGTTACACAATCAAAATTTTGAGACAAGGGTCTTCAACTCTTGTTCTGTGGTGTGTTTCCATTTATTTAAATTAAAACATATATTGTATAATAAAAGGAAGGTAATAAATTTATATTTCAGTTTTTTAAATTTTAAGTTACTTAATGACACTGCTTACTGTAAATACAGAGCTCACATACATATGAGAGAACATTATTTTGGAAAGATGAAGCATTACATTGTGATATAATATTAACTACACAAGTAGTTATAAATATTGGTTTATATATTAAAAAATAAAAATTGTGCTATTTCTAAGATTGTCAGTCATAAAATGTTCTAGTTGATATCTTGTTAAGACATCTAAAATTATTCCATAGCGACATTAATAGAGTACTATTATTCCACAACTAACATTAAACTTTTTCAGAAATACAATAATTTTTAATAATGTAATTTACATAACAGAATAGCTAAGATACTGGAATTCCTCTGGTCTATGAGTCTTTACACATTCAAAACTGCATCTTAGAAGAAGAAAGAAAGTTCTAATTTTTTATGTCTCTTCTGGTATATGTTTGAAAAATTACTCTTTCAAATGTCAAATATTGGAGTTGACATGGTGACTCAGTACTGTAATCCCAGCTACTCTGGAGGCTGAGGCAGGAAAATCTCTTGAGACCATGATGGACAACATGGGAAGACCTTGTATATACAGAAAGCTTAAAAAATTAGTGAGGCATGGTGGCACATACCTGTAGCCCCCACTACTCAGGAGACTGAGGTGATTGGACCACTTGCACTCAGAAGTTCGAGGCTGCACTGAGCTGTTATCAAACTACTGCATTCCAACCTGGATGACAGTGAGACATCATCTCTAAATAAATACAAAAAGACCTAAATATCAAATGTTATAAATACAGCCTTGTTTAGTAAAATAGAACAGCCTATTTTATTTCAAGTTTTTATATGTTTTACTTTACTCTTGCACATCAAATAATGTGATTTATTATTGGCTCTTGTTGTACGAACATGTAGCATTATCAGCCAAGATCTGCACACGTTATGTTTATTGGTTGCTCCTCAGTGTCTACCTTAGAGTCTACCTGACATATATTCTTCTGACATGACAGAATAAATAAATATTTAAGGTATTCTTTTCTACTTGTTTGAACATTAATTTAGAATTGATTCTTAGAGATAAGGAAATTCATCTATTTTAATGGTTTGGGGAACCATATGTATAACACTGGCAGCAGATAATTATTGCTGAGAAATCTAAAGAAGAAAATAGGTCATTAAATTAATGAAATTAAAAGGTGAAAAAAATAGTAAGTAACCAAGAAAAAATTATTTTATGTTGGCATCTGAGATGTAGTAATTTAATAATGAAGTAATATCCCAAAATGTTCAATATTTTGATTCAAACATCTTTGAAACAGGCTTCTATATTCCGTTTTTTTATATTTGTTTGTTGCTAGCTTGAAATGTATCTACCTTATTTGATCTCAACATGGCTGTCAGATTCTACACTAATTGCTCCTAGTTTTGAATTCCTTCTCCCATTTTTATCCTCAGCACTGCTGTCAGGGTAATGTTTTTATTTATTTAAGAAAAATTTTTTTAGAAACGTAGTCTCACTATGTTTCCCAGCCTAGTCTTAAACTTCTGACCTCAAATCATCCTCCCCTTTCAGCCCGTCTGGTTGCTGGAGTTACAAGTGTGAGCCACCACACTCAGCTAAGGGTATTATTTTTAAAACCTAATTTGGACAAGTCACAAATTAGAGGCTCAGAAATGTTTTAATTTCTTTTAAAATTACAATTAAAATGCCAGGATAGATTGTGTCTTTATATTAAATCAGTTATAAAATACACTTAAAAAACTTAATTCAGTATATTCAAGAATGTGTCAAAGAGTAACAGCAACCAAAGTTGTCACTAAGAAATTGGTTTCGCTTACCTACAATATTGGTAATACCTAAAATGCTAAATGGGGTATACTCTTGCAAAGGAACTGTATAAAGGTATCAATGGAATACAAGGAAAATGGCCCAAGCTGTTATCCCAAGTACTGTGAAAAATCACTCACCATCCTTACATCTTGTGAAAATTGTCCAAGGATACATTTTTTGTAGTCTCCTCTACCCCACTGATTTCACAGTATCAATTCATAGTGATGCACTCTTTGGCTGTTTATTTCACTGTGTCTAATCTTGCTTCACAAACAGAGCACAATCCTTTATTCTACTTTCTACTAGAATACTCTTAGTATATGACTGCTATAGATTTATTTTTAATTCTTTATTCCTTTGAACTTTAGGACAAAATTGGTTATCTCTCCTGATCATTGCTGGGTAACTTCTTAAAAGTGACTTCTACAAATATTTTAGTGTAAAAACCTGAAAGTTTATGATTAATTTATTAAACTCTACCCTCCTAATATGTGTTATGTCCAAATTAGGCTTTAAAAATATTATCCATAGCTGAGTGTGGTGGCTCACAATTGTAATTCCAGCAACTCCTAATAAATTGAAATTACAGCTTTCAGCATTTTATTATTTTTGAATATAAGATAATCTGGCTTTAAAAAATTATTTATCCTTGCTTTTGCATTTTCTGAATATCTTCATTGACTTGTCTCTGGTAAAATTTCAGGAAGTAACACTCACTTGAAAATTTAATAATGATGACTTATATAATGTTCACAAAATCTCATTACTATCATGTTGACAAATTCTAGTGATCAAACTGTTATTCACAAAAGCCCGTATTTTTAAAGTGCTTCTTGATATTCAGCTAAAGTGAAGAAATGCATTGTTTCAAAACAAACTGAAATAGCCTTAAAACCTAGAGATATTTTTCTAAAATTTATTTTAAATCTAACACCATACCTCCTTAAGAATAGTTCATCATAGAATGTACTTTTTCTAATAGTGGTTAAGAAAATGCTTATGAATTATTGCTCTGTAAATTAAGGATGATGTAATAAAATCAATATTTAAAAATATAATCTATTAGTTGATAATAGGTATAAAAAAAGTAAATTTCTGCTAAAAGTAACAAAAACTGTATTTATGATTAGCAAAAAGGTACCTTATGCAACTTTCAAAGAATGTGATAAGTATGTAAACATATAACTACATTTGAGCACATATGCATAAGTATTTTAAGTATATACATATATACACGTATGTGATACAATAAAATATTTGTGAGGTTCTAGAAAACAGAAGTTTCTAGGGGAATCTTTTAGATTCAATAACACTTCAAAATCTGAATAGAGAATCTGAAATTGATATATCCTTTGTCTCTCAAAGCAATACCAGCCAATACAAATAAAGAAAATTTCTAACTTTATAATCCCTTTAATAGCCACATTTTATTTTTTAAATACTTTAAATCTTCAAGACTTTGGATCTCACACATCTGACCTTCCCACAAGCAGCCCTCCAACGGCCTTTTTAGATCACCAAAAAAGGTCCTATGGTCTCTACATAAAATGAGTATGTAATGCTTTGAAAGTGAAATATGATTGCTAATTATTTAATAGGGATTGAGTAATGAGATTAAATAAAAATATCAAAAATTGAAGATTGGGTATATGTTAAAATGTGCAATACAGTAACTTCATATTTCATTTGATATTATTGCTGACTCCATGAAAAGATAATACTTAAGACATTCTAATTTCAGCTGATATCATTAACTGGAAATGGTACATGGAGCTGAATTTTTTGGACAACTTAGGTTATTGATTGTGACAGATTTATTAAAGTAGTTAATCAAAGGTTCAATTTAAACATACTTACATATAAATTGGATGTTTTTAAACAAAATTGCCATGAGTTTTCTTATATCTTTATGTTTGGTCAGGCAACAAAACCAGAAGAGAGAAGAAATGAGAAACAATATTCTGACAAGCAAAAAAGCAAAATTATATGGGTAATGCTACCCAGTGGCAAATATTTATAAAGCATAAGCTTCAAATTCCATGAGATTCATGGACTACACACCATCTAAGATCCTATAGTTCAATAAAGCCATTTGTATCTAACACTGAATATAATTATTAAGACACCAAGACTTCAGACTTTTAAGAGGCTCTTAGCTAGCGGTTTACTAAAAATTATGTCACAATTACGCTCTTCAATTTTTTTAATTTTTGCTCACATAACCATATGACAAGGCAACACATTAGGAAAATAGAAATTACATTATGAGGATTTAGGCTGCTACTCAAAAGTGTCTATTTAATTATGATTCATATAAATGCCCATACATTTTAACACTTACAGCAGAGATTCTGAGGGTCATTTGATAAGAAGAGATAGGGAAATGAATAATCAGAGCTTCAATTCATTAAGAATATTTTATGTAACAAACCTCACATTATGAATAGTTGTTCTCTACCTTCTGTGTGTGACAGAATTACCTACAGAAATTTTGAAACAATACTGATACCCTAGCACTATGAAGATTCTGATTCAATTGGTTAGGAATGGGGTCCAGCCCATCTTTTCTCTCTTTCTTGCTCTCTCTGTGTCTCTCTCTCACACTTGCTCGCTACCTCCCTGGTAATTTAGGTGCATAGGGATATTTTTTAATATTCACACTCACCTTATAACTATAATGTGTCTTGGTTAAGGATGAGGGCAACAAAGTTTAGCAACTAATGGTATCATACGTAAAAAATACCAAGAAGTACTAAAATTAGAATTCAAATTCATTTCTGCGTGACTTTTCATACATGTTTGGACTTTTCATACATGTTTGTAATTTTCACTTTTGTGCATAAGATTAATATAACTATGAAAATATTTGAATTTACCATCTGATTTACCAAAGCCCTACAGGGGGTAATTATATAAATATTCCCCCACTATTCTGTGATATTCACCGGCAATGACTAAAGGCTTTCCTACTAGTAGTCGTCGTCATCATAAGTAAATAGTGATACTTAAAAGTTGCTTATTTTGCACTTGGTAATCTCTTCATTTGAAAGGAACACTGCTATGTGCTTGGTAGATTACAAACAAAAAGGAAAAAAAAAAAAGAAGGAACAGTACTAAGCAATATTGCATTTTCTCTGCCCCATGGATAACAAAGCAGCCTTGAAGTGGGGTGCCTCCATTTCCTGGGGCTTCCATAACAAAGTACCACAAACTGAGGGGCTTACAACAACAGAAATGTCTTCTCTCACAGTTCTGGAGGTCAGAATTCCAAAATCAAGGTGTTGGCAGGGTTGTGGTCCTTCTGAGACTCCTTCCTTGCCTCTTTCTAGCTTCTGGTGGTGGCCATAAAGCCTTGCTATTCATTGACTTATAGTTGTATGACTCCCTCCATCTTCACAGGGTTTCCTTCCTGTGGGTTAATTTCACATTGTCTTCTTACAAGGACACCAGGCATATTGGGATACAAGCCCACCCTAAAGACTTCATCTTTATTTTTTCATTGTGATGAAGACATGGATATAACACTTACCATCTTAGCCATTTTTAAGTACATAGTATAGTAAAGTTAACTACATGTACGTTGTTGGACAACAGACTTCTGGAACTAATTTATGTAGTAACACTGAAACTCTGTACTCATTGAAAGATTTTACTTTTCCCCTTCCCTAGTCCCTAGCTACTACCTAATGCTATTTTCTGTTTCTAAGAATTTGACTGTTTTATAAATCTTATATGAATGGCATCACACAAATTTTTTTTTGTGATTGGCTTATTTTACTTGGCATAATGTCCTCAAAGTTCATTCATGTTGTAGCATATGAATGGAATTTCTTCCTTTTTTTAAGACTAAATAATATTCCATCATGTTTATATGACACATTTTCTTTATTCATTCATCCATTAACAAACATTTAGTTTGCTCGTGAATTGAATATTGTAAATAATGTTGTAAAAAACATAAATATGACAATATCTCTCCAATATCTCATTTTTAATTCCTTTGGATATATACCCATATGTAGGATTGCTGGAACGTTATTGTAGCTATAAATTTAATTTTTTGAGGAACCTCTATATTGTTTTCCATAGTGGCTGCCCCATTTTGCATTCCCAGCAACAGTGCATAAGAGTTCCAGTTTCTCCATATCTTTTCAAATATGTATTTTCTTTTTGGTTTGGTTTAGTTTGGCTTTTAAAAAGGAGTATCCATCTTAACAGTTGTGAGGTAATATCTTATTGTGGATTTGATTTGTATCTCCCTGATTATTAGTGACAATTACCATATTCTCATATGCTTGTTGGCCATTTGTATATCTTCCTTGAACAAATGTTTGTTCAAGTTCTTTTCCCATTTTTAATATTTTTATTGCTGTTGTTTTTGCTGTTGCTGTTGTTGCGGTGGTTGTTGTTTACTTGTAGGAGTTCTTTATATATTTTGAATTTTATGCTTTTATCATATGCATGGTATGCAAATATTTTCTCCAGTTATGTAGGTTGCTTTTTACTCTCTTTGCCATGGAGAAGTTCTTAAGTTTAATGTAGTCCCTTTTGCCTATTTCTCTTTTTGTTGCCTGTGCTATTGGTGTCATATGCAGAAGATTATTGCCAATACCAATATCAGCAAGGTTTTTCTCTATTTTTTCTTCTAGGAATTTTATAGTTTTATGTAGTACATTTTGGCCTTTAATTCATTTTTAGTTAATTTTTATGTTTTTAATTAAGTGTCTAACTTGACTCTTTTCCAGGTGGGCATCTATTTGTTGGAAAGACTATCCTTTCCCCATTTTATGACTTGGCATCATTTTCAAAGATCATCTGACTACATAAGTGTGGGTTTATTTCTAGGTTCTCTATTCTGTTCCATTAGTCTCTATGCCTGTCTTTATGTGAGTACCATACCTTTTTGATTACTATTGCTTTATAATATCTTTTTTAATTAGTGTGAGAACTCCAGTTTTGCTTTCTTTTGCAAGATTGTTTTGGCAATTTGGGATCCTTTTAAGTCCACATTATGATTGTTAAATTTATGTGTCACCTTGACTGAATTAAGTGTTACCCAGATAGTTGATTGATGTTACTTCTGGGTGTATCTGTGAGAGTGTTTCTGGAAAAGATTAGTGTGAATCAGTAGACTGGTAAAGAAGATATGCACTCACCAATTTGGGTGAGCATCATCCAATGCCTTGAGAGCCTTAATAGAATAAACATTTAGGGAAAAGGCAAACCTTTCTTTTTTCTCTTGAGCTGGGACATGCATCTTCACAGGCTCTCAGACATCAGAATTTATTATTTTTCAAAATAAGCTTTCTTCTTCATTTTTTTTTCTCTGCTCCTTGTGAGATACCAATAATGGATACATTTATCAGCATGCTGGTGTTCCATGAGTCCTTTGGACCTCTTTATGTTTTTTATTTTCATTGTTGTTGTTCCTCTGACTCGATATTTTTAAATGACCTTTTAAGTTTAATGACTTATTCATCTGTTTGATCAAGTTTGCTAATGAGTCCTTCTGGTATTTTTTAAAAGTTTATATTCTCCAGAATTTCTATTTGGTTCTTTTTTATAGTTTCTATCTCTTTCTTAATATTTTTATTTTGTTCATGCACCATTTTCCTAATTTCATTTAGTTTTCTATCTGTGTTATCATATCACCCTTAGCCCCTTTAGAATAATTACTTGGAATTCCTTGTTTTATATTTCATAGACAGGAGCAGTTTTGGAGATGTTTTTTTTTTTCTTTGATTGGGTCATGCTTCTCTGTTTCTTTGGGTGTCTTTTTATTTTTTGTTATGATTCTTGCCTTTTTAAAAAACAACCTCCTGTCTCAGTCCTCATGAACCAGTTGTATACAGGGAAACACTTCCATAAATCAGCCAAGCTGGAAATTCTGGGGACCTCTCAATTTTTCATGGAGATTCTTCTTCTCTGGGCTTGGAATGTAATTTTTGAATTAGAGAGGTTTGCAGGGTTTTTTCTCTTCTTCCTTTTTTTTTTTTCTTTTTGAGGCTTTGTCGTTTCTTACTTCCCCTGTTGTCTAACTGTGGCATTGTAGATTCTCTGGTGCTACAACAAATCCAGTGAGCTCTCTTTTGTGCTCAGCAACCACAGGCATTCAAAGTATGTGTTTTTTCCCATCAGTGCCATGAAATAGATGAGACAGAAATCAGCTCCTCAGGCATCTAACCCCCAAAGCTAAAACATTTGAAGCATACTCCACTCTTTCCTTTCCCTTCTGAGGAAGCAGCCACAAGTTGGGCTTATCCTCCTCAAATGTGAGCTGTTCTGCTTTGAGGGAGAAACAGTTGAACTGGAACAATTTTCTTGTTCCTTTAAATGAGGCTATTTCTGGCTTTGAGCTTACCTGGTTACTATTAATACAAGAGTTATTAAGAAATTATTTTTAGGCAGCTAGAAAGGGTAAAAGAGTTCTTAGTGGAATTTTCCTTTAATAAAAAGCAGCCCCCAAACCATTTCTGTTCTAACAGAAAGCAGTCTTAAAAGTCAAGCTGCAAGCATAGATATGCAAGCCATCGGCTTTCATATGTAAATGCCAGCAGCTCTACCTAGAAGCCAGGTACATTCAATATGGTAGTTCCTGCTCCTTTTCTCTTGCCACCATGTGTGCGGGTGTCATGGAACCATGGCATCAGCCAGGTAAAACCACGTGTGTAGGTGTCATGGTGACCTTTGGGTAGAAGCCACATTTGCATAATAAAAGATTAGGGTGAGAAGGCCCAGTCTTTTTGTGGGCTATGTAGATGGCACACCTGGTCAAGCCAATCCCCTGAGCCCTAAGTAAATCAATTACTGCCTTCTCAAGCCTCTGTACAAAATCAATTGTGTTCCATCCAAAACCCTGAGATGTCCTCTTGGGCAACTTGCTTTCTCAGCATGAGGAAGATTTCTCTCTTTCTCCTTCTTTGTCAATTAAACTTCCTTCTCCTAAACCCACTCCTCATGTGTGTCTGTGTACTGAATTATTTCTAGGTGTGAGACAACAAACCACAGGTAATTCCACAGACAACAAAGCCATTTCATCTGGGGACTCTTTTGGGATCTGGATCAGAAGGGAGATAGAAACATTGGAGTGGTGAGTATGGAGTGAACCTCAAATCTGTCCTTTAGTCTCAAGACTCTCTTCAAACAAATTTTCTTTCATAGAGAACCTTGACATCATGTGCGGGTGGGAGAAATACTAGAGCAACTGAGGATTTTTGGCCAAAGCACAACATGGCATTATTCAAAGGCCTCCAACAACCCATCTGGTTGTTGGTAATGGATCTCCAGCTATCCTGTCACAAAATTTTCCTTCTTTTCTAACCACAGTTGCTATGTCTTCTATCCTCTCTGTTTATGCAATGTGCAGGAAGTTTTACAGTTCATGTAAACAGTTCTGTTGGGAAAATGCCATAGTACTGGTGAGCACATGATATTTCTCAGCCAATACCACCACCTAATGGAAATAGAAACCCTCTTGATTGGGCACATTGTAGGTCCTTTGCTGTTAATACAGCAGCTTCCCAATTCTCTCTTTTTGTGCCTCTAGAAAAGCCCCTTTTGTGAATAGGAAAGCTCTGCCTTCAACAGTTAGGAGTAAAATGTCCTTTGTAGCCAAATTTTAGTTCCAATACTGTCCCATCTACAGAAGAAATTGCCATTAGGCCTCTACGTTCATTTCAGGCACCTATTCTGTCTCCCAATTAAAATAGTACTTGATTAGGTAAGGGGATTTTAAGTTTAGAATGTAACCGGAACCATTTTCCTTAAGGGTGAATGTTTTAGCACGGGGCCGTAATAGCAGGCAACTAGCACATTCCCTCCGTTAAAGAAGCCTTGCTCAAAAGTGACTATTACAGTCTTTCAGAGATCCATTTTTTCAGAGCCAGGCAGATCACACAAGTTTTGGAAATCAAAATGGATTCACAGGAGGATAACTAAGGCTGTGTGGGTAAAGCGTGGTTAAATCCCATTACTTAGTTCATCCACTTCCATGGCTTGGAGGGCCACACTTGGAACCATGGCCAGGACATTTAACATGGTGCCAGGACTCAGGAACCAAGGAGAGAAAACAGTCAGGCAGATGCTCCCACTGTATTCCACTCCACCCTGGGTCACAGTGAAAGGAGAGAAACTAAAAGGACACTTTTATTCTCATTTATTTTTGTAGATAGGTAACAAACCAACTTCAGCTTGCACCCCACTGGAGTGCACCCTGAAACACTGGTACTCCTTTAACTTCAGGACTTTGAAGAGAAAAGCAACTCATTTTCTTTTGCACAAAGGCATGGCATTTCTACTAAACATTTGCAAGCATTGTAAGGTCAACCCAGCCTTTTTAACAGGCATATCAGGCAGGCCTACAGAGAATAATCCCCCAGAATTAAAAAAGCAACTTCCAAGGGATTCATCTGAGATTCCCCCTTATTTGGGGCCACCTCAAGCTCCCTTCTCATTACAGTCCCTTAGGCAAATAAAGACTTAGACCAATTTTCTGACAACTCCAATAGGTACATAGCTTTTCAGAATTTAACTCAGATGTTTTACCTCAGATAGAAGGATGTTATGCTGCTCCTAATCCAAACCTTAACCACAAATAAAAAGCAGTCAGCTCTGCAGGCAGTAGAGAATTTCAGAGATAAGCAACGTGTCTCCTATAATACACTAAAAGGGAAGAAAGGAGATAGGGAAAGTGAAGAAATAGCAGAAACTCCATTCCCAATAGGGAGTGAAGCAGTTCCTCTTGACAACCTTGATTGGAACCTCAATGGCTCTGCAGATAAATGGAAAAGAAAGGACTTTTTAAAATGCATATTAAAGGGCGTACGAAGAACTAAGGCCAAATCTCTCAATTATTCTAAACTGTGTATGATACACCAAAATTCTGATGAGAATCCTGCAGCCTTTATGGAAAGACTGAAAGAGGCATGAATAGTGCCCACCTCCTTATCCCCCGATTCAGTCAAGGGACAGCTCATTCTAAAGGACAAATTTATGGCACAGGCAGCTCCCAATATTACAAAGAAACTACAGAAGCAAGTTATAGGACCAGAGAGCACCTTAGAGAACCTCCTGAAGGTGGCCACTTTGGTCTTTTATAATAGGGACCAGGAGGAGGCCTAAGAGAAAAAGAGGAAGCTCAGGAGAAGAACAAAGGCTCTAGCAGCTGCTTTGCAGGATTACAAAGTCCAGGACCCCTGAGGTACATCGGCTAGTTGCTATCAGTGTGGCAGGCAAGGGCATTTTAAGGAGTGCCCAAACAGCAAGAGGAAGCCACCTTGACCCTGTCCAGCCTGTGGTGGAGACCACTGGAGATCAAACTGACCCCGGAGGTAGAGGTCACCAGGTTCGGAACCAGTTTCACAGATATTCCAGCAGGACGGATGGATCCCAGGGCTCAAACCCCCGGCTTCAGTAGCTCAAACTGCCATTACAGCACAAGAGCCCTGGGTGATTCTGTAAATTGAAGGAAGTAAAGTAGACCTCCTTCTAAGCTCTACAGCTAGTCTCTGTCTCTCTCTCTTCACTTCTCTAATCCAGGCCTCCCCTCTTCCCATAGCACCATAAGGCGCATCTCAGGAAAAACTCTAATCCAACATTTTTCTCAACCTCTTAGTTACAGTTAGGAGAACCTACTGTTTACACATGCCTCCAGGCCATTGTCACCATGGCTCTACTAGTCAGAAAAGCCTCTAAATTAGCCCTAGGAAATAACTATTTATACCCAACATAATGTGGCAAAATTACTGTACTCTAGGGGGAGCCCTTAGCTCACAAACAGCCAGTAAAGCAAGCGATGCGTAAGGCAGGATATGCACTAGTCACTCTAAATAACATCTCTCTCCAGGCACAAGTGCTCAATTAGCTGGACTAATAGCTCTTACAGAGCAGTTAAATTAAGCACGGGAAAGGTAGTTAACATTCACACTGACTCCAAGTATTCTTTCTTAGTTCTCCATGCTCATGCTGCCATTTAAAAGGAAAGACATTTTCTTACCACTAATGAATCTTCTATAAAATATCACCAGGAAATAAATAGGTTACTGTCCTCAGTTTTCCTTCCACAAGAAATATCAGTGATACATTATATGGAACATCAAAAGTGAACAAATAAAGCAGCCAAAGGAAATAGGTTAGCTAATGAGGCACACAAGTGAGCAGCAAGGAAGCTTCAAGGCATCAGCACACTTGAAGCCCTTCTAATCTAGGAAGGCTCCATAAGACAAATTAAACCTCAGTATTCCCCTGCAGACATGAAATAGGCCACTTCTCAAGGGTATTCTTTCCAGCCCTCAGGATAGCTGCAGTCAGAGGATGGCAAACTCCATTTGCTAGCCTCCAGCCAATGGAAAGTCCTTAAAATCCTTTGCCAAGCTTTTCACTTAAGAAAGGATAAAACTTATCAATGTGCTCAGAGATTGTTTTCAGGAAGAAAACCTCTAAATTGGTTAAGCATGTAGCCTCTCTATCTCACTTCCAACAGGAATTAACACAACTAGCAAAAGCCCAACCCCAATAAAATAGGACCACTTTTACTTAACCCAGGACATTTGGTATTAGTGAAAATCTCCTCTCTCTCTCCTTCTCTAAACCCAAGCTAGAAAGGGCCCCACACTGTTCTTCTTTCAACCCCCCTGGCAGTAAAAGTTACAGGTATCAACTTCTGAATGCGTCACACTCAACTCAAAGCCTGAAGAGCTGAGGAAGGAACCCCTGACAGGCCAGAGGAATGTCCTGAATATCGATGTGAAGAAACAGAAGATCTTGAGCTGATAATCATAAAAGATAAGCAACTGAGTGAACGCTACTCATCCTACTCAGTCCCGTTCCACCTTACCAGATACTTCTTTATCATTTCTACCTTTCCTCTCAAAATTCACTGCCAAATATTAGAACTGCTTTTTAAAGCATACATGCAGGGAGATTTTAATTATACATGGGATTGCATTTGTAACATCATAAATCCCCAAAGGGAAATATTATATCTTGGCAAGTAAAGTTTTAAATGTAAATTATTTTATTATACCACTCTTGCAGTAATTGTTATACTTACTCTACTATTTGCAATAGAGCTATACACTGTGGAACCCACAATGTGAAATTCTGGTTGTAAAACTCTACTTGCTACAATATTTGGCCTAATTATCATCTTTATAACAGGATTAATAATTGCAGGAAAGATTTAATCAAGGTTTTTTGCTTATAGCAGGAGTAATAGTTATAGACAAGAAGTAAGCATGAAGGTTTTGCTATCATTAAGTTTGTTATAACTTTTTATTAAAGATTGGTAATGTAGTGGACTCTAAGCTATGAAAAGAAAATTATAAAGAAAGAGATTTTATATAAGGAAGGATCTTATATGGCAAATTCTTGTCCTAAAACTAAATGACTGGTTGTTTAATGGAAGGATGTATAGGACAAATCAGAAAGTTTAAGTATGTTGTAAGATTGTCTATGGAAGTCATGAAAGAATTTAATAATTAAATGAAAGGAATTGCCAAGATTAACACTAAATTTAACTACCTGATAATATATTTCTCCCAATCATATTCCAAGTTATAAAAATGGCCTAAATCTAAAATTATTCCCTAATGGCAAGCCAAGGGAGGCATGTATGTTTTTTCTCAAATAAAATGTTACTGCCATATTAATATTTCTGGTATTGTACAGTGACATCTGGTGGAGGGAAAGTGATATTACAATCAATTGATGTAACTAATAGCTATCAAACTCTAGTATATAACATAGTTATGGTCCATAATAACCCCACTAATAGTGGTAATCTTAATACTCATATTCTAGCCCTATATTTTAAACCTTCTTATAAAATTTGTCTCTTTTCACCGAGAAGCAAACTCCAAATGGTGCTGCGAACAGAGCCGCACACGGACTTGCCATTCTTCTGAGAACCCTTAGATCAGCCTCAGGAGCAGCCCCAACTGCTGTCCCCTCACGTGATGCCCCTTTTAAGCAGGAAGTAGCCAGAAAGAATCGCCATCCAACACCCCCTAAAAGCAGTTAGGGTTACATCTCCTGAGGGGAGAATAATACAGGAGTTGTTAAGGAATTAAAGTTAGGCAGCTAGAAAGGGTAAAAGAGTTCTCAGTGGAATTTTCCTTTAATAAAATGCAGCCCTCAAACCATTTTTCTAACAGAAAGCAGCCTGAAAAGTCAAGCTGAAAGCATAGATATGCGAGCTAGAAGCTTTCCTATTTAAATGCCAGCAGCGCTACCTGGAAACCAGGTACATTTAATATGGCGGTTCCCGCTCCCTTTTTCTTGTGGCCAGGTGTGTAGGTATCAGGGCACCGGCCAGATGAAACCACGTGTGCAGGTTTCATGGTGACCATCAGGTAGAAGCCGCATTTCCATAATAAAAATTAGGGTGGGAGGGCCACTCTTTTTGGCTATGTAAATGGCACACCTGGTCAAAACAATCTCCTGGTCCCGATGTAAATCTATTATTGCCTCCTTAAGCCTCTGTACAAAACCAACCACGTTCCGCCCCTAACCCAGAAACCCTCTCTTGGTCAGCCCACTTTCTCAGCATGAGGAAGCTTTCTCTCTCTCTTCTTCTTCTTTGTCTGTTAAACTTTCCACTCCTAAACCCACTCCTCGGCTGTGTCTGTGTCCTGAATTCTTTCTCAGCGTGAGACAACGAACCACGGATAATTCCTCAGACAATGGAGCTGTTTCACTATGACTTCATAACTGGTTTCTGGAGTTCTTTTAAAGGTTTTTTGGACAAATATATGTTGCTAAGTCAGTGCTTCTGTGGGGCAGTGAGGTCTGCGGCTTCTTATACTACCAAACAGCTGACATTATCCCTGATAAAAGCTCATGTTTTTAATATCAAAACCAGATTATTCATGTAATAATATGACTTCCATTATTTTGTATGTATACATATATTCGATTTTTTATTCATTTGTAATTTCCTGATTGTGAGATAAATGGCATTACATTTTTCAAGAATGTTAAATAGACATGAGCCTCTCATTTATATCATTACTCAGTGAGTAATGATAACTGATAACATTGATACAATTACTATTTATGGCAGTGACAGAACTTCCTAAAAATCTATTGGGTTTGTTCAAATTCTAATAAGCCTATGAAACATATAGCATACTAAAATTATTGGTCAGTGAAGAGCAGATGAAGAAATCCAATTGAAGAAATTACTAGCCTCCAAATAAAAAATCATATTTTTTCAAAATTGATTAGTTTAATGAAATAGCATTTTTATCTTTGGAGCCCTGAGGTTTGAGAACCTGATAAGTACATCTAAGTTTTAAATATTCCAAAATGTTAGCTTATAAACTAACATAAATCTCAAAATAATTATGGACATTTTGGGGAGAAAAAAGATGACAATTTCGACAGGATGAGAGGAATTAACTGGTACATTTTTTGGACATCAAATTAAAAATTAAATTTTTCTCAGTTAGTCCTCTTGCCTTTCTACTTCTCTTATTCTGTCTACTGAAGCTATCAAACCCCCACCCCAAAATTTGCTATCTTCTACCTTCTTTTCCCCTTTAATGGAAACTTTATACTTTCTAATGCCTCACTTTCTCTTTCACTTGCCTTAAGGCTGTAATATAATTTAGATATTTATTTTGGTTTTCCTAGCATAAGATTATTATAATATCACGAAGTTGTGTATTTTTATGAATTCACTTAACACATATTTTGTCTTATTCTTAAACAATGCTTTGAAACATACTATACATATTGTACAGAGTACATACATTATGGTGTAATGTACATTGTGCATATGTTTTCAAACTCTAAGTTTGTAAACACTCTTTCCAGAAAGAGAACTAAGACACTGGCTCTAGTCTCTCTAATAGTTGGCAAGTTCATAGTAACTGTATTTACATCTCATCACATCCAAAACAGGGCCATAAAAAAAACATTTGCTATATGATGCTTGATGTGGTGATAATAGATTTTAGGCTAGAGAAAATTAAAAATTACAGTCTTATATTTGAACATCATTTCTTATCTCAAAGTTATTACATAACTGCTATAGTCAAGCTGTTATGTATGAAATCTATGCTTTCCTAACACAACAGTGTATAATATAGTATTAATCACTGAAGTTATTTTCAGTTGCATATTTTGATTAGATTTCAATTTTTTAAACTACGTGAAAGTCTCTAAACCATTTTCAGATTCAGAAACCTTATTTTAAATATATATGTTCAGGAATTTCTATTTCTGCTACAGTATGAAGACCTTAGAAGGCATCACTGTCATCCTTCCTTCAAGAAAAAAGAAAAACTGAACAAACTAAAAATCAAAAAGCATTCTTAAGTGCATCCTAGAATTAAGGTTACATAACGGACTGATGCTCTTAAAACCAGAGAGACTTTCAAATACAGAAAGTTTCAGCTCACCAAGAACAGAAGATGCTAGAAGAGGAAGAAGAGGAAAACTTAAATGGTTGCTGATCAAGTGTTGGTCACGTTGTGTGTAGAAGCTTCAGAGTTAAAAACTACTGAAGATTCAGCCTTAAGGGTCACTGTAGTGAGCTTTATCCCCAGGAGCTCATCCAGATTCTCGTGGTGAAAATATGAAAAAAGCCCCTCATGCTTCAGCAAAAGGAGAGGAAAACTAACCATCATGGAGAATGCTCATGAGAAAGTAACCAATTTGAAATATACTAAAAGATTATTTTTCTCTGTCCTCAAAGGAAACCACTTTGCAAGAAGTTAACTAAAGTAAAGGTAGGTAAATACTCAGTTTCAGCCTTCTCTGGTCTTAGTTGAGAAAGTTAGTTCTGTGTGTATGGTGTCAGTCTATGTGTGTGGTGTGGGAGGAGGGAGGGACTGAGGGGCACTTACAAACATCACACCCTAGGGACACAGGCCCACTAAAAGACTGAGACTGAATCATGGCATGATTGAAGGCTTCCTCTCCCCACACACCTTACCACCACATCAACAGAGTATCTGTGTCACAGCAGAAGATTACATCTGATAGAACTACAAGGCTCAGACTATATTTAATGAAGAATTTCTAGGGAAACCTAAAGACAACAGGAAAGACAAAACAAGGACAGTAGAGGAAATTGAAGTCATGCATTGGTGCGCACAGCAAACAGTAAAGACTAAACAACTTTCAGCCTCGTAAATGTAAACTCTTATACACAATTTCTATTTCCAAATATAACATGTCTGACTTCCAACAACAACAACAAATTACAAGGCATGTTTCAAGGCAAGAGAAAATATAATCTGGATAGACAATGAAATTTCAATTTCTTAGAAAAATTCAAACAAGGTGGTAATATAGTCATTTTTAAAGAAAACAAGCATGCTTTGGGAGGCTGAGGTGGGGTGATCACTTGAGTTCAGGAGTTTGAGACCAGCCTGGCCCACATGGTGAAACCTCATCTCTACTAAAAAACACAAAAAATTAGCCGAGCATGGTGATGGGTGCCTGTAATCCCAGCTACTCGGGAGGCTGAGGCAGTAGAATCCCTTGAACCTGGGAGGCGGAGGTTGCAGTGAGCTAACACTATTGACTCCAGCCTAAGGAACAAAAAAAAAAAAGGAAAAAAATGACCTAAACAAGTTACTTGATGATTAGTTTGATGGCAACAGAATATGCAATTTTTGAAACACCAGAAAAATAAGTTTGTTTTCTTATTAATACAAATTATAAATGTGATGCAGGGAGTGAAGTTTCCTAAGGAAAATTGACAAGATTGGCTGCTAAAATGCCCTTTCTTTTTATGAAAAATGTACATTGCAAAATTTTGAGTGAATTATATTCTTTTAAATTTTTGGATGATGGTGGGTTTTATGTGTGTAAATTACATATTTCTCAAAGAAAATAGCATTATTTGGGGTTGTCTAAATGGCACAGTGAGATCAGAGGAGTTAATTTCAGGAGGGTTGAACAAAAAAATTTATTCAATCGCAAATTGTAAAATCAGATTAACATTTTTTACTTTTATTAAAATATATGTTTTTAATTGTCATTGCTTTTCTTAGAGGTAATCCCTGTGCTTTACCTTTTGATAATTATTTTTATGCTTTTTTGTTTAATAGTTGTATGCATCTCTACATAACAGAGTTAAGTTTTGCTCAATTTAAACTAATGTGGATACAATCTTAACGGATGTATTATATTTGATGTTGTCTTGTTTGCTTCATATTATGTTTTATAGATTAATCCCTGTCATAATTTATAATTTTTAGTTTTCATTCTTCTCTGATATTTATTATACGTATGTAAAATATTTATTTTGCAATTTTATTCTTGATGGATGACTATTACAAACAATTAATTATAGGCATTCTTAAACATGAACACTGGAATGAAACATTTTTACAAGTAGAAAGAATATTGTATAGATAAATGAAAATTTATTCACTGAGAGACCTACTTTTTAAAGTGTAAATGTGTATATAAACATGTCTTAACATTTTAGAAGCCTACTGTGCACAGACTTACAACACAATTGTTCAAGGGAAAATATTATTATTGAACAAAAAGCTTTGGATTACAGTTCAATGGTAATGTTACAAAACTAAAGATCAAGCTAAACTACAGATTAACTCTTTTCACCCTTTTTGACCTCAGCACTTTCTTTTGAGCATCTAGACTAAAAATGGTAGTCTTGCTAATTGCCAATTGGCAATTGGCTTTTTGGGGGCTCTTCAGAAACTAATATCAAATTGACTTTGCTGTTCAATAGCACACTATTTGAAATAAATGATATATTTATGGATTTGGAAAATTCACTTGGGCCCCACAACATATACTCCTGAAAGTCTGAATATTTTCTTTTTTAATTTGTATTGCTATAGCCTCTGTCTAATTATTAGGCCAAAAAGAGTAATCAACAATTATTTTTGAGATAATATATTCATTTAGTCAAATAATAAGATCTATAATATTTATTTATAAGAATTTGTAAATATTTTTCAAAATCAGTTTCCTTGAGACCTTAGGTATATAGTCACAGAGCACAAAGTATGAGAGCCAGGAAGTTGACAAGATTGTGGAGAGGAGGAAAAATACTATTAATGTGAGAGGTGCATATATTTTTTATTTGTGAGGGAATAGCCTGCTGACAACTTTGATGGTCACTGAATGTGTGTAGGCGATCTAGGTAAACATGATGAGACATAAAATATTTGAGCTACATCTGAAGTTGCTTAAGTAAAAATTCATGCTGGATGCTTTTTAGAATCTCTTTATGGCTTTCTGATTTTTACCACTTTGGAGCTTTTTAGATTTTTTTTTTTGCCAGTGATAGATTGCGATGTCTGCCACAAACACATTTGCCTGAAAAGTGAGATAGAGATTATTTAACAGGGAATTTTTCATTACTCTTTTCATGACACATTTATTTGCATCATCTGTTTTATACTAACTAAATATTTTAACCAGCAGCTATTTCCCTGAAAAGGCCCAAAATAGCTCACTGAACTAACATCCACCATACCTCATTATTGTCCATCTGATTCTGAAACCTGTAATATGTATGTAATATTTTTACCCCTTAACTGCAATGAAAAAATGTAACTTTTTAAAAATTATGTTGTTTTTCTACTGTCCTTTTCATGGTTATATGTATATAATTAGCTAAACTTTTTGATTTTAGAATTTTAATTTCTACTCTTAAAGATAAGCTAATGCTAAGGGAGGTAGAATCATTGAAAGATAATAAAGTAAAATGTGTAATATTTGTGATTCTGAAGTAAGACTTTTATAATAGACATCATCTTAATATGTTTCTGTAATTATGGCCAAGAAGAACATTAGCTTGTTAATACATACTTTTGTTCAGCTTTTATAGTTTTGTATCACCGGCTTACAAAAGTTGCATGTTTATAAAATTCTTACAAAAATAAAATTTTGCAAATGGCAAGTAAATAATCAATTGCTAAAAAGAGGGTAATAATGTAACTATTGCAATTATGGCCTTTTATTGTGGCTAGATATTAATATGTTAAGAAAAGGCATTGCAAAGCAGACTATAGAGGTATTTATCTTAGTTGGCAATTCTGAAATATCAGTTGCTGTTGAAATTCAATATGATTCAAATGGTCCCAGATTTATTAATTTATCCTGATGTACCTTGATGAAAAGTGCTCTTATCTGATGTAAGGAAGGAAAACCTTGCCATGGCTTTGAGTTTCTAGAATGTCAATCTGTATTCACAAGATTGCAATAAACTTAAACCAATAGCACTAAAGCATGTGAATAATGTATTTGCTGATAATTTAGTATACTAAAAATAGTAGTATAAAGAGCATGTTAATGAGTATACATGTTATTTCCAAGGTGTACATCGTTTTCACATTTTCAAAAAGGTATCACATTGTGATTTTATCTTTTTATTAACTTATTTAATATATATCATTTCATATAACATTAAAATTTTCACAGAATATGTCTGACAATATAAATAATATAGCATAGAAATTATTTCAAATGCTTCAGCTTTCTGTTTACCATAAAATCCACTGAAGTAATTAACTGAATGTGGAAAAAATGACAGTTAAATATTTCACTGATTCAATATAATGTCAGAAAATAACTCATTCATTATACAAGATGTCTCAATACAATAGTAATTTGAGATGCCAATTTCTAAAATAATAAGTAAATGCTTATTTCTAAGTTCTAGAGCACATATGAAATACAATTAGAGTTACACATTTTAATTACCGTAATTACAAAATATTTTGGCTTCCTAAAATCCTTTAAAGGCTCTCACAGTCCTGGAGTGTTTCAATCTAGTCCTCTGTCATTTTTGCAACCTCTTTTGATCAGATTTTTTTTTTGCTTTACTTACCCACAAGTTCATGGATATACCCACAAGTTATATCCATATTTATTCTTTAGAGATTTGGTTTTGAAAGAATACTGTATATTGGTCAACTGCTGACTAGTATAGAGTACAAAGCCTCTTTGAATATTTATCTACTTGATAAATTTTTGTAATTATTGTAGGGACATCTGTTGAGCTTTAAATATTATACCTCTAAAATTGGCAAATGAACACTAAAATGTACATTTATATCATTAAATCTTTAAAAAATGGGCGATAATTTTTATATTGATGAATTAGATAAAGTTTATGTGAAAAATTCTCCCTGCTTATAAAAGGGAACCATAATATTATGCATAAGAAAGGTGGGTAAGAGTCTTGGCTACGCGGGCTCTTTTTTGTTTCCATATGAAATGTAAAGTAGTTTTTTCCAATTCTGTGATGAAAGTCAATGGTAGCTTGATGGTGATAGCATTGAATCTATAAATTACTTTGGGCAGTATGGCCATTTTCACGATACTGATTCTTCCTATCCATGAGCATAGAATGCTTTTTTCATTTGTTTTTGTCTTTTCTGTGGGGTCCAGCCCTACAGTGCCTGTGGGTTTTTCTCCTCGTGTGCAGAGACGAGAGATCGTAGAAATAAAGACACAAGACTAAGAAATAGAAGAAAAGACAGCTGGGCCCGGGGGACCACTACCACCAAGATGCGGAGACCGGTGGCGGCCCCGAATGCCTGGCTGGGATGTTATTTATTATATACAAGGCAAGAGGGCAGGGTAAGGAGTGTGAATCATCTCCAATGATAGGTAAGGTCACGTGAGTCATGTGTCCACCGGACAGGGATCCCTTCCCTGTTTGGTAGCCGAGGCGGAGAGAGAGAGGGCACAGCTTACGTCATTATTTCTTCTATGCATTTCTCGGAGAGATCAAAGATTTGAATATTCTCACTAATTCTGCTACTGCTATCTAGAAGTCGGAGCCAGGTGTACAGGGCGGAACATGAAAGTGGACCAGGAGCGTGACCGCGGAAGCACAGCATCACAGGGAGACGTTTAGGCCTCTGAATGGTTGCGGGTGGGCTTGACTGATGTCAGGCCTTCCACAAGAGGTGGTGGAACAGAGTCTTCTCTAACTCCCCCAGGGAAAGGGAGACTCCCTTTCCCGGTCAGCTAAGTTCCCAGGCACTGGTGCTACTGCTAGACCAAGGTCTGCTAAGGAACAGGTGCCTTCCCAGGCACTGTCGTTACCGCTAGACCAAGGATCCCTCTAGTGGCCCTATCCGGGCGTGACAGAGGGCTCACACTCTTTGTCTTCTGTTCACTTCTCACCGTGTCCCTTCATCTCCTATCTCTGTATGGCCTGGTTTTTCCTAGGTTATAAGTGTAGAACAGAGATTATTATAATATTGGAATAAAGAGTAATGCTACAAACTAATGATTAATATTCATATATAATCATATCCATATTCTATTTCTAGTATAACTATTCTTGTTCTATATATTTTCTTTATTATACTGGAACAGCTTGTGCCTACAGTCTCTTGCCCCGGCACCTGGGTGGCTTGCAGCCCACACTCTCTTACTTCCTTGAGCAGTGGTTTGTAGTTCTTCTTGAAGAGGTCCTTCACATCCCTTGTAAGTTGTATTCCTAGGTACTTTATTCTCTTTGTAGCAATTGTGAATTGCGGTTCACTCATGATTTGGCTGTTTGTCTATTATTGGCGTATAGGAATGCTTCTGATTTTTGCACATTGTGAATCGCGGTTCACTCATGATTTGGCTCTCTTTTTGTCTATTATTGGTGTATAGGAATGCTTGTGATTTTTGCACATTGATTTTGTATCCTGAGACTTTGCCGAAGTTGCTTATCACTGTAAGGAGATTTGGGGCTGAGACGATGGGGTTTTCTAAATATACAATCATGTCATCTGCAAACAGAGACAATTTGACTTCCTCTTTTCCTAATTGAATAGCCTTTCTATCTTTCTCTTGCCTGATTCCCCTGGTCAGAACTTTCAATAATATGTTGAATGAGAGTGGTGAGAGAGAGCATCCTTGTCTTCTGCCAGTTTTCAAAAGAATGCTTCCGTTTTTTGCCCATTCAGTATGATATTGGCTGTGGATTTGTCATAAATAGCTCTTATTATTTTGAGATACGTTCCATCAATACCTAGTTTATTGAGAGTTTTTAGCATGAAGAGCTGTTGAATTTTGTCGAAGGCCTTTTCTGCATCTATTGAGATAATCATGTGGTTTTCGTCATTGGTTCTGTTTAGGTGATGGATTACATTTATTGATTTGCATATGTTGAACCAGCCTTGCATCCCAGGGAAGAAGCCGACTTGATCGTGGTGGATAAGCTTTTTGATGTGCTGCTGCATTTGGTTTGCCAGTATTTTATTAAGGATTTTAGCATCGATGTTCATCAGGAATATTGGCTGAAATTTTCTTTTTTTTGTTGTGTCTCTGCAAGGTTTTGGTATCAGGATGATGCTGGCCTCATAAAATTAGTTAGGGAGGATTCCTTCCTTCTCTATTGCTTGGAATAGTTTCACAAGGAATGGTACCAGCTCCTCTTTGTACCTCTCGTAGAATTTGTCTGTAAATTCGTCTGGTCCTGGACTTTTTTTGGTTGGTAGGCTGTTAATTACTGCCTCAATGTCAGAACTTGTTATTGGTCTGTTCAGGGATTCGACTTCTTCCTGGTTTAGTTTTGGAGGGTGTATGTGTCCACGAGTTTGTACATTTCCTCCAGATTTTCTAGTTTATTTGCGTTTCACATGTGAAAGCTGTTTCACATGGCTTTCAGTATTCCTCTACCTTAACTTAATCTGTCTTATATTTATCTCACTTAACCTTGCTGTAGTTTATGAGTGTTTAGAGTTGCTTTGAATCTTATAATGAAATAATATAAATTAAAATAAACAAGATGTTTTATTTTTCCCTGACACAATAACATAACCTATTTTTTAATTTAAAACCTGTGTAGTTTAACAAAGTAAAAATTACTGACCTTTTTAAAAAATTTGCAACAACAGTATTTTGAATTAGAAATTAGTATTAATATAGAATAACATTTTCACACACTCTTGTGAATACTGTCAGTTATTCCTAAAATTAGAGAATAGGAGATGGTAATAATACATTCTGTAAGAGCTGAGAAAAAATAACTTTAGAACATGAATAAACTTTATGTTTATGTCACACTAAAACTTATTTTACTAAATTACTTGTGCAAGCATGTGCACTTGTGTGTTTTATGCTAAACCCATCGAGGTAACTCTGCTTTGTTTTGTATTCAAATCTAAATAAAATTACATTCAATAACTTGATTGACTGATTTTAAAGAATCTCTTTGAAAGTGACTATTTCTTTATTCTGTTTTTCCAAAATAAGTTTCAAAGTAATTATGTATCCCGCAATATGCCTTAACAAAATTTTAATAGAAATACAAGCTTAGACCTTGTCAGTTTTAAGTTAGGAATCCATTTACAAATGAAATTTTAAAACCAAAACACATTTATTTAAAACTAATATGCGATCTAGATAATACACTACTCTTATATTACAAAACATTTCTAGGATCTAGAGTCTAGAGGCATACTGGGCTTTGATTTAATTTTAATTCTTTCAACTTCAATCTAGTTTCTGTGGAAAAAGTTATTAGAGATTGTAAACTAACACATTTTCCACTTAAAAACAGGAATAGCAGTAAGAATCTGTTAGATTTTCTGAGTCTTAATTAATGTAGACTATCTGAAAAATTCCCAGGGCAATGTTTGAGATATAGAAGGGTGTCAGGCCGGGCGAGGTGGCTCACGCCCATAATCCCAGCACTTTGGGAGGCCGGGGCAGGCGGATCACAAGGTTAGGAGATCGAGACCATCCTGGCTAACACGGCGAAACCTTGTCTCTAATAAAAATACAAAAAAAATTAGCCAGGCATGGTGGTGGGCACCTGTAGTCCCAGCTACTCGGGAGGCTGAGGCAGGAGAATGGCGTGAACCCAGGAGGTGGAGCTTGCAGTGAGCCGAGATGGCGCCACTGCACTCCAGCATGGGTGACAGAGACAGACTCTGTCTCAAAAAAAAAAAACCCAAAAAACAAAAGAAGGGTGTCAGTTGACAGTAACCATTACTAATATAAGTGCTTTATTATATCAACTGTAGCAATATTTCATATTTAAATCAAAAGGGCATAAAATATTGGATCAGATTCATGTGTTACACAATGCTGTTAATTATCTTTATATATCCATTCTAATAATAATTTGATATATCCAGTTAATAAATATAAACCGCTGATTTTTTTTGCAACCAGAGCCATATTGTTCTGTGCTTTATTGTTAATTTCATACATTCAAAAATACTTGTGTAATGGTTACTCTTCTGTTAACAACGCAAATTCAAAGATTCGCTGATGCCACTTTGAGAATCAAACTTGATTTTTCTTTGAGAATAAAACTAATGATACAAAATGGGTTTTATCCAGTATCATGACTACTTCACTTTGAAAAAGCACTGGACAGCAGAACAATATGCATTAACGTAGTGGAAGTCTTGTGATTCTGTTGCAACAATTTCGCTATTTCAATTACTTTTGAAAATTAGGTAACAACAAAGAGATTGCCATGGAGGAAATTATCTAAAATACACATACACTCACAATATTTTCATACCATTGTAGGGTGTCATAAATCTTTCTATTGCCTATTAGCTTTGAATCTAATATTTAAATTTGAATCTAAATATGGTTCATTTATTTTGTCTCAAGGTGAGGATTAAACTGCTTTACTAAAACATTATCTTTTCATGGGATTTTCATGCAACTCATTACTATATTTGAACATGATTAATGTTATTTCTGTGACCTGTTTCCTTTTACCATTTGGAGATATTTTACTATTACATTTGAGCTGATGAAAGAGAAGAGAACTTCTTATTAATTGTATGGCACACATTTCTCAGTGCCTTAATTATTTAACATTTAATATAATAAGACACTTTAGAATGCCCATAAGAGATGTGCCTCCTACATGCAGAAATGCATCACCCTGGTTTCTGGTATTCTCTGCTATCAGATTTTAGGACCCAAGAAAACTTTTTATTAAGTATTATTATCTCAGTGGTCCATGACTCAAGCAATTTAGAGTACTGACACCTTTTCTTTCAATGGTATAAGGTCTTCTTACAATGCTCTGCTTTAGTTTCTGTACATTATGTCTTCTTTTCTGAGGAACCCATGGTACCTCCCTTGTCCTCACTAATACTGCAACATATTCTTCTCAATCAGGAAAGAGACTTGTCCTTTCCTCTTCTAGTAGAATGGGATACAGTGTAAGAATCAGAAATATTCCTTGCGATAGTTTGCTCAGAATGATGGTTTCCAGCTTCATCCATGTCCCTACAAAGGACATGAACTCATCATTTTTTATGGCTGCATAGTATTCCATGGTGTATATGTGCCAGATTTTCTTAATCCAGTCTATCATTGTTGGACATTTGGCTTGGTTTCAAGTCTTTGCTATTGTGAATAGTGCTGCAATACCCTAGTGCACATGTACCCTAAAACTTAAAGTATAATAAAAAAAAGAATCAGAAATATTCAATTTCCCTGGTAAAATATGCTAATAATAGGAGGAGATATGATAATATATAGTCTAGCTCCTTTCTTTTCACATTTTAACAAGGCATCTCACACCATTTTGGGTGGTTGCTATTTCCCACATCAATCTAATCAGAAAGCTTGGGTTTTCACTCATTAGGTACAAGCAAATGAGTGCGTCAAACCACCCTTCTATTTCTAGTTTTCTTTTTTTCCTAGTTTTTTCTTTCATTCAATAAGCCTTGCACTCCTATATTTCTAGTTTTCTGAATTTTTTTACACCATGAAACAGTGTGAAATTTTGTGAAATGCTTTTTCTGCATACATTATGATAATTATTTTTCCTCTTTATTCTACTGATGTGGTGCATGATTACATATTATATAATATATATCTACATATCTATATTAAATTAATTATAGATTAATTTAATTATAGATTAATTTAATATATCTATATTAATATAATTAAAAAGAACTACAGGTAATAGCCCTTATAAATATAGAAGAAGGAAAATGCTAGTAAGCCAAACCTACCCGTATATTAAAATGATATATAGATACATCTATATATCTATATAGATATATATATCAATTCAAATCTATATATCTATATAGATATATAGATATAATATATATTAAATTAATTATATCTCTAAATTAAATTAATCTATATAATCTGTGGTGCATTATTACATTGATTGATTTTCATATGTTAGACCACCATTGCGTTTCTACTTGGTTATGGTGTATAATCATTTAATCATAAAATGCCTGTAATCCCAGCTACTCGGGAGGCTGAGGCAGAAGAATCACCTGAACTCAGGAGATGGAGGTTGCAGTGAGCCGAGATAGTGCCACTACACTCCAGCCTGGTGACAGAACGAGACTCTGTATTACTTATAAAAAAAAAAAAAAAGACAACGCATGATGCATAATACCTACTATGTAAAGTTTTTCTTCATTGGATCACTTTGTTGGCTATCCAGGTTTGTATTTTAACATATTTCTCTAAATTTATTGAATAAAATTAGCATTGATTTTTTAGCTCTTTGCCTTAATTGCTTATTAATAGGAAAAATACGTAAATTCAAGACTAGGCTGTATACTTGGGTTTTGCCTTTATTGCTAAACTTAATCTTTTCAGCTAACACTATTATTTCATGTATAGGAAACTATACTTCACAGCAATGTATTTCAAAGACTATTTCAAAAATCATGTAAACCTGAACCAGGACACAACTCTACTGCAGACTTAAAATTTTTCTACTACAACACAATGCCAAAGGCTGCAAACTTACTTTTATTTCATAGTTAAAACTTTATTGATTTTTTTCTTTTTAAGACTTAGTATCTCATTTGATAGAGGTTTAAGTTTTTATAGTTCTCCAAATACCTAAATAATAAATTAGTATTTTTGAGATGAAAATTTTAAAAACAGAAGTAGTGATTTGGAATGGAAAATAAACCAGTAACAAATACAAAGAGTATTGTCTTATGACCTAGGAACTTTGATTTTGAGGCAAGGGTAAACACATTGAAATTTTAAAATTAATTTTATATATTTTAATAATTATAAAAATACATATTTGTGGGTGGTAATTTTAAAATTTTTTATTAATATATAATATTTATACATACTTATGGGGTATGTGTGATATTTTGATAAATACATAAAATATGTAATTATTAAGTCTCAGTATTTAGGATATCTATTACCTGGAGCACTTATCATTTCTTGCGTTGGGAACATTTCAAATCTTCTCTTCTGGCAATTTTAAAATATACGGTATATTGTTGTTAACTATAGTGATTCTATTGTGCTAAATAATTTATATGGTGATAAAAGTTTAGCTCTATTTTCATCTTTTGATTTCCATATTTATTAAATGTAAAAAGCATGTATTAACTCCATATTTATAGAAGATAAAGAATAAATAAACTAAATATCATAAACTTTCTGCCTTCATGTTCTTATCGAGTTGTTTGTTTTTCTAGTTATGATGATACTTCTAGTTCTTCTAGTGATCCTATTTCTAACATGAAAAAAAAAAACCAGTTCAGCCTCAAAGTCTTGATGCAACAAATACATAGAGGACTCTATTAAAAAAAACTGTGTATTACTTGTATAATAGTATGTTGCATGCTTTTCTTATACAGATATGAAGGAATTTGAAACATTAGTGTAGTGTAGATGTATTAAATAAAATAGCATTTGTGGAATCACATAGTAAAGAACTTGACATGTACAGGAGCTTGGTGGAAATAAAAAATTATTTTCCCCTGCTTGCTTCCTCATTCATGCTCTAAGTATATCAAGAGCTGCTTTTAGTGAAACTTGCAGCTAACCTACTTGGAAAGTGACCTGTTCCTAAAAGGACTTGCTTTATATTTTCTATGAGTGGGTAAATTTAGAGTGCAAGGGTCTGTGACACTTTGTATGTATTATATCTTTTATCACCACGGTAAGCCTGACATTATTATGCATATTTTATAAGTAAGAGGGAAGTATGGTGGATTAAATAAGTTTCCTAAATTCACCTAGTTGATAAAAAGCAGAGCTAAGGTTAGAGCCCAGATTTTTTTCTTAATCTATTCACTAGAGTATATGGTCTATTATGAAAGAGAGTTGCTTATTACAACTATATTAATTATATTTTTAGAAAAGCAACTAGAGAGACTTTTTCCATCACATTATATGTCTGAAAAGTTTAATGTTTTCACATAATTGATTTAAAAATTGAGAGTTATTATTTTCACCGTTTTTATATTTATCATTTTAGAAATCAAAGGATAAATGTGATATATGCTTTTGGAACAAGAGAAATAATAGAATAATATATAAATAAAAATATGTATTTTCTCTCTCTTCCCCTGCTTCATGCCCCATCCCAATAACATAGAATTAACCAAGCTTAATAGTCTGTTTTGTAATCCTCTCAATTTTCTATTTGTTCTTCTGGACCTATACCAGTGTGCACACATGCAATGGAGAATATAGTGCATAAATTAGTCAGAGGCTTTTCTTTTACTTAGTATAGGATAGATATTCCTAAAAATAATTTTAGACTTTATATAGATATATGCATACATGTTTAAATAAAATGTGACATGAAGCATATAACCAGTGCATTTTTATGTTCTTCTGAACTCTTTCTACTAAGGATGCTGCCCACAAGTTCCAGTCATTCAAAAGAAATGACATTTTCTAAAGATTACCCAAGCCCATTGTATAACAAAACCTTTTGATAAATTCTTATGTGCATTTATTATTAGAAATAAAACAAAAAACTCATAATACCAGATAGAGAAGAAACTTTCTGCACATTCTACAGGAATAGACATTTATCCATCAAAGCTCAGGTCATTCATAATAGTGTAAAATTAGTACACACCATTTCAAATAAAAAACAGGAAACAACACAGTGATGCTTGCTAAAGTTATGTCTTCCTTTATGATAATATACCAATATTTCAAAGAGGTATAGTAAGACACAATAAAATATAAACTTTAGAAAGGGAAAAAAATTACATTATTTTTAGATAATGTGATTATACACAGAGAAAACTCTAGAGAATCACCAGAGAAATTTATTTGAATTAAAAAGATTTCAACAAGGTTGCTGGATATAATCTTAATATACATAATTCAGTTCCACTCTAATATTACAGCAACAAACTGTTATAAGTATTTTAAGAAAAGAATAGTAGCAAAGCTGTAAGAAACTTATTTAAGATCCCTTTATTAAATCTATAATTGCATATGCTCTGTGGAGTCCTGTAAACTATCCAATATGTGAAATACGTGTAGTTGGTGTAGTTTGCAGGACATTTAAACTGATTTCTGTTTCTATAATGTTCAAAATGGCTAAGGCTCTATTTGAGGACAAGAAAGGTGAGAAAAGAAGTGAGGTGAGAAACCACTGTTGCCAGGTTGAATTCCTGGCCATTCCTGTGGGAGATCATGTTCTAATCAGTGAGAGGAATAAAAACATATCAATGACTCTTGGAGTTGGAAGATCTGAGGTGGAGAAAATTAATAAATAGATCATAAAGAAAATCATATGGAAGATAATTCAACCAAGATTGTGGTTTCTTGAGCACTTTTGCTTGTTTTAGCAAAAAAAAATGAAAATAAATAAGAAACATTTCAAGGCTGTTTGAACTTTCAGGATATGAATAATGTTTCAGTCTATAAATGCAATGTATATACCAACAAACGGGAGTTGGGGAGATACCCATTTTGATTGGAATATGGTCCTTGTCTTATTGATATTCAGTAAAAAATTATATAAGCCACAGGAATAAAGAATCAAGAGACTACTAAAATTTGGCAATATTTGAATACACAGTTATGGTTCTTTTTCACCTTTATCAGATATATTATTGGCATGAGTGGAGTGCCTGTATGTAGGACATTTCTGTTACAGAAATCATGAAAGAATGGATTGCTATGCACATCCATTTTCATTCATGTTTTAATTTGATATGTGAGATAATACAATTATCTTTGGAAAATCAAGGGGTTAATTTAAAAGTATACAGAAACAATTAGAGGACATCAAGATATTCTGGTATTAATTAAAATATGTTGGATACATGTGTACTAGTGTCCATAAAATTGCTTGTGTAATACATTACTGAGGCATGTAAGATAAGTTGATGGATTTTGGAGATTTTAACAAAATAATACTTCTTTTTAGTATCAGCTGTGCCTTATATGAAATTAACAATGTACGTTGTGCAGAAAGCTCAGGGAGGTTGGTATTCCTTGACTGATTTTTCTAATGCTTTTTTTTCTTCTATTTTGGAATAACATCAAAGCCATTTTGCATTCATATGGGATGGACTCCAACTCACATTTACTGTCCTTTTACAGGGATATTTAAATTCTACAACTTCCTGTAGTAAGTACTAGTAAGAACACACTTAAATTTGATTCCATGGAGAAGGACTTATCTATTATTCTCATGATACAATGTTGATATTTCAAACTGAATTCAGAGCTAAAACTAAACTACAGTTTCTTGTTAATCTAATCGAGGATGGCTGATTAACTCAATGAAAGTACAAAGCCAAATTAAAATGATGCCAAGTAAAAATTTACACATAATTTAAAAGGGAATTGTTGATGGTTACGAGGCTTTAGTTGAAATAACATTACAGAAGAAATAACATTTTTCAGGCCTGAAATAGCCAGTTCTGGTTATAGCAGAATACTATTCCATCAGGAAGAAAATGCTCAGAATTCCCTCATTAGATGGGAATGGTGTGGACTTACTAAGTATCTATTCATCACCCACAAATAGGCAGCTGACACAATCCTTTGGTCCTACTTTAAATACTATAGGTGAATTGGACAAAGAGCAGCATGGTTTGCAGTTATTGAAGGATTGCCAAAAAGCAGCATGGTAGCTCAAGAGTGGGAGGCCAGCATGCAGTTTAAAAAGCAGTTACATTGTGACTGAGTGATGACTCCTTTTTGGCTCAAGTTGAGAAAAGATATACCTGTTCAATGGGCAGACTTAAAAGATGTGCTTCTTATGGCACTATAGAAATTGGATAGTAACAATAATGATATAAATTTTATGGCTTTTTGGATAGTAAACAATGGGCTAACAGTATTATCTGAAAGGCTGATCTTAGAAAACTAGGAGAAAAAGGCAACCCTAGTATAAAATACTATGTTATCAAAAACTTCATGACCTTTGGTGGGAGGGAGAAAGTGAAAGCAGAGTAGGGGATAAAATGAAAGTGGGGCATGCATGTGCACATCAAAAGGATATTATTTCAAATTCGAAATATGACTGAAACCAACAATAATATGCCTTCTTTTAATATTTGTTTTTGAAAGTGTTCTCTTAAGTACACAGGATTGGTAGCTGCAGCATGATGGCATTCAAGCAATGTAACAATAAGCAGGAAAAAAAACAAAGAAATAAATAAACATGTATTCCATTATCTCTTTCAGAAGCTTGAAATGTGACTAACATTTGTTTCTTTGTGAATAAGAAAATTAGAAAATATATATAATCTACCAGGATGGTCTGGACCAACCTTAGCTGGTAGGTGAATTACATTGGCCTGCTGCTTATGGTTCCTTGTGATTACAGGTCAATCTTGACTAGGACAGATACATAATCTGAAGTTTTACTTGTATATCCAGTAACTGAAGTAAATGCCTTCAACACAAATAGATATCTAGAGAGAAAATCTTTCATTTGGTATCATATATGATCAAAGAATTTATTTTACTACAAATGCAGTGCGCCAATGTGCTAAGAAGCATCATTTACCATGAACTTATATATCTTAATACCACAAAGTAGTACACTGAATGAATACTGCAATGGGCACTTGTAACACCCACTTTTTAAATGAGGGTAGGGAGAGTTGTGGCTAAAAAATAAGGGGATACATTGGTTTGCCTATTTGAATAAATATATAATAAAACAATATATGTAATACTAAAGGTGATCAGCTTTGGAAAAATTGTTAAGGTATTATGCAAAAAGTAGAACAGGATGTGAGAAGTGACAGAGGAACTATATATACTCTTCTCTGCATCTATTTTTTATTCTCCATATTTGCTTGATCCTGTGGTGCCAGCAATTGGATTATATTTGTGACTGAGAGAGAAAAGATCAGTTGCTACCCTAACAACATGACAACATCTCAAAATACAGTTGGCCTCTCACATCTGTGGTTTCTTCATCTGCAGGTTCAACCAATTATGGATCAAAAATATTTTTTAAAAACACAAAATAACAATAGAAGAATAAAAATACAAATATTATCAAGTAGAAAACTATATATATTTATATTGTACTGGATGCTAGAAATAATCTAGAGATGATTTAAAATGTTCAGGATGATGTGCATAGATTATTTCCAAATATCACACCACTTTATCTAAGGGACTTGAGCATCCCCAGATTTTGGTATCTGAAGGAATCCTAGAACCAGTCCCTCACAGGTACTTAGAGACTACTGTATTATTTTGAATTTCTAAGGAAATGATGGGATGAGCTGCTGCTTTTCCTTACTTGTATAAACTGAAATTAGAAGTGTCTATCTGCCCACTGAATGACACTCTAATACATTTACATTTTTCCTATCTAGTTTTTATGGTTGGCAATGTATGAAGTGGGGGCATTAGGCAAACTCATACTTCCATCAGGTGTCAGCCTAAAGAAAAATCAGAGAAAATATTGTCTAATAATAATGATTTTATTCATTAAAAAGCAGACAGGATTAAAGGAGTAAGCAGAAATAACAGCTGTGACAAAGCCACGGATGCATACAGACAGGAGAGGGTAGAACAAAGCCTTTGCTGACAAAAAGGAGAAGTTCACACAAACTGCTTGAAAACAGAGTTCATTAGCTCCAGAGGCTCAAAGCCAGAGTTGGCATCAGTTCGTTGGTGTAGATACCCTTACAGGGCAAGTATTCTTTCAAGAACATCTTATCTGAATTGCTACAGGTCAAAATAAGAAATTTATTGTGGGGTTATATTAGAAATGACCCTGAGACATTCCATATCTTATATATACAAGCATGAGCTCTCCTCCTTCATACTTTCTCAGCTTCAACTTGTTTGGTTCTAACAAAAGTGATTTCACCTGGTGTCTGCAACTTTCACACAGGTCTACTGGTAAATCTTTCAGCTGAATCCGACAGTCTTACCCTTAAGTTGGGGGATGGGTCTGGGTTAAAATTTTTTGACAAATGGAAAGAAAGGAAAGTAATTGCTGATTGAAAGAGAGCCAGTAAGTTCATAATGTAAAAATGAAAATATACCATTATGTTGAAAGTGCACAGCTAAAGAATAATATTATATCTTCATCGTATATTATAAATGCTTTTGTAAAAGTAAGATGTAATAACTGTTGCCCCGTTCATGCACACAAATGACAATATGTTTGGTAGATAAACAATATTGGTGGCTCATCAATATGATTGATGGATAAGCAAACATTGGCCAAAACATTCCACAATAACCACGGGTGGAATTATTATAACACAGGGAAAGTGAGTAGGCAGTCATGGTGTTCTCAGCTCAGGTAGCCTACCTGACCCATCAGCAGAAGTTGCTGTGGGTTTATAAGTGGGTGCTGTGACACCTTGATTCATGGTGCATTCACAAGGACAAAGACCAGTACTTTCCTTGTTTGATGAGAGCCCAGAATGAAAAGGATATAATCAGGACCACCCAGCTGCTGAGGGTGACAGAGGAAGAATTCTGGCACTGTCAGCCTCCACAGCCATGAATCTTCCATGGCTGTCTGGAGGGTACCTCCAATGAGAGATATAAGTGCTACAAGGTTCCAGAGTGGTTCTTAGATGATTGGCTTCCTTCTGAGAAGGCAATGTATCCTGACTACTGTGCCAAGAGAGAGCAGTGGAAGTAACTGTGGAGAGAAAGCTGGGAGTGAGAAGTTAAGCAGCTGCAAGAGGAAATCCCACCTGGTGGTCCTAAGATTAAGCTCTGCTCCCTTCAGGAAAGGAAAGCAATTTACTCCCACTGCAGTTGTGTATTGTGACCAGACTCCAGGGAGTAGCCCATGTAGAGAGAGAGAGAAACACCTCACCCTTTATTGTTGCTAGTGAAATAAGTTACAGGACATTCATATGCTTGTCATAGTAAAAATAATTGAAGTGGTCTGGTAAAAAATTAAAAATAAAGAAATTAATACAGGTCGAGTCTCAGGACAAGCTGAAATTACTTTGAAGGAGAGGAGCCATACAGACTTAGCCTGCATTGGATACTTAAAAGAGATGTTATTTTGGAAGAAAGAGAAAGATTGGCAACTCGCTTGGACATTCAACACAGCTATAGAAATGCATGAGACAAACTCAAAAGATACGTAAACAATACACTAGGAAACAAATATAGGAGATACCATACATTCTGAACCAAGAGGATCTATTTAGCATGCTTCTTTAGAAACAAGGATAATCTAAGATTTTGGCAGTGTAAATACAAGAAATACACTCGTGACATGATCTATAGCTTCAAGGAATTCATAAACGTGTAATGTAATTTGCACAGGTGATTTTGACTGCCAAAGCCCTATATATAAATAACAACCAATGTATGCAATAATGCAGTTACTAGGAATGGAGAGTCAAGTTAAACTTGACCCAAATTTTACCAGGAAATGAAAAATAGAAACGACTTACAGATAAATTCTACAGGAAATCTTTATCAGTATATTAGTATAAAACAGAATTGTGCTCAACACAATAATGGCTCCTCCTAATCCTTGGAACTTGTTACCTTACATGGAAAAATGAACTTTGCAGAAGTGATTCGGGTTACAAATTTTGAGATGCTGATGTCATCCTGGATTATCACACAGCCTTTAAAAGTAAAGAGCTTTTTCTGGCTGGGTCAGTGAGAGATAAGACTGAAGAAAAAAGAGAGATCTGATGCACGAAAGGGACACAACCTGCCACTGTTATCTTTGAAGCTGGAAGAAGAAGACCAGGAGCCAAGGAATTTGGATGACCTCTATAAGTGGGAATGGGCCTCAGCTAACAGTCAGCCAAAAACAGGATCTTAGTTCTATAACCAAAAGGAGCTGAATTCTGCCTATTAATCAGCCAGCCAGGAAACAGACCCTCAAGTAGAGATTACATGAAGGAATACAGTTCTCCCAACTACTTACATTTAGCCTAGTCAGACTTGTGTCGGACTTCTGAGCAATAGAATTTTAAGATGATGTATTTGTATTATTTAAGCTACTAAGTGTGTGATAATGTTTCTACTCAGAACTGGAAAACTAATACAAAGTTATATGGCTATTCCCACAAGAGACTTAGAATTAAGAATTAACTGAAACTTAGTCCTCGGTATTAGTCAGTAGATATCAATCTATAACACCATTTGTTATGTAGACAGGGGCCTAGAAAATATTGCTGTAATTTTAATTGAGTGATTTCTTTTAATGACCTTAGTCTGACTCACAATATATCTGCTATTTGGTATAATATCTGTTCAATTGCTAAAATTAATTTCATTAATTGTAACAAAATCTTCTATAATGCTGACATCTATGATCAAATGCCTTAGGAGATTAAATTTAATACCTCACAAGATATTGTTCTGATGAAAGATTATTAGTCAAAGTACCTTTTGTTAATAATCAGTTAATTGTTATAGTAAATATATTTATTGATATATCTTATAAAAGTTCAACTTTTTATAATGAAGGAAGTTTTACCTTTCCCCCTCTTTTACAGATGTTAAGCTTGTATATAATTTGAACAAACTTATGCTAGATAATGTGGAAAACTCAAATATTTCTTTAAAGTTAGGCCTAAACTATATTGAATCATAAAAATAATGAGTATTTTTATATTCGTGATTTTTTCTTTCTAAAAATGGTGCAAAAGATGCAGAAAACAGAATGACATTGGGTAGTTTAAAATTGAAGAAGAATCGTGAATGTGGCCTCTTTTAAGGCAAATTAACTTAAAAATGGACTGAGATCAGATTTATCTTCTGGAATGCCTGTGAGTTCAGTACTGACCTGAGGAGAAGATAAGCCAAGATGGGCTAACTAGTAATTGATCATGAGCTATTTAATGTTTGAAATGCCCTTGGTGGCACATGACCTGCATGTTTACATTGTTCAGAGAACTTAAACACTTGTTTTAGGTAATTACATAGTCTGGCATGGCTATATGAGCAGTGGAATATAAAAGATCCCTCTGTGAACTATCACCCAAACTATCCTAAACCAGATGCTACCTGGTGATTCATAATTGGGAAGAAAATCTCATCCTGTGTGACTTAGAAAGGATGCTGTGTGTAAAATTTTGCCTGGAAATATTTTAGGACTCCCATTCTTGCGTGTGCTTTCTGCTACTGTACCATGTCATTCACATTTATTAAATCTACATGCTCTGTGGAGTTTTAAGAGTTCTTTCAATTGTGAAATACTGTGAAATTGATGGAGTGCCAAGTGGGAAAAAATCAATTTAACCAAAGATATCCAAGACATTTATTGAAACAAAATACAAAACTTTGCAGAAGGATAGTTTAACAAATGCAATGTACATACACAAGGTAATTATTTAACATAAATATCTCAATCTTACTCAGATTAAGCTATGCATTCAGTACAATCATAATGAAAATATCCGCAGTCAATTCTAAAATAAATCCAGAAGAAAAAAAAGGCCCAAAATTGTCCTCTTTCCTTTATCGGCCAGTATACCCAGCCCCCAGTTTCTGTAAGTGTTGGTTCTGAAAGGCACACTGCGGCCTTCTCTGTAGAATTGCCCTCAGTCCCTTGGGAGCTGCCCTGTCAAGGTTTCCTTTCCTCACTCATAAGGAACAGAGAATGGCTAATGGCAAGACAATAGCTGTCTTCCTTGCCTCAATGAGGAACCAAATGAACGGAAAAATTTGAAGCCTAGAGTTCTCCCTGGAGACAGACTAAAGCTCAATTCAGATTCTTGCACAGCTTTCTTCTGCTCCTTTGCCCTGCATCTTTTATTTCCTATCTCCAAAAAACTCTTCCTCTACAGTCATTTAAAGAATAACTCAGTGGGAGTTGAACAATAAGAACACATGGACACAGGGAGGGGAACATTACACACCAGGGCCTGTCGGGGGATTGGGGGCAAGGGGAGGGATAGCATTAGGAGAAATACCTAATGTAGGTGACAAATTGATGGGTGCAGCAAATCACCACGGCACATGTATGCCTATGTAACAAAACTGCACGTTCTGCACATGTACCCTAGAACTTAAAGTATAATAATAATAATAAAAAACTCCAGCCTGTGGTTCCCTTTCATTAAACCTGTCCTATAACACACATGCTATGAGGCTAATGTTACCTTTAATCAGAGATGTTGGTAATATGAAGAAACACAGTATATGTACGTATATTTATGTATGTGTACATATATAGATAGGTAGATAGATACAGGTATGTTTAACAATATCCATTTATCTATCTACCTATCTATATGCAGTCATGCACTGTATAATCACCTTTTGGTCAATAATAGACCACATATACAATGGTGGTTCCATATGATTATAAGTGAGCATATATATAAATCTTATATATGGCACTTGATATTGGCACTGCAGGTCAAGTAGAGGACATCACTGATAATCAATAGTGGTGCTGGGACATTTGTTTTTTTATATAAAAATATGTGAATAAAAATATATATACCAGCTAAGTTTGTGTAACTATATTCTATGATATTTTAGGCAATGATGGAATCACCTAATGATGCATTTCTCAGAATGTATTCCGGTTGCTAAGTTATGTGTATGTATATGTATATACACACATATTTATATACATACCTGCACACAAGTGATATTGTTACCATTATTATATTTGCTTATATATATTGCCGATTTCACACAAGAGGATTCGGTGAGGATTCTGTCTCTTCACACTACCAGTTACAATGTCATCTTAGGATCTCTTACCACCAGAATGAATATGGAAAGGGATACCTTAGAATTAGAGGGTTGTGGATGGAAAGTACGTGATAGAGATATTCAATGGATGTCTCAAAAAGAGTTATCCTAAAGATGATGCGACTGCTTGGTTTCGTGGCCATTAACAAAAGCCATTAAATGTGTGGATATTTAGTGTGGCAGAGGAGATCATCCTCTTGCCACCTTTCAGTATCCCTGTCTCTCACTTCAAAGATTAATGCACAATTTGAGCTCCAGTAGTTTCTTAACCCATTAACTTTGCCTTTTTTTACCAGAGACCAATGATTATTTGATGAATGTTTCATTTTAATTGCATGTAATTTTCTAATTTTATTTAAATTTAAATTTTAGTGTTTACAAATTCTTCTTTACTGATGTTTTCATGGAAAGGTGAAAAAGAATTGTTTACACGCTACTAGATTGATGCTACTCCAATAAAGATAGAAATAACTTTAGTTATTTCCTGTCCAGGTGTAATAAATCGGTAATGAACACTCATGTACAGTTGGCCAACCATCTCCTTAATGTACAATTATTCATATGCCAATTGATTAATCTATTCAAAAAATAAATATTTGCTGGCCCACTTTAGTAGATTAATAATTTCTCAAAAGAGACATGCTTTGGATTCCAACTGTAACATTAATTTCAAAGCACAAAATAGTACAAAGAAAGATATACAAGATACATACTTTTGTACAGAATACAAAAAGTGCACACACAATGTGATAAACCAGATAGATCGATAGATTATAAATATTAGGATTCAATTGTTACAGGAAATAAATTTTATCCTGGGGATTTTAGATTTAAATTTGCAAAGATTCAAAATAAAGGACATGTCAAACACAGAAATTTAGAAAGACACAGTGAATACTCAGAGACTAGGAATAATTTAGTTTGGTGCGTACTTGCAGAAAGAAGATTAGAAAGGTTAATTGAGGTTAGAGCTTAAAAAATTATTACTTCTAAAGGTACTTAAAATTTGTCTTGTAGATGATAAAAAATATTACAATTGTTTAGTAGAATATTAATACACCAAATTGTTAATAGCTGCCATGTAAAAGACACTCTCTAAGCACTTTAATATAGTACTTATGCAATCATCATGAAAACTGTATGAGGTCTTTATAGAGATCATAAAAGCTCTATGCAGTTTTTCAAGGGTGACAGTTGAAGAGAACTAAAATAATTTAGAACAAAAAAGGGTTTCCATTTTAATTTTCTAACTTTAATCAATTCAAATTAATTTCATATGATCAGAGTACAGTAATTTTCAAATTGCATTTATCTATTTGATAATTTGTGATGAAAATGTACATTGATGATATATTAATAACCAAACAGCTGCTACTTGTCTTAGAATGAACATTGATATATATAAACCTGGCTGCTTTGGTTGAATTGCTATTTTGAAAATAAATTTTAGATTTTTTATTTTATTTTATTTTTTATTTGAGAAACCAAGTGCAGGTTTGTTACATGGATACATTGTGTAATGGTGACGTTTGGGCTTCTAGTACACTCATTACCAAACAGTGAACATTGCACCAATATATTTTAAATTATTTGTATAACTACACAATATTGGGCTTTATTTAGACAGCAATTTCTCTGGGTTCTTTAACAATACAAAGGTATTGTTCTTTTGTTGTTTGTTACAAAACAACTTACTTAGCCTTCCTGTTTCTGTCAATTAAGCACATATCTTTTCATTTTCAATCTCAAACTTTCCATATAACATGTTGTAGTTTGCCAAATAATTTAGAAAAAAAAACCCAAAACATGGTATGATGAAATGATGGAGCAGAGGTCATTTTTGTTATTAATCAGGACAAATTCCAGGAGAAACAGAGGCAGAAGCCATCTCTAATAATAACCAACTACATGTATCTGGTCTCAAGCACTGTGCAAGGCACATTAAAGGAAACAAAACTCCTTAGCAATACATAAGGCATTGATACAAAGGATACTAACATACATTTTGTATAAACCTGAGAAAAGTCTAATCTACAGTGTAAAACAGAAAATGAGGATGGTAGTGTCCAATTTGATTCCAAGGTCTGAGAAGCTGTGCATCCTCAACAAACATCCATATCATATTAGTAATTGAGATTATTAGGAATGAATTTAATTTTTTTCAATTATTTATTTATTTTTAAAATGGCTATTTGGTAGCTGCTAATTATTTTAATGCTTAAAAACTAGTTCATGTTCTGGTGAGGATGATGAATAACTGCAACCCTCATTTTTACTTCTGGGTTGCAAGATAGTATAGCCACTTTGGAAAACAGCTAGCATTTTATTTTATAATATATTGTGCACTCACCATATGATCCAGTAATCTTGCTCTATTTACCTCAGGATAATGAAAATGCATATTCATACAAAACTATGTTTGTGAATGTTTAAAATACCTTTATTCACAGTTACCTAAAACTGGAAGTTACTGAAACATCTTTCAACTGCTAAATAAATAAACAATACTGTTTCACAGGTATATAATAGAACTCAGCCACAACAAGTGGGAACAAACATAAACTATTGATCAATACAACAATATGGATGAATTCCAAATGCATTATGATATGTGAAAGAAGCCAGACTTAAAAAGCTTCATGTTACATGATTCCATTTATATGACATTCTGAAAAATGACAAAATCACAAGGACAGGGAACAAATCAGTGGAGGTGGAAAAGCCACCAAGAAGCCTCAGAGTGCCGATGCCTGGACACAGGAAGAGTTTCCGCAACGCTCTGTTTTGATGCTGATGAAGTGCTAATAAGGGCCAGCAGTAGAGAGAGAGAGAGAGCACTTAAGCCCCCTTCCAAAGGCCTTCCCATCTCCAACAAGCACTTCTCACTGTCAGAATTTAACTAGTGGTCTGGAAGGGTATCTAAGAAATATAATTTTCAGGGGTCTCGGCTCCCTACCCTCATAAATATAGTAAAACAAAAAAGGATGGGGGGAAAATCACAGAAAAGTGACTTTTATACAGTGTTATTTTCTGTTTTCTAGAGGCTTAGAAAAAAAAAAAACAGCATCAGTCATATCACCCTACAACAATGGGAGAAGATACACAGATATAGAGACAGAAATATTTATGTATATTTTACTATATATATGTATATAAATAGATTTTTTTCTGTTAGTTGGAAAAAGCATTCCTAATTTAGATATAGGTTTAAATATCTAAATTATATTATTCTGCAGATATGAAGAGAATAAATATTTTCTTAGTATTGTATGCTCTTCACAATGTCATGTCACTAATAATACTAAATATTACTTTTTAGAAAAAAAAATATTGATAGATTTCTAACCAAACTATGATGTCATTGATCCAAATGCCCAAACCAATCTGGAAACCACTTTAGCTGACATGGAAATTTTATGTACTGTAAGTTTTCAATATTTAGATAAATTACTCCTTGGAATGTGTTTAAATTTCTTTTTCAAGAAATAGGCATAAAATTGGCTGGGTGTGGTGACTCATGCCTGTAATCCCAGCACTCTGGGAGACCCAGGCGGGTGGATCACTTGAGGTCAGGAGTTCAAGACCAGCCTGGCCCACATGGTGAAACCCCATTTCTACTAAAAATACAAAAATTAGTCAGGTGTGGTGGTGGGCCTGTAATTCCAGCTACTCAGGAGGCTGAGGCAGGAAAATCACTTTAACCCGGGAGGTGGAGGTTGCAGTGAGCTGAGATGGTGCCACTGCACTCTAGCCTGGGTGACAAAGAAAGACTCTGCCTCCAAAAAAAAAAAAAAAAGGCATAAAATTGAAAGACAAGGACGTGTAAATGAATGTGTAGTAACTCAGTAACTGTAGGAGCAACAGAGACTTATTTTTTATTGCATAAATTTGAGGTGTACCACACAATGTTTTGAAATACATATCCAGAGTGAAACAATTACTACAGGTAAAGAACTTAACCTATCCATCACCTTCTAGAGCTAATTTTCGTGTGTGATAAGAGCTCTTAAAACCTACTCTCAGCACATTTTCAATACACAATTTATTGGTCTTATTAACCAAGTAAAAGCCATATGTATTTACAACAGAAGCACTGGGATCCACTAAATTCATCTTCTCTCTTATGTCCCTGGCATGTCTTTTCATCACTGGGAAAGAAACAGTGCTTCTATTTCTACCTTAAATGTCCTCTCCCATTCTGAATTATGAAAAGTGTTACATATACAGTTACCCAATTCATCAATTATAAAAAGTTGTTTTGTTTTCACCCCTGCAAAATCAGCTTAAAATGAAGTTGAATTACGATACTGACAAATGCAGTGTCTTTAGAAACTTCTGATGTTCGTTCACTACAGTGAAGAGCAAACATTCACAAAAGTGCATTGGTGACCACTGTAGAGTCCTATAATCATAACTGGGTTATTCTGCACTCAAGTTTTCTGCCTGCAACATCGATGAGACAAACTCTAAATTATTTATAAAAGAAAACTATGTTTCCTGATTCTCTAACTCTTCTCACTCTCTGATAGGCCCCAGTGTGAGTTGTTCCCCTCTATGTGTCCATGTGTTCTCATCATTTAGCTCCTACTTACTAGTGAGAACATGCAGTATTTGGTTTTCTCTTCCTGTGTTAATTTACAAAAACTCCATCTCAAAAAAATAAAGAAAGAAATAGGCATAAAATTGAAAGGCAAGAATGTCTATCCATAGACATTCTCTCCAGCTGCATCTATGTCCCTGAAAATGACATGATCTCATTCTTTTTTATAGCTGCATGGTATTCCATGGTGTATAGTATGACATTTTCTTTATCTACTCTATCTTTAATGGGCATTTGTGCTGATTCCATTTCATTGCTATTGTGTACTAGGCTTAATACCTGGGTGATGAGTTAATCTGTACAACAAGCTACCATGAAAATTTACCTGTGTAATAAATATGTACATGTACCCCTGAATTTAAGAGTTAAAAGAAAAAGGAAAGTATTTTTGAACAGTTTTTTCCATCTTGTATTTTTCTGTAAAAGCACTTCCTCTTTCTGCTACTGAATTTAAATTGGTTTTAATAACAATTTATAAGTAAAAGCATACTAACCTTAAATCAATAAAAGGAGACTGGCTGTATGAAAATATACTTCTAAATAAAAGCCAACATATTTTAAGTGACTAAGTTATTTAACAGAAGCATTGATGTATATAATATTCAATTCAGATAATAATTACAAATAAACAGAAGCAAAGAAGATGACAACATGAATTATTTTTAAAAAGGCTTAGCATTAGAGTAATGGAGTTATAATTCTTCAGAGAGATAGAAAAAAAGGAAAGAAACTAGAAACAGCTCTTGAGATTAACATGAGGACAACTGAATGTTAACTTCCTGGTTATCCTCAATATTCCTATTAAAGGTGTTTGCATGACCATGTAGTAAGACTATGATCTGAAATATAAGGCTCTGAAATGGGGGTAAGGGGAAAATATATGTCACTCATTACAAACAATATTTCAAAATGATAATGATAAATGAAATGATATTTTTGTAGAGTAATCAATAATAAAAATGCTTGAGGGAAGAAAAAGTCTGTAATTTGTGGTCTATACAGTTTTTGAAGTTCATTTAACAATTTTAAAATGAGAAAAAAATAGATGTAGATTCTGATTTCATGCATCTACCAAGTATCAAAAGTTAGTGGGAATTAAAAATGCTAGGATGGTTAGTAGACAAGGAAGCACTATTAACAGTATTGCTAGAGAACAATTGTCTGAAAACCCAGAGTGGTAGATTGACAGAAAATAAAAGTGCAAATAGGAGTAAGTGCAGAGTGAAGAGTTGGAGATCTCTCTCTCTCTCTCATTCTCTCTCTCTCTATATATATATACACATATATATAAAACACACATTCATATATATTTCTTACAGATGGAAAGGTTATATTAAGTTATATTAAATCTATCTCCATGTGTAGACATTTATTATTCTTATTATTATGGGATTTTTTTTAATATGCATGTTTCCCATGGGCTTACAAGTTTCTCAAAGGCAAGGATAGGGTATGGCTTTGACCCATTTAAATCCTTGTACCAAATTTAGTTTCTGACAAATATTATACACTCAATGGATATTTGTGGAGTAATTAATGTAAAAAAAAAAAAGAAATTGTTGCGGGAAGTCAGGGACCCTGAACAGAGGGACCAGCTGAAGCCACAGCAGAAGAACATAAATTGGGAAGATTTCATGGACATTGATTAGTTCCCCAAATTACTACTTTTATAATTTCTTACGACTGTCTTTACTGCAGTCTTTGAACATAAATTGTGAAGATTTCATGGACATTTATCACTTCGCCAATCAATACTCTTATAATTTCCTATGCCTGTCTTTAATCTCTTAATCCTGTCATCTTTGTAAGCTGAGGATGTAGGTCGCCTTAGGACCCTGTGATGATTGCATTATCTGGACAAATTGTTTGTAAAACATGTGTGTTTGAATAATATGAAATCTGGGCACCTTGAAAAGAACAGGATAACAGTGATTTTCAGGGAGCAAGGGAGATAAACATAAGGTCTGACTGCCTGCGGGGCCGGGCAGAACAGAGTCATATTTCTCTTCTTGCAAAGGAAATAGGAGAAATATCACTGAATTCTTTTTCTCAGCAAGGAACAGCCCTGGGAAAAGAATGCATTCCCAGGGGCGGACTCTAAAATGGCCGCTCTAGGAGTGTCTGGCTTATGCATTTGTAGATAAGGGATGAAATATGCCCTAGTCTCCTGCAGCGCCCCCAGACTTGCTAGGATTGGGAAATTCCAGCCTGGTGAAATTTTAGTCAGACTGGTTGTCTGCTCTCGAACCCTGTTTCCTGTTAAGATGTTTATCAATGACAATGCATGCACAGTGGGACATGAAACCTCATCAGCAATTCTAATTTCGCCCTGGACTTGTGATCTCGCTCTGCCCCCATTTGCCTTGTGATATTTTATTGCCTTTGAAGCATGTGATCTCTGTGAACCACACCCTATTCATACACTCCCTCCCCTTTGAAAATCGCTAATAAAAACTTGCTGGCTTTGCGGCTCGGGGGCATAATGGAACCTGCTGACATGTCATGTCACCCCTGGAGACTCAGCTGTAAAAATTCTCTCATTTGTACTCTTTCTCTTTATTTCTCAGAGCAGCCGACATTTAGGGAAAATAGAAAAGAACCTACGTTGAAATATTGGGGGCTGGTTTCCCCGATAAGAAATAACAACTTTTATAAGTTTGATGCTAGCATATTACCTCATGAAAACAAATGAAAATTCATGGAGACAACTAGACACCACTGATATAAATTAAAAGTTTTCTGGTTTTGAAAGGCTCAAATTTCAAAATTTTCAAGTCTTATGTTTTATGTATATTTATATTTTCTCCTCTACACATATGTGATTTTATACACAGACACAAACACACACACACACTATATATATATGCACACACTTACCATTACAGAACATATGGTAAGTGCTATAAGGTGAAATACTGAATTACAATTGAATTAAAACAACAGGATTACTTTCTTTTTTGATATGAGGAAAATAATGGCAAAAGATAATTAATATTAATGAGCAATTTACTTAGTGGACAGGGTGGTCAGAAAAACATTGGTCATCTAAAGAGAAGGATCAATACTAGGAGATAAAAGAAACGTCAAATTTTGGTTATGAAAAATGTCTTATGTCATTTTTTTACTTTTTCTTAATATCATATGCAAAGAAGACCCACAGAGACATTTTCAGATGATGAATGACATGCATAGGTTTGCATTTTACCAAAATGATACTGACTATAAGGAAAATAAAGAAAGATCAATGTGAGACTTAAGTTAGAGAAATAAGTTAAAATACGTTTAAATAAAGCATAAAAATGATGCTTTTTTGTGTGTATGGCACTATCCTTTGGTCCTTTCGTAATACTCTATCCTTTGATATTATAGAAGATTATGAACTTTCTTTCATTGATTTGTATCTAGCAAGAGAATAAGAGTCACATATAGAAGTGATTTGAGCAATTTAATACAGTGTGGAATAAGTGACATACCATGAATATTCCAAGATATTTTGTTTTCTTTTTTAATTTTTGCTGATAACTTCAAAAAAGTTATTTGCTTCAATCAAAACTAAGTCTGAGAAATACATAAAATTTTTTGTATTAACTTCAAGACTACTGACTGAAATGTTGTGAAATACAAAATAGCTTGTTCTATGAAAATAGTAAATATCATTATTCTATTAATTATATAACATATCCTAGAATGTCAAATGACTTGGCTTAAATAGAATTATTATTATCTTCTATTGTATGTCATGCCATTGTCAAGATGTAAAGGAATAAATAATATAGTCATCTCCTACAAAATGAATAATAATGCCAAATGGATGTATTGCTATTATAAATATTATTAAGAAATGTCAAACGTTATTAAGAAAGTGGAACAAATATGATAAATTCACATAAATAATGTTTTAGAAAATCATCATGATCAGCTTTGATTATCATATATAATAAGCATTCAAATTACCCAATGTTTCATTTATCAACAGTTTTATGGCATTTTATGATATTCTAATATATTAAAATGATCACCTATAGTTTTAAAGTGAGTTAGCACTTTAAAAGTAGACACATACATATATACGCACATACATATATACCTGCTTACATATATTCATGCATGTATATTTATACACACACACACACACACACACACACACACACAAATTGATTACTTATCAAAATATCTTCCTTCCTTTCAAGATACAACATACTGTGGTCAAATTCAGTCACCTCCCTCTTAGGTACAAGTCGTTGCTAAATAGTAAACATTTATATAAATAGTAAACATTTGTATTATCTTTAGAAAATATCCATCCCAGCTCCGAAGAAAGTTTATGTTTATTGTATTCTATACAGTAGTTGTGTAGAGTTAGAGATTATTACTTTTCTATTTTCTACATCACAAAATAATGACTACAGTAGTGCACTTTCTGTAAGAGTTGTTCAGAAAAGCAGGAGTCAATAAAAAATGAAATGCCCTAAAATGCCAATTGGCTGAACTTTTATATCATAAGCAATAGACATTCTTTAACAATTCTTAAGTGTAATGCTTCACTAGTACTTCTCATTTGATGAAAATAAATTTTATTCTGAAAAAGCTGAGAGAAGGGCATCTAACTTAAAACACTCAGACTGAACATTCCTTTGGGCTAGGTCTCTAATTAAAAGGTCAAGTGAAGTTCCAATTTTTCTGGGAGGAAGTGGAAAGGATGGTATTCTCTGAGCTTTATTTTAACAATAAAGTATGAATATGTTTAACAAACATTTATATAGAACTTAGAATTATTTTTTAGACAATATTTCAAGCTATTAATAATATTATTTTACCTCATAAAAGTTCTATGAGGCAGGTATTTATTATTCTAGGCAAACCTTTGCTATGATCTTATAATCCTTTGAAGTCATCTGTCACAGCACTTTTTATATTGCTTTGGAAGGAGACCTATACCACAGTATTTTAAGTATGGCTTAAAGTAAGGATGATAAAATAATCATTTTTGTACATTCAGTAACAAAAAATAGATAAGTTAAATAATAATCTGTTACATTTATAAAAATGCATACTGGGGTAAAATATGTACCCATTGGTCAAATAAATAAAAAGTAAATTAAAATGGAAATTATATTCGATATGTGTAGAAACAAAACTTAAAAAAATTCAATTTTGAGTTTAAGTCATCAAGTATCACCCCATCTTTACTGTTTTAATTAGATGGTGGGAAAATTTACCCATTTGGTAACAGCAGTGATTCTTGAAATTGTTGATGTCAATATCACTTCACACTTTTAAAATAATTCAGAAACCCAAACAACTTTAGTTTATGTGAGTTGTTAGTAATTAAAACTGTAAAATGTTTAAAAAGACATTTGATTATGCAAGTATTAAAGACACAAAAATGTCTTAGTATAAGAACAATTTCAAATTTAAAAATGACCATATTTTCCTAAATAAAATAAAATTTACTGAGAAGAACAACGAAAATTTATATTTTTGCAAATTTCTTTAACATCTGATTTAATAAAAGAAGACTGGATTGTCTTATCTGCATTTTCTTGCAATATGTTGTGATATTGGTTAAAAATTTCAAAGAATTCTGGGCTCACACAGATACAGTTGAAAAAGAGCACAGTATATTTATAGGCTTTCATACAATTTTGAATATTCTTTACTGATTCTATACCAAAATTGGCCAGCAGTTGTTTCTTACAGGGCACTTGCAATGTGGCATCTGAAATAATATGAATGGTCTTTTAATACATTGTTAAATTTTTAAAAAGTATATATCGTACTTTAAATAGATCTTACGATTCTTTCATAATTTTCAACCATAATGCATTGGTCATTTGGAAAATATTGGTTTGATGAGTTATACAGCTATCCCAGATTTCTAGCATTTCCTTTTTTTTTTTTGAGAAGGAGTCTCTCTCTGTCACCCACGCTGGAGTGCAGTGGCGTGATCTCGGCTCACTGCAAGCTCCTCCTCGGGGGTTCACACCATTCTCCTGCCTCAGCCTCCAGAGTAGCTGGGACTACAGGCGCCCGCCACCATGCCTGGCTAATTTTTTTGTATTTTGAGTAAAGACGGGGTTTCACCATGTTAGCCAGGATGGTCTCGATCTCCTGACCTCGTGATCCACCTGCCTCGGACTCCCAAAGTGCTGGGATTACAGGCGTGAGCCATAGTGCCTGGCCTCTAGCATTTCCTTTTAATTATTTCTTATACTTTCTCATTTCTCTGCTTACACTACCCATGTATTCTTGCATACAGTGCACTTTTTTCTATTATAGCCTTTAGCATATTAATCATAGTTCTTTTAAATTTTTAGTTTTATAATAGCAATATCTGCCATGTGTAAGTTTCAGTCTCACACTTACTCCATCTTTTCAAGGTATATTTTTTGTCTTAGTATCCCTTGTCATTTTTCTGTTGAAAATGGACATGATACATCTGATAGTAACTCCCATGGAAGCTTGTTTTTTTTTAATGTTTACCAGTTTATTATAAAGAATATTAGAAGGAAACAGATGAACAGATGCCTAGAGCAAGGTGGTGGAGAAGAGCTTCCATGCCCTCCCTCCCTAGGGGCTCTACCCTCCAGGAATCATGACTTGTTCAGCTATCCAGAAGCTCTTGGAATCCTGTCCTCTGTGGTCTTTATGGAGGCTTTATTACATAGGCATGATTGACAACCGTTTAGAAATGTGATTGGTCAAAAATCACAGGATCTAAACCCAGCAAGGCCGATCTGTTCAGACTTTTCTTGGCCTGTGTAGCATTCCTTCCTCTAGGGTATGCGGCCCCAGCTGGACGCACTCTGGAATCAAGGTCTTTTGACCCACAATTGGATTAGAGTCCTGCCTTGGACAGGGGAAAGAAGAACAGAAGAAGCTTAGAGAGAGAGATTCTGTTTCCTGAAGGCCTAAAGTGCTTCAACGTTATAACAAAGACTATGAAAGTTAGGAGCCAGGAACCTTGGACAAAAGCCAATATATAAATATATTACAACAACACAGGCCTCCGCATGGTTTTTGAGAGCAGATCCCTTACATCAAAAGAACATACAACTCAAAAGGCACCACCACATTACTAGAATCCCATTCAGTCATTAATACTTAGTCTGGTCCATTATGGTGAATGAGTATCTCTCAGTATAAGATCACTCAGCTTTGTAGTCTTCCTTTCAAACTTGTCAGGTTCCAAAAGCAGGAGTGCCATTGGTAAATACACAGCTTCACACTGTCAGGCATCTGGAATAACTGAGCTAGGACACAGTGTCATCTCTTGCTCTGAGACTCTTTGGAGTTGTTAATGTAGTATTGAATTTCCCTCGGTTAATAATCCACTTATTGACTTCCTTATTCTCAGCTATGATTCCTTCTTCTCTCCATTATTATCCAAATTTTTTCACCTTTGAAATGGCTATCATTTGAATTGCCATTGTGTTGATCTGTATTTAGGCTGCAATACTAGTCTAGCAAGTACCCCCTCCTCAGACTACTCTCATTCAGATAGGGGAAGGTTATATAGGTACAGAACTAATGAGCTATTTTTGCCACCAGGTAATATAGGTGCATTCATGATTAGCTCCAACTTTGCTAGATGGGGTGAAAGTATAACCTACCCCCCATTAGGCCTTTAGAAATTTTAACATAATGTTTGAAAACGTGGTTACAGTTTCTTGCTTAGAAACCATATCTGTTTCTAGCACTTTTTGTAGCCCTGGTCCTAGGACCACTGCATCAAGTAGTAAATTAAAAAAAAAATAATTATTATAGGTAATTTGGGGAAAAAAGAACAAAATTGATTCATTATACCAATGTACTCTCCCTTTGTCAAGAGTTACATAGTCATAGTAGTATCCATCCTCCCCACCCTTTCTTCCCCAGATCACCCAGGAAAACAGAAAAATTTACTGGGGAAACACCTTTATTCCCACTCATGTTGAATGTGAGCACACATTCATGAAGGTGAGTAAGCCAGCCCTTCATGTTTTCATTTCCTCCTGTTTAGACAACCAATGATTTAATTGCCTGTTCTACTTCTCTATCAAACTATTGCACTGAGCAGGCTATCTCTCTCTCTCTCTCTCTGCCCATTATTGGACATTATGAGATGTATAATGTGTTCCTTGATCTGAAAAAGTAATGCCTGACCATTCAAATCCATGCAATATCTTCTGTTTGTGTGTGTGTGTGTGTGTGTGTGTGTGTGTGTGTGTGCGCGCGCGCACGCGTGCGCGCACGTGGTGTTTTTTTTTTGTTTGTTTTTGTTTTTTTTGTCACTCTCATTATTTACATCCTCTACTGGGAAAGCAAAGCCTGTCTGTGTCTATTCCTGTCAAGACCCGTTTGTAGCCCCTTAGGGCTATCAATGTCAGTTTACCTCACAGGTCTTTCCAGGTATGTTCATGGCTTTCCCACTAGGGAATCTGCCCCACAGCCATGGTCAGTCTCTCTCTTGTTGAAAATCAGAACAGTTCTTACTGGCATTGTGTACCTGAGAAGGTACAAAAGGAACATTATCTAGATTCAGCCCTTCTCTGCACTGCTGCAGTACCCCCACATCCATTTATTTCATGGACCCAGGTGACCACATTAAAGGAGCACATGAGGATACCTGCTTGTCAATTCCAGTCACCTTCCGAGCCTGTAAGGAAATTATCCTGATGGACATTGACTTATTTGACTTTAATGTTCAGATAAATTTCCGTAGGGCCATACACCATATGGACATTCTTTTAATAGGTCAGGCATTCATTGCCATTCTGCCTGACTCTATGGCCAGGCCATTGGTCACTGCCCATGAGTCAGTAAAATCCCAAAACAGGGGCTTCTACCACTATTTAATTCATGCAATTCAGCCCACTGAGTTGATCTGTTTTTAACCTTCTTTGACCAAAGTAACAGACTTCCAAACAGAATTTTGTCTATTCACATTGGAACTGCTGTCAGTAAACCAAGAAAATCATTGTTGGTCAATCAAGAGCTGTTCCTAGGACATTGTCTAGTTATCCATAAAATCCAGCAGCTCCTCACACCACTCCAAAGACAGCCCTAGGATTAAAAAGCTCTCTACTTTTTAGTATTCTCTTTTTGCATTTTCCAGATAGCATAATCTTGAATAAACCATTTCTATTTTATTACAGTATTCTTCTGGGTACTACTGTCCCCATTAGAATGTTTCTCTAACTTCATTCAAGACAGCAGGGGTAGTTCAGGTGTTGAGATCATTTTACATCTTTCAGTAATAGGAGCTTCAGTGAACTTCTCATATTAAGGCAGTAAATGCACCTCAAGTGAAAATCCTGCAGCCCAAAGTCCAAAGTCACTGGGAGGTGCTCACAGGCTTTTGCCATAAGCCCTAGTACACACATTCCACAGAGGACTATCAGGTGGAGAATTCCTTCCTACCAGCATTCCAGGTTCTACTCTACACTGTGTGGGCTCAGACAGTATTACTGATTCCCATTAAGTTTGTCCAATTAAAGTTGCTTGAATGGTGGATTTACATGCCTGCTGTTTCACAGTGCTAGGTAGGGGCAACATTCCCCAGTCAGATACAATGTCCATTTCAATAATACAGTCAGTTAAAACAGGCACAACAAGCATATACCAACTTTCATAATCTTATCAACCCTTACATTTTTATGTTCTATTCCCAGGAACTTCTCTTTTCCACCCCCAGAGCATTTTACCCTCTCTTGTACAAAAGGTTTTGGGTTCACAGCCAAGGATTGGGCCAAGAGACCCTGGCCTCTCTGTGAATTTTTACCTTGATTAACCTGTCTAACCATTGTCCCTAGGCAATTTTAGATGCAGTTCCTAATTGTAATGTTTACCTTTGTGCTTTTAAAATGTCTCCAAGTGGGGAGAAACACAGCAAACTGGTTTGGGGCTCTTTAATGTTGGAGGAACAGCAGGACTCCCTTTGGTCCACCCAACCATTGGTAATATTGTATTAAGACATTTGTTTTAACCTTACCAATTCCCATTTTATTCATTCCATTTTTAAATAATCATCTAAAGATTTCCACTCTATGGGACAAATCCCATAACTCTCCTCATTCTTTTTCCTCTTAGTTTTACCACTATCAATGTTCTCCTTATCCATCTTATTTTCAAATAGCCATGTAAAAATTTCTACTTTTCTGGATGAATCCTTTGACTCTCCCCTCTACCCTTCACCATTCTCTTGTTAATTAACCTAATGTTTTTATTAGCATCATAAGACCCATGAGGAGAGGCTGAGGTAAAAAATTTGATAAAACTTCTTGAACTATTGTTTGAGTCTGCAGGATTAATGTCATTTGGGGTGCCCATGTACAAAGCGCCTCCTTAACCATAGCATATTCCATGACCTGAGTAATGGGAATATTCAGTGGGTGAATCTCCCTGTCATCATAAAGCCAATCCCACATGGCTTGGGCATATGAAGCATATCAGCTGCTTCATCTAGGGTACTCCACTTGGCATTTATAGGTCAAGTTGGACATCCTCCTTCTCAGGGTATAAATATCTTATGGTGGCTTTTATCCAGTCCAATAGGCTGGTCATTTCCTCAAGAATAACTTCCTGTGTGTCCAGATAATCTGTAATTATTTGATAATGAGATGTGAAATCACCTTTTCAAAATTATGACAGTAAGAGAAATCTGACTTAGTTGACTCCATCTTGCTTCTGACTTCCAAGCTGTGTCTTTGCTCATTTCTGGGTGTAGGCCAGGCTAACTTTGGGGAGAATTTAGTTTATAGTTTAACTTGAAAGCAAGGATGAAAATAGTCTCTCCCTAATCCCCTCCTTGCTCAGGGACCAAAGATTCCCTTTGTAAGACTAATGAAAGGCCACAAGAACAGGATTATGGGAGGGTAATGAACTCTGCTACTCTGTAGGCATAGTTTCTATAATCCCTTACTGCTCAGGCATTATGTGGCCAGAGGTCACAAGATTTGTGAATTCCCCAATTTCTCCTAAAAATGATAAAGCTAAGAACCTAAGATTGTAGAACCTAAGATTGTTTTTCTGAATCTTTCAGACTGATTCCACCCAGACTTATGACTGATGACTCAACAGATTCTGTGGCCCCACCCAGAGGCACATAGGGACCATTTTCCACACTCCTATGATTTCATCCTCAACCAATCAGCAGCACTTGTTCCCTAGCCTACTGCCCACCAAATTGCCCAAAAAAACTCTAATCTTTGAGCCTTCCAGGAGACTGATCTGATTTAAGTGGTAACTCCAGTTCTCCCATGTGGGCTGGCCTCTTGACAATAAAACTCTACTGCAATAGCATTGTCTCAGTGAACTGGTTTTATGTGTGTTGGAGGCAGGAAGAGCCTGTCAGGTGACTGTAGCTGTAAGTCCTGTATCAACCAAACATGTTCTTCCACTCTGCAGAGTTTAAAACTGAAGACACTGCTCCTAAATTAGTTATTAGCACAATCAATTTTAGTAAAGGTTCCTCAGAAAGCTGATGATACGGAACAACAAAATGGAATAATTTCTTCACACTTTACCATTTGGTTTCAATAGTTTTGTGGTTTTGTCCTTCCCCCACATTGACTACTTTCTTGGTAACCACAGGTCTCAGAGGTACTTTCTGTTGTCTCTGCATAATTTTGTCCTTAGGTATCAGGTCTGAGGCTGGGGGCTAAAAGTCACACTCACTGAAATCTAAGCTTGGTGTACCATCAAGGCCAGACCCAGCACTCTGCTTCAATTTCATTTTAGCTATTATAGATAACAATAACCAAGGGATTGATTTTGCCTTTTTTCTTATTAGTGTAGATTTCTTTATGCATCTAGTGAACCATCTTCCTGGGAGTTTGATCCATCTCTATATTCCATCTGATACCAAATTCCACTGATAACTTTTACCTTTAGTAACTGAGAACAATATAGCTTCATGCCATGGGTGACCAGGTAGCCACTGAGGAACCAAATGTTCCTCACTTGCCACCCTTTCATCTTTTCTGTTCCTAAACTACATGTTTCCCTGAGCCTAGGCTATTCCAACAAATTGCACTAATCTGATACCAATTATTTAGGAAAAAAAAAATCTCTCAAACCAGGTTTTTTCTCTGTTCTCACACCACAACTATCAACACAGAAGACTTCTTTGTCCAAATGTGTGGGGTTTCTTTCCCCACACATCAAGCAACAGACCCCAGCTGGGTGTCTTCCAATTCAGTCCTATACTATAGCATCATATCCCACAGGATGAGGTCTCAGTCTAAAACTGTACTCCCTTCCTCCCAGATACCGGCTGCAAGTCTGGGCCTTCAGAACTTATGACCACCTGGCTCCGAATTGAGGTTCTCATCACCCCTTCTTTGAGTTGGATTAATTTGTTTGAGTGGCTCATAGAACTCAGGAAAAAACTTACATTTACTGGTTTATGATAAAGGATATTAAAAAGGATACAGATGAAGAGACCTCAGGTTGAGGTATGGAGGAAGGGGTGCCAAGTTTCCCTGCCCTCCCCAGGCACGCCACTCGCCAGGAGCATTCAATGTGTTGAGCTCTATGGGGACTCCCCAGTGGAGGTTTTTTATCTTGGGCTTCTGCTTCAGTATGTTGCGATTCCGCGTATACCTCTGTCTCTACAATTCTGAGGACAGCAGTTTGCCCCGTGACCTCAATTCTCTGATTGATCAAGGAAAACCTATTAAATTTCAGTATATTCAACTATTTTCTGTTGTGAGAACAAGATTGATGACTTCCAAGCTCCTTACATACTGAACTGAAAACCAAAAGAATTTATTTTTTCTCCTAAGATTATGTGGTAGTAAAGAATGCAATAACTAGTACAATGTGTTGCCAATTACTGATTTGTGTGTAAATGTCAACAGTTTTACCTACCGTTGCTTTTTGCCACTAGCACAAAGTACAATACTCTAAATGAGGTACTAACATTATTCATACATTTACTAATAAATCTTCAATTTGACAAGTTACTGTATCATTTAAAAGTGGCATTTCTGTGGTTCCCTTTACTAACTTTTTATTCTGCTAGCATTTAACAATATAAAATGTACACAACTTTTTTAGTCTTTTAGCTTTTTGGGCTCACATCTTCAAGAAATGCAATATAATAACTTAGTCTGTGTTTCCATATTTTTTTTGTTTCCAGTGTAAAAATTGTAACAAAGATCTTCATGTAAATTTAACATTTTCTTTTAAATTTTAAAACATTGATCTTCAAATGACAACACAATGGCATTATGTATACTATTCAATAAAGTTCTATTTCAAAAGATTAAACAAATTACTTGACATTTATAAAGTCAAATATAGATCTGTCATATTCTTATTTCTTTTTAAAATTTTTATTATCATGTTTTTTATTTTTCTTTTTTGTTTTTATTGTTTTTCTTTTTTATATTTTTATTCCTTATTTACAATTCTGTCCAGAAGAGATTCTTGTTTCCATAAGTCAAAGAACTCTCTGATATGTCAGTTATATCATTTTAACCATATTTGGATCTAGACAGTTCAGCTGCGATTGAGAAAGTGCGTCTTCTAATATTTTTATTAATTCAGTAATGAATTTTTAAAGATAAAAGGCACGTACTTGTTCCAGAATAATTGTCAAATACTAAAATAACAGTTATTTTAAACTTTAAATTTTAAATGCTTTTAAGACATCAAATTACACTTGTTTATGTGTGTGTGTGTCCTTCCACATGGGCTCAAGGAAAATTTAGGGATTTCAAAATATCAACATTCTGGATGAAAATGAAGTTAAAAAGATAACACATATAACAGAAAGCTGGCAGCAAGAGCATATCAGTAATACTGAGTACAATCTGAGTTAATATCTGAAAATGTACACATATATGCCCTAAAATTATCCAACATCTTGAGAAAATAGGAATACATATTCATATATTCTATTAGCTGTCAAAATGATGGTGTCATCATATTAAAGGCAAATATCATTTTATTATTATTACAAAACATATTTTTGGTGATTCAGATTGCCTAGTCTCAACAGAAACTTTACGTTTCCTTGGACCACACTTTAAATACCACTGGTTAAAAAAAAAAAAAAAAACTCACATGTACTTACTTTGTTCAAGTGCATGTAAGTGTAACTATGAAAATAGGCTGGTTTGTTTTTAATTTCTCCCTCCCCTTTGAGCTCAATGAGAAAATGACATTTAAGAAAAGCCTGAAGGAATAATTCCCGTAAGTTGATAGAATAAGAAATCCTCTACTTATAGACCACAGAAAAACAATAATTTGAAAGCTATCTATAAACTAACATGACTTTGTGGGAGATTTAGAACTCAGGATGTGGTTGCAAAACCCCAGTGGAGCCCAAGACTGAGAAAAGCCATTTTGATAGGGAGGACTGTGCCCAGATGGCAGGTTCACTGATCATGGTACTAGCTATACAATGGAAAACATCCATGAACCTTTGTGGACTAAGCTAAAGCCCCATTGGTTTTGGTCCACCATTGCCAAAGATGCAAGAGGAGTCACATTCACTCATGTCTCAGATAACAGGTTCAATGACTTTGATCACGGCTGTGGACCTGCAAATAGCCTGTGATCCACCTAAAGCCTTCTCAACTACGGTTCTGGCATATTCCTGCCCATTCAGGAACCTGTTGGGAGACATACCTATCCATGTCCTGGGAGGGAAACTGGGAGGGAAACCAGCCAACCTCACTTCAACTGTAGATCCTAACACATCCATGTCACTTGGCTCTAGATTCTTTCAGCTACAGATCAAGAACAGTTCTTTCCACTCAGGGACCCAGCAGGAGAAACAATTCTACAACAAAGGCAGGCCTACCGACCTTGGTTATGGTGTGAGTCCTGAAGCAGTCTTGTGACCAGGATATAGTCTCATTCAAACAGGAAAAGATAAAGCCTCCCCTAGACAAATAAAACTAAGACAATTCTTCATCACCACACTCAATGTTACAAGAAATGCTAAAGAGAATTCTTAAATATGAAAGAGAAAGGACAATGTGAAAAAAAAATTTGAAAGTACAAAACCAGTGGTAAAAGTAAGCACATGAACAAATCCAGAATACTCTAATACTGTAATTGTGGTATGTAAATCACTAAGGTCTCTAGTATAAAGACTAAAAGACAAATCTATCAAAAATAACAACAGCTACAGCAACTTGTTAAGAGATAGGCAATATAAAATATGTAAATTGAGAAAACAAAAAGTAAAAATGTTGGGGGTGGGGGTTGAAGTTAATGTGTAGATTTTTTTTCAATTTTTCCTTTTTTGTTTGTTTCTTTTCTTTGTGATCAAGAATTACTTGTCTTTGGTTTAAAATAATGTGTTACATCTGCTAAGATTTTTCTTGTAAGCTTTATGATAACCACAAAGGAAAAACCTGTGATGGATATACTGAAAGCAAAAGGCAACAACTTAAATTTTATTATTATAGAAGATTACTTATCCACAAAAAAAGAGACAATAAGAAAGAAAGGAAGAGAGGAATTACAAAACAACTGGAAAACAAGTAGGAAAATGGCAATATTCCCTTCCTATAGTCCCTTCCTATAAATAATAACATTGAAGGCAAAGGACTAAATTATCTAATTAAAAGACAGAATAGCTAAATGTTTTTTTTGAAAAATGACCTAACTGCATGCTGCCTACAAGAAACACACTGCACCTATAAAGACAAACATAGACTGAAAGAAAATGGATAGAAAAATATATTTCATGTAAAACCAAACCAAAAAAGAACAGGAATGAATATAAGTTACATAAAATAGACTATAAGTTGAAGACTATAAAGAGACAAAGATGGTAACTATATAATGATAAACGGGTCAATTCAGCAAAAGGATATATGAATTGCAAATATACATACACTGCTATAGTTTGGACATTTGTTCCCCAAACCTTGTGTTGAAACTTGATCCCCAATGTTGGAGGTGGTGCCCAATGTCAGTTGAAGTCATGGGGGTAGGTCCCTCATGAATGATTTCGTACCATTTTCCCAGTAAGGAGTGAGTTCTCACTCAGTTCCCATGAGAGCTGCTTATTAAAGTTCCTGGAACCTCCACACCCCTCCCTGCTTCTTCTCTCACCATGTTTTCTCTGCAGACGCCAGCTCCCCTTCACCTTCCACTAACATAGCAAAGAGATCTCTGCACTCCCATGTTTATTGCAGCACTATTCACAATAACCAAGATATGGAATCACCCTGAGTGCCCTTCAATGGATGATTGGATAAGTAAAATGTGGATGTATACACAGTAGGATATTATTCAGCCATAAAAAATAAAAGGCTGTCATTGCAGCATCATGATGGAACTGGATGTCACTATGTTAAGTAAAATAAGCTAGTCACAGAAAGACAAATATCTCATGTTAATCACTCATATGTAGAAGCTAAAAGAAGTGTATCTCATGAAGATAAAGGGTAGATGGGCAGTTACTAGAGGCCAGGAAAGGTGGGAGGTTGGGGGTGGTAGTATGAAGACAGGTTGTTTACTGGGTACCAAAAAAAACACACACACATAATAGAAACAAGATTTAATACTTGATAGATCAGTAGTGTGAATATAGTTAATAATAATCTATTATATATTTCAAAGTATCCAGAAGGGAAGGATTTGAATGTTCCGAGCGTAAAGAAAATTAAATGTTTGGGGTAATGTGTATCCTAATTACCCTGATTTCATCATTACACATTATATAAATGTGTCAAAGTATCACATGTACTTTTAAAATATGTACCTGTATTATGTAAAAATGAAAAAAAGGTATAAACCATGATCAAGCGAGATTCTTCTCAGGAATGCAAGAATGGTTCAACATATTCAAATTAACAAATATGCTACACTACAGTTTAAAAAGATAAAAACCATATGATTATTATTACAGATGCAGAAAACACATTTGAAAAATTTTAACATTATTCATATGAAAGGTAAATACCTCAACACAACTAGGGCCATATATGACAAGCCCACAGCTGACATCATACACAAAGGTAAAAATGTGAAATCCTTTTCTTTAAAAGCAGATACAAGTCAGTGTTGCTCACTCTTGCCATTTCTATTTACCGCAGCTGTGGAAGTACTAACCAGACAAATTAGGCAGGAAAAATTTAAAAAATGACTCTAGACCAGAAAAGAAAGTGTCTCTGCTTCCAGATACCACAAACTCAAATGTGGAAAATCCTAGTGACACTACAAAAACTTAAAACTAATGTACAAATTCATTATAGCAGCAGGATACAAATTCAACATGCAAAACTGTTTTGTTTTTCTATATTAGCCACAAACTTTCTGAATAAGAAATTTTTAAAAATTTCATTTACAATACCATCAAAAAAATTAAGTACTGAGAAATAAACTTAAGAAGGTGAAAGTTATGTACACGGAAAACTGTAAGATATACAAACAAAATCAAAGAACACAAATATACGAAAAGATAGCTCATGTTCATAAATTAGAATAATTAATATGTTTTAAACATCCATAGTACCAAAATCAATCTACATATTAAATGCTATCCCTGTAAAAATTCTTACGGCGTTTTTCAGAAAAACAGAAAAAATTCTAAAATGTATACAAAATCACAAAGGGCTCTAAATAGCCAAAATATTCTTAAGTAAAAAGAACAAAGCTGGAGATGTCATACTTATTGATTTCAAAGTATGTTACAAAGCAATAGTAATCAAAAAAGTATAGTACTGGAATGGAATAGTCACATAAACATAGACCAATGGAACAAAATAGAGATTCTAGAAATAAACTCATGCGTATTGCAGTCAACTAATCTTTGAGAAGAGTGCCAAGAATAGACACTTGAGAAAGAATAGTCTCTTCAATAAATGGTAATAAGAAAACTAAATATCCATATGCAAAAATATGGAATGGGGCCCCTATTTTACTCTACTTACAAAAATTAACTCTAACTGAATTAAAGGCTTAAGAGAAACTTAAATTCCTAAAGGTAAACATAGTGAAAAATCTCCTTGTCTTTGGCCATGGCAATAATTTGTTTGGATATGACACCAAAATCACAAACAATGAAAGCAATTATAAACAAGCGGCACCACATCAAACTAAAACGTTTCTGCATGGCAAATGAAATAAAATGAAAATGCAACCTACAAAATGGGAGAAAATGTTTGCAAACCATGTATCTGTTAAGAAGTTAATATCCAACATATGTAAGAAATTCATACAACTCAATAGCAAAAAATAAAACAAAAAAACCCCACATAGCCCAATTTTAAAAATGAGCAAAGGATATAAGCAGGCTTAAAAAAAAGCATATTAATGGACATCAGATATATGCAAAGGTACTCATCACTACTTATCAGTGAAATGTAAATCCAAACCACAATAAGGTATCATCTCACACCTGACAGAATGGCTATTACCAAAAAGCGCAGAGATAATAAGTGCTAGTGAGGTTGTAGAGAAAAGGGAATATTTGGACACAATTGATAGAAATGTAAGTTGATAAATCCATTATGGAAAACAGTATGGTGGTTCCTCCAATAATTAAAAACAAAACTACTGTATTATGCAATCCAGCAATTCCACTTCTGGGTGTATATCCAAAGAAAATAAAATTAGAATATTGAAGGGTATCAGCATTTCTGTTTATTGCAGAATTATTCACAATAACCAGATATAGAAACAACCTGCATGTCTATAAATAAACAAAATTATACACATATACACACATATATAATAAAATATTATTTAGTCATAAAAAAGAAGGAAATATTGCCATTTACAACAAGATGGGTGAACCAGAAAGACATCAGTTTAGGTAAAATAATCCAGGCACAGAAACACAAATTATTTATGATCTAGAATAGGGAGATGCTAGTCAAAGGATACAAACTTTCACTTACAAGATTAATAAATCTTGGGTTTCTAAAGTACAGTATGGTGACTGTAGTTAGGAATACTGTATTACATACTTGAAATTTGCTAAGAAAGTAGATTTTAAATGTTTTTACCACATATACACAAACAGTAATTACGTGAGTTAGATGATGTGCTAATTAGCTTGATTTGCATAATCATTTCGCAATGTATAGAAAATCATTGCATTAAACACCTTGAATATATACAGTATTTATTTGTTAATTAGACGGCAATAAAGCTGGGAATCAACAACAAAGGAATCGCCAAAGGAGATGAATGAAATGTTGACCCTCAAAGACTACTCTAAAGACTATAAGCACATTTGACATGTCAGATATTTGCTCCAAAGGACAGAGCTAGCCAACAGAACAGTAAGGATTCTCTTTTGTTTTCTAATTTATTACTGTCCTCCATTTTTCTGAGATGCAGGAAGAAAAATTAAAAGATTCTATAGAATCAGAAGGAAGTCTGTACAGTCCCCAGAGTATTTAAAGATACCTATGCTAATAAGTCTGACTTCAAATGCTGACACTCATATTTACTATGTGACATTGACCCATTAAAAGGAATCAAATCCAATTTTGAAAATTGGAGCAGTTTCTTCTTGCATCTAGGATATTTAAGATATACAATCAATCGAAATAACTAACAACTTTCACCAAAAAATCTAAATCAGAACAAAGAGCAAATTAATGACTACATAAACATAATGTATGCATTTAATTATTCCTTAACCTTCCTAATAGGTTAAGAAATTAGAAACTCATATTATATGCTACTAAATCATCATTTTATTTAAAGATAATTATTTGAAAATATCTGATTTAATAATAGTCACTATTATTTTTATCCATCCTTTTCAGATTCAGAAATACAATTATGATCTATAAATAATGAAATGTGTACAATATAACATAATTAAAATGATAGAAATTGTATTTATGCTTAGTGTAAAAATATTTTCATTAATATTGACTTCATCTCACTTGATTATATGTTAATTTACCAATGTTAATAGTTGTTCACTTATTTTCACATATGAATAATACATAGGTTTTAACAATAAGCTATTCTTTGGGAAACACAAATATATAGTTTAAAACCTTTTAATGAATTGAAGTTAATTGAAGAACAGCCTTAAATAAAGGAAAAGCTTAGAACATAAGCAACAGAAGTTCAATTCTTTCTGAAAATGAATATTAAATTGTTAGCAAATCTAAATTTAAGGACCATAGCAAGTTTGGGGATACTCTTTAATAATTGGGCTACTCTCAAAGAATGGTTAATAAATGTTATTTAGTTTTAAAGACAAGCTGTGCATAAAGTACAGCTATTTAATCTTGTTAAAATATGCACTACATTTTCTTATTTATTAAAGTTTTGTGCCACAAAATATTTAATCCTCCAAAAGGAATGTGTATGAACAAAAGTTACAAAAACTATAATCTTACCTTGTAATCACTCATAAAGATTAATTCTGGTAGCATAAAAAGTTGAAAAAATTTTGGCACTCTAGTAGTTTTAGTTGAAAGGAATCTATGCTGACAAAAGATATTAATGACAGTGACCCAAAATGAAGATTCCTTTATTATTGCCTTCCTCTAAAGAATGTTTCCAAAATGAGTTAAGAAAATATTAAATCATTTCCTGATTTATAGAAGCAGCTCATTTCTTTAGAAATTGCGTTATATTTCGGTTCCCGGCTCTGTTTATTTGTAATGAATTCATCTACTTCAAGAAATATTTTATTTATGAACTTCTGACATGGCAGTGAAAAATTAAAGAGAAAGATTGCCAGTTGTTTATGTTGTAAGAAAATCTCTTCCTGTTGCCAGAGAAAACTTGAGGTAAAAACAAGGCAAAATTGAAGTTGATATATTTGTTTTCATATTGGAAAAATTTATAGGATGGAAAAATCATATTATATTGATTTCCTTTTTTACACAAAATGCTTATCTGGAGGAATATTCCATGTTGGCTGATCTATGCTGATACAATAGAACAAATTGATTATTGTGCTCTTACTCAGAAATTGAATTCTGATTGGCTTGAAGAGTCAGGCATTTTAAATTTTTGTGTAGTTGAAATTGTTAGCACACAAAAACACTAGAGTTCAAACGCAGGGTTGTAGAACTTTGTTTTAGTTTTTGTCTCTGATCATACATTGCTACTTCTTCCTTCTATTTTATACACTTCCCTTTAAAATGTACTTACTCCTTTCTACTATAAGCACTTTTCTAAATATGTTATTTTTAAAAATAATTTTAACTCCCCAAAGATAAACAACACTCTCCTTTGATTGTTGTCTTAAACAAAATGCCTGTCTACCCTCAAAAAAGAGAGAAGCCGGTAAGAATGTGCTGCCTGTTTCATCTTTCTTTCTTTTACTCTCTAGTGTATTGCTCTGCTAATTTTTAATTATTTGTTTTTTACGTCACATATTTTAAGTTCCAAAGGCCAAGATTTTCATTTTATTTTATTTTCTTCTGGGATACATGTGCAGGATGTGCAGGCTTGTTGCATAGATAAACATGTGCCATGGTGGTTTGCCACACCTATCAACCCATTACCTAAGTATTAACCCAAGCATGCATTTTTCCTGATGCTCTCCCTTCACATTCCCTCCACCCCAACAGGCCCTAGTGTGTGTTGTTCCCCTCCCTGTATCCATGTGTTCTCATTGTTCATCTCCCATTTATGAATGAGAACATGTGGTGTTTGATTTTCTGTTCCTGCATTAGTTTGCTGAGGATAATGGCTTCCAGCTCCATTTATGTCCCTGCAAAGGACATGATCCTATTTCTTTTTACGGCTGCATAGTATTCCATGATGTATATGTACCACTGTGTCTTTATCCAGTCTATTATTGGAGGGCATTTTGGTTGATTCCATGTCTTTGGCATTGTGAATAGTGCTGCAATGAACATACATGTACATGTTTCTTTATAATAGAGTGATTTATATTCCTTTGGGCATATACACAGTAATGAGATTTCTGGGTCGAATGGCATTTCTGGTTATAGGTCTTTGAGGAATTGCCACACTGTCTTCCACAGTGGTTGAACTAATTTCCATTCCCACCAACAGTGTAAAAGCATTCCTATCTCATGGCAGCCTTGCCAGAATCTGTTGTTTCTTGGCTCTTTAATAATCACCATTCTGACTGGGGTATCTCATTGTGGTTTTGATTTGCATTTCTCTAATGATCAGTGATATTGGCTTGTTTTCATATGTTTTTTGGCCACATAAATGTCTTCTTTTGAGAAATGTCTTCTTCATTTCCTTGGCCCACTTTTTAATGGGGTTGTTTTTTGCTTGTAAGTTTTTTTATGTTTCTTGTAGACTCTGGGTATTAGACCTTTATCAGATTGATAAATTACAAAAATATTCTCCCATTCTGTAGGTTGTCTGTTCACTCTGATGATAGTTCCTTTTGCTGTGCAGAAGCTCTTCAGTTTAGTTAGATCCCTTTTGTCAATTTTTGCTTTTGTCGTAATTGCTTTTTGCGATTTCATTATAAAATCTTTGCCCATGCCTATTACCTGAATGGTATTGCCTAGATTTTCTTCTAGTGTTCTTATAGTTTTGGTTTCTACATTTAAGTCTTTAATCCATCTTGTGTAAGGAAGGGGTCCGGTGTCAATTTTCTGCATGTGGCTAGCCAGTTCTCCCAGCATCATTTATTAAGTAAGGAATCCTTTCTCCATTGCTTGTTTTTGTCAGGCTTGTTGAACTTCAGGCTGTTGTAGATGTGCAGTTTTATTTCTGAGTTCTCTACTGTGTTTCATTGGTCTATGTTTCTGTTTTTGTGCTAGTACCATGCTGTTTCAGTTACTGTAGCCTTGTAGTATAGTCTGAAGTTTGGTAGTGTGATGCCTCCAGCTTTGTTCTTTTTGGTTAGGATTGTCTTGCTATATGGGCTCTTTTTTGGTTCCATATGAATTTTTAAATAGTTGATTCCTATTCTTTCAAGAATTTCAATGGTAGTTATTGGGAATAGCATTGAATCTATAAATTACTCTGGCAGTATGGCAATTTTCATGATATTGGTTCTTCCTATCCATGAGGATAGAATGTTTTTCAATTTGTTTGTGTTCTCTCTGATTTCTTTGAGCAATGGCTTATAGTTCTTTTTGCAAAGGTCCTTCACTTCCCTTGTTAGATATATTCCTAGGTATTTTATTCTCTATGTAGCAATTATGAATAGGAGTTCATTCATGATTTGGCTCTCTGCTTGTCTGCTGTTGGTGTATAGGAATGCCTATAATTTTTGCACATTGACTTTGTATCCTGAGACTTTGCTGAAGTTATTAGCTTAAGAAGTTTTGGGGCTGAGATGATGGGGTTTTCTAGATACAGGAGCATGTCATCTGCAAACAAAGACCATTTAAATTCCTCTTTTCCTATTTGAATGCCCTTTCTTTCTTTCTGTTGCCTGAATGCCCTGGCCAGAACTTCAAATACTATGTTGAATAAGAGTGGTGACATAAGGTATCCAAAGGTAGAGATTTGATCCAGTTTTACAGTTTGTATTGTATATCTCATATCCAGCAAACACAAAACAAACAACAATAATAGACAAAATGAAATTTTCTTTAATAATTTTAAAATTAGTATTGATAGATAAAATTATAATTCTGAGAAAAAAATACTGAAGTATCTATGTTACCATAGTTCCACAGGTGAAGTGTAGCAAAATGATTAAAGAAATGGATCCATTTCTACGTGTTCTTCCTGTATTCACAACCTTTGCAATATGACTTTGCAACAACTCCTATCAAGAGTTGAAGTTTATTTTATGGCTTCTTAAATTGTGAATAGTCTTATGACTTGCCTTGGCCAAGAGAAGGCAGCAGATGTGACAGTGCACCAATTCCAAATGTAGCACTCCATGGTCTTTGCACACTTTGCATGATTGCTCTTGGACTTTTGCCTCAATGACAAGAAAAAGCTACTGCCATAAGAGACCCTATGGAGCAGAAACAAATTAGAACACTAGTCCCAACTAAGGCTACAGACATTTGTGATCAGCTGGGATCAACCATGCCCAGCTAAGATCAAAGGACTCACATGTTCATAAGTAACAATAAATATTTTTATATGGTTAAGATTTTATTAGTCAGTGTGTAGCATTATTATTATAGATAAATAAAGCAGTAAGAAAAGTAACCAAAAGAATGTTTATCTTATTAGAATGAAAATAAGAAGTATCAGATTAAGGAGAGATTATAGTCTACTCAAATTTATGCAAAAAAAATTAAGGAAAATTTTGACACATATGGCTCAAGCCATCCTTCAAACATGTAATGTAATTGTATAGAAATAATTATAAAAATTATTTTTCTCCTTTTTTAATGCAAATCCAGGAACTTAAAGCCTGAATCTCTCTTAAGGAATAGGTTCAAGAAGATGCATATTTATTATTTTATAAATGTTATCTAAACTTTGCAAAGATTGAGTCTTTCATTTTTATTTATAATATGCAGGTGTTCAATAATCTAAAATGCATTTAATTCTGAATAGCATAGATTCTGAATCATTTGCAGAGTAAAGCAGTTGAAAATGATGGCATGAACAAAAAAAGTTTTGAATTGATATTCGACATATAAAAAGACAGCCTCACACAATTGAAAAATATAAGTTTAGAAACATGTAATCTGAGGATATGCATCAATCACTTATTAAACATAATGATCTTTTACACATTAACTCTCTATACCAGCTGGGCATGGTTGTGTGCACCTGTAGTGGGGTTAGGGTTGGGGGTGAAGCAGGAGGATCACTTGAGCCCAGAAGGTTGAGAGTGTAGTGAGCCATGATTGTGCCACTGCACTCCAGCCTGGGTGGCAGTGAGATCTTTTCTCAAAATAAAAAAAGTGACAGTGGTGTGAATGATCATTTTAATTAAGCTATCATTGCTCATTTTCCATTGATCCACAATTGTTTGCTATGCTTTCATATAGTTTTAAATAGGGACCTACTATTACTCACACTTTGAGCAATAAATACAAAAAGAGGTGATAATGTATTTTTTTTACATATTGATCTTATTTTAATTCATTGGTAGTGTAAAAATGATTTATTTGTTTTTTTCCAGTTGATCAACTTACCAAATACATTTATTCAATAAGTACTTTCTTTCTTACTACTTTTATTTATTCTATTATTACATGTCACAATGTATTTCAGAGTATGAACAAAGTCTGTTTCTGGGCTATCAATCATTCTTTATATCGATCTTCTGTTAATTTAACAATAGGTGATAAATTCCATCTTGGATTGAATACTGATATAAAACCATTATTCAAAAATAATTTGAAAATAGTTGTTTTATTTATCAACTAAAAAATGCAATGTTATTACTATTACTTTATTAAATTTTATGTATATTGAGCTGCAAGAAAAACAAAACTAGTGATACTTATATAGTTTTTATATTATCTTATTAATTACAATTTAAGGTTCTTTTGTACAGTAAAGCCATCCCATTTGTGGTTTCGCTTTCTGTGATTTCTGTTACTTGCAGTCAATTGTGATTCAAAAATGTTAAATAGAAAATTCCAGAAATAAACAATTTGTAAGTTTTAAATTGCATGCCATTCTGAGCACTGTGATAAGATCTTGCACGGTTATGCTGCATCCCACCTGGGGTGGAATCATCTCTTTGTCCAGCATATCTACACTGTAGATGCTACTTGCCTGTTAGTCACTTAGTAGCCATCATGGTTATCAGATCAACTGTCATTGTATTGCAGTGCTTGTGTTCAAGAAACCCTTATTTTATTTAATAATGTCCTGAAGGAACAAAAGTAGTTATGCTGGCAATGTAGATATGCCAAAGAGAAGACATCATGTGCCTTCTATAAGTGAAAAGGTAAAAATTCTCAACCTTAATTAAGAAAAAAAAATGTATGCTGAGGTTGCTAAGATCTACAGTTAAAAAAAAAACCAACAAATCTTTGAGTGAAATTGTGAAGAAAAAAAAAGAAACTTGTCCTAGTTTGGTTGTCACACCTCAACCTGCAAAAGCTATGGCTACAGTCCGTGACACGTGCTTAACTGAGATAGAAAAGGCATTATTAAATTTGTGGGTGAAAGGCATGGACAGAAATGTTTTCACTAATGGCCCTCGGGTTTGGTACCATCCCTGGTTTCCAGACTCCACTAGGGGTCTTGGAATATATCTCCCATGGATAAGTGGGAACTAGTGTGTTTCTTATAGGCCCAACAATACAATTATATACATATTGTTTTCTACAATTCATTTTTAAATCAGTTACAGAAAGAGAAAAGAAAGATATGCATTTATACCATTTATTATAATTACATAATTACCTTTCTTGGTGCTCTTTTTTACTATTTTTTTATTTTTATTTTTTTTGAATAGAGATGGGGTTGCCCTATGTTGCCCAGGCTGGTCTCAGACTCCTGGGCTCAAAGGATTCTTCTATCTTGGCCTCTCAATGTGCTGAGATTACAGGTGTCAGCCACCATGTCTGGCCAGCTTGTGGACATTTGTTGTGGTAGTTGGATTTGAATTTTCCTCTGAGTTTACTTGCTTTCACCTTAAAAATACTTCCTTGAATATTTCTTATAAAAGTGGGACTGCTAGCAGAAAATTCTTTCAGTTTTTATCTTGGAATGTCTTTATTTGGCCTTTATTTTAGAAAGAGAGTTTTGTTATACATCAGATTCTTGAAAGACTGTTCTTTTCTTTCAGCATTTTCAATATGTCATGTAAATGGTTTTTACTCTCCTTTCATTCTTATGAGGTGTCAGCTGTTAATCTTACTGAAGAATCCCTCATAAAGTAAGAATCTTTTCCTTGTTGCCTCAAGATTTTCTTGGACTTTGATTTTCATCCTTTTATCTAGCATGTGCCTGGGTTTGAACCACTTTGCATTGCACTGATGTGCACTATATTGAACTTCATAGCTATGCATATTGTTTTTCAGATTTTTTCTAACCTTTTTTATATTTTTTCTTCCATTTTCTCCATCTCCTCTCTTTCTGATATTCTCGTTATGAATATGTTGGTGAAATTAAAATTGTTCCACATATCTCTGAGACTTCTTTTTTGTTTTCCCTTTGTATCCTTCAGATTATATAATCTTTATTGATACATCTTAAAGCTTTCTAATGCATTCTTCTGCCATTTCAAATTTACTAATAAGGTTTCTACTTAATTTTTCATTTAACTTATTGTAATTTTATACTTCAGATTTTTTATTTTATTCTTTTGTTTAGAATCTCTATATCTGCTATATCTGTAGTGATATTCTGTATTTGATGTGACATTTTCATCATACTTTACTTAGTTAATCATAGTTTCCTTTAGTACTTTGGACATATTTATAATGACTACATAGAAGTCTTTGTTAAACCTGACATCTGGGTCTACTCTCAGGCAATTTCTGTTGGCTGATATACAATATTTTCCTGTGTGGAACACTTGTTCCCCTTTCTTCGCATGTTTCATAATTTGTTGAAAACTAGATATATTAGCTAATATATCAACTGTAGATATTACTTTCCTTCTCCACTCTTTAATGCTATTGCTGTTGTTCTAGTTTGACTCTTTATTTGTTTTACAAATAGACTAGGTTATATTAGTAGAGTCTATTTAGTAAGCAGTGAAGCCTTTAAAATCATTCCTTGGAGGGCATAGACTTGAATGTGTGCCATTATCCTCGACGACGGAGGTTTTAGCAGGGATCTTTTTGACTTTCCTTCCTTGATTTTTCTGTTACCCTGTCTGGATCTTTTGATATTACACGAAGTCTATGAAGCTTCACTTACTGCGAATGCATTATTGTATTGTTTTTCACAGTGCTTTTGAGATACATTGCTCATGAGTCTGATCCAATTAAATTTGGTTAGGGATAATTTTTGAATCCAGTTTTTGTAGTTGGTTCTGACCCCAGAAAGACTCTCTTTAATTATCTCTTTTCCTGGTTCTTCCTGGTGAACTAGTTTAATTTGTAGTTTAACTTCTAATTAATTAAGATGTTTTATTCTTTTTGAGAGCACCCTTAGGACCTGACTTCCCGCAATCTGTTTCAAATAACCTCAGTTACTTTTGGGACAGCTTATCAGCTCTCTTTTTCTATGGACTGCCTCTCCTGGAAAAACTCTCTGAATAGCTACTCAACCACCGTCTTTCTGTGCCCTTGTAGAGCCTTTTATCTGCGTGCACATGGAGAGAGAGAGCTCTGATATCTCTTCTTCTTCTTCTAAGAAAACCAGTCCTATTGAATTAGGGCCCACCCTATGACCTCATTTAATCTTCATTACCTCTATAAACGCTTTATCTCCAAATACAGTCATATACTGTGATAGTGCAGCTTAGTGCTTCAACATATGAACAGGAAGGAGGAGGGGCACAATTCAATCCGTAACAATGACCTAAAAGCTCAAATTATATTGAATGTTGCAGACATCAATTTCAATAACAAACTAAAAAGGAAGGATTGTTCAGAAAACTTATTTAGGTCATGGGTGTACTTTTCCCAAGAATTTCCAACACTCAATTGCTTGAGCAGCAGTTTTTGAAAAATAGTATGTTAGAAATAATTATAACAAAATTGACTCATTGTTACTGAGGATCTTATGATGTTCTAATTATCCAATGTAGGCTCGCAACCGGTGGGAAAGCTGAATCTCATGATAAAAGGTATTCTGAAAGATAAAAGATTACTCAGTTTAAATAAAGGTATTAAGTCTGTTAAACAAAAAGCAACGAGGCAGTACGGGCAGTGGCAAGAATAGCCTGGAAGAGGCAGCAGGAGCTTATAGAGGCACTGTGACCAGAAGTGCATGCTCATCTTGTCACCATTTGTCAACTATCTCTTGTCAGAAATAATTTTCTAAAATTTGAAAATATCATGACATTTTGGATTGAATTATAAGACTCATAGCCTTTACTTTTGTACATCATGAATTTATGGATTTTTGTGATACATTTCTTCCAACTTGTGGTTTTTCCTTTTTTTGGTCACGTGGATAATGTCAACCTTTTATACAATCTACTAAACTCAGAAAAATACTCCTTCTGACTCCATTTATTTTTCATAAACTTTTAATTCTGAATCTCTACAATGCCATTTTTCCAGGATAGAATTAAGACTGAACTACACTTTGAATATTCATGTTAATTGTAAATATTCATGTTTATGTAATTAAAATTATAATTGATTGATACATATACACCTTCCTTTAAAAAACAGCATTAACTATCAGAAACTTGCTCACCAGCACAATATAAGCTATAGTTGTCATAACATAATTCTCTGAAATATTTTCATTCCTATATTATTCTGCCATTAGGATGGGAATTAGTGATCTTATTGAATACATACAAAGAGAATATGAGGTAACCAAAAGGAAATGTTAAATTCATAGATTACCAGTTTTACTACATTTTGTAATACAGAGTATAGGTATGTTTGTATTTTTAGTGAGGTGGTAACCTAGGTATAGTTAATATAACATTATAGTGCTTATTCACAATTAAACACCACTTTTAAAAATATTTAAGAAGAATTTATTTTATGCAAAATAGAATTACTTAATTTTATTGAGAAAAATATTAAGTTCAGTTAAAGAAATGCATGGTAAATTGTACTTTCAGTTTAATGCATTTAAGTAGGCTGAGTTTTGCTTAATTTATTTGAACAGATTTTTTACTCTTGCTATAGTGTCTGAGAAATTCTGCATTAAGAGGATATTTCTGTTACTATGAAAGTCACTAACGAGTAATTTTTCAAATTAAGTTGGTGATCTTTGAAGACCAAAAATAGCTTGGCTCTTTGTTATATAAGCTTTATGTGTCTTTCTTTATAATAGACTCACAGTGAATAACAAAATGTGTTGATTAAAAGATAAATGATTATATGCTTGGTGGTGTGCATGCTCATGTTTAGAAATAGTTTCCATAATTGATGTTCAAGGGAACCTTGATCCAATAGGAAAAAGTAAATTAAAGAATATTTGAGCCATTTTGACTATTTGCAATTATTCCAACTTTTTTCCAAATTAACTAAACATATTACAAAATTAAAACTCTCAATAACATATTTATCCAAAATATTCAAATATGAGTAAAATAATAATTATAGAATGTATGCACAGAATATATGCATCTATTTTAATGTTGCATTTTTAAAATATTTTAAAAGTTTTACTTTAGACAGAAAAACCTGAACAGCAATCATATAGAACACTAAAGTAATATGGTTAAAATGAATTTAAAGTGCTATGAGAGATATCAGAATGACATTGGTGCAAAAATTAAGTTTATTTTTTAAAAAAATATTCAGCATTGAAAGAAGTAATGATGAAGAAACATCTTTGATCAATCTTTTCTTCAAGTAGTATAGTATGCATTTCAATAGTGATTATACTTCTCTGTGAAATAAATCCCTACAAGAGAAACAGGCTGAAATATTAAGAAAAAAAAAGGTATGCTGAAATAAATGTATATAGTGTCATAATACATTCTAAAACCAGAAAATGAATTAGGGTGATGATGTTTGATGAAAATGTATTTTGGTAACTATGCATGGAATTTTTTTAAATGGAAAACATTTCATTTGCAAAAGACATGTGAGTAGGCTATCATGGAAATCATAGCAGTAACAGCAATAAACACGAATGAATGAGATGAAGATAAATGGAGAGTAATGTTACAATATACTGATAGGGTTTTTCATATACCGCAGAAGAGACTGGGCTGACTTTCAACCAGTGAAGAATCAAAAGACTGAGGCTGCAATCCCACATCCAATATTTATTTGTGTGATAGTGGGCAGGCCACATCATCTCTTTGTGTACCCATTTCTTCATCTAGATACTGCTAAGAAGCTGTGATTAGATTCCTTTGACAGTCTGATTTTCTATAGCATTAATTACCTATTTCTTTTATTTGCCTGTGTAGAGATAATTTCAGGACAGAAGTTCTAAATTGCCTGAATCATGAATAGTAACAACAGCAACATTTACTTAGTACCTAAGACATGTCAGACATTGGGAGGTTTGACAGTTATCAAATCATTTGATTCTTACCACAGTACACTGAGGAGGACTGTTTTTATGATTCTCTCCTCTGTTTAAAATTAGGTAAGCTGAGACACAGAGAGTTTGGTTAATGCATACACGATCACACAGCCTTCCCGTAAGGTGAGCAGACTTTGAATTCCAGCAGCCTGGCCCTATGTTTCTTCTCTTAACTCCCATTTTATACAACCTCTCAACTCAAGATGCTTGCTCTCATCTTAATGCATGTGTTATGGGATGATGGACTTATATTTTTGAAATTAAGAACTATGATGGAAAGTTCAAAATATCTGGTCTCTTTTCCTATAGGTAAAGTTAGGAATAAAAGTAAAGAAGAATATACAAAAAAAGAAACGTGTCTTCAATTGCAACTTCAGTCTTTTTTTTTTCTTCTACCTATCCTTTTAGAGGTGAAATACCTCAGTTGCCAATATATGAATGCAATAAGGATGATTGTTTCCTTCAGGCTTTTAAACTAATTTCAATTGAAAATTATTTTCTTTAACAGGTAAGTGATGAATTTGTTAATTTTTATGGTTCTTTAACAAACTTTAAGTAAACAGGTTACAGTTAAATTATAGAACAAGTGTTTTCTTTCTACAAGAACATATTGACTAAAACTAAAATAAATGATTTCATATGTAATAAAATAGATTTTTTTAAATTGAAGAACTAGTGGACTAAATTAACAAATTTCTTAAAAATTGTATATAATAATAACTACACATTGGGCTACTTCTCAGTTAGGACTGGTGGTTGGCAGTTTGATCATGGATTCTTTGTGTTCTTTCAAATTTCATAATATCTAAAAATTTATATTTAGAATTTATGCTTTAAGTGCATAAAAGTCTGTGATAAAAATACATTTTTAAAAATGTTTTTAACAGGAAAGAAATCTCTTAAAGCTTTCACTTCCTGTTCAGAAATGTACTAATGACTATTTTAAAAGCAGATATTAACACAGAGAAGATTTTTGACCTTTATGAAAATTATGGTATATTATATATCTACATTACTTACAAACATTCAAATGATCATTTTTGGTCAATATATTGTTGCTTGTTATTAAAACGAATATTAAGTTTTTCCTAATCCACAGAACATTTGGCTCTTCCTTGAAGAGGTTATAAATCTGGTGACATAATTTATAAAGGAGATAGTTTTTCAACTGCTGTAAATTCTGTTACTAAGCAAAATAAAATGAGTTTTTTTAAAAAAAACTTTTCTATGCAACTGTAAAGAAAATTAATATCATTAAACAAACTAGTTTATAAACTAGTTTATAAACTTTGTTTATAAATTTTGTTTGTAAATTATAGATTTTATAAATTGAATCATAGGCATGGCTTTAATTTCTACGTATAATTCCTTAGAAGTATAAAATGCTCCTTTTATGGCAGGAGATATTAGCTTTTTTCTCCATAAGTTTCACATATACTGTGCACACATATATGTACTCATTTAAATGAATGAATTCATAGAATATTTTTAGATCTCAAACATTTTCTTCACTCTCTATATAGTGAAGAAATATTATATAAAATATATATAAATATATTATATAAAATATATCATATATAAAAATATATAATTATATAATATATTATATAATTATATATAATATTTATATATGATATACTTATATAATATATTATATAATTATATAATATTTATATATTATTTATATAATTATATAATATATTTATATATATTATTTATATAATTATATAATATATTTATATATTATTTATATAATTATATAATATATTTATATATTATTTATATAATTATATAATATATATATTATTTATATAATTGTATATTTATATAATATATTTATATATATCAATGCTCCTTTTATGGCAGGAGGTATTAGTTTTTTTCTCCATAAGTTTCACATATACTATGCACACATATATGTACTCATATAAATGAATGAATCCATAGAATATTTTTAGATCTCAAACATTTTCTTCACTCTCTATATAGAGTGAAGAAATATTATGTGTAATATATATAATATATTATATTTTATTATATACATTATATATATTATATTTTATATTTTCTGGTTTATGCTAATAATTTTACCCTATCTTAAGCTGCTTATGTAAAATTTAAAATCAGAAATACATATTAATTCGTAATTTAAAATCTCTCCTATTTGGACTCTCTTGTGCTTATATTATTGTGTTTTGTGTACTAATCTCTACACACACACTATGGATAGCCTGATGGATTACAAATATTTTCACAAATTCGAAAACTTTTAACAGGGTAACTAAAATACGTCTGTATACAAGTATTGTGTACCTCTTGCACATTTCCATGCAAAGATAATTATAGAAATCCTTATATAATCTTTTGAAAGTTCTCTATCTTTTAAATAAAATGAATTAAAATACTCACAAATTACATTTATTTTCAACCAAGTGAAACAGAGTGAGCACCACATTCAGAGAGGAAGGCATTTGATTTTTCCCATATTGTCACTAATTAACTATGTAAATACATCCAACCACTGCACTTTTCGGTGCCACAACTTTGTTATCTGTGTATTGTTAAAACTTTGTGTTATTATATATCTATATGTTATTGAAACTCAAATGTCTATTCTTTCTCCCCACAAAATTTTGCATTTTTGGTACAATGTAGAGAGATGTTGTGGTGAATTGAGTTTTCATCTCTTGCAAATCCAAAAATTGTATGATTTTGATAAGTAAAGCAAGCATCTTCTTTTGGAGGTATTTTGAAAACACACTGTAGTAATGCAAAATATTGAAGCAGTGGATTAAGCGTTGTACATCTGTCCATGTTGAATCATAACTTGCTATTGCTTGGTATATTACTTTTCCTAGGGCTTCTATAAAAAGTTACCACAACCAGGGTGGCTTAAAACCAACAAAAGAAATTCTGCCTCATTTTTGGAGGCTAGAAGTCTGAAATCAAGGTTTTAGTAAGACAACGTTTCTGCTGAAGGATCTAGAGAAGAATCCTTCCATGCTTCTTCTAGCTTCAGCTGGCTCCTGGCAATCCTTGGCCTACCTTGGCGTGTAGAAGATGAATCAATCCAATCTCTACCTCCATCTTCACATCTTCTCTTCTGTGTAGGTCTTCTCTTCTTCTTATAATAACAGGAGTCATTGAATCTGGGGCACACCCTAATCCACTATGACCTCATCTTGAAATCTATAACTAACTACATCTCAAAGGCCCTATTTCCAAATACAGTCACAATCTGAGGTCCCAGGTTGGGAACACATTTTTTTGGGACACCATTCAACCCACTATATTGGCTGTATTGTTAGGCTAGCCTTTTTTTCTCTTGAAATCAATTTTATTAAGGTATAATTTATAAAAAATTAAGTCCATAATGAGTGTACAGTGTGATGAGTTAGGACCCTAGTAACCACCTCCTGAATCACCCCCAAAACACCCTTTTTCCCTTTGATAGTGCATCCTCACACCCAGGCCCAGGGAACCACTAATCTACTTCCTATCAGTATTGACTAAGTTTGCCTGATATGAATTTTCATACAAACATAATCACACAGTAATTTTTAAACTTCTTATATTCTTCACTATATTTTTCCTGATTCTTCTATGTTGTTGTATCATTTATTTTTATTGCTGACAGATTTCTCATTAATATACCACACATGTTATTCCATTCACTTTTGATAAACATTTGAGTTGCTTCTAATGTGGAGCTACTATAAATTAAGCTGTTAAAACATTTCTGTACAAAACTTTCTGCGAAAATATGTTTTCATTTATTTGGGGCAATTACCTTAGAGTTCAATTGCTGAATATTATGGTAAGTTTTCTTTAAAGTTTATAAGAAACCGCCAAACTATTTTTCAAATTGGTTGTACCATTTCACATACCCAAAAGTAATATTAAAATGTCCAATAGCTCCACAAAATGTTTTAATGCTTTGCTTATATAGTGTAATCTAAGAATATGAAGTAGGGGGAATTTTTAAACATATAAGTAAAAGCTTTAAATAACCATCAGACAGTTATTAGTAAATAGTTTCAAAATTTTGTGGCTTTTTCTTCTATAAGAATATGTATGTATCCTATTGATATTTAAAAGTTAAAATTGATATTCTTTTCTATACTTTTGTAGTCTTTCTTTTCACTTAAGATTATATCATAACTATTTTTCTATAAAATTAATTTATATACAGAGTTAGTAACTAGCACTTAATGTTATTATCATTAATAGTAGTATTTGAAAATTGTTTTTAACGGTTATATAACATCCTCTTTTGCACATGTATCAAACTTTGTTTGGAAATACCCTAGCGGTTGGTATTATAACACAACTGTTTTCCATTAGTAACTTTTTTTAATGAGAAGTTTAATTATTTTTCAAAGATATAGAGGTTTCACACTTTCAGATAGTCAGCAATGTTGAGATGCTTTCACCAAAATAAAAGGATAATTGACTTTCCTTCAAAAGAAGAGTGCTTATTTCTCTGTAAAATATAGCATGTAAACACCGTAATTGAGTCTTCCTTTGCCCGGGAGATTCATAAATACACTTGAACATAACACCAAGAACAGAATCATTTCTAAGGGATGCACTCATATCAACCATTGAGAGAGCTGAGTTTTGTCTTATAACAAACAATAGCTGCCACATCTTTCTGTTCTCTGCTCAGTCGTCATGTTAGGAACATTTAATTGGAGAGGTTTCCCTAACGACTCTATTAAAAGAGCATTTTCTCCCGTTCCTATTATCCTTTGTGATCCTTATAGTGCTTTTTTTTTCATTATAAAAGCACTTTTTACCACATAATATTTAATTGTTAATTTGTTCTCTGAGTACCTTCACACTCCCATTAAATTGCAGACCAACGAAAATAGTATTGTGGTCACATTGTTCACCAATATATCTACAGGCCTAGAAGAGGGCCTCGCAGGTAGTAGGAGCTCGGTAACTATTTGTAGATTGAACAGATGAATTAAATAAACTTTTAATTTAATGAGCCTTTCCTGAGGAAAATTTAAAAAAAGAAAAAGAGAAAGAAATACCATAGCCACATAGCCTATAAGGATATTGTAGAATTTATTGTTTCCTTGTAGGAAAAGTTATCTCTACTGAAAAAATAATTTTGTTTTCTGAGGACCTCACATGATCCTATAAACCAGTCACAGTAACACTTAATTCTCATTTCCACATTGGGAAGCTGACGATCTTTCATGGAAAGCATTTATATAAACGATCTTGCCCATGACTTTACAAAGTAACTCTCGTTTCCTTATAATTTGCCATCATTTTTACCTTGCTGCATTTAATATGTTTTTTAATAAACTGCCTAAGGATAACACTAAGAAAAGACAAATAAATTTGAATGCTTTTGCATTCAATAATTTCCAACGATTCTCTCAAGTTTGTGGCGACACTTTTCTTTTTTCTTTTTTTTCTTTTTTCTTTTTTTTTCTTTTTTTCTTTTTTTTTTTTTTTTTTTTGAGATGGAGTCTCACTCTGTCGCCCAGGCTGGAGGAGTGCAGTGGGGCCATCTCGGCTCACTGCAAACTCCGCCTCCCAGGTTCATGCCATTCTCCTGCCTCAGCCTCCCGAGTAGCTGGGACTACAGGCGCCCGCCACCACGCCCGGCTAATTTTTTGTATTTTTAGTAGAGACAGGGTTTCACCGTGTTAGCCAGGATGGTCTCCATCTCCTGACCTCGTGATCTGCCCGCCTCGGCCTCCCAAAGTGCTGGGATTACAGGCGTGAGCCACTGTGCCCGGCCTGTGGCTACCCTATTCTAACTTCTTTAGTTTATTTTTAAAAACATATTTTATCTGTATTTTTGCGCCCATTAACTGACCCTCTTTAAGATCTAGTGTTCGTTAGCACAGTAGGTTGACTATAGTTAACAATAATTTATTGTATATTTCAAAATAACTAAAGGAGTAAATTTGAAATGTTCCCAACACAAATAAATGTTTGAAGTGTTGAATATCCTAATTGTCATGATTTAATCATCACACCTTATATACTTCTGTTCAAGTATCACATATACCCCATAAATATTTACAACTATTATACACTTATAAAAATTTAAAATAAAATAATAAATGAAAATACATATCTATGACTTTTTTATTCTTCATCTTCCTCTCTGTAGGGTGCTAGCTAGCTCTCATTTTCTAAAAAATAGATTTTTATTCCTTTATTGAGATGGGGTCTCACTATGTTGCTGAGACTGGTCTCGACCTCCTGGGCTTAAGTGATCCTCCTGCTTTGCTCTCTGAAAGTGCTGGGATGTGCCCGGCATCTCATTATACTTTTTTTTTGTAACTTTTATTTTAGGTTCAAGGGTACATGTGCAGGTTTGTAACATAGGTAAACTTGTGTCATGGGGGTTCGTTTTACAGATTATTTCTTCAACCAGGTATTAATCCTGGGATCCAAAAGTTACTTTTTCTTCTCGCCCTCCTCCCACTTTCTACCCTCCAGTAGACCTCAGTGTCTGTTCCCTTGTTTGTGTTTATGAGTTTTCATTTTTTAACTCACACTTGTAAGTGTGAACATGTGTTATTTGATTTTCTGTTCCTGTGTTAGTTTGCTAAGAATAATACCCTCCACCTCCAACCACGTTCCTGCAAAAGACATGATGTTTTTTTTATAGCTGCATAGTGTTCCATGATGTGTATCTACCATATTTTCTTTATCCAATCTGTCATTGATGAGCATTTAGGTTGATTTTATGTCTTTGCTATTGTGAATAGTGCGGCAATGAACATTAGCATTCATGTGACTTTATAGTAGAATGATTTATATTTCTGTGGGTATATATTCAGTAATAATACTTCAGGGTCAAATGGTTGTTCTGCTTTTAGCTCTTTGAGAACTCTCCATACTGCTTTCCACAATGGTTGAACTAATTTACACTCTCATCAACGGCGTATAAGAGTTCCCTTTTCTCGACAACCTTGTCACCATCTGTTATTTTTTGACTTTTATTTTATTTTATTTTATCTTATTTTATTTCATTTTATTTTATTTTCTGGAGACAGAGTCTTGCTCTGTCACCCAGGCTGGAGTACAATAGAGCAATCTCAGTTCACTGCAAACCTCTGCCTCCAGGGTTCAAGAAATTCTCCTGCCTCAGCCAGCCAAGTAACTGGGATTACAGGCGTCCACCACCATGCTGGGCTAATTTTTGTATTTTTAGTAGAGATGGGATTTCACCATGTTGGCCAGGCTTGACTTTTTAATAATAGCCATTTTGACTAGTGTGAGATGATATCTCATTGTGGTTTTAATTTGCTTTTCTCTAATAAGTATTGATGTTGAGCTTTTTTATTTCATATGCTTGTTGGCCACATGTATGTCTTCTTTTGAAAAGTGTCTGTTCATGTTCTTTGTCCACTTTATAATGTGGTTGTTCGTTTTTCTCTTGTACGTTTTTTTTTAAGTTCCCTATAGAGGCTGGATAGACCTTTGTCAGATGCATAGTTTGCAAATATTTTCTTCCATTCTGTAGGTTGTCTGTTTAATCTGTGGATAGTTTCTTTTGCTGTGCAGAAGCTTTTTAGTTTAATTAGATTCCATTTGTCAATTTTTGCTTTTATAGTAATTGTTTTTGGTGTCTTTGTCATGAAATCTTTGCCCCTTCTTATGTCCAGAATGGTATTCCTCAGTCGTCTTCTATGGTTTTTATAGTTAGGGGTTTAATATTTAAGTCTTTAATCCATCTCGAGTTGATATTTGTATATAATGTAAAGAAGGGGTCCAGCTTCAATCTTCTGCACATGACTAGGCAGTTATCCCAGCACTATTCATTAAATAGGGAGTCTATTTCCCATTGCTTGCTTTGTCAGCTTTGTTGAAGATCAGATAGTATTAGGTGTGCAGCCTTGTTTCTGGGTCCTCTATTCTGTCCCTTTAGTCTATGTGCCTATTTTTGTACCAGTATCATGCTGTTTTGGTTACTCTAGCTCTGTAGTATAGTTTGAAGTCAGGTAGCATGATTCCTCCAGCTTTGTTCTTTTTGCTTAGGATTGCCTTGGCTATTTGGGCTCTTTTTTGGTTCCATATGAATTTTAAAATAGTTTTTCCTAGTTCTGTGAAGAATGTCCTCGGTAGGTTGACAGGAATAGCATTGAATCCTATAAATTGCTTTGGGCAGCAATCTCATTCTTAATAGTAAAGATTTTTAACAAATTTAATGAATTTTGCTAGAAATTATATAGTAAACACACACATATATGTGCATCTGTATTTTTGCTTATACCCTTTGTTTACAGTTTTATTTTAAATCCGTGTTAATTATTATTGATATAAAATGTTGTTATTTTTGTTGTAATTAATTTATTAAGGCAGATACTTAATCATATATTTTTGTTACATTGTCAGTATCATGACTTTTTTTTTTTTGCTTCATAGTTAGATTTCCTTCAGTGACTGAAATAGGATCTGGCTCATGGGTACTGCTGGATAAATTCTGTGTTCATTGACTAAATTTGTAATTTTTGCTGGAGTATATCTAAGTCTGCTCTAATAACACTGTATCGTCCTAGAATACGTGCTTTCCTAATTTGCTAACTAATATGCTTCATTAGAACCTAAATGTTTTAATCCATGAAATTTTGATCATGCTGATTTTCTCTGTATTCTATTTTCTCTTTAAAGGATTTCTCTAATTTTTATGTTAGCTCTTGGATTCAAAATCTGTCATATTTTTTCCTAATAGTTTCTTAATTTTTCCCTATTTCTGAGATCATTTTACTGTATCTCTTAATTTACTTATTTTTGCAATGTGCACACTACATTTTCTTTCTCTTATCCTGATTTAATATAATTTCTCATCTCAGCTGGTTCTTGTCCAAAGCTGCTTGCTCATGTTTTATAATCGCTTGGAAATTTATTGAAAACATGAATAGGACACTTCTGAGCACATAATTTATTTCTTAAGAAAAATCTGTTCAGATGATAGAATTTCTTGTAATAAATTTTTTTAAACAATGATTCTCAAAGTGTAGCATCCTGACTCCTGGGAAACGCTGAGGGCTTTAAAGGTACTGTGAAGTCAAAACTATTCTCTTAATAATATAAAAAATTCATTTGGCTTTTTCACTCTCATTCATTGACTAGAGTACAGTGAAGTTTGCCAGAGGCTATATGAAATATATTATCACCACACATTTAAAAATGCAGAAAAAGATTAGAATTCAGCTGTCGTCTCTTAAGCCAGGTATTAAGGAGATTTGCAAAGATTTAAATGAGCCTCTCACCCTTTTCTCTAATTCTTGGAAAAATACAATTGTTTTCCATAAAATGTGAGACATTTATGTTAATAAATATTTTAAATTTCTTGGTTTTCATATCTAATATTGTAAATAGTAATGGACATAATCCACATAAAAATATTCTTTGAGGTTCTTGATAGTTTTTAAGAGTATACAATGTTGCTGAGGCCAAAAGTTTGAAAATTGCTGCTTTGGAGTGTTCTCATTCTTTTTAATTATGGCATATATTTTTTCTTAAAATAAGTAATACATTTGCAACTTTCTAATAATGACTTATGAAGAGACTGAAATGTTTTTTGTTAAAAATTTTGAAGATGTGTGATCAATGAAACATGGGTATATGGCATTAATATTTAAAATTTGGGTATCTGGAAGCTAGGTGCAATGGCACATGCCTATAGTCCCAGCTATCCAAAGTCTAAGGCTGAAGTAGGATGATCACTGGAGCCAAGTCTATCCTGGGCAACATAGTGAGATTTTACCTCCAAACAAATAAATAAAATTTAAGAATTAGGCACCTAGAATCATAGGACTTGTGTTGGATCAGGAGATGAAGCTGTAGAGAGTTATCACATGTAGCATCAACGCTGTTAAAATAAATCTAATTTCCATAAAACTATCTCTTGTGATTGATACAGCTAATGGGATAAGGAACCCTTAGCTTCTAAGGGTGCCAACACATGTCTGCTAAGATTTTCTTTATTCATTATTAAGATCCATTGCTCTCTCGATGATGGTGTAAGCAGGAAATTATCGCAGAAGAGGGGGGTGAGATTTAACACTTTACAAAAATTTAACACCATTGTCAGTGTACCAAATATTAGAAGAAATTTCTTCTTATAGTATCACATGTATGGAACATACAGAGCCTTCATTTCAGGCATAGATATACATAAACCCATAAATGTTTCCCCAGTTGTGTGTTTCAGTAGAAATTAAGAATAGCCAAATGCCTCTGCTCACAATATCATCTTGCTTAGAACTCTGAGAAGTTACTTTCATTGTTAATGAGTATTATTAAAAAAAAAAAAAGAATGCCCTGTTTTGGAGAATATTTTCACAGAAGACATTTTCTTTTTGGTTTCTTACCTTCTGAAATCTCTCCTAATTTCTCATGTTCAGATTTAATAAGGTCACACTGGTATTCGCAAATCCTTAGCCAATTAGACACTGACCTAAGGCCTGATATAGTATATTCTAAAAATAAAATAAGCAGATATAAAGTAATATTTGTATTATGCATTAATATTTATACATTTACACAGCTTGTCTGTTACCTAAATTGGTAACAGGCAAAGAAACTTGGGATATTAACCAATATTTTTCTTATTTGAGGCCAAGAAAACTTCTGATAGTTTTCGTTTGAGTTAGTTCCTCAGTCTAATGTTGATAATTGTAGTGAATTTAACTCTGTATTTTTTAATTACACAAAGCACAAATAAGAATGTGAGCATGCCTCAACAAAATTTAGTTCCCAAAACCATGTTAAGCAGCCAGTAGGATCTTATCCTTCCCTGAACCCACATGCAACTAAGAAGTCAGTTAAGTCAGTGAAATCATTAATGTGATTTGTTCTAAGTGTCAAATAGGGAAAAAAAAATTCCTCCATCAAATAAATGAACTACAATGTGTAGCTTTATACTTATTATATGCTAAAAGGGATGTGAGAGTGCTATAAAGTCCTATATGCATGCGAGAAAATATTCTGTTTTTTAAAGCTTGGTTTGATATCTTGCTTGCCCAATGGATTTGATTGATAGTTGTTATTGTTGATTTGCTTTTTATGGAATATGCCTGAGGCAAAAACAAAATTTTCATGAATGATTACCCCAGAATAAAGCCTTACACTGGAAGAGGATCAAAATATTATTAAAAAGAGTTTTAAAAACCACAAAGTGTTATTATCTCACTCTCTCAGACATTGTAGATTCGGAAATAGTAAACATCTGAGTTATGAGCAATAACAGCATCTGACATTATTGTTGTTAGTGTTTTTTTTTGTTTTTTTGTTTGTTTGTTTTTTAAACAGAGTCTGGATCTGTTGCCAGGCTGGAGTGGGGTGGCGCCATCTCGGCCCACTGCAACCTCCGCCTCCTGGGTTCAAGCGATTCTCCTGCCTCAGCCTCCGAAGTAGCTGGAACTACAGGTATGCACCATCACACGCAGCTAATTTTTATAATTTTAGTAGAGACGGGGTTTCACCACATTGGCCAGGATGGTCTCCAGCTCTTGACCTCATGATCCCTCTGCCTCGGCCTCCCAAAGTGCTGGGATTACAGGTGTGAACCACTGCTCCCGACCATGTTTGAATTTTCATAAGAGTGACACCATAATCTATATTACCTTTCATAATTAAATAATTCAGAATGCTAGTATTTCCCTTGCTTTTGTCCTTCTAGTTATTTCAAAAAATTTTTAAATATCTAATTAAATATAAGAAAATAGGAAGGGAAAAAGCAGATTACTCAGAGATAAAAGTATGACTATTCTGTAAAATTTAATTAGAGAATTAAATTTATCTTTACCTCTGCAATAATAATTTTATATTAAATTATAGAAACTAATTTTAAAAGTAAATATACGCATAAAAACTGAAATAAACTTAAAGCAAATGTTTCTATTTTTCTGATTTTTTTTTACTGTTTTAAAAATTGAACAAAGACTGATTCTGTATTTGATCACAGTCCTTAGAGTAGAACTAAAATACTATTCTTCCAACAGGAGTGTGATATAACGAATAAATATGATGAAATAAATTAACCGAGAAGGAAATATTGATGGAGTTTTCTAGTGTGTTTTTAATTTAATACCGGAGTTTGTATTTACATGGCTATATGCTCTGCCAGATGGAGGAAAGGAAAGAAAGAAGGAGGAAAACTTTATTACATCAAATATCATATTTCCTTCTATCTAATACACAAGCAATCATAAAACACACTATAATAGTATATACCACCAAATAAATTTTTTAAAACACCATCAGTAAAATACAAAACACTGTTCTCTTCCCATGTGAAATTTTATTTTAGACTTTTTAGACTTGTTTTAAGAAATTATTATGTGTCACTCTGGGATGTATGTAAAACAGGTAATTAAGGTCTTCCTAGGTCTTCTGCATATTGAGAGCCCAACCTCTCTGAGTCACCTTTCAATTCATGTAATGGATATTAATGTTGTTTCTCAGTATGTTGCCTTCAACGTCATCAGTAATGTTGGTGATGCAACATTTCTCAAAGTGTGGCTGTGTTGTTATCTTCAGGATTATCTTACAAACAGCAGCTCACAATGATTTGCAAGCTTGAGTGTGAGCATAAAGACAATGAAAACTATGGTAAATGCTAGTCCTACTGCCTAGTCAACAGCAATTATAATATGCACCCCCACTTCATAGATATTAAATGTATTAGAATCAATGAGATAAGAAGTTCATGTCTTTTTCCCTTCATATACAATGATTAAAGTTTCGTATTTTCATATATTTAACAATATTCTTCTGCTTAATATGCTGTTTGGGAGGAAAAGCACCACAAGTAATCAAATAATGGACTAGTAAATGAGCATATCTTAAAAGTCTTAATTCACTGAGAGCATTTGCAACTTAGCTTACTAACCTTGAATGAGGGTCCTGTCTCATTGAAAGAGCATACTGAAAGATATTGAATACTGTGAATGTCAATAATATAATTAGAGAGACACCTGAGCTAAATCAAACTGTAGTAAACAACTTTACAAAGCATATAATAGCTCTTTGTATGTTCAATTTATTTCCTGCAGCAATCTATAGGTTTCCAGTTGTGGCGAAGTATAAAGCATACTAACAAATTGCTTTCAGAATATTCAGAAAGTGTTCTTTTGTTTTAAAAACTGTCCTTGTCCTTAACATTTGTTTTCTGAACTTTTATTGTCTAAATATATTTACTATTTGATTTTTTGATAATACTAAGGCAGTGTTAATAATATGGTTCATTATCTCTTTCAAAAGCCAAGGTTGTAAGCTTACATTAATATTTGTGAGAAAATGTTATTAAATTGTGAAATTAACTTTCTATATTAAAAAAATAAAAACATACAAACACTTGCTTATTTTTAACAAGTAATTCATGCAGTCTCCTGGTCTACAGAGATACATTTACTGAGATACCTTTGTTGATGTCTCATATTCACTCAATTTCACAAGAAAAACAAAATATTTCAAAAGAATACAGTATGATAGACAAAACCGATGTGCAAGGCTTACTTCATGTAATACTTTGTATTACACAAACTGCTGATAGGGACAACGGAAGTTCCGCCTTTATATTTTCAGCTTCAGGATAATTTATTGATGTTTTCCTTACAAGGTTAATTTTTGACCTGAAATGTTATCCATTCTCAGTTACATTATATATTAAGCCTATTCTACCTCTGTTTTTCAAATGGAAAGAATTAGCTTGTGGATTCAACAATAGCAACTATTTTCAGATAACAAATGAGTTAAAACAATCAAAAGTAGCAGTATGTTGATTTGTAAATATTAAGTACAGATAAAAGTGTAGGAAGTAGGAAATCCTTGATAAACACCTTACTTTACCACCAAAATTGATCTGTAAAAAAGTCCTTTTCAATGTCTATATCTAAATTATTCTGTAATTTTTTCCACTTCTATTTTGTATTCCAAATGATTAATAACTGTTGCCTAAATTCTTAGGCAACAGTTATTATTCTTCTTGCTTTGTTATTATAAATTATATGAATTATAAATTCTTCTTGCTTTGTTATTATTAATAACTGAATGTATTTTTTTTTAGTTTCTCCTTTATTATTGATTTTCCCTTAGTAGAATATCAGTTCCATGTAGGCAGAGACCTTGTCTCTCTTTTTATCACTTATAATCCCAATACCAAGATTAATGTCTGAAAGATAGTTGGTACTTAGTTAATATTGGTTTAATTAATAAATATATAAATGAAAATTACTGAGTTTGACCACAATAGCAATTCTATTAAATCTTGTATATGACTTTCACATTTCTCTTAATCAGTATTTCAAAGAAAGTCATTAGAATAAATCTAAATTCTGCCATATTATAGGATGCTATTCAGCATTTTTCATGCACAGATCAGTTAGTTTCTAAAGTCTGAAATTCTAGATTTAAATGTTTGTTTTTTTATCTGCTATATGTAATCATGAGTAAATTATTTAATCTCCTTTAAATGCAGTTTATTCATCTGTAAAATAGTACTCCTAACAGTACTTATGTAAGTACAGTATTGGTAGTTATGAGAATTACCTGCAATCATGCATTTAAATACTTGGTTCAGTGCATGCAAATATGAACCAGCTACGTTTAGTTTATGTATTCGCATCTGTCTTTATGACATATAGGTTGTTATCCTCACATTGCATCACAGGCATTAATACATATATTTTGCTTTTTTACATGTAATTTTGGTTTAGTTCTCAGGTTAATACATTAGAAACGTGATTAAATTTCAAATCCTCTATTTTAGGGTAAACATTTGGTACAGTATTTAATATTTCTAAATATTGGTTTCTCCATATGTAAAGCTGAGATGATACAGTTGTTTTATGATTAAATGAGTTAATTAATGTAAAACACTTAGCGGTGTGCTTTGTATATCGTTTATATTGAATGAATGATAGACAACAATGATAAACATTATTATTAGCCAAGTATTTTATTATATTGTGCACTTTCCTTTTTATACTCATATCTTATTCCTCTATTACACATTGAGATCTGTCATTATATTCTATAATTGGTTAAAATTATTATGATTATGACAAAGTCAGTGATTTAATGCTAATTCATTTACTTAAAATTTGATTTTTGTCTCATGTTAGTTTTTCAATGCTGGTATAATTAATGTTTTAGGGACTTAGTTATCTTAATTGTAAAATGGAATAAAGAATAGCTCAAGGTTTTTGGAATAATTAAATTGTCATAGAATATGTGAAAATATCTTACACACATTAGTGTTATGTGAAGTTACTATACACATCCTCCTATCATATATGCCAATCTGATCAGTTCCCATTTGCTCTACCAAAGCGATTACATAGAGATTTTGAATGTGATTGTCTTCCTTAAAAAATTAGGATCAACTCATGTCTTTATTTTCTAAGAAAAATGTTGGCTCCTTAAAAATGTTTCAATGTGTATTTTTATGTAATAAAATACATATGGTCTTTCATTCAAAGACCATAATAGCCAGCAGAATATTAATCCAAAAATATTAAAACTATAACTCTCCTTTAGTAATTAAGATATTTGGTTGCAAGTGATAGACATCTAATTCAAACTTATTTTTCAAAAAGTTGTTTTAAAATTATCATGAGTCATTAAGATATAACCATGTTCAAACAAAAAGTAAAATAACTCAAATGACATTGATCCATTCAAGCCATCAGAACTTTCAGTGCATATTTATGTGTTCTTTCAAGAGTTTCTCTTTTTCTAGATGCTCTGTTATTTCTCTGGTTCACAAAGCAGGAAACGTGACTGCCTATGCATTGTAAGCGTTCAACACGAGAAACATTTTTTCTTTCTTTGTTTAAGTAGAAATAAAAATCCTGAGCGAAAATAATAGTGAGCTCAGCTTGAATATGATTTCTACCTTTGGAAATGCAGACCCTATAGTTATAATATGGAGGAGTTAAAGATATTACACCTAGAAAACTGAATACTAGAACACAAAATTTATTGCTGTCCACTTTATTCCTTTCAGAACTCCATAACATTGATTTTTTTCAAAACTTGATTCTGCTCCATCTTTAATTTTTTTCCCCTACAAGTTTCAAAATGTATACTATTAATAGTAAAATCCCCAGTGAAGTGAACAACCACTTTTCATAGTTGCATGGCTGACATTTGGTGTAACATTTCCAGCACCAAAATAAAACTTCCCTCAGAAAATATTCCCAAAGAGTAGCAATTTGGCACATCTCAAATCAACTTCATAGCATATGTTTATTTTACTGTCTATTTATTAGAATAGATTTGAATATTCTTAAACATTCAATACTGAACAGTAGGATTCAGCTGTATATCTGTAACATTCAAAAATTTATTTCAGACAATCAATGCAAATGTGAAAGGGCTTTACTTAGTTAAGGTGATGGACTATTTTTCCCCTAGGAAGAATTAATTTGGGTGAAATTGGAGATGTATGTCAAATTAGTAGTTATTTATTCTCATGTATCTATGATTTTTAAAAGTAAGACAAATATAAGTTCTTTTAACTAGAATGTTACTTGGGGTAGAAGGCTATTTCAGTAAGGAAAGGCATGCCACGGGAGAATTTATTTTAATCTTGAGAATTTATAATTCAACCTCAAATAAACATATAATATGTGTTTCAGGAGCCTGAGACAGAGGAGAAGAAAGGTTATAAGAGAAAAAAAGTATTCTGATATTTAGAGTGGAGTTTAAAGAATCCTAAAAATAGGTTGAGACTAAAGACAGAGGTGATGAAAAATGCTGTCATGATGGATATGGCTAAAGGACACTGAGAAGTTAAATCTAATTAATTTTTAATTACAATAATTTATAATATCAATTATTTATTAAAATATATTGTACACACAAACTTTTTTTAGTCCTCACCTAGGAAATGAAAGATAGGGAGAAAACAGCTGTTACAGATAAAAGAGGGATATGTGGCATTTTGTGTTTTTCATGCCTTTGAACAACTGTGAGGTTGTTTACCTTCAATGGGAGAGTAATATGACTTAACCATAATAATAGCTCATAATGCCAGTTTATAATAATATTTCTGTCTAGATGTTACCATCAGATTAGTTTCAAGAAATTGGGGAAGAGAAAGACCAAGCTAATGGGATCACAGAGACCAAGCTAATAGGAATTTAAGAAGTAATTGATAAAAATACCACATTTTACAAGTTTAACGCTAATAGAGGTTGTGGTTTTGATTGTCATATCCACAGTTAATCAGTTAAAATATAACAATTTGTTCAAACACATTTCAATAAATGAATTACAGTTATTACCTTCTTAGGTTGTCTTGCATTGCAATTGGAAAAACATTTATTTTACACATTGCGTTTTAAGTCTTATAGTAGCTTCATGAGTAAGCTATGTTACAGGCTGCCAACTGCATCTCTTTATCTATTAAAAAAGATTGGTGAAATAACTTAAATTACATTAGAAAGTTTCACACCTTTATTTTAGTTTAATGGTTCTGAAATCAGGCTCTATGTTGGGATACTAAGCACTACTCCCCCAGAGTTCCTAATTTAGTCTTGTTATATAGTAGAAATCAGTATTTTAAGTTTAAATCTATTTAGGTAGTTCTAAAGTAAAGTCCATGTTGAGAAATCATGCACTATATTATACATAAAATCAATAATTTATTAGTATTTGTGTACCAATCTTTTGTTGCTGGATATGTAGAAACAAAGTTATATTTTTAGTGAAGCCTAGATCATTAATCAGTCATCATAAGTGATATCTAAAAATATGCTATGTGTTTGAGAGAAAAAAAGGGGAAGAACTGTTTCAAGTCAAATGTTGCAATAAAAATATTTTGGAACCCATCCTATATCATAATGTTTCTTCCTTCCCCCTTAGTATAAAACATAGGTAAATTGTTTTCTTTTGAGAAAGAGCTGGAATTAGGAAAATGGTTAATGCTAAAAAGAACAGGTTCTGCTGGGAGGCAGAGCTTGCAGTGAGCCGAGATCTTGCCCCTGCACTCCAGCCTGGGCCACAGAGCAAGACTCCATCTCAAAAAAAAAGAACAGGTTCTGAAAGGAGTTAGACTGTAATTTCATATATCTTTGGACCCTGTAAGCTCAACACACACACAAGATTGGTTTGTATTTGTTGTCGATATGATTTTCTAGAGCTTGGATTTTTGTCAGCTGTTGAACAATAAGAAAACTGTAATTGGAAACTGTCTTGCAGCAAAATATTTTATTTTTGTCACACAGAACCTACAATAATTAACAACACAGACTATTTTCCTGATAGTTAATAAATTTAGTATAAGATTTTATTGTGGGTGAAATATATACCTGGAGCTTTCTATAGCAATACAAAATGTCATTTTTGCTTCCTTTTTTTGTCCACAGATTGGTTAATGTCATAGGATAAAAGTATATATTTTGAGATTGCTGTAATTGTAGAACATTGGGGGTTCAAAACACCTTATATATCATCCATTCCATATCCTTTTTTTGATAAATGGAAAATAAAATAGACACATAAAGACGTACTATAATGAAGGGGTATCTCTTCTAACTAAAATAGCTCTAAATAGTGCTTAGAGAACTGGAGCAAAGGCATGAATCAACCAAATGTATTCTTGTTCTTTAAATTTGAGACTATTCAGAAAAAAATGTATTAAAGTCGAATCTCTTTTCTCTTTCAGAAACAAATGCAAACCATTTTCAGGTGTTTAGTTCATGCCCAAATTAGCCAAACTATTCAGCTATGGTAGAATAGTTGAGGATCAAAACAGCTTTGGGCCATGATAAATAATGAGCGAGAGAATGGACTAATTAATAATGCCATGACAGTGTAACTCACTTCACTGGACCTTAAATTTTGGATGCCAAGAGCTGCACACAAGTGATTAATATTCACTATTTAAGGTCAATAAAATTTATTTTTAATATAAAGGAATCCAATTTTATACTTTATAAGCAGAGAAGGAAGGTGAGACTAGAGAAGTTTATGACAATAAGGATACAATGCAATTTACATACTATGATAAGAGAAAATCATGGATCTCATTATTATGGAAATAAGTTCAAAAGGATTTTTTTATTAACACATAAGACATTTACAAATTAAAGTGACATAGTGAAATCATAGATTCTACACAATTGTTTCAAAAAATAATTTACCAAATTTGACATACTCACTGTTACTTTTAGGTTTAGAATTTTATACCACATGAATGTATACTTAAGGTTTAATTTTTTGAAAGAAATATAACTGTTAAGATTTCACAAAAGTTTTCTGTTTATTGAGAACCTTGACTTTTTCTAATTTTCTTCTCACATCCCTCAATTATTTGCTTCCCATCGTTATCAGGATCAAGAAGGACATATTACAATATTTGATTCTACTCCCGACATCCAACTCTAGTTATGGCTTTAGAAAAACAAAGTCTCACACAACCTCTCCACAAACTTAGATTCTCCATCACTGTCTCTATCTCATTTTCTCTCTTTCTCTGACTCTCTCTCTCTCTCTAATACTATTGCATTAGTTAAAACAAAACAAAAAGCAAAGACCAAAGCCATTAAGGGCATATAACCCAGTAAAGGTGAAACATCCAGATAAATATCATATTTTTTATTCAGTCAACTCAATATACTGACATGACTAAAATCTTCTTATCCCTTAAAGTCAACATTTCACAAATTCGCAAAGCACACAGATGCTGCTTCTCTTCTTTTAGTTGTAACTGAGAAAAAATCATATGGCTGTTAAGAGGCAAACCACGGGGCCTTGCAATATCAACCAAAGCCTAATTGACCATGAATGCTTTAATAATTAAATTTAAAAGAATATTCAAAAACAATATGCATCTATTTTCAAGTATATTTTCTACAAAGAGAATTACTAAAAAACTCATTCTCAATATTCCTTTTTACATATTTATTGAAGTATAATTGATATATAACAAATCTGCATGTTTAATATGTACAATATCATGAATATGAACATGTGCATACATCCTTGATATCATCACTGCAGTAAAGAAAATAAGCGTATCCATCATCTTCAAAAGTCTCCTTGTGTCCTTTTGTTTTTTTTGTAAGATCATTTAACATGAAATCTACTCTTTTAAGAATTTTTTAAAAGTACAATACTTCATTGTAGGCACTATGTTGTACAGCAGATCTTTGAAATTTATTCATCTTTCATAACTGGAACTTAATACCCATGGAGCAACAACCCCCCATTTTTTCTTTCCTCCTGCACCTGGCAACCCCATTCTATTCTCTGCTTCTAAGAATTTGACTACTTTAGATACCTCGTGTTAAGTGTATCATGCGGTATTTGTTCTCCTGTGACTGGCTTATGCTACTTAACAAAATGGTTCATCCATAATATTGTAAACGGTAGAATTTCCCAATTCTATTTTACTTATATACCACATTTTCTTTATCCATTCATAAGTAATGGATATTTGGGTTGTTTCTATAACTTGGCTACTGTGAGTAATGCTGCAATGAACATAGGAGTGTGTGTATCTTTCTAAGATCTTAGTTTTATTTCTTTGGACATATACCCAGAAGGGTAATCACTGTATCATATGGAAGTTCTATTTTTAAATTATTGAAGAACCTCCTTGCTGTTCACTGCAGTGGCTTCATCATTTTACATTTCCACTGAAGTGTAAAAGATTTCCAATATCTCCACATCCTCACCAATCATCTTTTTTGTATCTTTTTTTTTTCCAGTAGCCATCCTAGAAGAAGTGAGGTGATATCTCATTGTGGTTTTAATGTGTATTTCTCTGATTAGAAGAAGTGAGGTGATATCTCATTGTGGTTTTAATGTGTATTTCTCTGATTAATGGCCTGGTGGCCATTTGAATATCTTCTTCAGAGAAACATTTATTCAAGTCCTTCATTCATTTTAAAGAAAATAGACACGGAGGCCTCGCTATGTTGCTCAGGCCAGTCCGGCATTCCTGGATTCAAGCAATCCTCCTGCTTCCTCCTCCCAAAGTGCTGGGGATATAGGCATAAGCTACAATGCCCAGCCTCTTTGCCCAATTTTTAATCATTTAAAAAAAATTTTTTTATTATTTGTGTGTTTTTGTGTGCTGTTGAATTATAGGAGTTTTGTGATGGTTAATATTGTCAACTTGATTGGACTGACAGATGCAAAGTATTGTTCCTGGGTGTGTCTCTGAGGGTGTTGCCAGAAAAGATTAACATTTGAGTCAGTAGACTGGCAGAGGAAAACCCACCCTCAGTGTGAGTGGGCACCATCCAATTGGCTGCCAGCATGGCTAGAAAGAGCAGGTGGAAGAAGGTGAAATATGCCACCTTGCTGAGTCTTCTGGTTTTCCTCTGTCTCCTGTGCTGGATGCTTCCTGCCCTTGAACATTGGACTTCAAGTTCCTCAGCCTTCGGACTCTTGGACTTACACCAGTGGTTCGCTGGGGACCCTTGGGCCTTTGGCCACAGACTGAAGGCTGCACAGTCAGCCTCCCTATTTCTAAGGCTTTGAGACTCGAACTGAGCTACTACTGGCTTCTTAGCTCCTCAGCTTGTAGGTGACCTATCATGGGACTTCACTTTGTGATCCTGTGCGTCAATTCTCCTTAATAAACTCCCTTTCATATATACATGTATTCTATTAGTTCTTTCTCTCTGGAGAATCATAATGTAAGTTTCTTATATATTTTGGGTATTAATTCCTTACAGGTAAGTGGTTGCAAATAATTTCTTTCATCCCATAGATTGCGTTTTCACTCTGTTGATTATTTCCTTTACTGTGCAGAAGCTGCTTAGTCTACTTTTTCTTTTTTCTGCCTGTGCTTTTCCAAAAAAAAAAAAAAAAATTGCTGCAAAAACCAAAGTCAAAGATCTTTCTTCTACTTTTTTCTTGTAGAGATTTATGTTTATGACTTTAATCTATTTTGAGTTTATTTTGTGTATGGTGTAAATTAGGAGTCCAGTTTGATTCTTTGCATGTAGATATCCAGTTTTCTCAACACCATTTGTTGAAGAGGTATTCTTTTCCCATTGTGTGTTCTTGGCACCTTTGTGAAAGATCATATGACTATATATGCATGCATTTATTTCTTGACTCTCTATTCAGTAATTCTTAAATAATACGTCCTTAAAGTACATAGCACTTACTATTTGAATTATTTAGTAAATATGCATTGCAGATTATGTATGTGAGTGGTACTGAATCTAATTTCTCAAACAGCTTAACACCTTTTTAAAATTATCTGAAAATTTTTACATCTCCTTTCCTCACCTAAGTATAGAAAAGCACCATTTCTTTTTAAAGTCAATGCTTCTAGCAATGATGTAGGAATTTAATCTGTAAAAATGATGACTTTATATTTTTATTCCTAATCTTTCTTTTCCAGGGAATTGCATCCTTTGTTTCCCAAAAGCTTTCCAGATGGATCCAAGCTTTCCAGTTACCTAGTATTGCTACACTTAGGGAGTTAAAAGACTTAGGTTATAACTCAGGTGTTAAATTGTGAATTAAATTTGCATTGGAAATCTTGGATTTCTCATAAGTCTAGATAATGTTCCACTTTAAAACAAAACGGTAACTGGTGTATTTTGATGAAATGTGATAGAGGGGCTAAGGAAACAGAACTGGAAATTGATTACAAATGTAAGTTTTCGTATCTTGACTGGAGGTGTCCTTAGCATTATTCTATTAATGTTGGAAGGCAACATGACATCTGTAATAATTTCCTAAGATTCTGTAAATCAGACTAATCTCTGTTTCTCTAAATTACTCTAATCCTAATAGGCTTCCTTTATCAAAAGGAAAATCTGCTTTCTGACCACCCCTTTAAATCACTAATAGTATGTTCGTATTTTTTAATTTTTTCTCTAAAGAAAAATGTTCTTTTTTTATTTTTAACTTTTTAAAAATTATTGACAATTATTTCCACTGCCACGTCTTAATTTAGAACCTTAACATCTTTTGTATGGAAAAACAAACAGGATAAAAGATGGGAAAGGAAATTTGTTATTGGGCTTTGTATGGGGGAAATTCAGCCCCCGATATTCAACGTGGGTCCTTTTCTATTTTCCCTAAGTGTTGGCCAGTCTGAGAAATAAAGGGAAAGAGTACAAAAGAGAGAAATTTTAAAGCTGGGTGTCCAGGGGAGACATCACCTGTCAGCAGGTTCCGTGATGCCCCCTGAGCCATAAAACCAGCAAGTTTTTATTAGCAATTTTCAAAGGGGAGGGAGTGCACAAATAGGGTGTGGGTCACAGAGATCACATGCTTCAAGGGCGACAAAAGATCACAAGGCAGAAGGTCAGGGCGAAACTAGAATCACTAATGAACTTCCATGTCCTGCTGTGCACGTATTGTCAGGGTTCAAGAGCAGAGAACAGGTCTGACTAGAATTCCCCAGACTGGAATTTCCTAATCCTAGCAAGCCTGGGGGTGCTGCAGGAGACTAGGGCCTGTTTCATCCCTATCTACATCTGCATAAGGCAGACACTCCCAGGGTGGCCATTTTAGAGGTCCCGCCCTGGGAATGCATTCTTTTCCCAGGGCTGTTAATTATTAATATTCCTTACTGGGGAAAGAATTCAGCGATATTTCTCTTACCCGTTTTTGGTAATAAGAGAAATATGGCTCTGTCCTGCCTGGCCCATAGGCAGCCAGACCTAATGGTTATCTCCCTTGTTCCCTGAACATCGCTGTTATCCTGTTCTTTTTTCTAGGTGCCCAGATTTCATATTGTTTAAACAATTTGTGCAGTTAACGCAGTCATCACAGGGTCCTGAGGTGACATATATCCTCAGTTTATGAAGATAATGGGATTAAGAGATTAAAGTAAAGACAGGCATAAGAAATCACAAGAGTATTGTTTGGGGAAGTGATAAATGTCCATGAAATCTTCACAATTTATGTTCTTTTGCCATGGCTTCAGCCGGTCCCTCCTTTGGGGGTCCCTGACTTCCCACAACAGCTCTGAAACTTTTTTCTTGGAAAATACCCTTAAGAGATTATTTTTGTTTTTTAAAAATTTAATTTAAGTAAAAAATCTTCATTAACTGTATTTCTATAAGCATGATTATATCTGTTCTCAATTTATTATTATGAAAATTGTTTTAATTCTGTGGCTTATCTAGGACCTCTCTTCTAAATGTTTTCTCTTTAATATTCAAAGTAGCATTTTATAAATTGAGCCTCAGTATCCAAAAAATGAGTATTTCAAAGCATAAGTTAATGCTTATAAATAGTGCCATTTTGTTCTAGTATATTAACTTATTTGATGACCCTTAGTTTCATAATTTATAAATGAAAAATAACAATATTTATTATACTGCATTATAATATTATATTTAAATTAAGTATCTGCTTTTCAAAAATATTTAACCCAGTCTCTAGTCAATAATAATTGCTAAATATGTATTCATTGGTACCTGGCACAAGTGTCTAGAATTTACTTGATGTTCAGTAAATATTTACTGTCTAGTATTTTCTAGATACCAGTTAAATTAGAAAAGACTCCTCTTGTCAGTCGTGGTGGCTCACGCCTGTAATCCCAGCACTTTGGGAGGCCAGGGCGGGTGGATCACTAGGTGAGAACATTGAGACCATCCTGGCTAACACGGTGAAACACTGTCTCCACTAAAAATACAAAAAATTAGCCAGGCGTGGTGGTGGGCGCCTGTAGTCCCAGCTACTCGGGAGGCCGAAGCAGGAGAATGGCGTGAACCCGGGAGACGGAGCTTGCAGTGAGCCGAGATCACGCCACTGCACTCTAGCCTGCATGACAGAAGGAGACTGTCTTTAAAAAAAAAAAAAAAGGAAAGAAAGAAAAGACTCCTCTTTCTAGGGGCATGTTTCTTTGAGATTAATTATGTCAATTCCCTTATTTTTGGCAGAAAATTAACAACATCCACATGCAATTCTAGCTCTATGGACATTTTCAACTTTGTTCCATTCTTTACACATGAGTCAGTGCTTATGAGCACAGGCTGGAACTTAGGTTTGAATATTGGATCTGAACTTGCATGAATTACCTAACATCTCGATGCTTTGATGTCTGATTTGTAAATGAGGATGATGGCTACCTCACAGGGCTTTGAGCAGGTTTTAAATGAGATAAGATGTTAGGGCCATTATAACAGTATCTATCATAAAGTAAGCACTATCTAGACATTAGCTGCAATTGATATCCCTATATTATTAGACAGTCTCAATTGAAATATCGATAATTAATTAATTTAGAAAGCACTCTATAAGCGCCATTAAATTGTCATCAGATATAATTCTTAGATGCCCATAAGTTAGGATAATAAAAAAACTCATAACGATAAGGTGCTTTACCTTAAATTTCCCTTTTCTGATCTACATTTCAACATGAATACACATTTCAGCACTAAACAATTAAACCCTTTGCCTCAAAACATTTTAATGTTTACCCAATAAAGTCAAAGCATTTTAGCATGATTTTAAAAAGACTCCATTATAATACAGCAGCCTGTCTTCCTTCCTACCATATGATTCTCAGCTATTCTTCTCTATATACCCAATATTATTTCCAAAAACAGAACACTATTTGTCATGATTTAACATTACCAGTGTTCTTTTTTCTTTCTAAAACACCTCACTGCCAAAATGGACAATACATATTGCTAATTTAAAATGATGCCTCCTCTAAATGCAAAAACCAAAATCCAACAAGCCAGACCTATGTAGCCATACATTTTTTTTAACCCTTTTGTCATTTGCCCTGAGAATACTCACCAGCAGTGCTTGTGACTGCAGTGTTTACCCGAGATAACTTTGCCATGAAATATCTTGCTTTTACTATTTTTTTCACATTGTTCTAGTACACCAACTTTGGAAACAAACGACTTCATTCTATTTATAACATTCTGGGTTTTTGTTTGTTTTGTTTAGGTTTTCTTCCTGAGTCTCTCTCTTCTGGGCCAGCCTGGAGTGCAGTGGCCTGATCTTGGCTCACAGCAACCTCTGCCTCCTGGGTTCAAGCAATTCTCCCTGGCTCAGCCTCCCTAGTAGCTGGGATTACAGGCACCCGCCACCATGCCGGGCTAATTTTTTGTATTTTTAGTAGAGACGGGTTTTCGCCATGTTGGCCAGGTCTCGAACTTCTGACCTCAGGTGATCCGCCCGCCTGGGCCTCCCAAAGTGCTGGGATTACAGGCATGAGTCATGGCGCCAGACTGGTTCATATTATATTGATCATTAAATAGTTTCATATTATATTGATCATTGAATAGTTTCTTTAAAATTCTGTTTAAGAAGGCATAAAAGAGTTGTAATGTATTTTGGGAAAAAAACAACACTGGTTATACTAAATGTAATAAACAAAAAAGCTATGCCCATGGTTTAGAAAATTTAGCTCTATTTTTCATTCCATGATGAATATAGTGAAGACAATAGAATTATACCATCATTACACCATAATTCATATAGGAACAAAGCTTATGTAACACCTGTATATTCTCCCTATGGTACTTATGCTTACTTCAAGTTTACTATGTTTAGTAATCATTTAAAATAGCAAAACACAAAAAGCACAAACATGCAAAAATCATGGTTGGAGTAAATATAGTGGAAAAAGAACACTTGTTTGTAGTGTAAGAGATGAAGCAAGAAGGCAATGCCATGTTGTTTGACCTCATCTGGGAATGTGCATCCCAGGTGACAAAGTATTCACTGCTATAAGCAATTACATTTCTACAAGTGACTGAAAATTCACCATGAATATTGATTTGGGGGTTACAAATAAATTATAGTTAGTAGGTAGATCTTCAAATACAGATCTGCAACAAATAAGGATTGATTGTGCCATTTTGTTACAATGCTTTCTATGGAATTCCATTGTTTTTCTACAAACTGACTTTATCTGGTGATATTTCTCTAGTTATTAGAAATTGGAAAGAGTCAAAATGATCCTTCCATCTCCAATTATTATCTAACGACGTTTTGTTATATGTTTTTAATACAAGTACATAGCTTCAAATGACAAAAAACTCCACCATTTAATGAAATAATTCAATGTATTTCCTCAAGCTTTATCACTTTGCAAGTTCTATTCCCACAAACAAACTTAATTTTAATTATTTCAGACACTTTCTCTGTTGTTTATTCTCATATTATTTATTGATGTCCACACTAACTTGGAAGGTGTGGTAAGGTAGAATAAGATGGCACTTTGTTTTGATGAGCATATATTCAGTGGTGCCTAATCTGCAGCTGAAAATTCACATCAAGTCTGCATCTAGGTACTATACATAAACAGACTGCCTGTAGAGTAGAAGATTGAATTATATTAAAAAACTCCAAACATAAAACACAAAATGTTCTGATCACAATTTTAAAATTACTTGCCTTAAAAAAGAAACAAAACAGTGCAACTGGAATGAGAAAAAATAACAAATTGATGTGAAAATTGAGATGAGTCATATAGTAAAATTATGTAGCAAATATTTTAATAAGTAATTCTATAAAGGCTTCAAAAATTATGAAAATACTTGGAACAAATATAAAATGAAAGTCTAAGTAAATGAATGGAGATAAAAACAGAAAACAAAGAAATTTTAAATGAAAAAATGCAACAATTGGAATGTAAGAAAAGCATCAGATTGGCTCAATAAAAGATTGAGTATGGCTAAAAACAGAATAAGGCAACTTTAAGAGCAACAAAAATAATCAGGCTGAACAACAGAGAAGAAATAGACTGGAAAAAAAATAACCTCATGAAGGCGAGATAATATAAAATCTGTTATTTGCATAATTTGATTTCCAGAGTGACTAAAATTAAATAATAAACCTACAGATGCAAGAAGTAGAACAAATCCAAAAAAAGAAATCCAAAGAAATCCATGCCAAGGCATATCACAATCAAATATCCGAAAACTAAACACAAATACAAATCTCAAATATGGTTACAGAAAAAATAAATATAGAGAAACACCAAAGCAAATGGCAGTGGACTTCTCATCTCTAATCATAAAGACCAACAGAAAGTGACACACATATTTTGAGTGCTGAAATAAAGTAACTGTCAACCAACACTTATATTTAGTAAAATTTTGTATTCTTTAAGTAAGGACATGAAATAAAAATAATCTCAGACCAAGGGAAACAATCAGAATTTGCTATCAGAAACATATCCTAAAAGCATGGTTAAAAGCAGTTTTCCAAACAGAAAAGAAACAATAAATAAATATTTGTGGAACATCAGAAAAAAGGAAAATAATAAAAAGTATAAAAATATGTATAAATATAATAAATTCTCATTCTGTTTTTGAGTGTTCTACATGGTATTAGATTGTGGATGCCAAATTAGTAACATTATCTGATACAGCTCTCATTGTACATAGAGAAAATATTTACTACTATACTAAAAAGGAGAGAGGGCAAAGAAACCTAAATGGAGGCAAGGAATGTATTAGTATTGTTATTTATTTATTTATTTTGGCACTAATGTCTGATAAGTTATGTATGTATAATAAAATACAGTGACTCCTAAAAATTTACATGGAGACACAGTAAAAATCTCTAGAGATAATCAAAAACAGAATGGAAAAGATTCCCACACTAATGAAGGAAAAGTAAAACAGAGAAATGGAAAACATAAGAGATAAATAGAAAATATACAATAAAAGGATAAACTTAACCCTAATATATGAATAATTACATTAAATACAAATGTTCCAGATGCACCATTTAAAAGGCAGAGATTGAGATAGTGGATTTAAAAAGAATGAATCAGCTATATTCTGTCTATAAGAAACTCACTTGAAATATAAGATTAAAATAAATGATTTAAAAATATATACTACAAAAATTTTAATCAAAAGCAGACAGGAATGGCTTTAATAATGTTAAAAAAAGTAGAATTCACAGCAATGAAAATTGTCAAGGATGAAGAGGGACATTAAGCAATAATAAAAGTGTCAACTCATCAAAAAGACATAACAATCTTAAATGTTCCAAACATCAGAGTTTTAAAGTATAATAAGAAAAAAAAAACTGATGGAAATAAAGTGAAAATTAAAAATTTTAAATTATAACCAGAAATTTTAAAAAATACTCTCAAAACAATTGACAGAAATACAAAAGAGAAAAACAGCAAAGATACATTCTTACAATAAAGCAAGCTAGAGAAAAGAAAATATTGTTAAGAAAATCCTAAGAAGAGAAAACACACTCAGAGTACTGTACTTTTTTATCAGTACTGTTAAGTTTATGTCATCTGTTCACAAGAAGAATCTTCTGTCTGAAATGGTAGAAAACCATAGCTGCAAACCTCAATCTTCAGTGCCTATCAAGAAATTCAACTTTTTTTTGTAATGTGATGACTTTTCTCACTACTTGGGAGTATTTCCAGTATTATTAGTGACACTTTGAATGAGTTCCATGGTGTTATTCAAGGTATAATTATATACACACATGCATCATTTGATACAGGAATGTAAAGACATTGTTTACCAATAGGGTTTAAATGGCATGTATAGCACACTTCACCCATCAACAACAAAATGAACACTATTTTCAAGTGTCCATAAATGGTCACCTAGACAGACCATACTTTGGCTCATAAAATATATGTCAATAATTTGTATGAGTTAAAATAATCTGGACTATATTCTCTAACCATATGAAAGAACATTAAACATCAATAATAGATAAGATAAAACTTTCAAAAACTTTGAAATAAAACAAAACAATTTTAATGTATATTAAAAGTAAAAGGGGGGAAAAAGAATGTCTCAAGTGAAATTAAAAACAACAGAACAAATAAAACAATAAAATAAAAACAACATTTCAAATTTTGAGGGATACTGTAAAACAAAGAAATTTATGCTACTAAAGGTTTACAGTGGAAATGAGAGTGACATAAGCAAGATGGCTGACTGGAAGTGTCCAGTGCTCACCACCACACAAGAAAAGACAAAAAACAACAAATAATAACTAAAATTTGACTGGAGTGTTGGATACAGAGTACTAGAGTACAGCAAGATAACGGTGAGGTCAATGTGGTGGTTAGAAGTCCAGGATGACAATGAAGAAAAGGAAACAAGGCATCTGGCCTCTGCTGTTTCATCTCCCCTGCAAGACTGATTCAGAATCAGGATGGACTTCCCTTGTGGAGAAAAGGTAAGCAGATTAAGCAGATAACTTCATCCATCTCCCGTTGCCACTACATACATTTGCAGTCCTTACTACAGGAGAATCACACAGTTCTCACAAGCCATGAGCTCAGATTGAGAAGGTGCCTGGAATTCATGTGGCTGCATTGCTCCAGATATGGGTCACAAATTGTGCCCCAATCCGTGACCCATGCTGCTACGGAACAGCCCTGAGCAGACATAAGTTTGAGCCAGATGAGCCACTACATGTCTATGTCCTAGACTGGAGTAACAGCCTAGTATCTCCAACCCCAGCAAGCCAGTCCCTGAGCTGGCAGACCCTCCATGTGCATGCATACCCCCAGCCTGAGGGACAAACTGGTGAGCCCAGCCCTGGCAAAGCTATTCCACCAACACTACAAACTTCCACAGTCTTTGCAACTGAGAGACACTCACAAACATCACCAAGATGTATTACAGTTGAATAAACTATGCAGAGACTACACTACCAGCATCCACCCAGAACCAAAGCTAATGCACCCCACCCAACGGACACCTCAAGATCCACTTATAGGAATAAGTCTTTCTCTATGAAACATATTTTATATAATTGGAAGAGGTAACTATTCTACCAGATGCGCAGATATCAATATAGGAACACAATAGATGTAAAGAAAAAAAGGTAACATACCCTTCAATAGGAACTCAATAATTCTTAAGTAACAGACCCAAAGAAATAAATATACACAATGCCAAAAAAGGAATTCAAATAATAATCTTAAGGAAACTCAAAAAGATTTAAGAGAATACAGAAAGGCAATTCAACAAAATTAGAAAAAAATTATCATCCAAATGAGAAATTCAATAAAAAGATTGATATAAAAAAGAAGCAAACATAAGTCAATGAGTGAAATAAATATAATTGAGAACTTCCACAAATGACTAGACTAAGCAGAAGAAACAATCTCTGAACTTGAAAACATATATTTTGAAATAACCCAGGCAGTCAAAGAAAACAAAAAAGAAACATAAAAAGAATGAAGAATGGCTACAGGAACTATGGGACACTATGAGACACTATTAATCAGATATTTAGGGACACTATATGGATTCCACAAAGAAAAGAGAAAAGCTATAGAAAACGTACTTAATAAAATAATAACTGAAAATTTTCTCAAATTTTGAGAGAGAGAGGAACATTCAGATCCAAGTAGCTCAAAGATCTTCAAATATATCACACCCAAGCAGATTCTCTCCAAGGCTCCTTTTAGTCAATCTATCAAAAGTCAAACACAAAGAATTCTAAAAATAGCAAGAGAAAAGCATCAGATCACATAGAAGGGAATATCCGTTAGACTAACAACAGATTTCTCAGAAACCTTAAAATCTAGGAGAGAATGGAATAATATAATGAAAGTGTTAAAGAAAAAAAAAAAGAACTTCTCAGTCAAGAATGCTATACCCAGCAAAAACTGTTCTTCAGAAATGAAGGAGAAATAGTTTTTCACAGACAAGCAAAAACTAAGGAAATTAATCATCATTAGATTGGCCTTACAATAAATGCTTAAGGAAATTCTGCATCTGGAAGTGAAGAGATGGTCACTATTATCATGAAAAGATGCACAATTATGAAACTCACTGGAGGAGCAGATATACAGAGGAGAAAGATAAAGGAATCAAACCTCATTACTGGAAAAAAATGTAAAACATCACAAACAAACAATGAGACAGGATTAAAAAAATAAAAGGACACACCAAATAAAATCCAGAAAACTATAAAATGATAGAGCACATCTTCGCCTATCAATAATAACCATGAATGTAAGCAGATTAAATTCTCCCATTAAAGGATATAGACTGGCCAAATGGGGGAAAAAAGACCCTAAAATATGCTGCCAATAAGAAACCCACTTCACCTGTAAGACATTACATGTCTTACAGGTAGTGTAAACACATACACTAAAATAAACACATACACTAAAATAAACATAAACACATACACTAAAAGTGAAGGGTTGGAAAAAGATATTTCTTGCAAATACAAATCATAAGTGAGCAAGAATAGCTATACTAATATATAAAATAGACCTTAAATAAAACCTATAAAAAGAGACAGGAGGACATTATGTAGGAATAAAGGGGTCAATTCAACAAGAGTATATAACAATTGTAAATACATATTCAGTCTGCACTGGAGCACTCAGATATAAAAAGCAAATATTAGATCTGAAGAGCAAGATAGACTCCAATACAATAATAGTTGAGGTCTTTAATACCCCACTTTCAGCATCGGATAGATCATCAAGACAGAAAAACAAAGAAACATTGAATTTAAACCATACCATAGACCAAATTTATCCAGCAGACGCTTGTAGAACATTTCACCCAACAGCTGAAGAACACACATTCTTTTCATAAACACATTAAACCTTATCCAGGTTTGACCATATGTTAGCACAAAAAACAACTCAAAAAATTTAAAATATCCAAATTATATAAAATATACTTTCTGATCACAATGGAATAAAACTAGGAGTGAATAACAAGGAGAACATTTAGAAATGTACAAATACATGGAAATTAAACAACATGCTCCTGAAAGACCAATGAGTCAAGTAAGAAATTAAGAAAATGTAGAATTCCTAGAAATAAACAAAATAGAAAAAAAGCATATGGGATATCACCTATGAGATGCAGAAAATCAGTATTTGCAGACAAGTTTGTAGCAACACATATCTCCATCAAAAAAACTAGAAAAATTTCATATATACAACCTAATGATGTACCTCAAGGAGTTAGAAAAGCAAAAATTAGCCAAACCTAAAATTAGTAGAATGAAAGAAATAATAATGATCAGAGCAGAAATAAATGACATTGAAACTATAAAAAATCAAAAAAATTAAAAGTTAGGGTTTTTTATTGGAAAAAAGGAAATGATAACATGTCTTAACCATATAATCTAAGCTCTCACCTCAATAAAACTGAAATACTAAAAGAAAATAAAACCAAAGTGAACAGAAGGCAGGATATATTAACTATAGGATCAGAAACCAGCAAAACGATTTAATTAATAATATAAAATGCTGGTTCTTTCAAAAAAAGAAATTCTCACAATTTTAGCAAGACTGACAGATAAAAATGAGATTAAACACAAATTGCTAATATCAGGAATAAAATAGGAGATTTTATTATATATCTGACATGCAATACAATAAAAGAATACCATGAACATCTCTAATGTAACAACTTAGATAAAATAGAACGTTTATGAAAAGCACCGAATATGAAATAAATAACTGAGTCGTCCTGTAAATACAAAACAAACTAAATTTCTAAAAGCATTTAAAGTTTGAAATTTTGCAAAAGAAAAAAATTGGAGATATACTTTTAACCAATTTTGTCTATTTATAATATATTGCTATAACAGTAAAAGCAATGTTTTATATAGAGAGAGATAGAGACATTCATTAATGGAACACAGTAGAGAACCCAGAAATAGATCTGCAAATGCATGATAATTTTGACAATTTTAACCCAGCTAATTTAAAAGAGAAATAACTTCAAGTACTTGTGGTACAGCAATTAGAAATTTGTAATCCACAATAAATAGAAACTTTTACACCTCTCACCATATATAAAAATTAGCTTGAAATAAATCATAAATTTATATGTAAAACAAAATACTCTAAAATTTTTAGATATAAATATAGACAGGAGGAATTTATGATCCAGAACTAAGTGAATAATTCTTAGACACCAAAAACATGTACATAAAATTAATTTATAGATTGAACATTATAAAAACTAAAAACTTTCGCTCTGAGATTGTAAAGGGGATGAAAATACACGTTACAGATCGAAAGTGTTTGCAATCCAGCTAGAAAATACACGTTACAGATCGAAAGTGTTTGCAATCCATCTATGTTAGAAGACGTGAATCTAGAATATATAAAGAATTCTCAAAACTCAACAGTAGAAAAAACACACAATACAATTAGAACATGAGTAAAAGACTTGCATAGACATTTTATCAAAAAGAATATGCTGATTCTAAGTAAGCACATGAAAAAAGATTTAATATCTTTAGCCATTGTGGAAATGCAAATTGAATCCTATGAGATATTGTTATATACTTATTAGGACAGGTACAACTTTTTTTGTAAGAGAATATCAAATGTTGATAAGAATGCAGAAAACCTGAAACTTTCATGATGGTGATACAAGAGAGTGCATCTACCCTGGAAAACAGCAGTCAATTTATTTAAATGTCAAGTACAGTCATGCACCACATAACGGTATTTTGTTCAAGCTCAAACCACATATCTGATGATGGTCCCATAAGATTATAATAGAGCTGCACATTTCTATTACCTAGTGATGTCATAGGTATTGTAATATAGTGCAAAGCATAACTCATGTGTTTGTGGTGATGTCGGTTTAAACAAACCTACTGTGCTGTCAGTTGTATAAAAGCATAGCACGTATGATTATGACGGAACATAATACTGATGGCAGCGGCAGCCCATCTGGAGCACCTGCTGCAGGGATGCCAGCTTCAGCGGGGGAGGCATGGCCGGGGCTGTGTGCTCCACAGAGCCAGAGGGGGCTGGTTTGGGGTGAGGTGGCCGGCCAAGAGCCCCATGTTCCCGGGAGCAGTTGCAGCCACCCAGCTGCGACTCCAGACCCAGATATCCCTGTGTTCTCAGGCACCTGGGAAGTCCCCCAACACCTGTAAGCTCAGAAGGGCCTGCTCCGGCTCTTCTCTGCTCCCAGCACCAGCTCCAATTTTGGAGCAAAGTTGAAGACAGGCACCTGCTCCAATTTTGGAGCAAAGTTGAAGATGAGCGTGGAGGCTGCTGCAACCCAGCCAGGTGTGCGCACACTCGGGTAGTGCTAACCCTCCAACTCCTCCTGCTGCGTCAGCCCCCTCTGAAACTTTGGGCACCTAGGAGCTCATGGAGGGAGGCGAGGATTGGAAGCTGAGGGCGACTCAGTGCAGACCTGCAGGTGCCCCTTGGCACAAACAGCCCGGGCACCATGGAAGACATGTTGGTGTGAGGCAGACGGGTTCCTGGGCTAAAAGGGGCAGGTCCCCAGTGAATCCCCACCTTCAAGCCAGAGAGAGCCTGCAGCTTGGAGGGATGGGCTCAGTTCTAGGTGGAGTCCACGGCCTGGAGTGAGAATTTATGGTGCTTTTTTCTGGGCCTGCCCATGTTTGCCCACGGACCAATCAGCACGCACATCCTCCCTTCTCAGCCGGTAAAAAACTCAGACTCAGTCAGACTCAACAGATGTCGAATGACCTGCCTGCTGAAAGGAGCTACCCACTGTGGGTCTCCTTAGAGCTGTTCTGTCACTCAGTGAAGTTCCTATCCCCCTTGCTCACCTTCCAGTTGTCCATGTATCTCACATTCTTCCCGGACATGGGAAAAGAATTTGGGACCTGCTAAATGGTGGGACTGAAAGAGCTGTATCACAAACAGGGCTGAAACGTTACCCCACTCACCACGTTGCAGGTTATGAGAAGGAGAGAATAGCTGCAGTCCTTCAGGGATCCCAGACCTCGGGGCTCCCCGAGCCAGGGCTGTGACACTCTCTTTCGGTCTCTGCAGTTTCTGGCATCTCCAAGCCTCCGGGCGCCACCGCATTCCCCACATCCAGACGCTGGTACCCACAGTGGAAACCACTTGAGGTGCATCTGGTCCAGCCCCAGCCTCACACAGAACCCGCACCTGTGCCGGTGCCTGCAGTTCCCCACCCCACCACAGCAGCTGAGGCACCTGGTTGGCTGTGTGCAGTGCCCAGACCCCGTGCTCATTCACTCACTCACTCATCCCCTGCTGCTCCGGGACTGGCGTAGCCTTGGCTGGTATAGGACCCGTGGCATAAGCCAAGCACAGCTGCTGGGCCTAGTGGGAGAAACAAATCCCGCAGATGTGAGCAATATTCAGACAGAAGGCACCACTGGCTACAGAGGTTTCTGGCTGGTGAAACGACACCCCAAAGATCCTGTGACAATACTTGATAATAAACAACTATGTTGCAGGTTTATATATTTACTGTACAATACTGTTTATCATTATTTTACAGTATTTACCTTCTGGAGCAATGCAAAGAATGAAAGATATAATAAATATCACCCTACACATGAGGATACCTATCCTATAGGTTAGAAACTCATAAGATATTAATCTGAGAGTTTATATGGGAAAGGGATAGCTCTTCCCCAACACCCACTTCTGAGAAAGAGAGGGAACCCTTTGCTCAGAATGTGAACAACAAATTCTCCTTGGGGTTAGATGGAAAGAAACATAGTTTTTTATTTTATTTTTCTCTTTAGACTACAAATAAATGTCTCCAGGGTGAAGATAAGACAAGAGTCGCCCAGTTTAAATCCCATGGAATGTATCCATGGCTCCAATCTCATGCTACTTTGACATACAAACATTTACCTTTGGAAAATTAAATCTTTTATCAGTAACTTCCAAGGCTGCTTCTTTCACCCAGGTCCCAGTAAAACTTGTTTGGAAATGCTTATCCATGAAGAAATATTTTATATATACATGTATATATACACATATATATACACGTATATTTATGTATATATATACATGTATATATATGCGTATATGTACATGTATATATATGTGTGTATGTATCTCCAATTATATATGTAGTTTATATATATACACACGTAGTTATATGAATGTTATATGTATAAGTATATAATTTTTTCTCTATAACACCACACTTATGTTTACACCAAATTTCATACAACAATGTCCATAACAGATTTGTAGTCACACATGGGAAATAAATGCCTTTCAATGAATGACTCATTAACTTGCAATACTACTCAACAACAAAAAGGAACATACTATTGACACACACACAACGTCTTGGGTGAATCTCAAGGAAATTATTCTGAGAGTAAAGAGCTAATATTGGAAGATTATATACTATATAAATTCATTCATATAAAATTCTTGACGTGATTGAATTTTAGAGATAAAGGACCAGTTAGAAATTGCCAGGCATTAAGGACTATGGGAACATAAAAGGAGATGAGCTGACTACAAAACTATCCAATAGTTCTTTATTTTGATTGTGGTGGTGGTTACAAAAATCTATACATAAAATAAAATCGCATAAAACAACACAAAGGTATGTATGTACACACAAATGAATGCATGTAAAACTGGTGTCTTGAATGTTGTATATACAAATGTCATTTTCTTGGTTGCAATATTGTACTGTTTGTGTAAAGTGTTGCTTGCTACTGGTAGAAAATTGGTGGAAGGTTTGAAGAAATTCTGTATAATTTTTGCAACATTTTGTGAATCTATAATTCTTTCAAAATAAAAGCTTAAAAGACTATGTGCTGATGGACAGGCATTATTAATTTTCAGTACCTATATGTGTAAAACAACAGTTTCAAAAATCATATATATAGAATCTCATTAAAGATAGGTGTTAATAGATAAACTTTTGCAATGAATTTTAATAATAGGAAACATATTTTGAACTGCTTTTAAATAAAATGTTTATTCCAAAACAGGTTTAAATTTTCTCATTAGTAGACCTATATTATGAAAACTATGCATATACTATTATTATTTTTAAATTTAGAATTTTACCATTAAAACTTTGTAAAATTTTTTTCTCTCTTGTTATATAAGTAACTATATGATATCCTTTATTTTGCCTCTTGAACTGCAAAAACCTAAAATAATTACTCTCTGGCCTGTTGCAATGAAAGTTTACCAACCTTCTGATTAGTTTTTCCATTTGAAGATGTAATGTCAGCTATATCTTTCAAGGTTTTGTTTTGTTTGTTTTTGAAGGGACTTTTCTTCCAATTAGTCTTCCAGTGAAGAAGCTATGGATTTTCCTGCTTTAGATGATGAACCTGGAATTAATGTGTTAGAAGCCAAGGAACAAAATTAGGTGGCAGAGCCTCACCCTCTGATATGAAGCCTCTCATCTAAACACTTCTACCAGAGGAAATCACTCAGATTTCCCTGTGTCTGAAGTTTAGGCTATCATGAAGGAATAATTTCCTAACCTTTTAAGAAGTTTGGGATGGGTTGTATTCAAGGAGTTGCACAAGGAATTTGCAGTAGAGGTGGTGAAGATTTAGTATTTTAGCTGCTCCTTTCACAGACTGTCATGCGATAATCCATTGAAAACTACACTTTATCCTCATCTTTCAAGGTTCTCAGTGTTATTCATTGCTGAACTTTTCAGGGATTCTGCAGAAAGAATCAGCCTTTTTCTCCTTCATATTATCTTTTGTGATTACTCTGGTATCAGCATTTTTTACCCTGATAAGCCAGTTATGAATCATCCCTCTGCTTTTTATCTTCTAAGAATGTATTGGCATTTCTTATCTACTTTTATTCCCTCCCTCTTTGTCCTTAAGGATTTACATCATTTTTATTTATTAATTATATTTTAGGAAAATTTTATGATAAATGAATTTTTTGGTAATTATTTTCCATGTTTTATGGGAACTTATTTTCTTTAAATTTAAAATAGCTAAACATGTAGGGAAGACCATAATAGCTATTATAACTTTCTTTCAGTGAATAAAAACATTTCATTAAAATGGTTTAGAATAATTACTTTTTGTTTTTGTATGTAATATTAAATAAATGAGCCTAGATATCAGATGATTTATGTAGATTCCATATTGTTAGTTCTGGAGTAAAAATGTAATGCAACTTCTTTCTTTTGCAAGGACTCACCAGAAATAATTGTGTCACTGCTACCTAAAATTCAAAAGCTTAAACATTTCTCCAAATTTTATATTCACACTTCTGGGTATAAGTTGCATCTTATATCCAGAATATATATAAGGTACAACCTGTCAGAAAATATATGGAAAAATGTAAATCTTAAATACTACGTATTCTACCAATGGAAATTATTTAGCTATACTTCTCTTTATTGCTTCTGGATTCATAAGATGCAGATATGAAAAAGGTAAAGAATGAAGAATGGGAATAATATCTGGAGTGGATATTCAATACAGAGTCACAGGATACGGCCAAACCCTTTTCATGACTCCTACCCTGCTCAGTGCCTGGGGGCTTTACATTGTCTTTAAGATAATCTTAAGATGAAAATGCTAGAATGTGTTCAAGTGTAACTGCATGTTCAGTTAAGCACAGAATTGTCAGTCTGGGGAAGCAAGTTAGACCTACCTTACTGAAAAGGAACCCTACAAAACCTAAATGTACCACTCTACTGCTATAGCAAGATAGTGCAGAGTTGTAAAGCTCTGGCTCAAAGCAATGTAGAGGTGTAAAATTTAAAGGGCAAAGGGACAATGAGACCAAGTTAAAAAAAAATCATATAGCTCAAGGATTTAAAAAAATCCTTGTGTGTGGCAAGCCATTTTTTGATAGATTGGTGCTGCAAGTTTTCGTGCCCCAGAGCATACAAATGGAAATTTTAACCTCTACTAAAATGATATTAATCAGTGATCTGATATTTTAAAATATTGAAATATCTCCACTGAAATGAACTCTCTTAAAGGGAATTCTTACAAAAGCCAAAAGTTAGTGGCTGTGGAATGATTTTTAAATAGTCCTATAAAAATATTACATTCAACATTTATATAATCAAACCTAGAATTGAATATGATACTTTCACATATACAGTGAGGCACACAAGTCATGTGGGCCAAATTGAATGGGGTTGAAATTGATAAAAAGAATTAGGTATAGAGTAAGAAGACATGGCATATTGAAATTTGGTAGTGTCTCTTAGAGAACAGAAATCCCTGTATATATATAAATATATATATATATTTGTATATATAAACTCTTAAATCAAGGGAGTCCAAAATTAGTTTAATTTAGAACTATGATTGATTAGTTCAGTGGTTACAATATATTAATAGAAAATGTAGGATTGGCTGTTACTGTGGAGTTCATTGACAAGCTGCTTTTCATAAAGATGGTCAAAGTGAGAAAAAAAGTGGTTATTTTGTTTTTCCTGTTCTTACAAATAATGGTCTAAACTTCTCTTCTTTCTTTCCTAATTCATCTCTACTTTTGAAAAATAATTTATCTACAAAATAATGTTTTCCTCCCTCCTTCTCCTCCTTCTACCTTCCATTTTCCTTCTTTTCTCCCTTTGCTCCTTCTACTCTTTCTACTTCCCTCACTTGTTCTTCCTTTAGTCCTTCTTTATGTTAAATACAAGGCTAGAAGTCATTGAAGTACAGATTTAAATCCTTGCTTTGTGATCTTAGGCAAGATACTTATTTTTCTAAACATTAAAAAAAATCTTTGAATTGGATGTAATTTTATCTTAGAATATTCTTCTAAGCATTAAATATCCTATCATTTATGTTCCTAATTCAATGGCTGGCAAATGGCTGATATTCAAAACAGGATAAATATTATTTTATCTTTTTAATACAGTATTATCTTGGTAATTATCCTCTCTTCAACTCTATTAAATCAGATATCCTTAAATTCTACAATATCACCTAGTAACCAAGAGGCTCAGTTTTATATATAATAGGAAGAGATCTAATTTTGAAATGTAATGACTCTGTTGTGTGTCTAAGAGAATGAGTCACAATTAGACAATCCATCTTTCAATATGAAATGCTATACAGAGTTTTTAAGGGTGGGTTATGTATGACAGACACTAACAGCTCAGTAAAGACTCTCCTGATAGTCTTAATGCAATTAATAAGTTACCACCCCCAGTCCCTCAAAAAAATAAAACTAATGTCTTTCTAGGGCCTTCTTAATTAAGATTGGCATGGAGAACTAGTCACTTAAAGAATTCCAAAGTCTTTTCCCAACCTATCTTTGCTGAATCAACAACACAAACCTTGAGAATCTACTAAATTCATACTCCTGTCTTTCCAGGAATATACCTTGAGCATTTTTTCCTACAGTGTCTTACTTATGACATCGTTTTTCCTACGGCATCCTTTATTTACCCATATAATACCAATAAAATTAGTTAATCTACATCAAATCAGGGCATTAATTATATCTGATTTTCCCAGTATTTAGTCAGGGAAACACTAGTATCAAAACCACCTTTGGAATTCATTTAAACTGCGAAACCTTGACTCTCACCCAAGAAATATTAAATAAATCAGAATGGGGGTTGGTGTTATTAAATTAAGCAATCCTAAGGGATCCTGTGTACACTGTAACTTGAGAACCACTGATAATAGAGACAGATAGATGATAGATAGATAGATAGATAGATAGATAGATAGATAGATAGATAGATAGACAATAGATAGGCAGATGATAGATAAATAGAGATAGAGGTAGAAGAAAGAAAGAAAAGAAAGAAAGAGAAGGAAAGAAAGAAAGAAAAGAAAGAAAGAAGGAAAGAAGAGAAAGAAAGCAAGAAAGAAAGGAAACGAAAAGAAAAGAAAAGAAAAGAAAAGAAGGAAGGAAGGAAATATAGAATAGAATGGAATGGAATGGAATGGAATGGAATGGAATGGAATGGAATGGAATAGAATAGAATAGAATAGAATAGAATAGAATAGAATAGAATAGAATAGAATAGAATAGAATAGAATAGAATAGGAGTAGAGTAGAATAGAATAGACAGATTGTAGTTTCTTAAGGTTGTTGCAACAAAGTACCACAAACTAGGTGGCTTAAAAGAACATAAATTTACCCTCTCACAGTTAAGGAGACTAGAAGTCCAAAACCATGCTGCTGGCAAAGTCAGTTCCTTCTGGAGTCTCTGAAGTAGAATTTGTTCCATGCCTGTTTCCTAACTTCTGGTAGTTGCCAGAAATCCTTGGCATTTCTTGGCTTGCAGCAGCATCACTTCAATCTCTGCCTTCATTGACATGTGTTTTCTCTTTGTGCACATAAATCTCCAAATTTTCTTCTTTTTCAAAGGACGTTAATCATTGGATTAAGGCCCAGCCTAATTTATTATGACCTCATCTTTGCTTCACTACATTTGCAAAGACCATATTTCCAAATAAGATCACTTTCATAGGTACTGGAGGTTAGAATTTCAGCATACCTTTTTCAGGAGGTTATAATTTGACACACACAAACACACCACACATGCATACATATAGTCAATCATGTTAAGCTAGGTTATGCTCCGGTAGAAAAAAGAAGTCGTATTGGTTTAAAGCAATAGGTATATGTTTTTTACTCCTGCTATTCTATCATGAGACTCAATCTGACGAAACCTCATAACCTTTGATCATCATTAGTCACTGTGTCAAAGAAAGTGGGAAAACATATGCTGTTCCTTAAATCTTTTTGATTAAAAGTGGCATGTTTGCTCATCATCACCAAAAAAATCAAATGGCCACATACAATTTACAGAGATACAAACAAACTTTGCACTGAAGGTAAATCTGGCCATATACCTGAAAGGAGGAGAGTTTATTCAAGAAAAATCATGACAGATTCATTTAGGTTAATTGTGTACACCTGCACTTTAAATTATATTTTACTCTAAGTTAAATTACAATGCAGAAAAAACACTACTTTATATTTCTGAGTGTTTTTAGTTAGTAAGATCTGTATATATATTAACTAATCTTCAAAAAAACCCTACAGATTTAATAGTGTTAACTTGTTTTTCACAGATTAGGAAAGCAATGTATAGACATAGTTATTTACTAAACTCAGATTTTGCCTTCAGGTTAACTTTTGAAGAAGAAATCACCTTGCTTTTCACTTATATTTTAATGGAATTAAGCTGTGGCATAAATAAGTACACAAGAAAGTAAGTATGTATGTAAATAAATAACTAAACAGATAAGCAAATAATCAAACACATAAAATTCATAATTTTAACTTCCAAAATACCAAGAAGAATGCTTAGTTGATACAGATCTTCAGTCTTCATCTGTGACCCTCCATCCTGGCTTGCCTGGGACAGTGTTACCTAACAATTGTGAATTCATACAGAAGAAATTTGTCTAATTGTTTTAATCTGTGTGACTGTATTTACATACATTGTGAAAAAAAAGAAAAGAAGTCTAACCCACCGTCAGAACCATAAACACTTTTTGGAGAAGAGAGGAGTTTGTGATTTGGAGGATGCAAATCACAGGCTTCGGGGATGTTGGCAATGTTTCATGTCATGTCTGATTGCTGGTTACATGCACGCTTTATATATTTATTTATTTATTTATATTTATTTTTCTTTTTGAGATGGAGTCTCATTCTCTTGCTCAGGCTGGAGTGCAGTTGCCCTGTCTTGGCTCACTCCAACCTCCCTCTCCCAGATTCGAGAGATTCTCCTGCCTCGGCCTCCCAAGTAGTTGGGATTACAGGCGTGTGCCATCACACCCAGCTAATTTTTGTGTTTTTAGCAGAGACGGTGTTTTGTCAAGTTGGCAAGGCTGGTTTCAAACTCGTGACTTCAGGTGATCCACCCGCCTCAGCCTCGCAGAGTGTTGAGGTTACCGGCGTGATCCACCGGGCCCAGTAGATGCATATTTACTTTAAAACAAAGCACTAAGCTGTAAGTTTTGTCTTTTTACTTTATGGAATTTTCTATATGGGTTTTCTTTTAATATTAAATATTTTTTAAAGAGGAAAATATTCAACAAATAGAGAAATATCAAAAAAGTAAAATTACACCTGAAAATTTTAGATATATAAAAAACAAATGTATCTCTCTACAGAAATATGAATGCGGTTGACTGTGGGTGCTCCTCCTGATTCTGCAGGGCTTGTCAACTAAGCTGGAATCCTGAATTCTAAAACATAATGAGATTTCAGGTGTTTTTGTTGAGTTAAAAAAATTTATGGACATGAAATAATAATTATGTGAATATATGAGGATGTTTGAGTATATAAATAGATAAGAACCAAATTTATTATTTCTAATAGTTATTATTTTTTATTCTTTGTAATGATCATGATGACCAACATGATACCAGAGCTCTGCTAATTGATGATTAATTTTTCAATGAGAACAACATTGCATTACAGTGATTAGGATTTTTGCCCAAAAAGACATAAGGAGCAGTACTGATAAGTTTCCTGTATCTAACTGTCCTCTCAACCAGTGTTGTTACTGTTGTTCACCAATGTATTAGACTACTTGTGATTTAACTAGATACTCACATCAGAGATGTCATATTTTATTCACAGATCTTAAAGGGGTAGGGAGTTCTTCTTATATTCCTGATTATAATTTAGGGAGAATGATAGAATATAGAGTAGAGTAGGAGGCACAGTAGGTCAGGTACAATGTGGAATCTATAACACTGACAGCTAATTTATATTAGAAAAGCTCATCCGGAATAGTTTAAAATTATATTGAAGGCATTGATACCCACAAGTGAAAATGGACCGAATTCCTGCCAGGACTCCTTGACATTTTCTAAGTAAAATGTTAATACAAGTTTAGCTAAGTGGTCTCTTTCTTCAAAGCTGCCTCTTGTGTTTAATTCTCATTGGCCTCTAGAACAGACAATGCTACTTGTCATTAGTTTGTCATTTATGGGGTTGAACATATGGTTAGCCCAATCATAATTAAAGAAATGATTTAGCATAAGCATGATAAAATTAAAGTTCAATAAATAATAGTATAATTACAATCCTATTTTGGGAAAGGTGCCCATAAATTTGAAGTCATCGAGATGAAATAATTATATTACATTTGGACATTTGGAACTGTTACTCCACAAAGCAAAAGTGATGCAAAATAAGCTGTCTGTAATTCTTTTGCAGCATTACTCACAAAGAAAAATGAAAACACAAACAAAAATAATAGATTTATATACAAAACTTTCATAGAAAGAGTTTCTAACTTACTAGTAGGCTATCCATTATTTTTATTGGTTTACCGATTTTTTTAAAAAAATTTACCATATCATCAATGTGGGTGTTGAAACAAAAAAAGTATTTTTTTAAAAAAGAAAAATTAATTTGCTATGTTCCAGATGTCCACCCAAAGCACCATATAGAAATGTCCCTAACACTGATAAACTTATCCTCTGACAATATAAAAATATTCCATTAAAAACTCAGATTTTCACAATGAGACAATGATATCAATGATGTTAAACATTTACTCATGACAATTTTCCCAAAGCTTTGATCTCTCTAAAATTGGGGCATGAAAAGTGAGAAGCGGTAAAAAGAGCTTTAAAATTCTGGTTTGACTAGTACTGTCGTGTAATTTCTAGGGCTGCATTGTATGTAATTCCCCAACACCATGATCAAGGATTTTCAACCTGTATTACTGTAAGTTACCAGGAAAAATGTTTAGATTATGGACAGTACCTACTCCTTTTCAATCATTCAGTAGCCAGTAGTGCCCACAATTTCTTAGGCTGGTTTCAGTTTTCTTTCTAGAAGGCCCTGTGTCAAGGCAAGACCTAAGACTTGATGTAATTTTGCTTTATACATATATATTTCTGCCTGATTTCTATGGGTAGAACACATTAACTTTCCTCAGTCTGAGTAAATTATCTTAAATCCTCTCTTCCTTTTACTATGTTTTTTTTCTGAAACTTATTATGTGTTCTTTATCTAAAATATTCTTTCATCATTTTATTTATTTGTTTTTCACTCTATTTGGTTGAATGGTTCTCTGTTTTTCTAGTTTTTAATAGAAAAAAGGCACATATAAAATATTCTATAAATAAATAAAACTTACAGTTTAATGAATACTTTTAAAGTAAATACTCATGTAACCAGCAAGCTGGCATGACATGAAACATTTCCAATATCCCTGAAGCCTATTATTTGTACCTTCCAAATCACAAACTCCTGACTTCTCCAAGAAGTAATTATGGTTCTGACTATGTGTCACTTCTTTACTTTTCATCATAATTTATATAATTAAAGTCATACAGAAAGAATCTGTCTAATTTTTTCACTTAATATTGTTTGTGAGAGTTATTCACGTTATTTTGTGAAGCTATAATTTATCCTATTTTATCATTGTATAATTTTCCATTCTTTACAAATAGAAAAAATAATGTACTTATTCTTCTGTTGATGAACAATGACTTTATTTAGTTTTGGGATATTATAGATAATTCTATATGAGCCTTCTTATATACATCCCCTTGTGTGCACATATATCTAATACTGTTAGGTACACAGCTAGGTGTAAACAAATTTGTCTTATAATATATGGATATATTCTTCTCTAATGGATCCTGTGAAATGATTGTCTTTCACACAGGGCTTCTACTTTCACACAGGGCAAGAGTTGGAATTGCAGATCTTAGGATTTCTCAGTCTATATAACTGTATGAGCCAATTCTTTATTTTACAGATAGATAGAATGATCGATAGATAGATATTCTAGTTCTCTGAATAGCCCTAACATAAAGAGTTTAAGGCTTATAATCCAATGCTATGCAATATTTAGATTACTTAAACATTAAAAATATGGTGCTGTTTCTTATACTTGCTTTTATGGATTTTTGTGCACTTTAATTATTTTAAATTTATAGAAATAATTGCTCAGAAATTATGAGTTACTCTATTGACCTATCAACTTTCAAATTTTAGATTTAAGGCCTTAATTTTTCAGAATCACATAGGGTAGTGCCAGATTACCCTTCCTTTAGATTAATTTTCTCTTAGCATCAATTCATACTTAATTATGTTTGAACATTTTGTAGTTTTACACTTTTTTATGGAATTAGTATAGTTCTTAAGAGGCTTTAGCTCAGACTTTGCATTTTAATCCATTAAAACTTGAATGTTCTCCTTTCAGATTTATATTATAGTAATACTAATAGAAAAAATTCATAATTATTAACATTTCTGTGTAATTACTAATGCTGTTCTGCATGCTTTACAGGAATAATCTCGTCTAATTCTCATAGCAACACTATAATTAGGAACAATCATTATCTACATTGTACAGATGACTTAGTGATATTAAGTGACTTGTCCAAGTTCACAAAATAATTGGCAGAGGCACTTCACAGCCAGGCAGGCTGACTTGCGATGTCACACTCACTGGATGGACTCCTAAGTTCTCTCTCCCTTAGTGGGACAGAGAATGGGAGCGGTGGTGACACAGAAGGTGAAACCTGATTTGTTAGGCCAAAGAAGCATTGCTTGTTTACATGGTGATTTTACCATGATCATTGTGTAAAGTCACCTATCATAGTTTTGCATCTTTCTCTGCCCTATTGTAGGTCAACAATTTCCAAATGTGGCCCATGGGTTCTCTGAACATGCCATGGTAAAATAAAAAATTCATTGTCAAATAATGTTAGAAAATTTGACATTTCATAATGTTCTCTTTAAGATTCAATATGTAAATTAACATATTAAAGTCTCTAAGAATTCCTGAGTCAAGAAATGGTCTACTATGGAGAAGTGTTTTGATTTAGAACCACTATTTATAAAATTGTTACCAATATGCATGATAGTAAAATATCTAGAAAAGTTTGGCCTCAGAGAATAATCATTGAAATATAGATCATTCATATTTTCTTTATTCCAAAAATGTTTATTGAGCACCTATATGTGGGCCAAGCACTGTGCTAAATTATGTGCTAAAAATGGTAAGAAGACACAGTATGTGAAAAAGTTCAAAGTCTACTGAAGGAGGCAAAGAAGTTATATCTATAAATATATGCCACAATAATGTGCCCTGTTATTTGAAAACATGTCCCAGTACAAAAGAAGCAAAAATCTGGAAGTTGAAGAGAGAATGGCTAGGTTGGGAATTTCCATTTTGTTCATATGACTGGATCAAGGCATTTGAAGTGTGCAAAATTTGAATTAGAGTGGTGATAAGATAGCCTATCATGAAGAGTCACAGCAATTCTAATAAAGAGTTAGGACTCTGTAGAGATATTGCAATGATTGTTACTGAAATGTTCAGAGTCTTTCATGATTTGGTTGTTGCTTTCTTTTGTGTTTGCAGAGTGATCCTCAGGCAGAAATAAATTATTTTTTACATAGTCAAAAAAAGGCACTGGTCAAAAAAAGCACTGGAATATTTTCATCTTTGCATTATATTCTAAAGTAATAATTATTACATCTATTCCACAAAACACATGCCACACAAACACACTCTCTGATACACACACACACACACACAAAACACCACAAACAACCACAAAACATTTTAAGAAAATGTCCCTTTTTACTAAAAGGAAAGAAAATTTAGTCTCTGCTATAAACTAAATATGTACATGCCCTCAAAACTTATATATTGAAGCCTTATCCACAATATGATGGCATTTGAAGGGGCCTTGGGTGGTAATTAGGTATGAGTGTGTAGACCTCATTCGTGGGATTAGTGCCCAGAGACAGGGCAGAGCTTCTTTCTCTTTTGCTGTTCTCAGTCATATGAAGATACAGTGAGAAAACGGTGACCTCCATACAAGCTGGGAAGCAGGCCCTCGCAAGCGCTCACCAGACACTAGAACTGTAAGTGCCTTGATGTTGGAATTTGCAGCTTCCAGAACTGTGAGAAATAAATGGTCATCATTTGAGCCACCCTCTATGGTATTTTTGTTATAACAGCCTGAATTGACTATTACAGTCTCTGTAAAGATACTGATACAAAGTTTTATTTATAAAAATGACACCTAACATATTCCCAAAGGAAGTAATCATTTTTAGATATTCATATTGTATTTAAATAATTTCATATATAAAACTAATTTAATGGACATAAAGGTGCTTCCAAAAGAAAATAAAGCAAAACAACCTTGCTTTCCTCAAAAATCAGGCAGTAATCACACAAAATTTCTTATAATTAGCTGTTCATTTATCTTTTGAGGTGAAATAACTATTTCTATCGCCTTGACTGTGTACTATTTTGAATATTCTACGTAGTGCAAATTGCTAACTAGGGCTCTAATTGCTTTAAACTACTTGTTCACAACTCTCAAACATTAGGAATAACTGACAATCATAATAGAGTGGACATTTCTATATATATTCATAAACTGTAAATTTTTAAAATACATATTTGGTTTTATAAATTGCTTAATTGAATAAATAAATTGTATAAAATATTTAATTCAAAAATATTTTTGTTACTTTTTTCTAGTATTTTAAGGTTTGAGTAAACTAGTATATCTTCTCATACAATAGTTTCTTTGGACACTATATAGTCTATTTTTTGCAAGCTATTATTTATAAGGTGCTAAATATATTTGTATGCATTATATAGATCAAAATAAATTTTATTGGTTTATTTTCCAAATTATATTATTTTTCTAAATATAAAATTACACAAAATTAAACACAACTCTATTTAGTAAAACAATAAGTAGATTATAAATACTGTTAAATATATTTATTAGATAAGGAAAGGTGGAAATCAGAATCTCATTATATAGAATTCTAAAATCCTTCGGAACATCCTATAATGAAAGTTGCCAACTTCAGCAGTGTAAACTCTCATTACAGTGAAATTGTCAAATTATTTTGTGTTTCTGATAGCCAAGATATTCTGATCTAAACTCCAACAGAGCCAGATATATGCTTGCTCTGGGAGGTCTATGGTGATTATTCTATTTTCTTATGCATCCTTTGTAATTATGAGAATGCATAACTAGAAAAAATAAACTTACCTTGAAACTGGAGGTGGAAATGAATAAGCTATTTATCCTGAATTCTTATATGAGTAATTAGGGAAAATGGAGCACTGTAGCAGAATAGAAAAGTGAAGCAAAGATGAAGAGGTAAATTTTGTTTTGTTGTTATTTGTTCTTTTTAGGCACCAAATGAGTTCCTAGAAAAGCATGGAAACATATAGCAAATACACAAAGGTTGATGTAAAGTGTACAAATCACAACCTTCCTGAAAAGGAAATTGGAAATACATGAAACAAACTTTAAATCACCCACAGCTGTTGATCCAATAATTCTATTTCTATGAATATTCTCTAAGGACATCATCAAACATTAGTGTAAAAATGTAGTGCAAACTCATATCTATCTATATGTTTAATATCTAAAATTCAACAGTGGAAATGATTGAATAAGATCTTCATACGTTATAAGTCCACTTCATTGTACAATCACATAAAGCAAGGAGGTGGTCAAGTAAAATGATAAACAAAACCTTTGGACTATGATGAACTAAACAGTAGATCATTATATTATTATCTGTATTGTATTATTAAATATTTAATAATTAGAATAATAAACAGAATTAGAGAAATGCAAGAAATGAGTTATAGTATATTGCCAAGTGCCAAAAATACATTTACTCTATGCATTTTACATAATGTATAAAAATTGGAAACAAATTGATTTAAAAAATGGTTAATAGATTGTGTATAGTTATATCATTTGATGTGTTATTTTATTTGTTAATAATAAGTACTTTCTTTACAAAAAAGTATGATTTTAAAAGAAATACAGAGAAGGAGAAAAATTAGTGTGTAATTAAATATTTAAAGTGTTTGTCTAATTAGGGTTGTCAGATAAAGTACGGGATGCTCAGTTAAGCTTGATTTTCAATTAAAAAATGGCCGATTTTTAGTATGTCTTGCATTTTCATAAAGTAAGTGAAAAGGTATAAATTATACTTAAAACACATTGACTAATATAAATTTAGCTTTAAAGGTTGTGAATAACACACTGGGAATCACTTATTTCTATCCAGAGAGATTTAATTTCTATAGATGTATTATTCTATTCAGGCAATTAAAATGTTTTGGCTTTGTTAAAATGCATCAGGTTTAGGGGTGACAAAATACTAATTAAAATATGTGAATATTTATTCACTATTTTAAAACTAAAAACTAAAAACAAAGAGGACAAATCTTACAATTAAATTAAATTTTTGCTTGGATGATAATCATTAACTTTTATATCTTAATTAAAGGCAGCCTTAGTTAAGTTTCTTCTAGGTACCAAGTATGATTTACCTCTGTCACCAAACTGAACATGCCAATCTCTAGTTGATAGCTGAAGGGGAAACATTATAAAAAGAGTAGAATCATCTCTTCTTAGCAAGAATAGAATAACTGTGCCAATTCATGTTGACCACAATGATGACCTAAAGCAGCCATCTTGGGGTGGGTGCCAGTAGAGACAGTGATAGGGTTAAATGAGTACATGCAGATGAGAAGAGCTAGAGGGAATTGTTTCAGCATACATATTCTTCTGGAGCTTAGAAAATGTATAAAAATAGTTGAGAGAGAAAATTTTGGCTTATGTCACTGTGTCAGTGTTTATGCCATGCTCCTTCCTATGTATATGAAGGATTTCAAATTTACAACCCCACCCCAAAAAAGTGTATTTCAAGATAAGTAATTTAAAATTCAATTGAATTTCTAATGAATAATTCATATACTTAATCCTGTATGTGGAAGTGCATTAACAAATATTGTGTACACATTAATTCTGATATATCCATAATAATACAAACACACACACAAATACATTCTCTAAAGTCAATAGTCTAAATGTTCTTAAAAAGTCACAATTACAATATTTTATACCAATAATCTCTAAATACATATTGTAATTTTAATTTTAGTATCAATTATACAGAAGACAAAGAAACTGAGTTTACACTGACATGATGTTTGCTTCGTATTTTGCATATTTTTGCTGACATAAAAAGGGAGTATTTGGGGATCAATTACATTTGGTCTTCTTGGTTTCTTTGGAAACAAGATTGAAGTTCAATTTCTGGATGACTTATCGTTTTACTTCTTTTCTCAATTACTAATGTAAAATCAGTCGGAAAATTGCGAAAGCCTGCTGAAACATCCCAGTTTGATTCCACTGAAATAGATATGCATGAGTATATATTGAACTCATCAAAAAAAGCTGTCTTTTACTTTTCAGCTTGCTTGTCCTTTACACACAGTCTCTTTTTCTTTTAGTACTTTATTTTTAAATTTTACATTTTTTTTAATAATGGACAAATAATAATTATACATATTCATAAGGTACATAGTAATGTTTGGTACATATAATGTATAGTGATCAGATCAAGGTGATTAGCATGTACGTTAGGCAAACATTTATCATTTCTTTGTTCTGAGAACATTCAATATCCTCCTTCTAGCTACTTGACACTGTATAATATGTTATTGTTAACTATAGTCATCCTACAGTGGTATACAACACTAGGAATTTGTGCATTTACCAAAAAAATTCACATCTCCTGAGCCACATGCTGATACTTTTTTTTTTTAATATTGACATCTAAAAATGTGTCTCATTATTTTACAATATGTCACCTATCATAAAATAGTGTGCTCCACTCCTTTCTTTTTCCTCTTTTTGACAGATTCCTTTTATTTCTATCTGATCCCTTTATGACAAAGATACACGTTGAGCCTTATGGATTATAAAACAATCATGGCATTTCTATTAGTTTGCTAAATATTTGCTAAAAATAACAAAAAGAAAAACCAAATGCCATAGCAAAAGATAGATATTCAGTTTTTAAATGAGTTTGAAACACTTTATATCTCTTCTTTGTATTCTTAATAATTAAAAGAATAATTGACATGCACACATATATATACATGCTCACATTCCCTAAAAGTTGCTAACTATATATGCTAGCTTCCACCATGCAACTTGACATCTGTGAATGACAGACTAATTAGTCATTTATGGTCATGAAACTGTTGAAGTCTGACAAAATAAATTTACACTTTCTTCTTCTATAAGCAATTCCTTATCCTCAACTTCCATTGCCATTTTCACATAGTTATTGACTATTGCCATCCCTATTTACATAGAACAGAGGAAATTAACTATAATCACAATTCCTTTTAGGGGAAATTTTTATGCCCAATCAATATAGGTGGATCCTGACTTTGTGGAACCTGAAGCATAAAATTTAGTGGGGGAGTAGTTTAAGAAAAATTATACAAAACTACCAATTCATAATCAAATACAACAATCAATATTATTTGGAACAAAAAATCACAACCAAGTATGTGTAAAAATTCTATAAACATACAAACAAAATCCAGAACAAGTATATAGTATTTTATTAATTTTCCAGGCCCTCTTACACAAATATTTAACTATACTTTTGTAGCATAATCTTTGGTCATTTCTTTTATCAATAATCTCATAATTGTTTTTCATAAAGAATATAAAAATAAAACTCAGTATTTCCTCTATCAATTAGGATTGAATGAAGGGATCATTTGAAGCAGAGTCGCTGTTATTGGTAAAGTTAGAATTATTGCAAAACTCTAGAAAACGAAGAAATTTCTGACATATATGAGATTTAAATATTTTTTTATTTTTAAAACTAGTACAAATCTTTTTCTGTACACACAGAAATAATGTAAAGTTATACTGTGTGCAATTCTTATAAAAAATGAAAATGTGGTGTATTTATAATTGTATACACTGTCTTGTCAAGTATATTCCTCACAGGAGAGAACTTCTATTTTTTTACCAAATATCAGCGAGAAATTAACTTTCTGCTTACAGTTTTATATATCTTATGGTTAGAAATAAAGAATGTAGCCTCTGCTATTGTCCCAGATTACCATCTAGAGAGATTTTCAAGTTTGCAGTACAAGGGGAGCCCAGCATTCTCCAGAGTTGAGGCAATGAAGCTGAGAGACCTGAAAGATCAAGGCAGCCAGATTGGATTTATATTCTCACTGGGAAGTAAAAGGATTACTTGAATTTCCTTTGCTTTGAAACAATCTGTGATATGTCTTGGTAAATCTTAAGTGTTTAGCCTATATAAAAAAATAAAACAAGTTCTGAATTATTTTGTATTATTGTCTGGGGGTTTGTTATCTGTAAGTTTATATCATCTAACTCTTTCTAACTTATGTGATTAATTTCATAAGTAAACATAGCAATGCTACCCATTTTGAAAATTCTGTCTAGAACTCTTTGTAATGTACATCTTTGCCATAACACAAAATTTCACATTTTACAAATTTAATAAATTTAACATTTTCCATGTGAAATGATTATGATAAGATACTCTTGGCACATGCTTAAAGTTAAGTGTCATTGATGAATTAGGTAATACATTTAGACATACCACGGTGGCCTTGATATTTTGTTTTATCTTCCCTTGTTTGGATCCACCTTTTCATGTGTGTATTTTTTTTTTAAAAGTTTTCTAGTTAATATCATATTGCTAAGATCCTCACACATTTTATGAAAAAAATGTTTTTACTATGGATGCAAACTCATACAATGAAACTGAATTTCATTAAAGCAAATTAAAAGCTTTATTATCATAAGTGTAGTTAAATAACTATAAATAAGTAATCAGTAATATCTCTCAATTTTTAAATCTATCTCTTAACGTTATTAAAATTACATTTTGTAGAGACATTTGAAAGGCATATTTTTCATCTTGATTTTATTTATATCCTAACAACAAGATACAAGGTTTAAATAAACATGAAATTAGAACCAAGAACTTAGAGCTAATTTGCTACTATTACCTAAAAGTTTCCTAACTTTATATGTGTTACTTCTCTCATGTAATTCATTAATAGGTCCTTTGCAGAAACAATATAAAATGCCAAAATTATGAAATAACATAATTATTTTTATCTTATAGATACGTAAACTGAGGTACAAAGAGATTAAATATATACAGGATTTAAGTACAATTGTTAGAATACAAACTTAGGTGTATTTTAGAATCTATAACGACTCTGCAGTATTACAGTATACTGCCAATAACAATTCTACATTTATACTGTAGATACTCTCTTCTAATCTGTAATTCTAATTTCTCATTAAATTAATATCGAAATTTAAATTTAAAATAATGATAAATAATGATACTACAGAAGGCGAAATAGATATTTTGGTTTTGTTATTACCATGCTTTTGAATCTCGTGGAAAGTCAATGTGGAGGGAACAAAACAAACTAAAATATGATTTGAGAAAATTGTGGTGAAAACTTGCAGTGAATTAAGAGAACCAAGCTTATGTAATGCAAGAAATTATTGTTGTAGTTCCTTTTAATTTCTAATTTTTTTAATGTTCTCAACCATAGCAACAAGCAGTTCCAAAGCTGTGCACTCTTTGTTGACTTACTGAGCAATTATATGGTCTAGATTCTCTTAACCAAGACAAAAAGTTGGCATAATTTATTGTTCTCTCAACTTATATGATCTTGGTTTTGGCCTTAATTACTCAGGTTCTCTGATATCACCAACCTACTGATTATTTAATCTCCCACCAAACAATTACATTTTTACTCTCTAGATTTTCCAACATGGTAAGAGACTGAAATAAAGACTGCTATTTGGTTCATTTTGTTGTCACTAGGTACAATAAAACCTTTATGAGGGAAAAACTTTGAAACTTTTCTCAAATTTTGAAATTAACTGGTCAGTTAAATGTTTAAAAATAGTGTACCACAATTTGAAAGCTGAGTTAAAGAAAGAAACAACTTTGGAAAATAGTCAGTCTCTAGAACTTCTTTGTATATTCGCAGGATTTATTTTCTAAATTTATACAAAAAAAGAAATATAAGATTATTTAAATTTTCTTTCCTAGAAAAATTTGTGCCCTGCCTGGGGATGGAATTTGTTATATTAAAATGGGAAAATTATAAGATGTGTATGCCAAAATACTTGTATCTGTGTTAAGAGAAAAAGAAGAAAATAGCCTCTGACATTGTACATGTAAGTAAAATAATAAATAGAATAAACTGGTTATTTGATATTAACTTTATGATTAACAGGAAGCATGATTGGAAGGCCTC